>NC_000011.10:16935000-17560000 GCF_000001405.40 Homo sapiens | reverse complement strand
CTGTCCTCACCCTCACTTCCCTTAAACCATTTATTCATTTGTTAATTGTTTGCTCCTTCCTTCCTTCCTTCCCTCCCTTCCTTCTTTCCTTCCTTCCTCCCTCCCTCCCTCTCTCCCTTCCTTCCTTCCTTCCTTCTTCCCTTCCTTCTTTCCTCCTTTTTTCCTTCCTCCTTCCTTCTTCCCTTCCTTCTTTCCTTCTTTTTTTCCTTCCTCCCTCCCTCCCTCCCTCCTTTCCTTCCTTCCTTCCACAAACAGGTATCTTCTGAACTCCTGTTTCGTGGCCATCTGTGCCAGGCCAGGAAGATGGTGCCAGGCACCTACGTCTGCCCCTAGCATACCATTGGGGCAATAGCAGCCGTCCACACAGGCGATCTCACTGTCCACACAGGATGCCCGGGGATGGCAGGAGGCAGGGCAGCAGGCGATGCACTCATTGTAGGTAAAGGCCTTCTCCTTGCAGTGCACAGCTTGGGAAGGAGGGATCCATGGTCTCTCAGCTACTGGCCCCAGCTCTGCCAGGACCCAGCTCCTACCCCAGGCCGTGGAGTGAGGATGGGAGGGAGGGCTTTGATTTTCATGATTTCCTAGTCCCAGAGGGAGCATTGGGTGCCCAGGAAATTGACAAGGAGAAGGAATTGCAAGGGGAGGCTCTGAGAATCACCCAGGCTAGCTCCTCCCACTCTGAGCCTCAGTTTTTTCGTCTTTCTCATGGCGATAAAACCTCGGGGCTGAGAGTTCTGATAACTGTGATTCTGAGCAGGACAAGACATTGAGCTGAGGCCTGAGAATGCCACCCACAGCCTGAAGGCCTCCCTGCCCCACTACTGGGCTGCACCTACTGCATTGCCGGAGCTGGGTCCTCCAGCCTTGCAAGGGCCGCCCTGCCTGGGCACACGCCCGGGCATACTCCGCCAGTGCCCGGCACCAGGTGGCTACATCACCCATTGATCTGTGCAGAGAAACCAAGGGTCACACTGGAACAAAACCCAAAGTGCCACCAGCCCACCAGCATCCCATAGACACTGCCAGGGCTTCAGGGCATCTCTCCTCTCCACCCAGCTGGGAAAGGCTGCCCAGGAAGGCATCTAGGTGAACAGATCCCTAGACTTGAGCTATAAATCCTGGATTCTAGTCCCAGCATTGCCACTAACTTGTTATGTGACCCTAACGGGGTCCGGCCCCATTTCCAAGCCTCAGTTGAATGGGGCAGCTCTGTCCCACCTAGGCAGATAAGAATTTCAGAGCCTTGGGAAGCAGATCTGGCAGTGCCTGGGATCACCCAGTTTGATGGCCCGTGTGCTGAGCACTCACCCCAATACTAGAGGGTTCCCCATAGCCCACACCACCCCTACTCACTGGCAGAGATCACTGGTACAACTGGCTGTGAAGGGCAGAGGGCTGACGTAGGCGTGGCAGGCGTCAAAGGGGGGCCGCAGTAGAGCCTCACACTGCTCGTACACGCCCTAGAGCAAGGGACCAGGAGCCAGGGCTAGGGGCTGGCAAAGCCACACACAGCCCCACACAGAACCCCAACTTGAGCTGTGGGGAGAGGGAGAGGAAGGCAGAGAAGAGAGGGATGGGGTCAAGGGCACCAGACATTCTGGGGTGCCACAGCCAGTGGCTTTCGAAGAGTTGGATAGCAAGTCAGGCTCTAGGGTAGGGGAGTTTCTCCCCAAGCTCCAGACCTGCATGGTTCCTGGGTTCTGCTGTAGGCACGGTGGGCGAGGCAGGGAGGAAGTTGTGGGCCCTGGAGGCTGGTTAGGGGCCTGCTCCTGCCAGCTGTGCACAAACTCAACCACGTCGTCAGTCAGCTTCCCTGGAGGAGGGAGCTGACATCATGATGGGGCAGCGATGGGGTTGGGTGGATGGGAGGGACAGAAGGCTCTGAGGGAAAGCGGATCCCAAGGGATGGGTAAGGAGTTTTGAAGAATCCGGTCTCCTGAGCTCCCATCCCAATCAGGGTTTCCCAACTGAGCCATTCTCCTGAAAAAGCTGTTTGATAGTAATAGCCAAGAATGCTCAGGAACCTGTAGTAGCTCCCTATGGCTCCAAACTCAGGGGATGCAGCACCATGCACCGGAAAGAGAACTGGTGTGTGAGCCTGAACAAGCTCCTGTGTCTCTCTGAGCCTCAGTTTCCCCATATTTGCCATAGGGAACATAATCTCCCAGTGAGATTGTTGCAAGGACTACTTGAGATGATGCATGTAAAGTGTTTAGTATGGTGTAGGTGCTCAAAAGGGGTCACGACCCTTCTGGCCAGAGCCACCATGATTTGGCCCTGAACGCTTCACTCACTTCCTACCACTCCTCCATAGGTGTCTTTAGCTGGGCCATTTCTCTTCCTGGCTGTCTCTAGCCCTCTGCTCCCTGCCTACCCCATGCCCCACATTGCAGGGTCAATCCCACCTGCAAAGTGTCTATTAGATCCCCCACAACCCTAGTGGGAATTCTTATCATGACTATTTTTGCAGATTAGGAACCTGGGGTTGACAGTAGTTTAAGAACATGCCCAAGGACACACATTTGTTAGGAAGGGGTCCTTGGCCTTCCATTGGGTCTTTAATACCATGACCACGACCCCAGGGCTCTGTTCCAAGTCCCCTCCAACCCCTCCCAGCCTGACCTGTCCCCCATCCCCACCAACACCCCTCAGAGGCCACCTGTCTGACCCTCACCAGAGCTGGTCACCAGATCATCCTTGGGGTCAGCATTGTTGTTCCCACACAGCCCATGGGTCCAGCCCAGAAGCTCTGGACTCATCTTGATGTAGACAGCCGAGGCACCATCCCAGGCCAGTGTGAAGGCTGACTGATGCCGCACGATGACATAGCCGGCAAGCTGCTGCAGACGCGCGCTCCCCATGACATGTGGCAGTTGGACCCTGCAGGGCACATCCCAGAGCTTCAGGGTATCCACAACACCTCCACTAGCCCAGTCTCTTCACCGAAGGAACAGCCAGTCCCTACCCCATGATCCAAGGCCCCCACTTCCCCTCCCCATGAATTCCCAGAATTCCCAGGTGCCTGGAAGTATACCATTAGAGATGGATTCTTTTGTCTTTAGAAATTTTTTAAGACGGCAATTTCCTGGGCAGGAATAAATCTTAGAGTGAGTGACTCCAAGTTCCTTTCTCCCAGACAGGATAGAATATAAACAAACATCTGCTTTATTTTTTTGGTGGGGAGCAGGAACCAAGTGGAAACAGAAGCCAAGAGAGGAGGAAAACTGGGAGTGCAAGAAAAGATGGCGGGCTCCAGCAGCCTTGACCACTTTCCCAGTTTTCCTGGTACAGGGACCCCTAGCCAACCTGGAATTTGGCAACCTTGAACCCAGCAAAATTTCAGGAAAGGGAAACAAAAGTACTGTCTAACTAGCCACAAGACCCATTTACCAACTCTTCATTCACAGGAGAAACCTATAGGCCATCAATTTTACACTCAGCCCCAGAACAATTGCTTGGTCACCCAGTTTCCAGATCTGAAGCAGGAGATGAGGACAGGGAGAAGTGTCATTACAGGAAGACCCCATGACAGCAACAAGAAGTGACAGTGGACAGCAAGGAAAGGAAAGAACAGTGAGGAAGAGATGCAGGAAAGATTTCACAAAGGACCACAGTCTGGGGCATTTTAGTATGGGAGCAAGGGGTCCCCACTCCTCTGGTGGTCCTCCAAGCATCCCTGTTGGCCCAGCAAGATAACTGACATTCACAATGACCCTGTGTCATCAGAAATGGAAGTGTACTCCGAATCTGCTGAGAGGAGGTAGAAACTGTGTATGATCCATTTGGGAAGATTTTGGGAGGGAAAAGTAAGCATGCTTATCATGATAAACTCTCAACTCACTGGAAAACTCTATTTTCCTGAAAGCCTGCTGTCTGGAAATCTGCAATATCTGAGAGTTCCAGGAAAAAAAAAATCATTCTGCAAACCCCACTGGCAAGAAACCCAGTGATCTGCCAGTATGCTTCCGCCCAGATAGTGGAAATTGCTGTTTGTCCCCAGAAAACAATTTCCTTTGGGCTTGAGAAGAGCGGATGCTCACCCATCCACCACCACCAGTGTCAGGGATAGGACAGCTCGATGTGGAAGGTGTTAGAGTTACCTCATGCCTCCATGGGTGACCTCCTTGGCCAGATGGATCTCCTGCTCACCCACAAAGAAGAGGCTGACAGCCCTGGAGCAGGTGTAGGGTGAAGAGCCACACTGCGGGTCATTGTGTACCTGAGTAGGGAGTTCAGAGGCTGGTTTGCAGGCTCCTGCCACAGGCCTGACCCTGAGCTTCACACCTTATTGAGTTTTCACTAATGCCGATGGCTGTCCCCTGCATACCAACTGCCTTTCCTCTGTGATCTCGCTCAGTCCCCATACATCACAGAGGGGAGGCAATGGATTCACAGAGAGGTGAAGTGACTAAGGCCACACACAGAAAACTAGGAAATCCCAGAGCTGGGATTCTAGCCCCGGTCTGGATGGCTCAGATTCCAGGGCTCTTCCCAGTCAATCATGCCATCTCCGTATTTCTGAACTTTTCTCTTTATCCTACCCAGGAAATACCATCAGATTGAAGGCCAACAGACATACTCCACCATCTCACACTCATACAGAACACAAACACACACATCTATACACACCCCATAAATTTCTCCCATGACACTCTCAGTGCACACACTATACACACACTCCCCTTCCCCCATGCCCCTGGCAGGTACAGATTGTAACTTTCCCCTACACCCATCGGCACACATCTCACTCCTGTGCTGCTGTCACACACACACACACACACACACACACATCTCTGCCCCCGCCATTCAGACAGAACCCAGACTTCAAAGGCCATAGACCCAAAGGACGGGGTGGGGTAGAGGGGAGAGCTTCCCAGAGCTTATCCCTGCCAAGTGTGGAAACCCTTCCCAGGAAGGCACCTTCCATCAGATTACTGTTCAATGTGATTAAGCAGGCTGGAGCCACTTCAACTACAAGTGGGAACTGTGAAAGCTACCCCATGGTCTAACTAAAGGGTTTTCAAGCTTTTGTGACCATGACCTACAATAAGAAATATATATAACTAAAAATTTTACAAAATAATACTTATCTCTATCATGCGTAATACACTCTTACAATATTTTCTATTTTATTTGTCTCATTTTTTAATGATGGTTGTGATTCGTTAAGTTGATTTTGTAACCCACGAGTGTATGGCAATGCATTAGTCTAAGTAATTGTAACATATCCATCATGAAATGATAGGTCATGAAAATCTCTGCTATGTGATAGGCCGAGGCAGAGAGAGGAAAATTGGTTGCAGTTCCCCGCCCATCCAGGGCATGGCCCCTAGAGCAGTCTCATAGGTCCATGACTGAGACAGAAGGATCACAAATGGCTAGCAGAGGGGAGACACTGAACACTGGGGTCTCCCCACACCCCCAACCCCTTGACCCTAACTCAGTACTGACCAAGGTGCCCTCCAACAGAGCTGGTTCTCCAAAGAGACTTTCCTCCAGGTGGAGGGGTATTGAGCTGTGGCTGAAGGTGACTCCCAGTTTAGCACACAGGTTAGGCATGAAAATCAGGCCTGCATGACAGTGGCTTTCACACGTGTTCCTATATTTCACAAACCTTTACTGAGCACCAATCCAGGCACTGTCAAAGAGAGAGACATGACCCCTGGCCTAGGAAGCTCACAGCTGGTAGAGAAAACCAACCCAAAACCAGACCTTTGTAAGAGAAATACAATGACAGCGTCATAATATGGAACTTTGAGTTACCCAGTGAGGAGCTCTTCAGCCAGCTTGGAAGGTCAGGAGATCCAGGGTGGCTTCTTAGAGGAGGTGACTCTAAACTGAGTCACCCAGGACCTCCATCATTTCTCTGAGGCCCTAGTCTCTTTCTTAGCACCCAATGATCTTTTTCCCCAGAATGTTCTCAAGTCTGCCCACACTCTCCTACTCTTCACTTGGCTAACTCCAATTTATTCCTTAAACCTCAACTTAAATGTGACTTTCTCCAGGAAGCTTTCCCAGGTCACCATCCTTCCGAATAAACAGGATTAGGTTTTCAGGACATGTTCGTTTAGCATTTGGCATTTCTCCTCCATAGCACTCATTTGCACCTGAAATGAGTCCTCTGATTTGATGTCCTTCTTCATTAGACTATAAGTTCTGAGAAGACAAAGATTATACCTGTGTTGTTGTCTACAGGGCCTCCCGCCACCAGACCTTATGCCAGAAAAGAGTACAGTATGCACTTAGTAAATACTTGATGAATGAGTGGCTCAATAAATGAATGGCCAGGGTGAGTGGGTGAGCGAGAGCTGTGGAGTCCCCAGCTCCTTCCAGGTGCAGACTGCCTGGGTGGGAGCTGGGGGGCGATGCAAGGAGGAAGGTGCCAGTCTCTCTAACTATGACAAGTAGAGCCCAGGCCAGTGCAGCCTCCAGGGCCTAGAGAAGCATTCCTGGACAGGCAAGGCAGGGGAGGCCTCACCTGGATGGAGAAGCTCTGTCCCTCGGGCTCATGGCGACCCACCAGGGTGTAGCTGCCCTTTCCGGAGAGGTAGTAGTAGAGCCCATCAAATGTCTCCACGTGGTGCTGCCCCCACGCCCGGCAAATGCTGTCCCTCTCAGGGCCGGCATTGTACACTGAGGGAGAGAAAAGAGAACCTCTCTGTGTAGCTACAGTGGGCACCAAGCCAGAGGCTGGTGGGTTCCAGCCCTGGAAGTGCTGCTCCCTTTCTCCCTAGCTTTCCCTGCACCCAGGTCCCTTCCTGGGGGTGGGGTGGAGCCCAGACCCACCCATCTGGCAGCGCGGTCCAGTGGCATTGAAGCGTCTGCAGTCACAGAAGGCTGGGTGCACACACTCGCCTCCATTGAAGCAGGAGAACAAGTCTGCATGGGAGACACAGAGTCATTGCCCCATCAAGCTGAGATTGGCAGAACCCAGGGAGGCAGCCCTCTCAGGCTTCACAGGATCCAGACCCCCATAACAGGCAGCCCCAGCCCCAACATTCCTCAGCAGCTAGCACAAGCTGGTGCCTCAGACCACAGCCCTGCCCCCTCCCTGGCAAGCCGGTGGGGTGGGGTCGCAGGGCATCTGCCTTTGATGTGCATCAAGTGGCCCCCAGGCCAGCCCCACCTGGGCCTTCAGTTGCTAGAGCTGTTCCTGGCTAGCAAGCAAGGCAGGCAGAACTGAGAATGGGGAGCATGTGGGGTGAGCAGGGGGACTGCCCAGAGATCTGCAGCTGCTGCTCCTCCTCACTGCTCCACACACTCAGGGAAGAAGCCACGGGGGTAACCAGGCGATGGAGGAGAGGCCTGTAGCAAGAACAACCATAGACGAAGGGAAGACAAAGCAGAGCAGAGGGCAGCGAGGAAAGGAGCCATGATGTGAGAGGACAGGTGGGGGACACAGGACAGGTGGGAGACACAGGACAGGTGGGGGACACAGGACAGGTGGGGGACACAGGACAGGTGGGGGAGGTAGGAACAGACACAGGACAGGTGGGAGGAGAGGCCACAGACCTAGGACAGGTGAGGGGGACCATGGACACAGGACAGGGAGTGGGGGCTACAGACAACACAAGATGAAGGGCAATACCACAGAAAGTAGAAAGAAGCCACAGAACCAGGTGGGATGGAGGGGGAAACAACCACTAAATAATGAAGCACAGTCTCACTGGAGTCAGCCTGTGAGGGGGCAGTCCCGGGCCATGGTCATAGGAACAGGACTCTAGAGAGGAAGCTCTCCTCAGGCAGGGAGGAGAATGCCAAATGGCATGGTGGCCGGGGCCAGAGTGGGTGGAAGGAGATGCCAAGCAGGAAAAAGGGGTCATGGAGGCCTGAGGGAAGCCCCACCTGCCCTCTGCCCTTTCAGGCCTCTGCCAGGGCTCTCCCATGCACAACCCATGGACCACAGTGAAGGTGCCACTTACAGGATGGTGCACACTTGGCCCGATGGAGCCGCCTTTCCCAGGAAGACATGGCCACGGAGTCTGGGGCTTCAGCCTGCTTGTGAAGACAGGAGGAAGAGAACACATCGAGGGCTGACCTCAGGACGGGTTCCCAGGCAGGCTTCCTGGTGGCCACAGCCCTCTTTGTTCATCTCCCAGAGGGAGGAGCCCCTGCCCCTCAGTGCCCCAGCCACTCCTCCTCGCCTGGCCCCCTCGAGAGGCAGAGGAGAATGTTTAGGCCTGCCCTGGGCTCAGAGGAACAAAGGCTTAGCTCTCACCTTCCCAAGTGGCATCTCTGCGGCAGACCATGAGGCCCATGGCTGGAACACAGCCCCTCCCCTCCATGCCCCAATACCTGCCAGCCTCCTTTTCTTCCCTCTCTCCCAGTAAACCCTTATGTCCTCCACAGCCTTACACACAATCCCTTGTCTGGATTACGAGCATGAGGCAGAGCTAAGGAACAAAGGCAGCCCCTCACCCCAGGTCAGGGGAACATCTCACCCCCACAGCCACCCCCACCCCAACCTTCCTTTGGGGTTCTTCCAAGAACAGCAAAACCAGCAGCCCACAGATCAACACCCACTGTCCTCACAACTCAGCTCCCAGTCAGGACTCCTGCCCTGATACCTCAGGTCTAAGGAGGAGACAGGCCAAGTGTGTGGCTTAGAAACCCTATTTTCCAGACAGAACTCCCAGAGCATGGTCTCTCCAGACATAAACCGCCTGAAATCAGGACTATATAACAACAGGGGTGTTCAGTCACCACAGGACTAGATGACTTATACACCAGCCCTCTCAGAACTCCAGTCCGAGACGTCTAATGTCACCTGGAACCGGCATCCTGGGCACAGTTGGCTCCTCCTCCCTTAGAGGTTCAGCCTCCTCATTTGTACAATGTCCCCAGAACCCTGTGCCAAGCATTGTGCTGGATGCAGTGAACAGGGCAGAGTCCCTGCCCTCTTGGAGCTTATGTGCTTGTTCATAGGGCCAACAAGCCACAAACTGCACTGTGGGTATTTACCTCACATGTCAGCCTCCCTCATTGTCATCCAGCAAAGGACTTGAACATAGGAAATATTCAGGCCCTTGGTCCCTGGAGCCAACCCCAGCTCTTGGCCCTGCCCTGGCAGGCACAGCCTGGCCACCTTGTCCCTTACGCTCACACCTTTCATCTTCATGGTCTTCCTGACATCTTAGCCAGATTTTGGTGTCCTCACCTACTTTGGCCCCTGGTTCCTGGGTTCTCCCGAGCAATCCTTACCCAGTCGACCCAGCCCCAGCCCCAGGAGTCAGGTTTCCCACCCGGGTACTAATCTATCTCATGGGGCCCTCAGAGACCACAGGAAATAGGAGAGGGCAGGGTCACAGGAAACAACTCGCATCCTTTAGCCACCAGAGAGCTGTAATTAAACTCAGTCTTCGTGTCCTCACTCTTCACTCCCACTTCAGATGTGGCCTCTGAGATAAATGAGTCATGAGGATGAGACAACCTGTGATGCAAAGAGTCAAAGCCATTTTCTAAAGGATTTCTTAAATCTTGTCCAAATGATTAGTCTTCAGGGGCTAATCAATCAGGCGCTCTTAATCATTTTTATGCCACGAACCCCTTAGATAATTTAGTGACCCTATGTGGACACCTTCTCAGAATAATGTTTTTAAAAACATAAAATAAAGGATAAGGTTACAAAGGAAATCACTTATATCACAATATCATTTTATGAAAATATTTTATAAAAATGTGTAATTTAGTAATATTTGTGCTTCTTTAATAACTCAATAAATAAAAGATCTAGCAGTGGGCCTTATCACTGCCAAAATTTTGAAGTAGTGATGAACATAAATGATATCTTGAGACAGCAACATCTATAAGTGGTAGGAAAATATCTGTCATGTCTATTGGTGACAGTCAAAAACACTGCAAATACTCTTGTGGTTTGTAGACTATAATAATAATTGAAAAGGATGCTGAATTTCAGTTGGATTGAGGTTTCTGTAAATAACAATGTGTTTTTATTTTCCCCCATCCATGGACCCCTGTCTACAACAATTCTCTAGAAAATGGTTGAGCTCTGTAGAAGCGGGACAGCATTGAAATGAAGATTGGTTGCCTACTGGTCTGGGGCACACCCCCACTTCATGAAGAGGGCATTCCAAACAGGAGCCCTTGAAGTATCCCTGGTACATGAGCCTCAGTCCCCCACCCCCCAACTCCTGTCACCTTAGAGGGAGGCCATTCTAATTCCTCGTTGCTCTGAGGAGCAGCGTGAGAAACCTCCCCAGGTTGCCTGGTCCACTCACTTATGACCCTTCCCCAAGGAAAAGGCGGGATGCCTACCCTGGAAACCAGCACGGGAGGATACCCACAGGGAAATGAAGTGTTTGGAGAAGGGTCATCTCCCCCACTAAAACATGGGGATTCCTGAAGTCCTGTATGCACGGCCTGGCTCTGCCAGTAGACTTTGCTCCACCTGCTCATTGCAGGGCCCCCACAAGTCATCCACCCACCTCAATTTCCCTACCTACAAAAAAATGACTCCAATACCTTCCAACTCAAGCAGTATTTGACTGTGATTCTAAATCTTAGGGCCTGGAAGTGTGGGCAAAGAAGAAGTAAAAGATCCAGGAAATCCACATCAGAGAAGAAGCACGCCCACACCATCCCCCCTCACTCCACCTTGGGGTCTTCATGTCTATTTCCAAAGGGCAGGAGTTGGGACTCATTGCTGTCATAAACGATTCTCCCCAATCTGCTGGCTCAAGGGGCTCCCCAGAGCTGACCGCTGGGGCTGGGGCAGGGGCACTTGAGCTGAGGCTCAGCTGCTTTGGGGGACCTAGCTGCAGGTGGGTGGAACTTATAGCTCATCTGTAGTTATAGAAAGAGGGAGACAAATGCGGGCCAGGATTAGAAAGTAGACCTGAGTCACCTGATCCAGAGACCAAAGAAGTTTGGCAAAGGGAGAAAACAAAACTGCCACCTCTCCCACAAACACAGAGGACCGTGGGAAGATGGGCAGTGGAATGGTCAAGACTCAAAGGATAGAGGCCGGGCTCAGTGGCTCATGCCTAATCCCAGCACTTTGGGAGGCTGACACAGAAGGATCACTTGAGGCCAGGAGTTCAAGACCAGCCTGGGCAACATAGTGAGACTCTGTCTCTACCAAAAAAATTGAAATTCAACCAGGCATGGTGGCACACACCTATAGTCCTAGCTACTCAGGTAACGGAGGCACCAGGATCACTTGAGCCCAGGAAGTTGAGGCTGCAGTGAACTATGATTATGCGACTGCACTCCAGCCTGTGTCACAGAGCAAGACCCCGACTCAAAAAAAGAAAAAAAAAGGCTCAAAGGATGAGTTCAGGGCTCTGCTTCTCAACCAAACCTTCCTTGCAACTTCCACCAGGTGGCCTAGTTTTTGTCTTGCCTGCATTCTTGAGGCTCCGCTCAGGGTATGGAGAGGAGCCTCTGACAGGGTTGAGGGCCTTCGCAGGCCAGTCAGGGAAAAGAGAACTCCATTCTTCTAAACGTCCATCTTTCTACTTTTACCTGCCAGAAGGGAGAGCTCAGCTCTCTCCTGAAAGAGCCCTGGTGCCCACCTCTCCTAAAAAAAAAAAAAAAAAAAAAAAAAAAAAAAAAAAAAAGAGTGGACTATAGACCCCCAAGAGATTAAAAAGAATAGAAGGGTTTTATGAACTTGCACACCTCAGACACATACCAGGAATCTGCTTGTTCCTTTCTGAACAACTCCAGAGACCCCTCCTGTAACCTACAGAGCTCCCTGCCAGCCTCAGATCCAGATAGACATGAGCTCCTGCTCAATGAAGCCCCCTCCCAAGACCTCCCTTACCTGGCCTCCCACGACTGTAGCCTTGTCCCCCATGGCAAGGGTCGCCTCCTGGTGGCTGCTGCTGGAGGAAACACGAGTCTGGCATGGATGGGGGGCTAGGATGGGTTATGCCTCCCCGCAGTCCCCTGGCCTATCCCACCCTAAGTGCTAAAGCCCTGGGGTCGCTGATGCCAGAAATACGGATGGGAGCTGTGGGTGGGGCCGCCACAGCTCACACCTACTCACCTGGGTTGCCCGGCTGGCTCTGGCTGTGGCTCTGCACTGCCCCACAGAACGGGTGCTGCGGCTGGGGAGGGGGATTATTCTCCACTCAAATTGTGCTTGTCTTTACTGGGGCCTCCCACCACCTGGCCCCCACTGCTAGAAAGCCTCTCCCACGCCACTGAGCATTCCCCCATTCTCCCTCCCTGCAGCCTTCTCAAATCCTTTCTCTCCCTTCCTGATGACCCTTCTCCAGCCAGGATCTCCCTGTTTACTCTCAGTCTTTGGCCCCCAGCTCTCTCTAGTTCCCCACCTCGGGTCTCTTCCACCCAGCCTAACTTTGGACTCTTTCCCCCGCGGTCATAGGCCTGCCTCTGTTGGCTTCGGGGTCCCTCCTCCCCTGACTGCTCCTCCTGGGTGTCCCTCTGCTCTCCCTCAAACCTCTCTTTCCTCCCTCTCTCCAACCTGCGCGGGCCCATTCCTCATTCCTTTAACGTTTCTCATTCCTCGAGCCCCCGACCTCCCTGAGTCCACAACCCTCTCACCGAGGCGCTGCACCCGCAGGGACTCGGCTGCCTGCTCACCCCAGGGCAGCCAGACACAAAGCAGCCAGCAGAGCGCAGACGCCAGGACTCCCATAGGGACACGAGGGGACCGGAGGACTTGAGCGCAGGGCCAGCCTCCCGAGGTGCCTCCCCGGGCTAAGGCAGGGTCACACCTCCACTCCGCAGCCGAGGTCCCTCTTGTTCTCATGCCCCAGGGCTCCCTCAGCCCCTCCTCCCAGGCTCTCAGCTCCTCCCCGAACTAGAGTGACAGGAGTACCCAGCTTATTACCATAATTTAGGCGCCTGTCCATAGCCTAGCCTCTGCTTTTCTTGGCCTGTGGCCACACCTCCCCAGGGGAGGCTGGATTCAGATTACTCAGCCCTAAATTGTCTAGGGAAGCATAGAGGCAGCCTATGCAACCTCCAGCTCCCCTTACCTGGGTCCTGGAAGCCCAATACCAGAGACGCAAGATGCAGGTATGAGTCTGGCCCTATCCTCTCCTTTTACAGAGGGCCATGCTGAGGCCCTGGGACATGCCACTCAGGGATCAGTGGTCAATAACAGAGCCTGCAGAGTCCTAGCCTATGTTCTCACCATGCCCCACCTCAGCTTCCACCTGGGTCTCCACATCCGTATCCTATGACCAGTTTTGAGCACCTCTAGGGAATGGATCATGCCTTAGTCCTCTGAATGCCCAGCACCAGCTCCTGCCCGAGCTCAGGAAATGACGATTGAATAATAAAAGTGTTTCATACTCCTATGTTATTGCCACCATCAAGGCCAAACTTTGACAAAACAACTTTATATGTGTGAACGAGGTCCACTGTCTGCCCAGGAGGAATTTTAAAATGGCAAAAACATGGGACTGAGCACCTGGGGAATCTGTACATCATTCACTTCGTCATCACTTAGGGAACACCAACTAGATGCTAGGTCTTACAGAGGATGATGATGATGGTGGTGGTGGTGGTCGTGGTGGTATTGGCCCCAGTAGACTTCTAGGCAAGGGTATAGATTTGAGATGCATTCATTCATTCATTCATTCATTCATTCACTCAACAAATTTGTTTGGCATTGATTCCATGCCATGCACTGTTCTAGGCATATAGTGGTAAATAAAGCAAACACAGCTATCTTCACACAGGAGGAAGCTGGGGGCACAGATAGGAAGATGAAGAGGAAAGAGCTAAGGATGGAGCCTTAAGGAATGCTGGTTAAGGAACAGGCAAAGACTGATTGTCTCCAAGGAAGCTTGAAACAAAAATTCATGAGAGAGGAGAACCAGGTCTCAATGCTATTCTCAAAACAAAGCAGGGGGCATTTTAAGGTGGAGGGAGTCTGTGGGGGTAATGGCCAATGTAAAATAAGGATTGGTGTGGCAGGTGAACAGCATTCCCCTGGATAAGGACATTCATTCACCTCTGCCAGGATTCTAAATACAAAATAAACAGCCATATGACATTCTTTTCCAATGTAGAGAATCAATGAAGTAAGTCGGAGGGGAATGCATTTTGTGTGGCCTTTTCTGGACCATTCAAAAATCCCACAAGTCTTTCCATTTTATCGCTGACTTAATAGTTAATGCTAAGGTGAGAAAACAGATCATATTTTAAGGTTCTTCTCCAAGAGGGATTTACATCTTAAACTAGGCAACAAAAATAGTGTGCTTGTAAAACTTCAGCTATTGGGGAGAGGGACGCAGAGGGGTGTTTAGGTGCCCCAGAGTTACAATTGTAAGTGGTTACCTGATGTAAGCTGCTGTCCATCTCCTTGCCCCTGCCCTTGACAGGGCACAAAGGGCTCAGGTGCCTCCCTGGGTTAAGTTCAGGCACAAGCCCCATACTTAGCCTCTGATTTACACATTTTTATCACCCCTCTCCTAGCCCCTCTTTCCTTTCATCTCTTTCCAGGCCTGGTTCATCATTGTCTTTGATGAATCTTTCCTTTCATTCCTTTCCAGGCCTGGTTCATCATTGTCTTTGCACCAAGCACTAGACCTAGGAGTTAAGCAAATGCTGACCAAATTGAATTAAATGAACCAGAGGGTCTGGGCCCTGGGTGAAGGTCAGCCATAGATCAAAATGTCACTGCCAGGCTCTGCCAGGCTTCGATGGATATGTGAGTGTGTTGGGTTTGGGTTTTGTTTTGTCTTGTTTTGTTGGGGGTGGAGGTGTTAGGGAAGGTGGGAGGGGAAATCAGTTGAGGGGGGCACTCTCACACACACTGATTCAGACCCCTGCGGCCCACAGTAAAACCCAGCCCTGTCCCCAAGGAATTCACAGAACAAGGATTGATTTCTCCCTGGTGGAAAAGTGCAGGAGGAAGCCAGGACTGAAGGTACGCTGGAGGTGAGGGCGTAGCAAGGGCTGACAGTCCAGGAGGGCCATGAACCTCGACAAGAGTATCCAGAGAAGGCCGGGCGCGGTGGCCCGCGCCTGTAATCCCAGCACTTTGGGAGGCCGAGGTGGGCAGATCACGAGGTCAGGAGATCGAGACCTTCCTGGCGAACACGGTGAAACCCCGTCTCTACTAAAAATACAAAAAAAAAAAATTAGCCGGGCGTGGTGGCGGGCGCCTGTAGTCCCAGCTACTCGGGAGGCTGAGGCAGGAGAATGGCGTGAACCCGGGAGGCGGAGCTTGCAGTGAGCCAAGATCATGCCACTGCACTGTAGCCTGGGCGACAGAGCGAGACTCCGTCTCGGGGGGGAAAAAAAAAGAATATCCAGAGAAAACGGACTAGATTGCCCCGCCCCCCGCCCGTGTAAATAGTTTCCGTATCTCTCTATTCCGGTCCCCACAAAAAAGTCCCAAACCTCCTCCCTACGTCTCCACGATCTTCTTCCTCAAACGCATGTGTTCAGGTACCACTTCCAGAGAAATACCAGCTTGAAGCCCAGCTACTGCCACCTCAGGCCCATAGGCACACTGGGGCCCATTTGCTCCCAGGCTTCAGTGGGAGGCGACGACTCAGCACCTTCGACTCCAGCCTCGCAGCGGCCCCGCCCCACAGAGGCCTGGCCCCGCCCCTCCGCGCTCAGGCCCCGCCCCCAGCTCCGAGGGCGGCTGGCCCGGTCGCGGTCGCGGCTCTTTCCAGCTCCTGGCAGCCGGGCACCCGAAGGAACGGGTCGTGCAACGACGCAGCTGGACCTGGCCCAGCCATGGACCGAAAAGTGGCCCGAGAATTCCGGCATAAGGTCAGAGCTGCAGGGCGCCCCAGGCTTCTGGGACTCCGGAGTCCTGGGCGCGGTGGGTAGGGGGTGGACACCCCGGCACTGCCCCTCCCTTTTCCGGCCCCACCTGATGGCTCTGGTTGGGCTGGGACACCCGAGGGTCGTCTGGCTGGCAGCAGGGATCCCCAGTAAAGTGAGGGAGGGAATGCGGGGACTCCCGGCTCAAGGACTGCTAAACGAGTCGATCTTCTGCCAGCCTTTCTCCCTCTGCCTTCCAGGGGCAGGGACGTCTCTGGGGTTTGAATTCCTTCCAGTCTTGGCCGCTTTTCTGAGGTGCCCCCTTTGTGGGCAAGCCCCTCTCCTTCCTAGTGCCCCCAGCTCAGGGCTGTTGAGGCATGTGGAGACAGTCTGGGGCAGTATCTGAGAGGTGAGGGTTGGGAGAAGGGAAACTAGACGTCTCTCTCTCTGCCTTTTGACCTCAGAACATGAGTTAGAAGCATTTCAGCCCTGCCTGCCTAAGGGCGTTTCTTAGGGTCTGAGAAGTAGCTGAGGAGCTGGTGCTGACCCGGGTGCGGTGGGGAGGAAGGGAGGAGGTACTGAGGGCGTCGGAGCTGGGCTCTGGCCGGCCAGATCCTTCAGGCAGAGCCGGGTCCACCCTGGTGTGTCCCAGTGAGGGGCCTCACTGGTGGTCTGGGATTCTCAAGGACCATCTCTGGAAGTGGCCAGGTTTCACACAGGGCATTTCGAGAATGATTCACAAAGCTGTGCAGAATCTGCTGAGGCCCTGAGACCAGAGAGGGCCATCAAAGAGATCCAGCCTACTTCCCCACCAAGTCTTAGGATGCCTCTGAGTCTGGGGATGAAGCCGCTTGGGGGGGGTGGGTGGTATCTGGAGCTCCCCACAGGCCCTGCCTGAGGGGCAGGTAACTATTGATAACTTAACTATTGATAACTGTGTGACCCAAGGCTCTCCCAAAGACCCCAGGGGCAGTGTCTTTAGACCAAGCCAAACCTCTTCCTGGTTTGAGAGCTGAGCTCAGGTAGGGCAGGTCAGGGTGCTTAACTCCTTCCTTCCCATAAAGAGGCCCATAGGAGCCCAAGGAGCTAGCCAGTGTAGGGGCCACAGGGGCTTGGGGCCAAGGGCCCGGGGTCAGTTATTCATTTAATAAGCATGTTTTGAGCATCCTCTCAGCCATACCCAGTCTGTGCCCTTTGCTGGTGGTGTAGGTGGGAGGCAGACCCTACCCTGGTAATTACCCATGTCTGAGTGCTGCGTGTTGAGGCCAAGCTTTTGTAGGGGCACAAAGGGACAGCTCAAACTGGCAGAAGGCTCCTGAAAACAAGGTCTTGGGCATTTCTGGTCCTGCTCCCAGGGGTGGGTGATAGCTGGAAGTTCAGCAGGAATTTAGGGGCTGGCGAATACCAAGGGGAGCTTGAGAGAGCATTCACTGTTACATCCTGTTGCAAAGAGACATGTCGGAAGAAATTTCAGCCACTAAGGACATTTTGTGAGTGTAGATTTCAGGCAACCCAGTTTGAAGGAGCTCAGCCTTCCATCCCCCAACCCAAGACTCAGGGTTGAATTTCAGTTTCCTGCCCCTGGCCTGAAATAACATCAGGTCTTCTGCCTTCACTCTGTGGGGTACCTGCTCTCTCTTTTTTGTGAGAATCATCTCCAGGGTCCCTGGTGTCTGATGCAGATCCTGGGTTTGCCCTGTTCCTCTTCCCCAGGTCCCACAGGCTCCAAAGGGCCTCAGACCTCCACGTTTCCTCTGCCCTACTCTTCCTCATCGCAACAGTCATTACTTATTAATATCCCTGTGTGCAGGCAGGGCAGGCGCCATGCGCTAGGCAAGGCCCAGGCTGGACTTTGTGCCCTGCTGCCTTGGAGACAGCCACAGCCTTCCCCTCCCAGGTTGGGGATCATCCAGGAACTGGGGAGAGAGGATGAAGCACAGAGGATAGAAAGGAGGCACACAGACATGCTGGGAGAAATTTACAGCTTGCTGTTGTTTGCTTTGTAGGGGTCCCTTCCTTAGTGTTTTGGAAGAAATGGTTTGTGATCTAAATCCTTAGTTGTTGGAAGTAATATTTAAGGTAGTGTGTTATAATGGAAAGTGCTCTGTGACCTTGAGCAAGTTACTTAATCTCTCTGTGCCTCAGTGCTCTTACTTGTGAAAAGAGATAACAATATTTAACGAATAAGGTTACCATGAATGCTGAATGAGACCTACATGTGTGTGGGGAGCTTAAATAGACCCTGGCACTTAGGGAGCTCTCAAGAAATGTCCATGTTGATTATTATCTGGAGTTAGCAGAACTGGGACCAAATCTTAGCCCTGTCACTGTCAGGAAGACCTTGACCAAGCCACCCACTCTCCCTGAGTTTTAGTTTCTTCAGCTATGAGATGGAGTTTGTAGAACTTACCTCACAAGACAGTCAAAACTAACTAGCAATTAAAGTACTGGCTGCTCTGGGCCCACAGTAACCACACTGTTTCCAGCTGATACCTGCAGAGTGTCCAGTGGGAGCCAACAGGCTCCAGGCATCGACTCCCTTTGATTTGTGAAGTTACCCCAAGGCCGCCAGGAGCACTTGCATACCCTTCCAGTAACTAGTAGCAACCTTGGGCCAGGATGTGGGGGAGCAGGGCTTGGTCAGAGACTGTTTTCTCCCTCAGAGAACCAGCTTTCAAAGGGAGACTGCTCTTCTGTTCGCAGCACCAGCACAGGGTAGGAACTTGGTTACTCATTGGCTTAAAAGTATTTATTGCCTCTTCAGCAATCATGCATTTATGAGCATAGCTGTGTATTCTGCCTGAGGCCAGGCATCTGACAACCGGTTGGGATGAATAAGATCAGAAAGAGCCACCACTCTCTAGGAATTTGTTAATCATTCATTTATTCACATAGGCAATAAATATTGACTGAGCCCTTAATATATGCCAGGCAGTACTCTAAGCATCAAAAAACAAAATAAAGCCCTTGCTGTCTTAGACAGTACATTCCAGTAGGGAAGACAGGTAGTTAAAAGGAAATCAACAAAAGTATCATACAATGCCAGATAGTGATAAATTCTATGAAAAAATAAACTAAGATGGGGAGAGAGAGATAGTAAGTGACAAGGTAGGCAGTCACGAAGGCCTCTCTGAAGAGGTGACATCTGAGCAGAGACCTAGAAGAAGTGAGGAGAAGGAGCCACAGAGATACATGTAGAAGAGCATTCCCTAAAGTGGAAGCAACAAGTGTGAAGGCCCTGAGGCAAGCAGATGCCCGCCTGTATGGAACAGCAAGTAGGACAGTGTGTCCCAGAGGAATCGTGAGTGGAGAATGGTGAGAAATGGGTCGGAGGGGTGGTAGGGGCCTGGTAGGCCATGGTCAGGTCAGGATTTTCTTGTAAGTGTGAATGATTTACATTTAAAAGGAATTGTTCTGGCTGCTCTGTAGAGAATCCACTGAGGGGCCCAAGAGTAGAAGGGGACCTCAGTCAGGAGGCTCCTGCAGGAGCCCAGGCCAGAGGCAGGGGCTCGGACTCGGGTGAGAATGGGTCGGATTCAGGATACATGTTAAAGGAAAAACTGACAGGCTTTGCTGATGGATTGGCTGCGAGCGTAGAAAGAGAGGCATCAAGGGTGAATCCACATTTGGTGGAGACGGAGCAGGTTGGTGGAGACGGAGCAGGAGGTGGTGGAAACCTAGCGTTCCACTTCGAATGCTGTAAGTTTGAGACGCCTGCTAGAGGTGACTGAGAAGGCTGTAGGTCTGGCCTGGAGATAAGCATCGGTAGGTCCTTGGGGGTGTGAGTGGTATTTAAACCCCTGAGATGAATGAGGTCACTTAGAGAGACAGTGCAGATGGAGAGGAGACCTAGGACAGAGCCCGGGGTACCTCAACTTTTGGAGGAGAAGGAGCAGCAAGCGAGGAAGGAAAGCAAGGAGAAGCAGGGCGTGATTGCTGTGCCAGGCACAGGGTGAAATACTACAAACTAGCTGACATGTCAAGAGCCTCTGAAAAGATGAAGGGCACTGTCTATGTCCTTGATGGTGGTGATGCTTTCACACGTGCACATTTATCCCCAAACTCATCAGGTTGTATACACTAAATATATACAGCGCTTTACATGTCAGGCATACCTCAATAAAGTGGTTCCAGAAAAAGAAAAGAAGTCAGGTGTGGCGGCTCACGCCTGAAATCCCAGCATTTTGGGAGGCTGAGGTGGGAGAATCACTTGAGTCCATGAGTTTGAGACCAGCCTGGGCAACATAGCGAGACCCCATCTCTACAAAAAATACAAAAATTAGCCAGGTGTGGTGTTGTGCACCTGTAGTCCCAGCTACTTGAGAGGTTGAGGCAGGAGAATCAATTGAGCCTGGAGGTTGAGGCTGCAGTGAGCTGTGGTCACACCACTGCACTCCAGCTTGGGTGACAGAGTAAGACCTGGTCTCAAAAAAAAAAAAAAAAAGAAAAAGAAAGAAACAGAAACAGAAAGAAAAGAAAGAGAGAGAGACAGAGACAGAGACAGAGAGAACCCTAGACAAGAAAGAAAGAAAGCAAAAGAAAAAGAAAAGATGGATGATAAGAAAATGAGAGTCAAATAAAGCCTGGTACCACTGGGATGCACACTCTAAAGGCCTGGGAAGAAGTGTGGCTGGATCTATTCATCCCACTAACATCTACAGAGGGCCACTCGCTGCCCACTGCTGTGGATATAGAATTTATGTCCACTTATTGTCACTTAGTTTTATGTAACAAACACAGGACTTACTACCTGCCAGGCACTGTTCTGAACTCTTCATAATTATTAACTCATTAAATTAATACTAAAAAACAATGATTAATCTCTCATAGTGATTAAATCCCATTTTAAAAAGAGATGTTAGTCCTCATTTTACAGATAAGGAAACTGAGGCACAGAGAGGAGCAGACCCAGTTGGGGAAGGGGTTCTTTGGCTCTACCACCACACTCACAAGCCAGGCCTGTGTCTGGGCCACACACAGGCTTGTGGGGAGACAGGAGGGTAAAGGGAGAAAGTTCAGCACAGCTTGGTGAGTCCCATGGCAGAGTTGGGGACAAAGTGCTGTTGTGTGCACAGAGAAAGATGTGGCCAGCTTTGTGTGGGAGCCTAAGGAAAGACTTGGCCAAGAAGAGGCGACATTTGAAGTGAGTCTTAAAGATAGAGGAGGAGTCCACAGAGAGGAAATACTGCTGGTACCACCATTGCTAATGGCTAACCAGGGTGGCAGCAGGGAGCAGGTGGCTCGTCCAAGGGGGAAGCCAAGAAAGCTTTATGAACAGGTTCTACAGAAAAGGGCAGGATTAAATGACCCAACAAGCTGCACCCTGGGGCCAGATGCAGGAGGCCAGCATCCCTGAAGGGGCCAGTAGAGGGAAGGTTACCAGAACAGGTGAGAACCAGGGCTGCCAAAGAGGCCCAGACAGCAGCTGCAGCCTTGGGTGGAGGAACCTGCCTAACTGTGGCCCAGCAGCCAGCCCCCAGGGACTAGGAGCCTCAGTTCCTGTCTCCCCACGCCTCTCATCTCCTGCTTGTGCCTCCCGATGGCTGAACACAGCAGAAAGCCAGAGGGGAGAGGAGCCCAGGCAGAGCCCTCTGGACAAAGGGCAGGGTGGAGAAGGCTGGAGGCATGAAAGGAAAAGATCTAGCACACATTTTGGAGACCTTGAAATGTCCCAGGCATTGTCATACGTGCTTTACACATACTCACTCATTTAATCCCCGCAACAGCCCAAAGAGACTTCATCAAGCAGAACAACATGCATTATTTAATTTGTTCTGGCTCTCTTTCTCCCTGTTTGGCTGGGTGCACACCTAAAGTTGAATCTTCCTGAGTTGACTGTCCCATGGTTCCCCTGTGTAGCTATCCTGAAGGGCCAGTCCATATGGGGGAATACAGAGGGATGAGACTGGAGGGTACCACATGGCCAAACCCAGCTTTTGCCTCCAATACCCTAGACAAGGGGCCTGAAGATTGTGAGGGTGGAGATGCTCCCTGTCCCCTCCTCCCTCCCACACAGACCAATAGCACAGTGCCAGAGAAACATCAGTCAGCAAATGCTAATCTAGGCAGGGCTGGCAGCAGGGGCAGGGGGTAGCAGGGATGATAATAGAGATCCCCAACAGCTATTTGTAGATGGTGGGCTCCTTTAGGGCTTCTGTGCTTAATATCAAGAGGGATCCAAGAAAAGGAAAGGCTTTCTAAATCTAGTCGGAGAAAGAAGACTGGTGTCTTTCCCACAGTAGGTGTTCAATAGATGTGTAATGGACAAGTGGACAACAAAGGAGTTATATTTCATAAGTGGATACCATGTGGTAGATTGAAAAAAAGCAGAGGTTTTGGAGCCAGTAGGCATAGGTTGGGGTCTCAATTCTGTCACTTCTCTGAGCCTCTGTTTCCTCATCTGTAAAGTGGGGATGATAACGTTCACCTCAGAGGGTTGTTAGGATATTAAAGATAATACACGTAAAGTTCCTCAGGCAGTGGACAGTCAGTAGGGAGAGGCTGGCTGGGATAAGTGAGCCAGACAGAAAGAGACTCAGGCTGGGAGGCAGGTGAGGAGGCTCCAGACTCTAGAAGAGGGGACTTGGGCCTCATCTGAAATGAAGGCAGGATTCAGATGAGAGGAGGAAAGCTGTCCATTGTGGATAGATGGAGTCGCTGGGACCTACTTTTTTGTGATGAATTGGAAGTGAACTAAGGGGAGGCAGACCCAGAATATATGTGCTGAGGACCAGTGGAAAGGTGGTGACCCAGGCCTGGGCCAACAGGTCAGAAAGAAGGCTCTAGACTAGAGCAAATAGAGTTCACGTTTCATCAACGGACGCCACTGGGCACCGTGCGCTTGTGTGCATGACATGGTTCTGGGTTCCACAGGGAAATGAAGAACATGTTTGGAAGGAAGGGAAGAAAGGAGTGTGGGAGATTTACTGCGTGCCTAGTGCTTCGTATGTACCTGAGTACAGGGTACTGGGACAATGGTACAAAGCACCCTAGAGCAGGGGCTCCCCAAAACTGATCCTCGGGCTAGTGCTAGGCAGAATTCCAGAAGAGAGGAAACTATATAATTTTTTAATATTGGAAAAGTAATTTGATTTGGACCACAGGGAAGACTACAAAGAAAAAGTAATTTAAGTGATGGTGGTATTGTTACTGCACGTTCAGGCTTTAGAGAAACTTCCATCTTTCTCAGCTTTCTTTCCTGGTGCCTTTTAATGCCTGAAGAGTGAGGTGTGAGTGTGTGTTTTCACTCAGGTGTGGTCAGAGAACAAAGCAGTGCTGTTCTTTCTGAGTCTTTCTGAGATATTTCTGGGTGAGAATGATCCCTCCCTTTGCAGGATCTCCTGTGTAACCAGTTTTCAAGTTTTTGATGATCTATCACTTAGATTCATATTTAAAGAGCATTCTACACAAACCAGATCTATTTTCCCTGTTAGCTGGTATGGTCTATAGAGAATTGTTTAAATAGACAAGTCAGACATGGCGGTAGATGGAATGTTCTGAGTGAGGACAAGGAGATTCCAGTGTGTCAGGGGAAGGATCTGTTCCACTGCAGCTGAGTCCCACTTGGGATGTGGTGAAGCGAGCAATGGCAGAACTGAGGACAGGGTTTGAGTGACCTAACCGGTGACAGTGGGTGGACATGAGGCCGAAGAGCTGAGCTCTGCAGCTGTCTCAGGAGACAGGTAGGATGAGACCTCTGGGAGCAGTGGTCAGTGCTGGAGGGCTGCTGACAAGGGCCAGGAGCCCGGGACCTTCAGGGACAGGCTCCTTTCCACCAAGACCATCTCCAAGTGATCTGTGCTTGGCCCAGGGAAGGGAGAAAAACAGAACCCTAGACCCTAACATTGCAAGTTACCTTACTCTTCTACCTCAGTTTTCCACCTAATGCACAATAAACATGGTCTAAGGAGGACAGTTCCTCACTACTGAAATCTAATGCTACAGCAAGATACATTTCTGCAAAGAGGGATAAGAGGGAACTTCAGTCCTAAGGCCTCAGTCAATAAGAGATTCTCTGTCCCATCTTCTTTCTTGTGTCACCACCCAGGGTTATAACTAGGCTAGAAGTCTTTAGTCAGGGTGTCCTCTCTTCAGCCAAAGCAGACGTGATTTTTATGCTCCCCTTAGAAAGTACAACACTTGGGTTCAAAGAGTCATTCAAAAGATGTCCCATTTTCTCACTCATTATAGACCAAGCCAAAAGTGTTTTCTTAACAGTGCAGAGGAGAGAGATGGGGCTTAGAGATAAGAAAGGAGTTCTTGAAAGCAAAGGGTTGGAAATTTTGGCCTAAAGGGACATTGGGAGTTATTTTCCCCTGCCAGGCCTGAGTCACAATCAATGGTCATCGTGGCGTAGCAGAAAGAACATGGGCTTTGGAGTCAGACTTAGGTTCATATCCTAGCTCTGCTTATTAGCTGTGGGACACTGGGTGAGTTGACTTAACCTCTCTGATCCTCAGTTTCCTCAGCTGCAGCATTATGTGAGAATATTGCCCCAATGTGATAAACAAATGGAATAAAGCCCATGAAAAGCTCCTGGTGCCACCGCATGGGGCATTATGGGGACAACATCATTTCCCTTCCCCTTCTGTTCCCATGGTTACCTCCCTCCCACCTGAACCATGTGGGCATACCAGGAGGCAGGCAGATAAATTCATTCAATACTTCTTTATTGAGAGCTTATTATGTGTTGGGCACGAGAAATTTAGAACAAAATAGATCTCATCTTTCCCCTCATGGGATTTTTCTGTCCAGCGAAGGTGACAGAGAAAACAATTCACAGAGAAAACAAACCTTAAATTACAAATTGTAGTCGATCTGTGAAGGAATTGAAACATCTCCGGGGTGCAGGAGTCGGTTCTGTCTGGGTAGGTGAGCAGGGAAGACCTCTCTGGAAAGGAGGTGGCCAGGCAGGGAAGTGGGGGAAGCAGTCCAAGCAGAGGGAACAAGCATACGCCAAGGCCCTGAGGCTGGAGAGCGTTCGGCCTGTGGGAAGAACTGAAAGGAGGACTTTGTAGCCAGGAAGACTGGTAGGAGAGGAGATTGGGCTTTGATAAGTCAAAGTAAGGAGTTTGGATTTAGGTTTGGTTTGGGGTACAAGAAACTACTGAGCAAGCAAGCAACATATCTAATTTATAAAGATATTTCTCGCCCCTGCTGCTAGGAGAGTTCATACTCCTCCATCACAGCCCAGTGTGGGCAGCCCAGGCCTGTCTCAGGGAGGCACCCCTGCCCCACAGGCCTGAGCAGAGGGGGTGAGAGAATCCAGGCTATGTGGAGAGATGAGCTTTCAGAGGTGGTGGGTGCGAAAGGCCAGCCTCCCACCCTAAGATTTAGTACCACCCACTCAAGCAGATGCTTCCATCTCCTGTCATCTGGGAGCTCCTTTTTTTTTTTTTTTTTTTGAGATGGAGTCTCGCTCTGTCACCCAGCCTGGAGTGCAGTGGTGCAATCTTGGCTCACTGCAACCTCCGCCTCCCGAGTTCAAGTGATTCTCCTGCCTCAGCCTCCTAAGTAGCTGGGATTACAGGGGCATACCACTACGCCCAGCTAATTTTTGTATTTTAATAGAGACAGGGTTTTGCCATGTTAGCGAGGCTGGTCTCAAACTCCTGATCTCAGGTGATCTGCCCACCTCGGCCTCCCAAAGTGCTGGGATTATAGGCGTGAGCCACCGCACCCAGCCCTAGCTGGGAACTCCTTGCACTGAGGTAGGGAGAAAGCAAGGGTGCCCTTTTGGAGCAGGTGGGCTGAACTTCTGTAGCAACTAAAGCCCAAGCTGTGAGTCAAGCCTCCCAAGTTATTCTCACCTTTAATGAAATGCTCAGTCTGATTTTATAGGGAAGGAGGTACTGTCAGATCTAGGCCAGAAATCTGCATTCTGTACCCCCTGCTCAGGCCAGAAATCCCAAGGGCTGGGCCCAGCATGTCCCCTCTGTGGTGGGACGGACAGACTGCCCCGGTCTTCCAGAACCCTTGGGATACCCACAGAAAGAGGTAACGCTGCTCTGGCCCTCTTCTGAGGACGAGTCAGTGGAGAGCATGCAGCTTCCAGCTGCAGCCTCTCTATGAAGGGCTGAGGCCCTGGGCCGGGAGGCTGGAGGAGAGAGGGACCCAGTGACCCCCCAAGCTTCCACCTTGCTCTGTTACCCGTTCTTGGGCTGAAGAGAGACCCAAAAATACAGTGTAGAGATTCACACTGAGGTAACTCAGGGAGTGGAATTCAGGGCCTCCCGCTGGGATTGAGGTGCTAATGACACAACTCCTGAACCTGACCTTAGAGTGCCAGCCATTGACGTCAACAAAGTTGAAATGATGTAACCTGACGCTCCCCCTGCGGGGCTTGTGCAGGGGCCTGGGGAGGGGGAAGGAGTGGCCATGAAACTGACTAGTGGACAGAACCCAGCTAAGGTCAGGACAAGACAGAGTGAAGGTCCCCTGGCACTGATGTTACAGAAGAATTCGGTGGTAAGGGGCTTCTGGAGAGTGGCATGTGCTATCTAAGCGAGTGGCCCAAATCCTTCCTGAAAGCATTTATCCGGCACTACAGCCACCATCAGGTAAGACAGTGGGCTTCTTCTGGCCATGGATGACACAGCCATGGGGGTGAGCAGCAGCACTGCCATGGCAGCGTGTCACTGTCACATGGGGATTCACATATGTACCTATGTGTGTTCATCCCCGTGTGTGCACATATTGCCCCACCTGGGGACAAAGGGTGCCTGGCCACATCTGGAGGGGCAGCGGTACTCCTGTGGCCACGTTGGGGTGGTCTGCATAGGTCTGATGCATTGGGGTCAGAGGGGCAGCCTGGCCTGTGGCTCCTCTTCTCTCCTCACAACTCCAGCCCTGAAAAGCTGCTGGGGAGGCCCTTGGGGATGACCTCTCCTCCCTGAGGTCTGCTATGGGGGCGGGTGCTGAGCCTGGAGCTGTGATTCTGCTATTGGATTTTCCAGGTGGATTTTCTGATTGAAAATGATGCAGAGAAGGACTATCTCTATGATGTGCTGCGAATGTACCACCAGTAAGTGTGCTGGGTCCAGCTCTTGTGGGCCACTTGGGTTCCTTTGTCTTCAGGGAGCCCTGGGATGGGTTGTTCTGAGACAGAGGAGCTCAGAGGGTGGATGCTCACGGCTCCTGGAAATCAAATGGACATACCATTCACTCATTTCAGCAACTATTTACACAAGTACTTTGTACTTGGCTTTGTACTAGGGGCTGGGTATAGTTGTGAGCCAGACAGATTGGTCTCTGTTTTCAGGTTGCTCACAGTCTGATGGAGGAGGCTGTCTAGTAGCCAGATAGATTCTATAGAGCATGATTGTTGGGACAGAACAAGAAATGCCAGCTGGCCACAGCCCTTGCATCAGATGTCTCCGATCACCCACTTGCTTTTTGATTCATTTTTTCTACTTTATAAGCTCCTGCCACTGCTGGGCACTGTGCAGAATCTGGAAATGAATTAGATCCAATTTCTTTCCTTGAGTAACTTGTGGTCTGGTGAGGGGAGATGAACATACACTGCAAACACAAAGAACTCTAATATAAGTTACATCAAATAACTGCTAAGTAGAGGTAAAAGCAGAAATGTGAAGAAAGGAGTTTTCCTTTCCAACTGCGAGGGAAGAGGAAGGACCAGGAAGGCTTGAGCAAGGCTTTGAAGGATAAGAAAGATTTGGGGCCAGGCAAGGTGGCTCATGCCTGTAATCCCAGAACTTTGAGAAGCTGAGGCAGGAGGATTGCTTGAGCCTAAGAGTTAGAGACCAGCCTGGGCAACATGGTGAAATCCCATCTCTACAAAAAAATACAAAAAATTAGCCGGGTATGGTGGCGCGTGCCTGTAGTCCCAGCTACTTAGGAGACTGAGGTGGGAATATCACCTGAACCCAGGAGGTCAAGGCTGCAGTGAGCCATGATTGCATCAATGCACTCCAGCCTGGGCAAGACAGCAAGACCCTGTCTCAAAAAAATAATAATAAAAGAAAAAGATTTTGGTAGGTGGAATATCTGGGAAGGGCATTCCAGAATGAGGGATCAGCATCAGCCAAAGTGTGGAGGCATGAAAGCAAGGGTGTGAATGGAGATAAGTAATCTGGGGGAGTAGGACTTGGGAGGGCACGGAGATCATAAATAGCCACAAGGCTGGAGAAGCTCCATGGGGACAGGTCATGGAGGGCCTTGAGCCTGCTGAGAAGAGTGGACTTTGTCCTCTGGGCAGTAAGGGGCCATCAAAGGGTTTTAAGCCAGGGAGTGCCTTACACTGAGAAAAGATGACGTGACAGTGAGTACATGGGCAGGCAGCTGCAGTCGAAGGTCTGAACAGCATGAGGGAGGAGGCATGTGAACTGTGGTGAGGTGAAATTGACAGAGCTTAGCAGCAGATACGAGTGGAGATGATGAGTGTGTGAGGAATTGTCAGCATCTCACACAGAGCTTTCCCCTCTGGAAAGATCCCAACAGCCGAGATAGGCAGCGCTGAGTTTGAAATCCTGGCTTCATCTCATCTGCAAAATGAGTCAACAATCCCTAGTAGACTGGTTTCCTGGGGATATTTATATAAGAGAACAAAGTCTTCTCAGGCACTGGCCCGGTGTGAAGAGCTCTGGGCTTTTCAGGAGTGGTCTACTCCATTCCTAAGCCTGGGCCCAGTGGCTGAAATGGCTTCCTCTTGGAATCCCTGGGTGCCTGAGGTCATGGCCAGGGGTGAGGCTCCAGGCATTCCCGGCATCTCCACAGGACCATGGACGTGGCCGTGCTCGTGGGAGACCTGAAGCTGGTCATCAATGAACCCAGCCGTCTGCCTCTGTTTGATGCCATTCGGCCGCTGATCCCACTGAAGCACCAGGTGGAATATGATCAGCTGACCCCCCGGCGCTCCAGGTGCAGAGGAAGCCACCAGGCTGGAGGCAGGGGGTGGAGAGATCACCCTGGGCGGGGCAGTGCTGGCAGCCAAGCTGCACCATCACCGACCTCTCCTGTGTGGCAGGAAGCTGAAGGAGGTGCGTCTGGACCGTCTGCACCCCGAAGGCCTCGGCCTGAGTGTGCGTGGTGGCCTGGAGTTTGGCTGTGGGCTCTTCATCTCCCACCTCATCAAAGGCGGTCAGGCAGACAGCGTCGGGCTCCAGGTGAGCAAACAGAGTCCGGGGGAGGGGGAGCGAGGGCCTCGGACCTCCTGCCTCCCCCTCATTCATCCACTAGGCTGTGTGGCACAACATGGTCACCCACTTTTCTGAGCCTTCGGGTGAAGAAGAGGCTGGCGCATCCTGATGGGTGTTCTTAGGCTCATAGAAATCAGGCCGCAGGCAATTGCCTGTTTTCTTGAGTGAAGCTGGTAACCTGGCTGCTGCCTGCTTCCAACTGCTGCCTCCTTCCAGCTGCTGCCGCTGCACTTCCCCCCACCTCCCCTACTCCCCAAGAGAGGAAGACAGTGATGCTGGCATATGAAGTTTTGGACCTGTTGCCTTTTACCAGCAGGGGGAAAGAAAGCCTGGTGCAGTGTGATGCCGAAGAGCATAGACTCTGAAGCAGGGTTAGCCGGGTTCAATTCTGGCTTTGCTGTTCATTAGGCTGTGTGACTTGGTGGAATGACTTAACCCTGTGCTTCAATTTCCTCATCTATAAAATGAGTTGCCGATAGTACTGTCTACCTCGTCAGGTTTTGTTAGTAAATGAATTAATAGTAGAAAGTGCTTATAGCAGGGCCTGGCATACAAATGCTGTGAGCCTGGTAAGTGAACAGAGAGAGGGAGATTTAAGAAACGCCTGGAATGTGCCAGGTCACATGCTCACAAGCAGTCCTTGCTATATGCATTGAACGGATCGTGCCCATTTTACAGAATTAATAGAGGCTCAGAGGCCAGTAAGTGGCAGAGCCAGGATTAGAAACTAACTGGGTCTCCTGACTGCCAAGCCCAGAAATCTCTCTTCAGCAACGCAGGTGCCTCTCCTTTGGGGTCCCCACACCTCAGGGCCTGAGCAGAGATGGGCAGACCTCCAGGTCTCACTCCTACCTGAGCCCAGGGCTGTGTTTTTGTGTGTTGAGATAAAGGAGGCCCTCCCACCATCACCAAGAGCTTCCAGCGGGTTTGTTATCAACATCCCAATCCAGGCTGCCAAGCTTGGGGCTTTCAAGGGGCTCGAAGGCTAATGGTACAAGACACTGTGGCGTAAGGGGTGGAAACAGGGAGCTGACAGACACCGCTTTGTTCTAAATCCCTGTCTCACGGCTCCCTGGTGGTGTCTGAAATTTCAGCCCCTTCATTATTTCTTTCCTCTGCAGCACATTTTCCAGCTCAGAAATGCAGCCAGAGAAAACACATAATGAGCGCCTCTCTTGGCGTCAGCTGAGGCCGCCTTTTTTCCAGGGCGAGCTCTCTTAGGACAAGCAGTTCTCAATGCTGCCTCGATGACTGGGGGCGTTGGGGTATTTTAATGAGACCTACAGTTTTACCTTCCTGGCTGTTTCTCAGGCTTATGAATTATCGGCCCTTTCTCTAGCTGACGGGTTCATCTCTCCTTTGTGCCGCTGTCCCTCAGATCGTTATATCATCGTGGCCCTTGCACAAAGGGCCCTTTGCAGGGCTCCACACAGGGCGAGACGGGGAGGAAAGTTGATCCTGCAACCTGAGCCAGGGGCTGTGTGGGAATCATTCCGACTGGGGTTCTGGGCAAATTCCCTTTAGGAATAAGACAGGGAACTTTACTCAGAGGAGCTTCGGGAAAAATGGCTGCATCCATTGACCTGTCTGGGGTTCATGCTTCTGGGGAGATCTCATGCCTGAGGGCAACTGGAAGAAGATGCTGGAAGGCAGGGGATGAGCAGGTTCAGATACAGCCCGGCTGGGCTAAAGACCTGTGCTGATTTGACCTGTGAGGCTGGGTCCCCAGTGGTGGGCTTGGACCCTCCCACAGGACCTAGTCCTGGGGGTCCACCCCTCTGCCCTTGTCCCCTGCTGGAGATACTTGGTTTTTGTTTTTTTTTCCCCAAGAATATCCTAACTTAACCTACATCCTCTGCCTTGCACAGGGCAGCCTGTGACATACAACTTGCTGTATATTCCAGACCTAGAAAATTATTCTGTGTGCTTTGGTTTTCCCTGTCATAACATGGACAGCTGCCTTTGTGTGGGACTTGAGGGCTCTGACAGGTGGCAAGGATCCAGAGAGGGCAGGATGCAGGGAATTGCAGCTAGGCTTGGCCGGATGCCCTTCTTTTCTACTTCCAGACACCCAAGAGACACCACTTGTCGATCAGGGAGACCTGACTTCAAATCCCACGACACTGTTTACTATTGGGGTAACCTTGAGCAAGTCACTTTACCTCTCTGAGCCTCAGTTTTCTCATCCGATTAACAGAGATACAAATTCCTGCTCTGCAGGGTTGTTGTGAAAAATAGGTGGAAGGAGTTAGTCTGGCCGCTGTCCTTGAATTACATGTTCCCAGAAACCTAGAGAGTTCTTTAGTGGGCCCCCACCCCAGTGCCATTTTGAGCCCTTGGCCACTCCTGTCAGGTCCCTGAGAAGACTGGGGTCTGTGTCCCGGAGTGGGAGGGAAGCGTTCCTTGGAATAGTGAGAAGGTGACTCTGTGGGAATGCTGTAGAGGGCAGGAGTTGCCCTAGAGGACCCCTCGGAGGCTGCATGTCCACCCAGCCCCTACCTACCTAGACCCACAGGGAGTCCAGCTTGCATCCCTCACGTGTGCCAGCACGTCTCCAAAGGGTGAGCACGTGTGTTTCGAGTTAAGCCCCCAGCTGACCTGCACTGGCCTCAGACCGGAACCTCTCCAGGAGCCAGTCTCTGTTTTGCAGCTACTGGCTGTGTGACCTTGGACAAAACCTCACTTCCTTGGGCTTCAGCTTCAGCTGTTATCTGAGAGTTCCTCCTGCCCTGTGGTTATTAAATGAGGAGCTCCAGAATTGATCCCCAGGGCCGGGGTGCCTGGAGGAGCCGGCAGTATCCAGCAGGGGGCAATCTCACCACGGCTCTGTATCCAGGGCTGGCTGCCCAGGGCCCATCTCAACAATCCACTGTGGCCTAAGCCCTGAGAAGAGAGATCTGAGCTGAGTATTCAGGGATCAGGACTAACTCATGATAACAATAGCAATCATGTATTGAGTGCTTACTGTGTGGCAGGCACTAGCTGTCTTTACATGCACAAGTTCACTTAATTCTCACAGCAACCTTGGTATTCCCCATTTTACAGACGAGGAAAACAGGTTCAGACAGTTCAAGAGACTTGCTCAAGGTCATATAGCTAATAATAATAAAAGAAGGGATTTGAACCCAGCACATCTGATGCCAAAGCCCTGTGCTCGTTCACTGTTCTTTGCTTGCTCCCAAAATAGGAATTCAGAGGTCAGGGCCACAGCAGAGTTAAAATGTTCATCAAGTTTCCATATGATGGGAAAAAAAAATCATATGTGTGTGTGTGTTGGTGATGTGAGCTTGGGTCAGGAGTCACAGAAGGTCCCCACCCCGACTCAGTTACAGTGTTGTAGCAATTAACAGAGATAGGGAGCCAACTTCCTAGGGGTGGGTTGGGACAAAGTCCCGGTAAGAATAGCTTAAAGCTGAGTGAAATGTCACCCTTTGCATAGAATCCAGAATCTGATGGTGCCCCAGTGGAGTGAAAGGGGCACTAGAGTGAGGGTGCAGAGAGTTCTGAGATCTTCTCCCAGCTCTGCTGCACACCCGCTGTGCCCCTCACCCCTGTCTTGGTTTCTCCATCTGTAAAATGGGGCGACAAGACTGCTTGGACATGCCACCTGAACCTGGGATCCCCCGGGCTGATGGAGGGTGGGTTGGTTGAGATCAAGGCTTATTCCAGGGGGTGGCACAGCCACCCTTCCCTTTTCCGGAGAGCAGTCCGGGAGCATCTGGTGGTGAGTCTGCCCCACTGCCTGATGCTCCCTCCACCTGGTGCTCCCTGCCTCTCTCTGTGGTCAAGGTAGGGGACGAGATCGTCCGGATCAATGGATATTCCATCTCCTCCTGTACCCATGAGGAGGTCATCAACCTCATTCGAACCAAGAAAACTGTGTCCATCAAAGTGAGACGTGAGTGAGGCCAGAGCAGGGCAGTACTCCATGACGGTGGGAGGGAGGGAGGGCGGGGGAGCAGGGCAGTACTCCATGACGGTGGGAGGGAGGGAGGGCGGGGGAGCAGGTCAGTACTCCATGACGGTGGGAGGGAGGGAGGGCGGGGGAGCTGTCCTAACCCCTGTGCCTTTCTCCCGCAGACATCGGCCTGATCCCCGTGAAAAGGTGAGAGGCCCCTCCTCTGCAGGCCAACTCTTCCCTGTGGGCCCAGGATCCTGGTACAGCCCTGGGGTCCGGCTCCCACCATGCCAGCCCTGCTTCTGGGCCAGTGGAGGCTGGAGGCTCTAGACATGGTGGATCTGGATGTGGGGCCTGGTTCCTCAAACGTCTCTCGCTAACCACCCTCCCATCTATTTTCCCTTCCCATCAGCTCTCCTGATGAGCCCCTCACTTGGCAGTATGTGGATCAGTTTGTGTCGGAATCTGGGGTAAGGGCCAGACCTCCTGTGATGGGGTTTGGGTGGGGTCATCTTCAAGGAGGGGTGGCCGGTCCTGAAGGGAGGGCTTGCTCTAGAGATGCACCCTCAGGGGCTTCACACAGGCTCCCAGGGCAGCCAGCACACCGCTGTGGGGCAGCAGCCCTCGGCCAGGCCCAGCTGGTGCAGACACATCCCCAGGGACGGAATGATGATCTGGCTGGCGTGAGTTCAGCAGTGCTCGCCCTGCAGATCCCACAAGCTCAAGAGGCCGCTTGCACGCATGTGGACACTCCGTGATTCTGCTTCTATCTCTCTTTCAGGGCGTGCGAGGCAGCCTGGGCTCCCCTGGAAATCGGGAAAACAAGGAGAAGAAGGTCTTCATCAGCCTGGTAGGCTCCCGAGGCCTTGGCTGCAGGTGGGTGGCAGGCATGCCCTGGGGTCATTCGTGGCCAGTGCACCCCAGCAGGCCCCTATTGCCCTCCCCTTCCTCACTGCCACTTCCGAGGAAACCTTGCCCACCAGGGGTGTGACTGTCCATGGGTGATGATACTTTTTTTGTTAGATACAGGGTCTGACTCTGTTGCCCAGGCTGGAGTGCAGTGGCATGATCATAGCTCACTGTAGCCTCAACCTCCCCAGCTCAAGCAATCCTCCCACCTCAGCCTCCTGAGTAGCTGGATCTACAGGAACACACTGCCATACCCAGCTAACTTTTAATTTTTTTGTAGAGATGGAGTTTTGTTATGTTGCCCAGGCTGGTCTCAAACTCCTGGGCTCAAGTGATCCTCCCACCTCAGCCTCCCAAAGCCCTGGGATTAGAGGCATGAAGCACCGCACCCAGCCTTGGTGTTGACACTTCTTGGTGCCTGATTTCCCCTCTGAACTTCATGACAGGCCTTTAGGGCCAGAGGGTCATCTCTAACAGAGCCCAATTTACAGATGAGGAAATTGAGGCCCAGAGGCAGAACAGTGTTACCTTGTGGGCCCTTGAGTCACTGCAAAAGGAGCCTGTTTGGCTGGTCATCTCTGTCACAGCTCTCTTGTCACTTATTAACTTGTTGGCTTCCTTAAGAGGCAGACAGGGAATTCCGAACAGACACTGGGCCACACGGGGCTTAAGCATGCAGGTGCCACCGTTACTCAGATCCCAGTTCCAGCCCTGCTTTCCCACTTAAGAGCTCTGGAACCTTGGGCCAGTTACTTAACCACTTTGAGCCTCAGTTTCTCCCTCTATAAATGGGCGATAATAATTCCCACATCACAGGGTGGTTGTGGAGAAAGTAAAGTGCCAAACTTAGTACCTGCTAAATAGTAAGCAGTTGGTAAATATTAGCTATTATTATTTAAGTTATCCCTGTTCTTTCCTTTCATTCACATTTATTCAATGTTTTGTGCCAAGCACAAGTGATAAAAAGTCCCACCTTTCTGGGAGACAACAGCCTAATCTAGAAGCCAACCAAGTAAATAGTTATAATATAGGGTGATAGGGACTCGAACGGGACTACATTCTGCGTCCAGGATGGCAAATAGGTGCCATCTCTAGTCAATGAGTAGCAGCTCCCTGGAGTGCTGCTTTGAAAAGCATTCTAAAGCTGTATCCAGGATTGTGGGAAAGAGTGCTGTGATCAATGAGTGACTTCTGCCACCAATCTAGGAAGGAATACTAACAGTACATGTACCATCCTTGCCGTAAATGTCATAGGAGCACTGAGAACAGAGCGGCTAGTTTAGTCTTGGGATAGAATAAGGGATCTGAGCCAGGCATGGTGGTGCACACCTGTAGTCGCAGCTAGGCTGAGGTGGGAAGATTGCTTGATCCCAGGAGTTGGAGGTTGCAGAGAGCTATGATCACACCACTGCACTCCAACCTGGGTGACAGAGCAAGACCCTGTCTCTAAAAAATAAATTTAAAAAAATAAGAGGATCTGGTAAAAACCTTATAGAAGGGATAGCATTTGAGTCTTAATGGATGGACAGGAAAGTGCTAGAAAGAAAGAAGAAACAGCATATGAGGTATATTAGGTGAGAGGTTGGGTAGGAAGAATTACAAGGATTTTTCTGTGGCTGTTGCCCAGGGTAGCAGTAGAAATCAGGCTGGAGAGGGACACAGAGGCTGAAGAGGTAGGCAGTCAAGGGCCTTCAGTCCTCAGCTCATGAGTGACCTGTATCCTGAGCACTGGACATGGGTTACCTGAATCCCGAGCACACATTTCCCACCTCCCGCAGCATTTCCAGCGGCCCCATCCAGAAGCCTGGCATCTTTATCAGCCATGTGAAACCTGGCTCCCTGTCTGCTGAGGTGGGATTGGAGGTGAGTGACGCTGGGCCGGCCCCAGTGGGGGCCCACTGGAAATTGGGTCAGACTGTGATCCCGCGGTGACAGGGGCAGGTGCCTTTCCACATGGCCCTCTTTCAGTGGACACTGAGGGAGTAGGAGCCCTACCCACCCTGCAGAGAAGGCTTCACAGACTGGGGATGTTTGACCCTTCTGCAGCCTTCCCCAGCTCTGATAGTTGTTGGTCACGAGCTTGGGAATGTCGTAATGGTAATCAAAGAGCGGACCTTCAGTGTCCACTTGCATCAGACATTGTTCCATGCCCTTTACACTTCACAAGAATGCTGAGGGTTAAGTACCACCATTATCCCCACTTTACATATGAGGAAACTGAGACCCAGAGAAAGTATATGATTTTTCCAAAATCGTGTACCTCATATGGTAGGGCTGGGATTCAAACCTAGGTGGTCCAATCCCAAAGCAGGAACCCTTAACCTCTTCTTTGGACAAGTTACTTCATGTCTGTTTGCTTACCTGTAAGATGGGGATAATACAGGCTTTCTTCCAAGGTTGTTGTGTGGGTTAAAGTAATTAATATGTATACTAGAGCTGTGCCAAGCACATTGTAAGTGATCAGTGAATGTTAGCTATTCTGTTATGACGATTCAACACAGCCTGTGCTAAATGAGAAGCTCAAAGGTTCCCGCATCTGCAAACTGTGATTTTTAAAGCAAATGTCATCAAATTTAGCCAAAGAAATGAACATGTAATGGTATAATATTTGATAGTTGATAAGATAGTTATGAAGTAGGGGAGTGCCAGGGTCAGCTTTAAGCCCTCCCAGAGCTCCACCAGAGCTTTCCAACTGCTCCATTCATCAGGAGGAGCTGAGGTACTGCCACTTGAAGATCCAGCATCTGACCCAGAGCCCCTGGGGGAGCCTGTCCTGCAGATGAGCGAGTGTACAGATAGCGCAAACACACTAATCTTTCTCCATTTCCCCACCAGATAGGGGACCAGATTGTCGAAGTCAATGGCGTCGACTTCTCTAACCTGGATCACAAGGAGGTGAGATGTGGGGGTCTTCACCTGTTGGCCCTTGTCATCTCCACACCCCACTTCTCATCCCCACCACCCTGGAGCCTGGGGCCTTCTGTGCTCTCTGCCTGGACTGCTGTGGTCTGTCAGGCCTCGGCCCACTGTCCTTCTGTCCCCACAGGCTGTAAATGTGCTGAAGAGTAGCCGCAGCCTGACCATCTCCATTGTAGCTGCAGCTGTAAGTCCAGAATGAGCTGGTGGGAGCCCCTTGACCTTCATCCCCAGCCCCTCTGACCTTTGATCTCTGCCACACACTCCCAGGGTGGCTGGTCTCCTTCCCTGAAGCTCTGACAGAGCAGAGCGAGAGGACTTCTGCCCAGCAAGAAGTTTGGGTCAGGGATTGCGGGAGCCGCAGTGCCTGATGGTGCTGAGAAGACCACCTGCATCTCGGCCCCCAGGGGTGTGTCAGGGGATCCCCAGGTTCCCCGGGGGCTGAGCAAGGGGCCTCTTTTCTCCCATGAGGGCCGGGAGCTGTTCATGACAGACCGGGAGCGGCTGGCAGAGGCGCGGCAGCGTGAGCTGCAGCGGCAGGAGCTTCTCATGCAGAAGCGGCTGGCGATGGAGTCCAACAAGATCCTCCAGGAGCAGCAGGAGATGGAGCGGCAGTGAGTGCAGCCAGCCCTGGATGCCCTGTCCCGCCTCCCACCCCACCACACGACCCCACCTAGCTTGCTTCCTGCCCGCTGTGTCCCCAGCCAACTTCCTCCTCCTCCCTGGAGGCCAGTCCTCAGACCAGATGAGTTTGGTGGTAGGTCAGCGTATCCATCCTTGGCCTCAGACCACCTGGCTCCTTCCTCCTTGCTGAGCAGAGCCCCCTGTCTTCCAACATTCCAAGAATATGGAAAATAAGCATCCTACTAGCAGTAGGCTCTAGCTAGCTAGGATTAGCTACCAGCTAACATTTGTCAAGTACCTCCATAAGGCTGGTGTTGTATTAGGGCCTTGTTTATGTTTCTTAATTCCCACAATAGCCCTGGGAGGTAGAGAGTATTAACCCCATTTTAGAGGTGTGGAGACTGACACTCAGAGAGGTGAAGCCACTTGTGTCTAACGTCACACGTGGCCAAGCTGGGATCACCCCCAGGCAATCTGGCAAGTCCCCACAGGGCTGCCCTGCCTATAGTGATGAAGCTCACCCTTGTCCAGGAGGATTGAAATGATGGCCTAAGAGAATAAATGGGGTGAGCAATTCATAAATCAAAAACTACTGTCAAGATCCAAATCCAAATACCTTTTAGGCATTTAAAAGTATTTCATGGCTGGACGCAGTGACTCACGCCTGTTATCCCAGCACTTTGGAGGTCGAGGCCGGCAGATCATCTGAGGTCAGGAGTTCGAGACCAGCCTGGCCAGCATGGTGAAACTGTGTCTCTACTAAAAATACAAAAAAAAATTAGCTGGGCATAGTGGCATGCGACTGTAATCCCAGCTTCTCGGGAGGCTGAGACATGAGAATCACTTGAACCTGGGAGGCAGAGGTTGCAGTGAGCTGATATCGCACCACTGAACTCCTGGGTGCAAAGTGAGACTTTGTCTCAATCAATCAATCAATTAATGTATTTTGAAAAGGAAAGAGGAAAGGCTGTCCCCATCTCCCCCAACACAGAGTTAGCTGGGAGTATTCCACCTGGCTAGGAGCCCCTGCTTTGCTCCTGGGGTCAGTCCAGGCCCCGCCTGTCATCAGTCACCTTACCTAAGTGTTTGGAGGAGGGTGCATGGAGTGTGGCCTTCACATGGATCTGCTTCCCTCCTCCCACAGCCCAGCATCTCTGCTCAGCCATGCCAGACAAAACCACGCAAGAGCACAGCGTCCAGACTTTGTTAGATAACGTCCCCCAAAACCAAAGCTGGTCCAGGCCTCCTAGGAAGGGAGCCTGGAGAAAAATCCAACTTTTCTCCAAATCAAGAATTCACAGTAAGGAAGAGTTCATTTCTCTTGCATAGGGCCAAACATGCCAATCTGCATTTGTGTTTCAGAAGGAGAAAAGAAATTGCCCAGAAGGCAGCAGAGGAAAATGAGAGATACCGGAAGGAGATGGAACAGTGAGTACCTCGGCTCCACGCGTGTCTGTGCATGAACATCAGTGTGCTCAGGGGAGTGTGGCCAACCAGAGGCTGCCTCCAGAACCAGTTTACCTGGTTCTCTCATCCCCTGGTGGGTCCTCCTTTATTTGTAGTAAAGCCTGTCATATTATAGTAACTGAAACATAGTCTCGTATAATTGCCAAGGTGGGGTTCACACTCAATTTAGAATACAAGCTCGGGGACTTTGCTTGATTCATCATGACTAGAACCATGAGGCTTCTCCCCAGGCTGGCTGGGGCTCTCCGATATGCAGGAGATGGGCCTATGGGGGTTCTGACTCCAGTAACAGGCATGGGGGTCTCATTTTAGGATTGTAGAGGAGGAAGAGAAGTTTAAGAAGCAATGGGAAGAAGACTGGGGCTCAAAGGAACAGCTACTCTTGCCTAAAACCATCACTGCTGAGGTACACCCAGTACCCCTTCGCAAGCCAAAGTGTAAGTTTCATGAGCCGAGGGGAGAGGCTAAGGGAACTAGTCAGAAATGCTGGCCCTCCCTCCCCTCACCACCACCTCCTAGATGGATAGCCCTTGGTGCTCTGGGCTGTGGTTCCTTCATGGAGGGGCAGCTGTGGGTCAGAGACCATCTGCCCCAGCATCGAGGTAGGAGGGATCTGTCTGCTCCCCTTGTTCACGGGCCAGCTCCACATACCCAGCTCCCAGGTCCCCCACAACACTGACATGGGCAGGCTGTCAGGCTGCTGAAGAGGGAATAAGGGCCATAGTGAAAGTGGATTAGCTCATGGGATTACCGTCCTAATGTTTTGGGTACCATGTCCTCCTCCTACTTGGTTCTGAACAGGGGCTGGGGTGAAGCCAGCAGCAGAAAAGAGGGGAAGGACCTCACATCAGAGAAGGGCTCTGGTGGTCCAAGGTTGATTCATAACTGTGGGAGGAGCTTACTAAGTGTCTCCAGCCCCTATATCCCTGTATGTGGACCAAGGATGGAGGCAGGAACAGGACAAGGAGGCCTCTCCCAGACACCCAGCTATGGGCTGTGGCTGTGCTGTCCTGGGGCCTCAGCTCATACTCTCCTTACCATCTCCTCTCTTCATCCGTCCCACATCCTCACCTCCATTTTCAGTCTAAGCCTCTACCACCTGCTCCCTGACCACCTTCTCAACCCCAGCTTCCATATGCCTCTTTAAGAGGCAGCCCACACTGCCAGAGGAAAACGGGGACCATGACAACCACAAGTCCAGGATTGCTGGTTGGGTCCTTACTCCTGCCTTCCAGCTGTTTTGACTTATAGTTGACACAGGACAGGTCCTACTCCAGCTGATTGTGCTCAGCTGACCTGGGAACCTCCAGCAAGGGGCTATTCTGGACTCAAGAGCCCAGGTTCCCCATCTCTGCTGTGGGGCAGTCATTTGGCATGTTGTGATGGGGTCTGGACAGCTCTGTCCCCAACTTTGGGTCACATATGAGACCTATGGGAATGTCAACCTGCCAACATAGGCCACTTGCACCAAGGAAGAGGTGCAGGGCATCTGGATGGTTCCATTTCACCCCTCCCTGGTGCAGTCAAACAGCTCCCAACACATTTCTTCCTGGCAGCAGGGCAGTGTCATCTCCTGGTCCTCTCAGAAGGACAAAGCACACTCTCATCAGCCTCCCCCGTGACATTCAGTATCAGTTGAGGATATGGCCAGAGCTAAGATCCCAATGAATGATCGCTGTTTTAGACAGACAGCTAATTTGCTCTTACGAGTGAAATAGGAGCTTCAGGAGAGAAATCGATTTTAATTGCTTCTCATGGAAGTAATCCTAGTCAATTTGGTACCTTCCAAGAAATTGGGCCTCAGCTTCACAGCAAACACACCCTCTCAGGAGCAATAGAAAATAAAAACCCTTTCACTAGCTGGTTATTTATTTAGTGCCTTTTAAACAAATCAAGCTCTTTGAATAAAAAGACCAAGAATTTTGCATTTGCTCAAGGTAAATGTGATCTTAGGCAGCTCCACAAAGCACAGGATGGATGACCCCCGCCTGCCCGCTGAGCTGGGACAGCTGCTGCCTCTATCTGTCTCTGTATGCACCAGCAATTTAATTCTCATTTGGACCTAAGGCAGGAAATGCAGTGAGGTCCCTGAGCCAGCTCACCTCCTGCCTCACTCCCTGTTCCCCGGGGTCTAGCATGGTCAGGGCTGAGTTGGTCCAGCAGGCCTGGGCCCCAGCCAGCTCCTATCCAACCACCCTTCAACTCAGCACCCAGTTTGCAATAGGTTATACCTGACTCAGGCTTCTATGCCTGCAAGGGGTGGGCCCTGCTTTTTTTTTTTTCTTGAGACAGAGTTTTGCTCTTGTTGCCCAGGCTGGAGTGCCATGGCGTGATCTCAGCTCCCCGCAGCCTCCGCCTCCTGGGTTCAAGCAATTCTCCTGCCTCAAAGCCTCCCGAGTAGCTGGGACTACAGGCATGCGCCACCAAGCCCAGCTAATTTTGTATTTTTGGTAGAGACAGGGTTTCACTATGTTGGTCAGGCAGGTCTTGAACTCCCAGCCTCAGGTGATCTGCCCGTCTCCACCTCCCAAAGTGCTGGGATTACAGGCATGAGCCACTGTGCCTGGCCCCGGGCCCTGCATTTTTTAAAATAAAAGAGCATGGGGCATCTCTTACCTAGAAAATGAAGTCACTCATCCTAATTATGTGCCTGGGACTGACTGCCCCCCAACCTGCCCCAGGGGGCCCTTAAAATTGCTCCTGCCCACCTACCCGTGGCTGATCCAGCAGACCCCCAACATTTTGCCAAGCCCTGAAGGCCAGGACACCACCACAGAGGCTCCTAACAGACCTTCCCTTAGCTTAGGCAGGAGTTATGTAGGTGGTTATGCAGGAGTTGCCAGGGGCAGCCTTGACTAAGGATCTGGTAGCTGAAGGATTCTTGAAAGATGGAGATGTTTAAATAGGACATCTCCAACCTTCTCTCCCTATCCAAGGCCCCATCAACTATCTCCCCCACCTCCACCACAAGAGACCCCACGATTTGGAAGTTGAGGTTATTTTCCTACCGAACTATTAAATAATCATTTGTGTTCCATTGTTTTATTAAGTAGTCCTTGTTAGTAAGGGAGCATCAGGGTTCCACTGTTGGGTAAATGTAATTTGAGCCAAGAGCCAAAGAACTTAACAGCCTTTGCATAGGCCAATGGGCAAGTTCTGTTAAGCTTTTAAAATATTAAAAAGCAGCTCACAAGCAAACGGGTATACTACCTTCCAGAGTCCTAGGGAGGCCGGAGGCCAGAGTCCAAGCTGGAAACTCTGGAATGGAGGGTTTGCTCTTCTCTCCACATTATGTCAAAATTCAGGTCTTCCTAACTGCATGTACCCCTTTTACCTTTTGGGATGTCCCCACCTCCTCAGGACCTTCAGCCTCCATCTGCTGCCCACACTGTTCAGACATCCCCTAGGGTCCCAGAGCTCCAAGGCAAGGGTGATAAGCACAAGGCTGGAGGGTCTGTTCTCCCATTGCAGCCCCTTGCCCTCAAACGTGTGCGATTCTCAGATATTCCCATCCTCCTCACTGCACTTCCCAGCCTTCAGCCCAATACCCTACAAAATGGTTCTCATGCTACCCTCAGATCTGAGTTTCCTGTTGTTAGCCCTTTGTACAGACAGAAAAACTAAAGCTGCCAAGGTTGAAAACACTGTATGCACCAGCTCAGAGCAAAAAACCTTTGCTCTGCTCTCCTGAACTCTGTCCCCTGCCCCTGACCTCACAGCTCCCATGGAGGAAGCTGATTACAGGTCCCCAAACTCCTGAGAAGGTTCTCCGGCCTCTTGGGCTCCCAAGTCCCTTTTGGTTCACCAGCTTCCTCCTCTTTTCCCTGGGTAGATGATCAGGGAGTGGAACCTGAGCTCGAGCCCGCAGATGACCTGGATGGAGGCACGGAGGAGCAGGGAGAGCAGGTTCGCGTCCCCGCTTTGCTCCCTGGCCTGGCTGCTCTGCTTTACCCTGCCCGCCTCCTCCTGACCGCAGTGCAGACACCCAGCTTCAGGGGCCCAGCATGTGTGGGGGCCAATAGAGTCTGTAAAGCTCCTCCAAGCCCCAGCTTGGCCCAAGCACTGTACACAAAGCCTAGACGACAGGACTCAATGCCCAGGCTGGTAGATCAGCTGTTGCACACTGGTACCACTGAACCGCTGGCTCGAATATTTAGATATTGCCAAATTCCCCCTCTGCTGCTCTGGCCCCTCCCCCAGGACCCCCTAGACCACTCTCAAATCCAGCAACTGAGGAGGTAGTGTCTGGTCCAGCAGGAGGCTTTCAGCATCCTGTTCCAGCACTCAGGCTGGTCCGGGGTGGGTAATTCAGCCATCGCTCTTGGCCCCAGGGAGCTTCAGATTGGGGGTATTACTCTGTGGAGCTGCGGCCTGGGGAAGGAAGGGGGCTGGTGCACTGGCTATCTGGCCTGGATGAGGATCTGTTTTCTGGGGGCACATCTCCTGCCCGCTCCTGCTGGAGCTGTCCTTCCAAGAGCTGTCCCAGCCACTGCCTTCTCTTTGAATGTTGAAAGCGGAGGACTTGACCTGCACTATGAGACAAGCCAGTTTTGTTCTGTCGAACAACAGTTCTAGGCAGACACCCAGGCTCCCTTTTGTCTCGAGCCATTTTTTGTATGGAGGGACCAGACATGGGTTAGAAAAGGCCTTGTTCTCTTTCAACAAGGCTTTGTATGTGAAGACTGTGATTTGGAAAAGCTCATCCTTCCACAAGGGGTTTTCTCTTTGATGTTCTGGCCCTGACTTCTGAAACCAGTGTTCTGGGGAGAGGCATTTGAGAGTGACCCAGGGCCTGGGAACCGGGGCTTTTCTCGGTGGTCTTAGGCCTGTTCTGCAACCAAGGCAAGGCCAGGTAAGCCGAGTTGGACAGAGGGTGCAGTTTTGCTGTCGGATCTGCCAATGCTGTTTATCTCACAAAGTCATGCATTCCTTGGGAACCCAGCTCCCATCTGCTGCCCATGGATGCTCTGGCTGAGCTGAACTGTGTCTCATCATTTTGTTATCTGTGTCTTATAGCTTTTGGATGGTTTTATCGTTACGATGGCAAATTCCCAACCATCCGGAAGGTAGGACAGGGTTGGGTGCTGTGCTGGTGTGCTGCTTAGTTTGCTGTGGGTTTTGGCTTTTCCCAAACATTCCTTGTCCTATCAACACTAAATGGTGTGACTTGGCCTGTTCACTTGGAAGGCTAACTCCATCTCCATCTTTGTGTCAGGCTGACATCAAATGGCAGGGTGCTGTTGCAAAGGCAACATTGGGAGAGGGATCCATGGTGTGAGACCTATCCAAGTACCATCTGGCAGTGTGTGCATCAGCACTGGCCCTGATGGGAACAGGAAAGGGGCAGGAAGCTTCTCCTGTGTTTCTCTGTCAAGTAGAACTAGAGACCAAGGCCAGAAGCTTGGGGTCAGACAGAGCAAATTATCGGAGTGGGTGTACCTAGTGCATGTTATGAGACCAGCTGTGCCAGACGCAGCCTGGCTGACGAGGTGGGGATTTGCTGCCTCAGGTTGGGACAGAGACCCACTCCAAGCACAGCCCTCTCCTAGGAATATCTCTGCATGTGCCCAGGATAATGCATTTTTCCAATTTCTAGGACCTTTAATTTTCTCTCTAAATCTTATTACAATATCTCCAGGCCTTGTAAAACTCTCTTGTCCTTATCTTTCTAAATCACATTGACATTTGATTGTGAAAACATTGCTGTTAATATCTATAATTGGACATTCGAGATGACTTGGTATTTGGAGGTCAGGCAGCAGCATAAATCTGGGTGAGCTAAATTGGATGTTATCACTTGACCAGCGCTTTCTGGCAAGATGTCAGTCCCCCAGAAACCAGAGCACTGGCAGCTGAGTGACCTTGATGATATATAATTCTCCCTGCCTGTAAAATGGGAATATTAACTGTGCCAGGAAAATCTACCCCCTTCCTCCAGCACATTGCTATTAAAATAACAAACAGTAATATTTTTCCTGACAGAGGTTAATGCCTTTATCTAGGAACATCTATCAGGATTTGTATAGCATTGAATAAACTTGGAACAGAGTTCCTCTGGGAATTCCTTCACACATTGTCCTGGTCTCAGAAAGGCCTTGGTCTCATAAGACTATCTGTTTCCCTTGACAGGCTGACTTTGGTGGCTTAGGATGCCTCATTGGGTTAGATTTCTAATTCTTCTCTATATTCTGCCTCTACTAGAACTCAGCTAGAGAGGACAAAACACACACACACACACACAAGCACACACACACATGCACACATAGGATTTTACTTGAAAAAAATAATAAAGGAGACAGATATGTCAAATCTTTTTCAGGCACTAATAACATGTAAATGTAAAAGAACTAGAATCTTCTCCACATACCACCTCCCATCAGAAATCATGTCCTTGAAAGTGCTGTTGATAAAGAAATAGGGTTGCCTTTCCCCTATTCCTTAATCTAATTATTCCAGAAACAGCTGTCATTTTGGTTTTCATTTTCACTTCAAAAAAAAAAAAAAAAAAAGAATTGCTTCTGGGTAGAATCAATAGCACAATCGCCCCATCTGCCTCACCTCTCAGTCTGGACCAAAAGGAATATTGTAACTGACAGGCCATGGATGTAACTGACAGCTGAAAGGACAACAGAACCATGCCCCTCATACTGGCTCTGAAAACCCGTCATCATTTTTTCTAGAGCCGTGAGAGACTCTTTGTCTCCCAGCAGCTGGAACGCCAAGTCTCCAGGAAATGCAAGTGGGTATCCATGGCCATGATATCTGTGCATAAATTCCCCTTATTTAAAAATATAAAGATTCAGCTCATGTCTATAATGCCAGCACTGTGGGAGGCCAAGACAGGCGAATCACGTGAGGTTGGGAGTTCAAGACCAGCCTGGCCAACAGGGTGAAACCCTGTCTCTATTAAAAATTCAAAAATTAGCTGGGTGTGGTGGCGCATGCCTGTAATCCCAGCTACTTGGGAGGCTGAGGCAGGAGAATCACTTGAACCCTAGAGGCAGAGGCTGCAGTGAGCCGAGATTGCACCACTGCACTCCAGCCTGGGTGACAGAGCAGGACCCTGTCTCAAGAAAATAATAATAATAATATAAAGATTCAGTGTCTTCTATTTCCACCTTGGCAGTAAATCCCTCTGGGGCTCAAGGTTCCCAGGCCTTTGGCCCCACAGAATTTGTGCCAGGGCATGAAGGATTCATGATTCTGACTAAGCCCTTTCATCAGAATTGCTTGAGTCACTCACACAGACCAGCCCTACTTGCAGGAGCCCACCGTCTGGCAGGGAAGGCAGATTCACACACAGCTAAGTAACCTGTGTGGGGCCAGTCTGAGATCAGTGGGAAATGCCATGGGGCAACTTGCCCTCTGCATCTGTACAGATATGACTTTCTTGGGCATGAGACAGAAACTGTCTACTACCCCACCCAGAAGCCCTGACTCTATAATCTTAGCACTGGTAGTTTTTTTTTTCTTTCTTTCTTTCTTTTTTTAAGCAACAGAATGGCCATTATTCTCGTGGTGGTCCTGGAGGAGGCCAGGCTCTTACTCTAGCAAGCTACCATTAGGCAGTGTTTCTGGCTCCTCTTGGGAAATTGCTGTCTGAATCTCTACTACGATGGCAGGGATTCATCTATCAACTGAGTCTAGTGAACAAGGTAGGCAAGGAACCAAGCAGGACTCTGAAGCAGTGAGAACCATTTTCTCGAGAGGCTCATACACTGCTCTGGAGGTGGGTCCCAGAGGTGACCATTTCCAGAGCACATTAGCAGTACACAGAGGTGTGTGTCTTTAGGAGAGGAGCTAGGAAGAGTCCCTCAGAGGTCCATAATGGCCCACCAAGTCCCTCCAGCTGTGGATGAATGTTGTGTGTCCATTGCTAGGGAGCTCAATTCCTTATTCCTGGCCTTGGATACTAAGATGATTCAGAAAATTCAAGAGCAGATCCCCAGAAGGCTTGTTGGGGGCGGGGGTGAGCTCAGTGAACAGGGGGTTTCCTCCTTGCCCCAGAAATTGCCCAGGGTGTGGGCTGTCTCTGCTGCCCCTCTCCTGAATGCTCGCTCTGTCCTCCACGCTGTGTGTGATAGGGGCTGACCCTCCCTCCTGCCGTGTTTCCCTTGCCCCCAGCTCATCAGGGCACCATAGAAAAACTAGGACCTCGAAGACTCAGGTCCAAATCCTGGTACTATCAGTTACAAGATGTCTGACATTGAACAAGGGACTTTACCTCTCTGAGCCTCAGCTCCTTCATCAAAGAATGAGGATAAACCTACATAGGAGATCATTGGTATAAATCCCTTGGCACATAGGCAGTTCATAAATGATCATTCTCTTCCTGCCTTAGCCCCTGGCTTCCCTGCAACCCCATGAGAGAAGCAGCCAGGAATGCAGGCTCGGTGGGTCTAATTCCTACAGGAAAAATAAGGAGTCTATTTGCCTTTCATGTCCCTCCCCAAATCCTCTAGAACCCTGATGGTGAGTGTAAAGCAGTTAAGCCATTCTCTCCATGCCCTGCCTCCCAGTCCTGCAGTTTCCAGCTAGCCCTCGGTAGAGGGGCACAATTCAGAGGAAACTGTGGGTCTAGACTCTCCAGGGTGAAATGGTCCAGAGCTTAAGCATGCGGGTAAAATCTGATGTCCCTGGGTCTGAGCCCCCAGGTCTCAGTGTGACTCCTATCACTTCTAGCTTAGGACGGGACCTCTACAGATGAAGCTTGCCAGCCCTCCCAGATTTTCTCTGGAATCTCCCAGGATGCATCTCTGAATCTGAACATGAGATGATGCAGAAGGCATGTGCCAGATACTGGAAAATCAGCACAATGCCCTTTATTTATATGGCACTTATTTATTTTTTTATTTTATTTTTTATTTATACAGAACTTTTACAAAGTTCTTTCATGGATGTTATTTCATTGGCACTGGGTGGCAAGCCTGTGGGGGAGGTATTTTTACCATTTTGGAGATGAGGCAAATCAGGCCCAGAGAGGTTAAGGAACTTAGCCAAGGCCACACAGCTAGTTAGTGAACTAATAAGCCAGTCTTTCTGGCTGGTAAAGAGAATGTGTCTCCCACTCTGCAGTAGGTAGCAGTGGCCTTCCTGTCCTAAACCTGAGGTCTGATGTCCAGAGTGGTGAGAGAGCTGGGGGAGGGGCTCACCATGGGATGGTTGTGTTATGTGAGGACTGGATGCCCCGTGTGCTGTGCTGTCGACACTATTTCTAACCTTTGTCATATAAACAATGCCACATCTACTCAGAAAGGAAAAGATAAGAAGAAAGCCAAGTATGGCAGCCTGCAGGACTTGAGAAAGAATAAGAAAGAACTGGAGTTTGAGCAAAAGCTTTACAAAGAGAAAGAGGAAATGCTGGAGAAGGAAAAGCAGCTAAAGATCAACCGGCTGGCCCAGGAGGTATGTGTCCTGCCTGCAGGCCAGGCAAGCAACCCTGGGACACAATGTGGTCGTTCTCCATGTGCTCCCAGAGGACCAGCTGGAGTTGTTCTCCTCAAATGGCATACAAGGGTGGAGTGAGCCCTTTCCTGCTCCCCAGCCTGGAGAGAGAGATCATGCCACCTGCCCAGGGCCATCTGAGGTTAGCTCCTGGCTTAGGAATTGAAACTAATCTCCTTGCTTGGGGGTGTGAGTCTTGCTCCTGGCTTTGGAATTGAAACTAGCCTCCTTGGTCGGGGGGTGTGAGTCTGAGGTTAGCCTTTCTGACCAGATGGTAGGTCTCAGGTTAGCCTTTGATACACCTGGCTTAGAGATTTGAGTCTGTCCTCTTCACTCTACCCCACCAGAGTCTAAGGCTGGGCCTCTCCATCTCAGGTGTGGCTCTGAGGCTACTTAGAGTATGGTCTGCGGCTAACCCTTCTGCCTTGCTTGTAGCTTTGAAGTTAGGCTTCCACTGACCTGTCTACGAGTCTGAATCACTCTGGCCTCCCTTCCCAGGTTATTGTAAGACCAGACCCCCCCCCACCCAACTTAGCTTGGCTCTGAGAATATGGGTCTGAGGCTAACCCCCTTATGCAGGTGGTAGGTGCGAGGTTATCTCCCAATTAATCAGGCTATCAGTCTAAGGCTGCTCCCCTCAACATAGGGTGTGTCTAAGGCTAGACCTCATCAACCTGGGAATATATCTGAGGCTGTCCCCATGAAGACATGTCCAAAGCAACCTTACACCATGAATAATTCCTATGCTAGGTGAGATGGGTAACCTTAACTCCCCAGCTGTAGGAGGTATCATTGTTTCTGCTTCTCTTTAACGCATCCATGAATCAGAATGCCAATTTGATTAGATTATAAAACCAGAGAAGTCCTGGAAAATGTGAAATGCATTAGGTCTGACATTATGAACAAATTAGCCACAAAATTAAAAATAAGATTGAACTTATGCTTCTGAGGGCAAGGCAGAATGGAGCAGGAAAAAAAAGAGTCAAGTTAAACTCTTGGAATGTGCTGGGGGAGGCTACAAAAACTCCATTCTTGGAAAATCATAAGAGCCTCAGGGTTCATGGGGATCTGGGATCCAGCTAATCCCTCACAATACATAAGCCCCTTTTCTGATTTTGCCTACAAGTTCTGCTTAGTGAATTTGACACCCCGCCACTCTCTTCTCCCTTGCTGCTGCCTCCTTGAGGGCCAGTTGGAACAAGCCCAGGTCTCTTTCTAGATAGCTGATGCACCTCACAGTACTCTGGAGTTTCTAAAGGAGTGCTTTCATGCTATTTCTATCCACATGTTATTCAAATGTGCCCTTTGTCCTCTCCTTTCTGCGCCGATCCTGGGTCCCAGGTGTCTGAGACAGAGCGGGAAGACCTTGAAGAATCGGAAAAGATTCAATATTGGGTGGAGAGGCTCTGTCAAACGCGCCTCGAGCAGATTTCCTCTGCTGATAATGAGATTTCAGAGGTAACAGAGCCCTTCTTTCCACATAGACCCTCCTGCTGTCTTCAGAATGACCCACTGTGGGGACAGCGGGAGGTGAGATGACAACTAGCAAACGTCACTAGCCTCACAGTGCCCATCCACTGTCCAGGCCCACCCCTACCACCCCACTCCCCTCTTGAGGAGGAGGGATATGTCTGTATTTCTGGGTATACTCCCAGAGTGATCTCTAAGTCCCAGCTCATCTGCGATAGTCTCAGTTAGGCCTGTTGTCCTGGCATCATGACTAAGAGTCCCCCTTACACTCTCAAGGGCATTCCAGTTTAGAGAATGAACTCTGTGAACACCTTACCACCCACAGATGGCATAACTTGGGGCTCTTCTGCATTTGGGCACTCCCTAACAGCAGCCTAGTATGGCCTCAGCTGGGCATCCAGGTGGCAGAGGAATGGCGCCCCATGGTTCTGATGTAAGGGTGGTGGGTCTCCAGTAGCAAGAGAAACAGATTAGAAGAGCATAGTGCTCGCTGTATTGTGAAGTGGAGCTCTAAGCAGAGTGACAATTACAGAACTTCCTTGCAACACCCCCAGATGACCACAGGGCCCCCGCCTCCCCCGCCTTCTGTGTCTCCCCTGGCCCCACCCTTGAGACGCTTCGCAGGCGGACTGCACCTGCACACCACTGACCTGGACGACATCCCTTTGGACATGTTCTACTATCCCCCCAAGACTCCCTCTGCCTTGCCTGTGATGCCCCACCCTCCACCCTCCAACCCACCCCACAAGGTCCCGGCGCCCCCTGTCCTTCCCTTATCTGGCCATGTGAGCGCCTCATCCTCTCCATGGGTGCAGCGCACTCCACCCCCCATTCCCATCCCTCCCCCGCCATCCGTTCCCACCCAAGACCTCACTCCCACCCGCCCACTGCCCTCGGCGCTGGAAGAAGCACTGAGCAACCATCCCTTCCGCACTGGGGACACAGGCAATCCAGTGGAGGACTGGGAGGCAAAGAACCACAGTGGGAAGCCCACTAACTCCCCTGTCCCTGAACAGAGCTTCCCACCCACCCCAAAGGTAATGTCCCTGTTCTGCATGCTATGTTTGGAAGTAGGAAGAGTGGGGAGAACTGCTGTTTCCCATGTCCTCCACTGCTCCTGAGAGTGGAGACAGAAAGAAACATCATCTCACCCCATTTTCCAGGAATGCCCCCTCCGTGTGCATGTGTGGACATCCTGCATGTATATGGTGGTTCTCACTGATTTTGAAGTGCTGTATTGTATGGTGAATGGCCTGGGACCTTTGGGGTAAGCAACGGTGTGTCCATTTGATATTCATTGCTCTCTCTTAGCTCTTCTTTGCTAGTGTAGGCTGGTAACTTTCAATGTAGGACTTGGAAGTCTATGTTAATGAATAGCCAGCACTCTGTCACATCCAGTCACTTCCTGATATTATCCCAGAAAGCCTTGAATATGGGAAATGGCTCCTGATTTAACGGGAAAAAAAGGGAGGGGAGGAGGAAGCAGGGGCGTATTTGGCTCTGTAAATGAAGTGATAACACTGTACCATCAAATGCAGTATTAGGACATTCCAGTGCCATTTTCTACAGTACTGGCCAACTGCACTGGCTTGAAGTGTAATACCCAGAAATTTCTGGCCAATTTCCAGCTATAGAAAAAATGAAGATGAGAGAGTTCCTAGAAATAATTTACTATTAAAAGAATAGGAATGTTTTTCTTGGATGTTAGGAAGATGAACAGTGTCTTTCTGAAAAAGACATATTTCTTATTAATTATTCGTAATCCAAAGACTATTTTGAAACATGCAATCTCTGAGGAAGACAGGGAGCTTGGATCCCATGAAGGGAAAAACAAAATATTATTCCACTCCCGTAGCCATGAGGCCAGGCTTGAGTCAGTGCAAAGGCATCTCATGTCAGCTGAGGGTAGCAGGGGTTGCTGAGGGAGGGCATAGTCAATAGCACCTGACCAGTGGTTTTTATTAACCTTCCCTGCATGGATTTGAGTTCCTGCGTGGAGAGCAGGACAAGCATCTCAGAGCACTCAGGAGAGCTTACAAGGAAGGTGGGAGTGAAGAAAGTGCCAGATGCCAGCAAGGCTGAAGCTTCCAGCGGGAGACTCTCAGAGGGACCCTTTCTGGACCTCTGGTTGGGGTCGTGAGCCCTGCAGCTTTGACAGGAAGAAATCTGCCTGTTCTCGGGACATCTTTCCCCAGAGCCCAGCCAGGAGCTGGTTTCTAGAGCTGAGTTAGCCTTGCACAACATTTTTCTCTGTAAGTGGCCTCCATCAAGATGAGCAGTAGCTTTTCCTCAACAAATTTGATTCCACTTTGATTGAGTACCTGCCTGGGGCCTCTCTCTGTGAAGGGGAGAGGGGAGCAGTGCTGAAGAGGATGCAGAGGAGATTGACATGCCTGTGCTTTCCAGGACTTTGCCATCTGAAGGATGAGCTGCTGCCCAGGCAGGCTTCTGCTATAAAATATGCATAAGCCATGCGCTATGGGAGGGATTCATTCTAACTGAAGATTGAAGACACCTCTGTAGAGTAGAGGGCTTACGAGCTGAGCCTTGAGGGATGGCAACACATGGAGGATGGGAGCAAGGGCATTGCAAGTGCAGGGAACATAAAGATGGCAAGTTGGAGTAGCAGGGAGTTGGCCTGCCTGGGTTTGAATCCTGGCTGTGCCACTTACTAGCTAGGTAACTGAACACATGCTACTTCATCTATCTGAGCCTGGGCATCCCTGTCCAAAAATAGGAATGCTAATGGCAGCTACCTATTCGAATCAAATAAGTTAATACATGGACACATTCTAAGTTAAGAATGGCAAGAGTGGCAGGCACATCGTGGATGTTCAGTAGACATTAACTATGGTTATTGATAGTCCAGAGTAAAAGAAAATTTGGGTGAAGCTGCAAACCTGGGATCTTAGCAATCTCAGTGTCAGCAAAACTTTGAGTCAGGATCAAGATTCAAGACAGAGTCCAGACTTCTCAGATTCTTCAAGGCATCACCAAGTTCCCACTGTTAGTTCCTGATCAGAGCCCAGGGAAGGTTAAAAGCCCCCCAACACAAGGAGCCTCTGAAGAACTGGACTATAAATGTCACAAGCGACATCAAAGCCAGGGTTGTCCCAGCCTCAAAAGCCAGGGGGCTGTTGCTTGGTTGGCTTCATTTGGCCCACCTCTCACCCTTGTACCACCCACCCTCCTCCTCCCTGCATGCCCCTGGCAAGCTGTCATCAGTGCTGCAGCAGGAAGTGTGAGTGACCACACGCCCACACAGTCAGCCCAGCCACCAGCAGGCCCCAAGTCATGGAAACAAACACCTGTGTTGGCTTGACACTTGTGCCTGCCACACCAGCACCGGCCATAGGGGGGTTTTCAGGGCCAGATCTATCCACAGGCACTGTCCCATGTTCTCACCATACTATTTAGTCATTCATTTATTCATTCAACACATGCTTATTGAGCACCTACTATATGCCAAGGCACTATGCAGGGCACTGGGAATCCCTGCTGGATAGACAGCTGCAGTCTCCCTTCTCAAGACAGTCTGGTGGGGAACAAAGAAAAGTAGGCACCCGCCACACCATCAGCGTGGAGACGGAGGAAGCACAGGTGCTATAATAAGGAAGAGGGCTGGAGTAGAGGAAAAGCTCAAGGGAGGCTTCCAGAAGGCAGTGACGCCCAACTTAAGACCTAGGAGGCAAAGCGGAAGAAGGAAGAGCACGTGCAAAGGCCTCAAGGCAAGAAAGCCTGGCATTTTTTGAGGCTAAAGCTAGGCAGTGTGAGGAGCGTGGCGAGGAGTGAGAGATAAGGCTGAAAAGGAAGCTAGAGAAGCTCATGAAAGGCCTTGGGAGTCAAGCCAATGAGCTCAGTAGTCAATGCGGACACTGGGGAGGGTTTGGGGGCAGGGCTGTGAACTGATTTGATACATCTTGCCCAAAAAGATCAAGTGGGTTAGAGCCAAGCAGACAGGTTGCGTCAGCTCCCCTGGATGCCTCTCTTACTGGTCTTCACCCCATGGCCCCTAGAGACTATGTGCCTACCAACTAGGAACAGCAGATGCTTCACACTGTGGTCCAGGGACTGGAACTGTGGCCAAAGAGACAGCCCTTAAAGACAAGGGACACTGGATAGCACCCATGGCCACTGAGAGAAGGGTCTGAAAGTGTGTCTCCTGGGTGACACTGGCTGCTGGCACCCCCAAGCCAGGCTCTAGCTCAAGCGTCCAATTTCTTAGAGCCGCTCAGTAGTTTCTGTGATCTCAGCCCACACTGTGGCCAATGGGCTTCTCATCTCTCTGCTGAGGATCACAACCCCAGGACCTCGAGCAGTTGAATGACCAGGCTGGCTTCACATATGCATGGGTGTAGATTTGCATGTGTGTAGAAGTAGCATGGCTGGCCTTGGCCACCCCACCATGACCTCACCTGGGTCCCTGTTAAACTAACTCCTTAGACATTTTGCCCAAGCCCACAGCCTCCACGAGGCCCTGGCGTGTCCACCATCTCCAAACCTGTCATGGTCCACCAGGAGCCCAATTTCATCTACAGGCCAGCTGTGAAATCTGAAGTTCTGGTAAGCCCCTTGGGTCCCCTCCAGGTTGTCTCTAGAGGAGCAGACCAGGGCTACCTCCCCTGGGCTCTGCTGTCTCTGGAGGGCAAGTGAGGTGGGACAAAAATGCAGATCACAGATGCCATCTCTTAACCTTCTTATTGGCCAAGAGATGAGGCCACATGGGTGTAAGTGGATGTTGACATGACCAGTGGAATTTCTGTTCCCCACTTGACTGAACAGCCTGGAGCTCTGTCTAAAAGTAATAATGATCGCTACGACCTGTGAAGAGCCTACTATATACCAGGCTCTGCATGGCCTCAATTAATCTTCACAGCAGGACTGTGAGATGGTTCCTGTGGTCATCCTGTTTAACACTCGAGGAAAGGGAGGTTTAGAGAGGTTACCAGAGGGGCACCAGGTTCCCCAGGCAGAGCCTGGACTTAATACTTACCCTCATGCCTTTCATACTCCAAAGCCCACGCTGTTACCCTCGTTGCCATCTTGCCAAAACCTACAGAGATTCCAGGTGCCCTGGCCCCTGCCCTAAGGCCTGTTGTGGCCTGGCATGAAACACCCTCAGATGGGAAACTGGCCAGAGCAGGTTCACTCCCTTTCTCCAACTTACTTCTCACCTCTCACTGTGACTGGAAGTCTGAGGTGTGGTCCTGGGGAAGTGAGAAATGTCCGCCAGTCTCAGTTACTGACGGCTAAGGGAGCTGGGATTCGTGTGCACCTCCCAGAGGTGCCGACCACTGGCTGGCCTCCCATGCACAGTGAGAAGACAGTCATGTCAGAATTTTAACTTCCCTTTCAAGGAAACTCTATCCAAATGTCAGGGCAGGACAGCTGAGATATTTATTTTGGGCCTTAACTGTCCCGTCAGCTCCCCAGAGAGCAAAGTTTTTGCTCCTGGGACAGCCTGCGGATGCATCCATGTCATGTTCTCTGGCTAATATCAAGGGGTGGTGTCTGCTTGACAACAACTGGGTAGCATCTTTGGGCATTGAGCAGGCCTTTAACGTAAGCCAGACTGCTCGGGGAGGGACATTGGCACGGCAGCCCCAGACTGGCAGGCCCGAAGCCTGGCACCAGGGGGCAGCCAAGACCTATTGGTAACATCCAATGTGGAACTTTTTTTTTTTTCCTCTGGCAGCCACAGGAGATGTTGAAGAGGATGGTGGTTTATCAGACAGCATTCAGACAAGTAAACTGATACCCATTGTGTGTCTGGAGGTCTCCCCACCACCCCCGTCCCTCCCACTCTGTGCCACTTCTTTCTCTCTGGGAGTACCTGGTCAGGTCCATGGTGGCCCCATCTGCCACCAAGCCTCAGGCCAGAGCTGTGTCCTCCATTGCCTGCGCAGGGGTGGGGGAGGATATCATATCAGATGGGGACCCAGGGCTTATTAGACCCCATGCATGAGCTGAGAAACAGCAGTATCCCTGGGAACTCACCTCTTCTGCTGCTGTTTGTCCAGAGAGGAGCAGGGCAGAAGGAACCCTCAGAGGCCCACAGAGGCCAAGATGGGCCCTCGCTCCAGCCCTAGGAGAGAGGGAAGGGGCTGCTTAGGTGTCTCCCTGTACCTTCCCCTCTTCTTCTCCGGGCAGATCACAGCTTCACCAACCCTGCCTGACACTGAACCAGCGTCAGGGAGGAGGTGGTGGCTGAGGTCCTCCCTGTGCCTAGGGCACTCCTGTGCACAGGGACGTGGAAGTCCTTGCTGGTCCTCTGAGTGGCATCAGGCAGGCAGCCACCTACCTCCCTGCCTCCTGGGGTACCTCCATGGAGCCAACCATTGGATTGGCTGTTTCATCACCAATGAAAGAAACCCCAGGACAGAGAGAGATCTTGCAGCCAGCCCAGGCTTCTCCAGCCTCCTCACTGATAACCCACCAACAGACCACAAGCTGATTTGACTACAGGCAGGGAGCAGAGGGGCAGTATCAACTGTGCAGTGAGACATAGGTGTTGGCAAAAGAGGCTGCTCCCAGCCCAAGGATTTGTCAATTTAATCTTTCCAGCAACCCTGGGTGGTAAGTGCTATTATCATACCCATTTTATCTATGAGAAACTGAGGCAGAGAGATTTGAAAATGTGCCCACGATGGCACAGCTAATGTCAATCCCTGGATTTGAATCCAGGAGGTCGGTCTCTGCAGCCTGTGCTCTTAAACACTGCACCATCCTGCCTTAAAGCACTGTCGTCACACAAGAGGCCTTCCAGGACCTGGCGGTTTAGGGCACAAACAGCCCTCACAGGGAGAGAAGCAGGGAAGTGCAGAGTCTAGGCTCCAGAGGTGGAGTCAAACCCTTGCTCCCCTGCCCACTGACTGGGTGACCTTGGGCGTGAATATCACCTCTCTGGGCCTCAGTTTCTTCCTCTGTTGAATGAGGGGTTGGGCTGCCTCTTTAAGGGCCAACCAGCTGCAGTGGCTTATGAGTCTCTGATCTAAATTCACACAAAACACAAGTACCTGCCATCTGGCCCATCCCTGAGAGCTGGTTCTCAGGATCATGGAGCAAGGAGGCCAGAGCCAGCACTGCCCAGCCTTCCAGGAGAAACAGCCGGAGTAGGCAGGGCCCTCAAAGTCAAAGAGCATCGACTCCACATCCTGCCCAATGATCCTTCTTGCCTGTGCATTCACTGCACCCCCTCCTCTGTCTGCTGCCCACACACTGACCTGGATGTAGCTCCCAAGCTGAGCCGAGCTCATGGCCTCTTGGGGTTGAGCCTGGGTGATTGAGGCAAGTGAGGAGGGATGCCAGGCAGATGCTTGGGGATCTGTCTGCTGATATTTGGTGCTCATCTTGTGCCCGGAACCTAGTTGGTGCATTCTGAGGATAGGGGAATCTGTAGCCTCCCCACCACACAGACCATGGGCCCCATGGGTCACTTGGTGTGGTCTAGGGACCTGCATGCTGTGGGTGGCTCCACTCAGTCTGGCGAGGCCTGCCACGGGGCTCTCCTCTGCTCCCACCTTCCATGGGGACCAGCCGTGGCTCTGCTGCCCTTGTGCTTAGCATCCTGGCCCCTCAGCCTGGGGATGCCCCTGGCTCCCACTCACTGTGTGTGACTCCCGAGGAAGGCCACATAGTTCAGGGACTACCTCACTGTGTGTTCAGGTGCCACCTCACTGTCTTGTTTCTACACCCTGGAGCCATTGTCCCCACAGCATCCCCCATCAAGCCAGGTCCCCTGAGCTGTGTGTCCTCCCTTCTCCCCTAGCTAAAGGGCCAACCTGCGCTCCGCAGAATCTGGGGAGGCCTCTTACCTTCTAGGTAAGCATTACATGAGGACACTGCCAGGCTCCAGGCCAACACTGCTTCTCAACACCACCTGCTTTCTTCTTGTTGTCCGTGGGCTCCCTCCACCATCTTGTGGCTGATTTCCAGGAACAGCCTTCTCTTGAGCTGGATGGGCCCCTCCTGTGGGGTCAGAGCACTGGGTGGAGACACCTTGGGCTTCATCCCCCAGGGCCTGGGCCTGCTCCAGTGGAGACTTGGAAGAGATGAGGTGGGGCCTAAAGGACTTGAGGCTGGGGCTGAGACTTTCAGCAAGGCAGATGCCGCCTCTCCAGACCATCTAGACGTCACTGGTGCCCCTGCAGCCCCTGACGCTTGTGCCGCTGAAGCAGGGCAGGGTCAAGATCCTCTAAAGTCTTCCTCAGCCTCCTGCTTGTCCCTGAACAGGGGTGCCCTGGCTGCTAGGGCTGCCGGCCTCCTGTCTGCATCCCGTACCCTGGCCGTGCCTTCTCCCGCCCTACCCCTCACTTCTGACCCTTGGATTCCGACCATTCATCCCCCTACTCCTCGGCTCTGACCCTCAAGACCCTCTGCTGTGTTGCCCTAAAGCCCTCCCTTTGCTTCCAGGATTTCCGGAAATATGAGGAAGGCTTTGACCCCTACTCTATGGTAAGAGATGACGCTTCTCTCCTGGACAAGTAACCCCAGGAACAGGGCAGTGTGGGGGTTAGAGGGTTTGATAGTGGTGCATTCTGGGCCTTGGGGTCCTGGGATGAGGTGGGGCACAGAGGAGCCCCAGTGATGCCCCAGCTGCTCTTCCCACGAAGATTCCTTCCAAAGGGCACTCCAGTGTGAACTGTATGGTGCACATGCACGTGTGTGTGTCCACTGTCCCCATGGGGCCTGGGACCCCCAGTTGAAGACCAGTAGGGGTGGGGCTGGGCACGGTCCCCTTGCCCATGTGCTCTGTGGGGCCCAGTGTCCCATAGGTGCCTGGATTCCCCTTCCAGCCCTACCCCAAGCGCCATCCTTCAGGCCAGCTCAAAGCTTCCCACTGTCTTTTTCTCTCTAGTTCACCCCAGAGCAGATCATGGGGAAGGATGTCCGGCTCCTACGCATCAAGAAGGTACCTGGGCATGTGGAGGCCGGTGGGCCGCCATCCCTCTCTGTGCCTGCCCCTCCTCCCTTGGTCTCCTGCCTCTACTCTCAAGGTCACTCCTGGGTGGTCTCTCAGGTCCCCACTGTCCTCCCCTCTCCCACGGAGACGCCCCTCTGTTGTAGGGCCGCATACCCAGGCCCCACTTGGCACCAAGGCTGCGTTTTCTCCAGATGGCACTGCCGGTGACCCCATGGCTTCTTCCACTCTTACTGTGGCTCTGTCAAGAGACTCCTTGGTGCCCAGGTGTCCACAGGCTGCTGTCTGCTTGGCTCCCTAAGGCCTGTTTTCCTCTAACCAGGAGGGATCCTTAGACCTGGCCCTGGAAGGCGGTGTGGACTCCCCCATTGGGAAGGTGGTCGTTTCTGCTGTGTATGAGCGGGGAGCTGCTGAGCGGCATGGTGAGTGGAGACTAGCCACACCCAGGTTTGGGGATGATACAGTGGTTAGACGGGGCCCTCCCGGAAAGCAAACAGGTGACCACTTGGAGTGGGCTGACGGTTGCTGGAGAATGCCCTCCCACTCGGGTCCATCCATCCGACTGCCTGTCCAATCCCTGGGGGCATGGGATGGCGCCGGGACCTGTGAGTACACAGCCAAGCCAGATGCCACCGTGCCCTCAGGGGGTCCCCAGCCAGGGTGGGAGACGGACTCAGAATTGCCAGATACTGAAAGTCACAGCATGGTCTGCTAAGGGCTGACGGGGAACTCAGAGTGGAGGGAAGCCATGGGAACCCTGAGGGGCCTCTAACCCACCAAGAGGAGATGGGAGGCCAGGAGTGCTCCTCAGAGGGGCGAACCCTGAGCTGAGCATAGTCAATGTCAGCCTCGCGAAGGGGAGAAAGGGCTTTCGAGGAAGAGGAGCAGCACGTGGAAACCCCCGAAACCTTGCCTGTCCTTTCAGTGATGGTAGGAGCCGAACGTTTGGCCAGAACTAGCCATGTGCCAGAAGCTATTCATCTGGTTTGCAGCCCTGTGTCTGAGCGTTTCATGGATATTAACTCACTTAATCCTCACAACAACCCTGAAAGCAGGTTCTGTTATTATTCTTATTTTACAGCTGAGGAAACTGAGGCTCAGAGAGGTTAAAGTATTTGTTCAAGGACCCACAGCCAGGAGAAGGTGGAGGCAGGACTTGAATCCAGGCAGTTTGGTCATTTTGCTTTACTGTCCGGCACAAGTGCCACCTCTGTCTGAGGTCTTCTGCAGCCTTGTCCCTTCCCAGAGGGCCAGAGGCCCCCATACCCTGTGTCTCTCTTCTCATTTTGCCTTGTTCTTTATCCCCTTATCTACAAAAACACCCTCTGCTGATGAGTGAAACCTTTGCAGACCCCAGGCACAGTCTCTTGCTTCAAACCATCACCCCGTTCACCTGTCGGACAGTGTCTGAAACCCCACCATTGGTGATTTCTTCTTCCATGTCAAGGAAGCTCCTGAGTCCTTTGTGGCCCTTTGTGGAGATGTAGGTGCCCTTGGAGGAGGAGCCCCAGGCCTCTTACCTTCCCAGGCCAGAGTGGGGGACCCTATGAGCAGATCCCTTCCAGGCAGTCCTAGGCTGGAGCCAGGCTGTACCATAAGCTGGAGGTGGTAGAATGGAGGTGGTAAGAGGTAAGGGGCAGGAAACAGGGATGGGAAAGGCCCTTGGGGGCTGGCAACCAGACCTCTGTGGGTTACTAAGGTGAGGTATGGGCATTGGGAGCCCTGGATACAAGTCCAGCTCTGCACCCATGACCTTGGTGACTTCACACTTTAAGCTTTCATTTCAGCCATAGAAGGGGGACCTGCCCAGCTGGGCAGCTGCCCCAGCCCATCAGTGCCCACCCAGGCCCCACCTTCTTCTTCTGTCTTCATTTCTCTGTCACCTGGTGACACTTCTGTGATACCTGCCTGCTGTGTCTAGCAGAGAGAGGGGACCAGGATGGATGGGTGACTCTCCTGGGTCCTTCCCACTTACAAAGCCCCAACCCAACCACTGCCTTATTGCCCCTGAGACTCTGTCATGGATTTGTACAAAATGAAAAGGTGAAAGTCACCCATCCCCAGTTGCACTGCACAGAGGCAACTGCTTTCTGTGGTTTGGTCCTGCACTGCTTTGAACATAACTAGTCACTGATGAAGCTTCCCTAGGAGCACGTGTGTTTTAAGCCACCATGGCCACCATTGTCAGTATCATACACCACATTCCTATGGGCCTTCATGCCACAAGGCTCCTGGGTGATCTATTTCAATGTAACCTGGAGAGTGTTCTGTGGACATCAGGACTGGGAGAAATTCCTCCAAAAAGGGCTCTGATGTCAAAGAGGTGTGGAAAACCACGCACAATCTGTCTACCTCTTGGAAAGCTGCAGTGCATGTTAGCACATTCAAGACTGACAAATCCTGCAGTGAGTAGCTCTGTTCAGCTTATAACTCAGCTTTCCCCAAAATTATTAGATCCCAGGCAACTCTTTCAGGAGCACCTTATTACAGCTTCATTTATTCAACAAATATCTACTGAGGTCCTATTTTGTGTCAGGCATTATGTTAAGTGCTGGGGATATTATGGTGAACCAAAAAGACAATCCCTGCCCACGTGGAGCTGACAGTGTGGTGGGAGAGACCATCAGTAAACAAACAGATTAATGATTACGAATTGTGGAAAATGCCAAATAAGAAAAGATTGGGATGCTGTGAGAGAATAGGCAAGATCTACATTCGACTGAGCGGGGGTCAGAGAAGCCCCTTCTGACATTTCCTCTCAGACCTAGAAGAAGAGAAAGCAAGGTAGGGAACAGCGACATGAAGCCTCTGAGGCAGGAGAGAGCATGGCAGCTCAGGGACCTGAACAGACCAGCATGACTGGCAACAGGGAGGGCCGGCTGGCAGAATTGACTCAGGCCTCATACTGTGCTGGAAATGCAGGTCTGTGTCCCTCTGTAATAACAGAGGCTCATCATCAATGATATCCAGGTTCTCCTGAGCTGGGGTGAGGGGGTGTGGAAGGGACAGGGACTAAATGCCCTTTGACTAGCCACTAACCAGGTGGCTAGTTTCCCCTCATGCTTTCTGAGTCCACATGAGCTTTCAGAACCCAGGCTCAGGTCTCTTCTGCTGTCTGGCAATGACCCCCCTTTGCCAAGCCCTGGGCCAGGCACGTGTCACATACAGCCCAGTTGGCCAATCAGCCTCATCTGCCTGCAGGTGGCATTGTGAAAGGGGACGAGATCATGGCAATCAACGGCAAGATTGTGACAGACTACACCCTGGCTGAGGCTGAGGCTGCCCTGCAGAAGGCCTGGAATCAGGGCGGGGTAAGAATAAGGCCCCTCCCTCCTTTCCTCCCTCACCTGCCTGCCTCAAACCCTGGCCTCTGCAGCCAGGTCTCACAATAGGATGCCTCATTCCAGGGTGGGCATCTGGAGTCCAGGCAACACTTTGGTGACACCATACCCCATCCAGCCTGTGGTTTAAATCTGACAAGATGGGATTCAGAAAAATAGATGTCAATTCCTGACCTTGGATCCAAAAAGCCAGTGGCTTAAACAGACTCTTGAAGCCAGGGCATGGCAGGTCACCCAAGAAAAAGACTTAAGGTCTTTTCTAAGTGCACACTGAACAAGAATCAAGAGAATTCTGGGGGCTACCAGAAAGCATTAACAAAAGCAGAGAACCCAGGATGAAGGAGGGGCTGGTGGGAATCTGCTCTGCACTCATTAGACACCCACCTGGATCACGGCCACTGCATAAGATTGCCCAGGCTGTGCACTACATAATCTGAGGGGGTGCCCTTTTACAGACTGTAGTGTGAATGGTGCCTGCTCATGGTGTGCAATGCACAACCTGTGCAACTGTATGCAGGCAGCCGAGCCTGAGGTATTAAGTTCAGTGCCGAGGAAGCTGACCAGATGGGCCTGGGACCCACATGAAGGGATGTGGAGAAGAGAAGACTCACGGGTAACATGATGACTATCTTTGATTATCTGAAGGTCTGCATTAGGGCAGAGGGAGCAGAAGTGTTCTCTCTGATTCTTGAGGGAAGACCTGGATTGGATGGAGGGAAGTCCTGGGGAAAGAGAGAGAGATTTCAGCTCAATATTAGGAACCAGCTCATGGTAGAGGGGCCCAGTGATATTTCCAATACTTTTCAGGGGATACACCTAAGCCAAGGAGGGAGAATGAGGGGCAAGTCAAGGATGGCAGTAAAAGGGATTCAGGTGTTAGGATCAAAAAGCTGGGCCAGAAGTCCCCCACTTGATTGTGCATCAGAAAGTGCGTCGGAATTACCCAGAGAGGTTGTTAAAAGTACTATTTCCCAGGACTCACCCTTGACTTCTGGGGGCCAAGTCTACGAGCCTACACTTTTAAGAAGTTCCCCCAAGTGATTCTGAGGTTGCTGCCTGTCCCCGGTCCATAGATTGACATTTGGGAGCTGAGTGTCATTCAAGGGCCTTGCAGCCCTGTCCTCTATGGTCCCGAAGCCTCAGAGACTAGAAACGTCCTCAGACCATGGAAGTCACAGTGGGCCCCAGGTGGGCCCGTGGGAAGAAGGTGCAGCCTGGCTGATCCTAGGCCATGGGGCCCAGAAATGGGGATGGAGTGCCGGGGCAGATGCACCATCCAACTGAGTGTGCCCCAGAGTCACACGGCTTCTCCCCACAGGACTGGATCGACCTTGTGGTTGCCGTCTGCCCCCCAAAGGAGTATGACGATGAGCTGTAAGTGTGTGCAAGCACCTAGCCTGAGACCTCTTCTTCCTTCTCCAGAATCTCAGCCACCTTTCTCCAGCCCATCCCCAGCCTTCTCCCAGCCTGAAGGAATGGCCCAAGCACGCAGCTTCTCATAGCCAGAGCTCCTAGAAAACTCCTGGACTAGAGCCAAGTCATTGTCCTTAAGCAGTGTCTGAGCTGCCTCCCGGGCAGTCTTGTCCAAATTCTTCTCTACTATGGGGAATTGAGGCATGAGGTCTTAGACCGGGTAAGCAGAGACGTTGGGAAAAAGACTCAGGATTGTTAATTCCCCACTCAGAACTTTATCCCCTGCCCCATTATTAGATGGTTAGAAGGTGTCTGTGTCCATCCTTCACTCTCTGGAAGGTCTTCCTGATGTCTAACTGCATTCACTCATACTGTGCCTCTAGGCAGCCGGGACCACAGGCTTTTGTCCCCACGCTGTGGGATCTCCAGGGAGCTTTGGCCTAGACTGTCTCTCTCTGTGATTCCCTGTGTGTCTGTCTCTTGTGTCCTGTGGGTCTCTCTGTCTTCTCTCCTCCTCCCTCTCTGTCTTTCTTTCACCCTTTCCTTCCTTCCTGTCAACATCTTATCTGCCCCCCTCCTTCCCCTTCATCCCGGTCCCCTTTCTCTCTCACTGTCTCCTATTCTTTCTTCCTGTTTCTCTTCATCCCTGTCTCTGAGTCCCTGTTCCTCTGTCCTTGTCATTCTGCATCCATTCTTACCTCTTTGTCTGCCTTTCTCTGTTTCTCTGCCTCTGTGTGGTGTCTCACCTCCATCCTCACCTCATCCCATCACCTCCCCAGCCCTCACCCACCCACCACTCACCCACTCACTGACCATGCCCTGCCTCCCTGTCGTGGCTGGGCCTGCTTGCTCCCCGTGCCCAGCAGAATCTGAGCTCTACACATGTCTTGGAGAAACCAGGGTCTCGCAGCTCCTAATTCTGGAACCCAGGGGCTAGGCAGAACCCGAGGCAGGAGCCCAGTGAAAGGAGAAGCCCCATGGAGCTCTGCCTGGGAGTAACCAAGCCTGTTTTGTGTTTCTTGCTCTGCTCTGTATATATAGAGCTTCTCTTCCCTCCTCCGTAGCTGAAAGCCCCCAACCGGTCCGAAAGCTCCTTGAAGACCGTGCTGCCGTGCACAGACACGGGTTCCTCCTGCAGCTGGAGCCCACGGTGAATAGGCAGGCGGGCCACAGGGCCCTGTGTGTCCCTGCTGCTTGCAGTGGCCATCTGCTGCCCACGCTGTCAGCAGGTTCTTTGGACTGGCGTCTGGAGGGTACACAAGGCGCCATCCCTGAAGTGCTGCCTGGGGCCTGCTGTTGGCCACAGTGGAATTCCTCAGACTCAAAGCCCTCCCCTCAGGGAAGTGGTGCAAAGCCCAGTCTGTAGTACTTGCTTGGGACCCAGGTGTCCTGACTCATCACGGCCCTGGGACCTGCTTTGGGTCCCAAGCAGCACCCAAATGAGCAGGATGAAGCCCTGGGCAACATTCTCTGAGGGACACAGACAATGCCTCGAACCAGGCATGTGGGGCTGAAGGAGCCCACAGGAAGCCTGGCTGGAATTGCCCCCAAGAGATGTCCTCAACAGAATGTGAAAATTCCCCTTCCTGTGAATGCCAACCTCCTGGGAGCTCTTGCTCCACCATGGCCCCCACACTTGGCCAGAACCAGGGCTATTAAGAGGTTTTGAAGGCTGGTCCAAAGAACCAGGGTTGGTGGATTAGAGTTGCTCATGTCCTGTTGTGCCCTGTCATGGCCTGAGCCGTGCTTAGACCAAACGGTCTTCTCTGCCTTCTCCCTTCCTTGGCTCTGGGCTCTATCTGTGGGATATACCGTGGAACCCAGCTGTAGGATGTGTTTCTCACCCTGTGATAGGGATGTGCCCGTGGACAGAGCTGGCAGGTGGCTGTGAAACTGGTGTTTGGTGTGGCCTGAAGCCACAGATGGCAGCATCTGGGGCAGACCCAAGCCTGGACTTGACTTTTCTGTTACAACTTTCCCAAAACATTAGGGCCTCATGCTCCCAAGACACTTGGCCGGGTAGACCATGGCTTCTGGGGTGGCCTGCATGGCCCTATGTTTTCTGTTACTTGCCTTTTGCAAAGGACTCTTGCCCCTGTTCCTCCCAGTCTCCTCCTTCCCCCATCCCAGGTGTCCCTCCCGCTTTCTCCCTGGCCTCCTGTGTGCTGTGGCTGTGGCTGGTGTGTAGCCACTTGGGGCCTGCACCCAGAGGGGTCTCCAAAGGGTGGCAGGGCCTTGTGCTGCCAGAGTGGGTACTCCCCCTTGTGGGGCCTTGCTCTGGCTGGGCTGAGTGTGCACCCACAAAGCCTGTATCCACCTGGGCTGTTTCCACTTCCCTGCAGGACCTTCTTCTGAAGTCCAAAAGGGGAAACCAAATTCACCGTTAGGAAACAGTGAGCTCCGGCCCCACCTCGTGAACACAAAGCCTCGGATCAGCCTTGAGAGAGGCCACACTACACACACCAGATGGCATCCTTGGGACCTGAATCTATCACCCAGGAATCTCAAACTCCCTTTGGCCCTGAACCAGGGCCAGATAAGGAACAGCTCGGGCCACTCTTCTGAAGGCCAACGTGGAGGAAAGGGAGCAGCCAGCCATTTGGGAGAAGATCTCAAGGATCCAGACTCTCATTCCTTTCCTCTGGCCCAGTGAATTTGGTCTCTCCCAGCTCTGGGGGACTCCTTCCTTGAACCCTAATAAGACCCCACTGGAGTCTCTCTCTCTCCATCCCTCTCCTCTGCCCTCTGCTCTAATTGCTGCCAGGATTGTCACTCCAAACCTTACTCTGAGCTCATTAATAAAATAGATTTATTTTCCAGCTTATAGGAGTGAGTGTGGATTTGGGCAGCAGATTCAAGGCTGCAAATCAAAAAACCATAAGGTTTGTGGCCCCTATTCAAGGGTGATAGACAGATCCCAGTGCTGTGATCTGGGTCTGACATGAAGGGTGTGATCAAATGGCCAGGGCTGGCTTGGAGCAGAGGTTGAGAAAGCAGGAGATGGGCTGGGCTGGGCTTCAATGTCTTCTCAGCAGAGATGGTAGGAGATGAAGTCTGTGTGGCAGGGATTTTGCTCAATTCCAGAAAGCAGAGCTGAAGGCAGGAGCCCCGAAGGGTCACCTCATGATATGGGGTGCCCAGCTTCTTTCAAGAACGACACAGCCACCAATGCTTCTCCTGAGGTCACCACGACAGCATGTGAGGGAGGAAGATGGCAGGGTCCACTCCCTCCGTGGAAGCACATCCCACAGAAGCTCATGGGAAATGCAAGGGCTTGAGGCAGGAAGGCATAACTCCGGGGGCCCAGCAGGGGGAATGTCACAGTTCTTCTGGTGACAGGGACCAGGGCTGCTAGCTCTGAGGAAGAGGGTGGGGCTGTATCAGCACGACTCGCCTGACCCCGTCTCTGTTTCCCCATTCCAAATTCCTGTGGTACAATCTGATCAGGCCAAATCACCTGAGCGGGCGACCCTTGGGTTAGGGACCAGTCACAGGTCCAATCAGCTGTGGCCGGGGGTGGGGTCACATCCCACCCAACATGGCTGCTGAGGCAGCAAGGACCGTGGGCAGCAAGTCATGATCACCACCCCTACCAGAGGATGACTATGACATCTCTCCTCCCCCACCAAACCCTGGGTATGGAAAGGAAGTGGACTGGGGTCCCAAGGGAAGGCAGTCTTAGGGAGAGTGCCTCTGTGTGAGGGGACCACAGGAAAACCCCTTCCTGAGGTGGGACACTGCAGAGAGCCCCTCGGGGACACACCCACTGCCCATCCCCCAGGTTCAGCCCTATGTTCAGCTGAATCCCCCACTTCATCCCACAGTGGATGCAGACTAAGCTGGATCCCGAGAACTTGGTAATAAAACAGACAGGCTCTCAACACCTCCCAGAATCATGGCAGGGGAGAGGGGCTCAGACCAAAATGCAGCGACTACCATGTGGGACTGAAAGAAATCAATGGGTGGGGACAGAGAGAGGGAGCAGAGAAACTGCCAAACTTTCTGATGTCCTCGATGAAGACAAAGCCACAGTGACCTTCAAATTACTGGCGCTCAGAGACAGCAGCCACACAGACGAGCTCCCTGTGTTTTCCTGTCAGGCACCTAACCTGGTTCTGGAGAAAATTCCAAAACCCAGGTAAGAGGAGGGAGCTCCTATTTGCTGTCACCCATGTGCCTGGCCTAGGCTAGACCCTTGTCTGCTGTTTCAAACTGCAACACCTGGGCTTCATGCCTGGCCATCCCAGGAGCCTGGTGATAGCAGCCCACACTCAGATGGCATTGACTAAGTGCCAGGTATTGTTCTAAGCACTCAGCTCATACATTCCATCAACAACTCCATGAGGCAGGTAGTATTATTATCAACAACCTCATTTTATTAAGAGACAGTTGATATAAAAAGAGGTGAAGTCACTTGCCCCAGGTCACACGGTGAGGAAGTAGTAGAGCTGCGACTCCAGCCAGGCACTCTGGTCCCAGAGACTGTGCACACCCGTTTCCACCATATGCTCTAGAGGGCAAGGCAGCTCCCATCGGAATGTCTCAAATTCCAGGCCGTTGGCAGAACACTTCTCCCCACCACTGAAGAACAGTGACTGTTCTGCTGTTGGGTAGTGGTCACTTCCTCTTGTGCCCTACAAAAACTTCTGCTGAGGCCTTCAGCTAGTCAGTGCCTGGAATCTCACCATTGGAAATTCACCTGTAGCAGGAGTGAATGAGTTTATCAGCCCTTATCCGGACTTGGTGAGTGAGACGGTAAAGAGGCTTTGAGCTCCTGATTAGAGGAGAAGGGCAGGGAGGATGAGCACTGGGCCGGGCAGGAAGGGGGACTGAGAGGAGCCGGGGGAGGTGGATGGCATAGCCCTCAGCCAGGAGGCCACCTAGGGCTGGCAAAGTGCGTAGGCTATGATGGGCTTCAGCTTCCTTTTTTGTGATGCTCTCTTCATTGTCATCAAGGAAATGAACTCTCATTAGAAAGTTGTCTCACGTTGAACCCAGAGTGCATAGTTCTCTCCAGCAGACATTGACATTAACCAGGTAGGAAGGGAAAGAGCCAAAGAATTTGTATAGAGGTAGAATCTAAATCAGCTCCTGACTCGCTTTGGGAGCCATAGGAACACTGCTGGGGCCAGAGTCCGTGGGAGGACTGAGCCAGACATCAGGATCCACTTCAGTGACCAAGACTGAGCATTTTAGGGCTAAAACTAGGGCAAGGACTGCCCATGGGCCAGTACTCTCTAACCAGCCAGCCAGGCAGCCACTTACCACTCCTCAAATCTGACCCAAAAGATGAACCTTGTTTGCCACCCTAGACCCTAACCCCCCCATCACTGGATGTTCAGGAAAATTGAACCCAAGGAGGGGATGATTTGTCAGGATCCCCCTAAGTTGGTGGCAGAGGTGCCCTTTCTCTGCACCACCCAGTGGAAACACAAACCTAAAAAGCCTGGGAATCCAAGGATGCCCTTTGACTCTGAACTTTTGGCATTCTACGCATCTCATTGAAGTTGCTTTCCACAGCTAGTCCCCAGGGTTTGCCGAGCTGGCTTTGAGCCTCTCGCCTCCGTATCTGGGAGTCAGAGGGGAAAGGGCTGAGTTTATGGCCTCTGTACTTCTGTGACTCTCTTTGGGCCTGTGTGGCTGGGAAGCTTGTTCTCACCCAGTTCCAGCCTAATTCCCAAGACCAAGATGAGGATAAGAATCTGTTTCCAGAGCTGAGAGCCCTGTTCTCTCCTGTCACTGCAATGACAATTCCAGCTCTCTGGAGGCCAGGCTGGCCATCCCTCTGTGAGCAGGAGCAGCCCCCTGGGGAAGGCAGGTGGGCTGCCTGACGCAGGGAGAGGGTAGAGGGCTGCAATTGTCTTTCTGGGGCCTGGTGTTTGCAGCCCAGGAGCCTGCCACTGGCCTTCGTAGGAATAAGATTGTTACGAACTACTAGGTGTTTACTACTTGTCAAGCACTGTGCTGAACTCTAAATGTGTGGTCACTCATTTAATCATTACGTGGAATCCTATGAGGTAGCCAATGCTGTTATCTTCATTAGGGAAACTGAGGCACCAAGGCATTAAGTAACATACCTGAGGTTAAATAGATAGTAAGTAGTATAGACCAGGCAGGGCTGCTCCAGGAATCCATGTCATTAACCACAGTGCTATACTGCTTCAAGTGGATGAGAAAGAAACGATGTACGGAGTCTGATTTCATGTGCCCCTCAGCCTGGCATCCAAAGTTCTACATCCTCTGGCCCCCAGACCATTTCTCCAGCCCCAGTTCTTGCCAAATGACTTCCTCTGCTTCTGCCACATCAACCTCTCTGGTTTCCTTGGCCTGCCATGCTCCATCGCTTCTCTGTGTCTTTGCACGTGTTCACTCTACCCTGTCCTCCTCATGCCTACGTGAACTCCTATGCACCCTTTAAGGCCTAGGTCAACTGTCAAAGGAGGGCATTGAGCCCGGCATAGAATGAGATTTCAGTCAATGTGAGCACACCGCTCCCTCCTGAAATGAACCCTTTGGATTCCAAGTGACAGAAACCCAATTGAAGAGGACCAGTTAAGTGAAAAACCCAGGAGTATAAGATGTCAGGTTTGGCTGGATCGAGATATTAAAATGATGTATCTATTCTGGCCATCTGTGTTAGTCAGGGGTCTCCAGAGAAATTGAAGCGAGAGAGAGAGAGATTTTTATTTTAAGGAATTGGCTCACACAATTGTGGAGGCCAGCAGGGCCAAACCCTGCAAGGCAGGCCAGCAAGCTGGAGACAAGGGAAGAGCTGATATTGCAGCTCCGGGCCAAAGCCAGTGTGTTGGCAGAATGCTCTCTTCCTAGGAGGACATAAGACTTTTTTTCTTTTAAAGCTGTGAGCCGATTGGATGAGGCCCACCCACATGATGGAGGATAAGTCTACTGATTTAAATGTTAATCTCATCTAGAAAATGCCTTCACAGCAACATCTAGATGTGTTCGACCAAATATCTGGGCACTGTGGCCCAGCCAAGTTGACACATAAGATTAACCACTGTGCTGTCTCTGGACTCCTCTATTTGGCTTCATTCCCAGATGGGCTCTTTCCACATGATGCCAAGATGGCCTCTGCTATTCTAAATGTATTCCACCAAGTAGTGCAACCCCAGGGGGAAAAGCACACCTTTTTCCTAATAATTCCAGCTAAATCCTGAGGATTTACTCTGATTAGCTCAACATGCGGGTGTGGCCATCCCTGATTAGCCAGACCTGGGTCACACACCCACTCATGTAGCCAGGGTTTAGAGTTAGCCCCTCTAGTACCACATGGACTAGGTAAAGGGGAAAGGTGGGTTCCAAAAGGAAAATTGGGGGCTGTTGCAGAAGAAGGAGAAATGGATCTAAGGGAGACACAGAGGGGTGTCCCCTGAGAACCCTTGTCCCCACAAGTGCCCTTTCTCCTCCTTTTCACCTGTTCTTCCCTTTTCCTCTCCCTGCGACCTACACTGGAAGGGGCCTGTGGCCAAGACACCAGGGGTTCATTCTCTTGGTATGTGGAACCCTCACCAACTCCCAGCTGCCAGGGTTGGGTAGTCGGCCAACAGTTGGGAGTGAAAAATGGTATGTGATCTTTCATGACCACAGGACCCCCAAGGCTAAGATATGAGGGTTCCAATACTTGCTCTCCAAATGTCCAGGGGCGAGAACTGAAATCTGACCTTGGTCACATTTCTTAATTCTCATTTTGGTTTCTTCAGCTATAAAGGGGGTATAAATAGAACTTACTTCATAGAATTGTGAGGATCAAAAGAAATGCAGATAAACTGCTTAGAAATAGTTCTTGGCCCTGAAATTAATATTAACTTAAAATCTGGGATGAATGCTATAGAAAGAGCAGCTTGGGGCCCATCTCACTCTTGAGGATGGAGTTTCCTAAGGGGAGGCTCTAAGGCAAGGGTTGTTCCTTACTGTGCCCCCCCACTTACACCTGTAGCACTTACACCTGTAGCAACTTCTCCTCTCTGCAGGAAATCCTCTAAGCTCTTTCCCTTTCCCTAGGGACCCCCAATAAACCACCAGTTGAAAGCGTGCATGTGGGTACACACATATGTACATGTTGGGGTTTTAGTATTCATCTTTATTAATTTTATCCTTAATGCACACAGGAGGTAGAAGAGACAGATTTCTTGTCAGTTACCTTACAGTAAATAAGTGTGTCAGCTTCCCTTGCCCCAGACCTTATCCCTGCCTGATGTGTTAAAAGCCTACAGGAAAAAGTCTCCTCCCCGAGTGGCAGGACACTCAGTGAGAGACCAAAAACAATGGTTTTCTCCATTTATATACAGAAGTTAGACAGCCGTCCCTGCCTCCTCTCCTGAGAGGTGAAGGGAAAAAACAAAACAAAAACCTTTTCTTCTTTGAGAAGGGATAGAAAGAATCTTGGATTTTCACTCTAACTTTTTTGAATGTAAATACTTAGGGGAACAAATGCTGGCGAGGGTGTGGAGAAAAGGGAACCCTCGTACACTGTTGGTGGGAATGTAAATTAGTACAGCCTCTATGGAGAACAGTTTGGAGGTTTCCTCAAAAAACTAAAAATACAGCTACCATATGATCCAGCAATCCCACTGCTGGGTATATATCCAAAAGAAAGTAAATTTGTGGTGGGGCACAGTGGCTCATGCCCGTAATCCCAGGACTTTGGGAGGCCAAGGCGAGCAGATCACGAGGTCAAGAGATCGAGACCATCCTGGCCACCATGATGAAACCCCATCTCTACTAAAAATACAAAAAGAAAATTAGCTGGGCGTGATGGCGCGCGTCTGTAGTCCCAGCTACTTGGGAGGCTGAGGCAGAAGAATCACCTGAACCCGGAAGATGGAGGTTGCAGTGAGCCAAGATGGCACCACTGTGCTCCAGCCTGGTGACAGAGTGAGACTCCGTCTCAAAAAAAAAAAAGACAAGAAATTAGTATCTGTGAGATATATCTACTCTCCCGTGTTTGCTGCAGCACTGTCACAATAGTCAAAATTTGGAAGCAAGCTAAGTGTCCATCCACAGATGAAGAAAAAAAGGTGGTTCATATACACAATGGAGTACTATTCAGCAATAAAAAAAGATGAGATCCTGTCATTTGCAACAACATGAATGGAACTGGAGGCTATTATGTTAAGTGAAATAAGCCAGGCACAGAAAGACAAACATCACAGGTTCTCACTTATTTGTGGGATCTAAAAATCAAAACAATTGAATTCATGGAGATAGAGAGTAGACGGATGGTTACCAGAGGCTGGGAAGAGTAATGGGAGGGTGGGGAGGGAGATGGAGATGGTTAATGGGTACAAAAAAATAGTTAGAAAGAATGAATAAGTCCTAGTATTTGACAGCACAACAGGGTGACTATAGTCAATAATTTAATTGTACATTTAAAAAATAACTAAAAGAGTATAATGGATTGTTCGTAACTCAAAGGATAAATGCTTGAGGGCCCTGGATACCCCATTTTACATGATGTGATTATTTCACATTGCATTCCTGTATCAAAACATATCCCATACCCTATAAATATATACACCTACTATGTACCCACAAAAATTAAAATAAAGAAATACCTAGGGATTTAGGTAGGGAGATAGCATTCTAGTCTTCCTGGCACCTTGGGACCTTAGCCTGGGGACCTAGCCCTAGCTGTAACCCTTTGGCCCCCTTGGGGAGATAAGAATTCTTTTATCCTTAAAAAAAATGTGGTACAACACACATAACATAAAACTTACCATTGTAACCATTTTTAAGTATGGTTGAGTGATATTAAGTACATTCACACTGTTGTGCAACCATCACCACCACCCATCTCCAGAACTCTTTTCATCTTGCAAAACTGAACTCTGTACCCATTAAATAATACCTCCCATTCTCCCCGCCCCGCGGCCCCTGGTAATCATCGTTCTCCTTTCTGTCTCTATGAATCTGACTATTCCAGGTACCTCATATGAGTAGACACATTTTATTATCCGTTTAGAACAGAACCATTAACTAGACACATAGCTACAGATCTGATTCCCATGCTTATATGAAGGGCAGAATGCTCCCAAGGAAGGTGAAAGCACAACTTCTTTTCCTTTATGTCATATACATTTTCAAGTCTCAGGAGACTAGGGCTTTCTACAGGAGCACTGAGAAATTCAAGGAAATGTTATTTCCCCACAGTCCACGTGTGCAAACAGTATGATGGTTGCAGGCTGGCCAATGACAGCAGGTTCTCGGCAAGCACAGAAAGCAGCCGCCTCCAAGGAAGCAGAGTCTCTCCCTCTCTGCCTGTATGTGGCACAGCTGGCCACTCTGGCCACAGACTCTTCGTTGGTCAAGGGTGATCCTGAGACCAGTGAGCCAGCTCAGACTACTCTGCAGGCCCCATCACTTACCTGACAGGTACCAAGGAGCAAAATTTTGTCTTATGTGATTCCAGACCCTCGACACAGTCCAACAGCCATCCAGTGGGCAGCTACGTCAGGCCTGCAGCTCCTAACTCTGAGTCCATAAGTGCATTTAGGAAGGGGGATGCAGGGGAGGGGCCTTTAAGTCAGCCCACCTCGGGGAAGGACCAGGAAAGGGTTAACTAGAAAGTGACAACGGAGCCCAGTGCTAAAAGCTGAGAAGCAGGTCGTCAGATGGCTGGGGGATTTGGAGGTGACATCCCCAAGAGGGAACAGCACAGCCTCTGGGAAGGCCTGCTTTTAGCTTCCATTGCCCTGTTCTGGGCACACACAGCAGGTGCTTCGTAAATATAGATTGTCAAATGAATGATGGCTGCCTATAGGAGCAGAAGCTATGTGGGGAACTCATTGGCTGAAAGTTCTGAAGCACTAACAATCCAGCCTCCCTCCACCCCATTATTTTCCATGACTCCCCTCAGCCTGCACCCTATCCTAGAAAGACTCATTTGTTCACTCACTGCATCTGGAAAATTGTATCTCAGCGGCCCCTCCTTTGCACACACTGGTATATCCTTCCCAACCAGGCTGTCTTCTTCACCTGTACAGACTGGGCCAACCCTCAAGGCCACCTCTTCCCCTAAAGCTTCTAGGAAGCTCCCAGACAACTTTTTGTTTTTAAATAAACATATATTTCTTTTGTTTTCCCAGCCATATTGTAAACCCCTAAGGGCAGGGACCATCAGTTATTATTCCTTAATTGGAGACAATGTGGTGGAGAGAAATGGTTCTCAAACTTTAGCATGAATCACAGTCACCTGGAGGACTTGTTAAAGCAGACGTTTGGACTAGAGTTTCAGATTTAGTAGGTTAGGGGCTGACCTGAGAATATGCATTTCTAACAAATTCCCATGTAATCTTGCTGGTCCCAGGGACCACATTTTTTGAAAACCATCAGTACAGAAAGCAGACCCAGCTTAACCTGGGTTCCAATCTATGCTCCAAATCTTACTGGGCTGTGTGAGCTAGGACAAGTCCTTTAGCCTCTCTGGGCCTCAGTTTCCTAAGGACACAATAATATTGACTTCGCAGGCTTACAGAGAAACCCAGCTGGCACAGCAGGTGCTTAATAAATGCCCATTACTGACTGTCTCAGTTACACATTGGTGCACTCCCTGGCTGAGCCAGGTTATTTCCCATTAGGGGAATGAGCAACACCTCAACACTCTCCTCCCCTACTCCAACCCACCAGGGGACCAGTCTCTGGGGCAGCAGAGGAATTTTACATGATTTCTCTGGCTTCAGTGGAAAAGGTGATGCTTCTCTCCACACTGCTGGGGTTGCTCTTCTAAACAGAACTTCTCTAGCCTCTGTCCTCTGCCCAAGCCTCAGAGCACTTGCATCATTAAATAATTACCTCCTCAAGGACACACTGGAAAAAAACCTTCAAATTTAATATATTCACCGATTTGAAATTTTAGTGTACAAATTTTAGCTAAAAAATACCTTTTGGCTCAACATAGGGCATGAGGAGGCACTTTGGCAATGTCGTCTTACAGCAGGTAAATGTTAGGTACTGGCTGTGAGTCTGTCTCCATGTTTCTCTCACTCCTAACTCTCTCTCTCACACTCTTTCTCCCTTTCAGGTTTCTGTTTGCCCTGACTGGAGAGGTTCTTCTCTGGCCAAGTACCAGAGAAGGGTCTTCCTCCCTCCTCTCCCACAGAATCATGGTCTCACGTGTAGCCACACTTACCTGCACTTATATAGCAAGTTTTCATCAGTGCACAAGTGGCTTAGTTTGTGCTACTCTAACAAAATACCGTAAGTTGGGTGACTTATAAACAACAGACATTTATTCCTCCTAGTTCTGGAGGCTGGGAAGTCCAAGATCAAGGCACCAGCAGAATTGGTGTCTGGTAAGGACCTGCCTCCTCATAGGTGGCCATCTTCTCACTGTAAACTTACATGGTGGAAGGGGCAAATGAGGTCTCTGGGGCCTCTTTTATAAGGGTACTAATCCCATTCATGAGGACTCTGCCCTCATGATGTAATCATCTCCGGATGGCCCCACCCCCTAACACTATCACCTTGGGGATTAGGATTCGGGGGTGGGGGGTACCTAAACACTCAGTCCATTGCAAAAAGGAAGTCAACTATATACATTATGTATGGAAACGCACTCAACCAGCCAAGTCTAAGTAAGAACAGGGGATTGATCGTCAGAGAAATGCAAAGCAAAACTACAGTGAGATATTATCTCACCCCAGTTAAAATGGCTTATATCCAAAAGACAGGCAATAACAAATGCTGCTGAGGATGTGGAGAAAAAGAAACCCTCAGACACTGTTGGTGGGAATGTAAATTCGTACAACCACTATGGAGAACAGTCTGAAGATTCCTCAAAAAACTAAAACTAGAGTTACCCTATGGTCCAGCAATTTCACTGCTGTGTATATACCCAAAAGAAAGGCCATCAGCATATTGAAGAGATATCTGCACTCCCATGTTTGTTGCAGCACTGTTCACAGTAGCCAAGATATGGAAGCAACCTAATTGTCCATCCACAGATGAACAGATAAAGAACACGTGGTACTTATACACAGTGGAGTACTATACAGCCATAAAAAATGAGATCTTGTCATTTGCAACAACATGGATGGAACTGGAGATCATTATGTTAAGCAAAATAAGCCAGGCACAGAAAGACCAATTTCACTGTTCTCACTTATTTGTGAGAGCTAAAAATGGAAACAACTGAAGTCATGGAGATAGATAATAGAAGTACCAGAGGCTAGGAAGGGTGGAGGAGCGGGGGAAGGGGGGAATGATTAATAGGTACAAAAATATAGTTAGATAGAATGAATAAGATCTAGTATTTAGATAGCACAACAGGGTGACTACAGTCAGCAATAATTTATTGGTACATTTTTAAATAACTCAAAGAGGGCCGGGCACAGTGGTTCACACCTGTAATCCCAGCACTTTGGGAGCCCTAGGCAGATGGATCACCTGAGGTCAGAGTTCAAGACCAGCCTTGCCAACATGGTGAAACCCCATCTCTACTAAAAATACAAAAAAATTAGCCCGACATGGTGGTGTGGGCCTGTAATCCCAGCTACTCGGGAGGCTGAGGCAGGAGAATCACCTGAACCCAGGACGTGGTGGTTGCAGTGAGCTGAGATCATGCCACTGAACTCCAACCTGGGTGACAGAGTGAGACTCCGTCTCAAAAAATAAAATAATTCAAAGAGTATAACTGGATTATTTATAACACAAAGAAAAGATAAATGCTTGAGGTGATGGATACCCCATTTATTCTGATGTGATTATTATACATTATCAAAAGATCTCATGTACCTCATAAATACATCCACCTACTCCGTATCCACAAAAATTAAATAAATAAATAAGAACAGGGGGCTTGCTCTGCAGACACTGCATCCAGACAAGTCCCCCATCCCACCACATCACACCCCCTTCCAAAGGGATAGCTTCCACTCCCGTTTTCGCCTTCTTCATCTATCCCACCCCTGCCTAAGCCCATCCCTGTATCTCAGAAGGCTGCCCCAGTAGGAACCCGGACTCTGACACCTTCTTTGCTGGATGACCTTGGTCAACCAAGGTTTTCTCTCTGCCTTATTCTCAACTTGGTAATAGCAATCATACTACCTGCTTTAAAGAGAGATGGTGACTAAGCCAGAAAATGTAATAAAAGACTTGGCACTAGGTAGGAACTCAATCAATTATTAAAAAAACAAAAATAAAAATAAATATCAGTGACCATCTTGGGATTTCAGACAAGAAGCCCTCGGCTGACCTGAAAGTGGAAAAGCTTGACTCGAGTGTCTCCTTTGTGCCAGGCTTTCTCACACACACAACCCATAAAAGAGAGGTTATTCTTCCTATTTGACAGCTGAGGCTTAGGGAGGTTGACTGGCCCAAGGTCACACAGCTGGTCAGGGGTAATGCCAGGACCTAAACTTCCCCACCACAGAGTTTGGTTTTAGGCAAGCTCTGCTCAGGGGATAGGAGCTGAAGTCCCTCTGGGGAGAAGAGAGGAACATACAGGAAATGGGAAGTTATTGAGCAGTGCCCTCGCATCACTTGGCCTCGGCCCCAGCTCTAGCAGGACCCTCCAGGCCCAGACAGCTGAGGCCATGCTGTGCCAGCCAGAGGCATCTGTCAAGGTCCTGGCTGGGCCAGAGAGCAGAGTCCTCTTTGGCTGAACTCTGAGAGACAGTCTGCAACACTGTGGCCCTGAGCAGGGAGCGGGTTCAGCCAGCACACCTTATGGGATTCCACAGCATTGGGCCAGACCCAGAGCTGTCGCCGTGCTGTTCACACACATTTCCTTCCATCAGCAGTGGCAGCTGTCTCCAAAGCAAATCACTGCAGGGTCATTTGTGTACCTGTTTCACCCACGGGTATAAGGCCCCAGGGAGCAGGGCCCCATCACCCTCGAATCTTCCCATCTGACCCCCGACTGATAACAGTGACAGAACTAGGCCTTTCTTTCGGGTTCTAACACAGAGAAAAGGCAAAAGGCACAGATACACAGGTTTCCCCAAAGGTCTGTTCTTTGGGCCTTGCGCTCCTTCCTCAGGAGCCAAAGTCTCAGAAGCAGAAAAATCCTCGATACCCCCAGGATCCCTTTGGGAAGTGGTTAACAGCACAGGCTTTGAAGCCAGGCCTCACTGAGTTTGGGTCTTTTCTTCACCAACTCCTCCAGCTGTGTCACTAGGGAATGGGGCTTAACCTCTCTGAGTCTCAGTTCTCCGATAGTTGTAACTACTAGGCAGGGTTACTGTGAGATTTAAAACACGTAAAGTGGTTGGCATATACTAAGCACTCAACAACTATTGGTGAAACAAAAAGGAGAAAATCTTATCCTCAGTAATCTTCCCAGGAAGAGAGCAGGTTTGGGGATGACCAGCAGCTTGGGAAGGGAGCAAGACTTGCTAGAGAAGTCCTAAGTGGGTAAGCAAGCTGAAGGCAAATATTGACTTGCTCTGGGTCACAATGGGCATGTTTTTTAAAAAAGACACCGTGTGGAAGAAAGGAAGAGGAGATATGAGATACACACAAAGGAGAAGACCACTGGGGGTACAGGAGAAATACGGGGGTTTACTAAGTTTCTGCTGTGAGTTGTGTGAATTACAACTTTTCTAGCTCTCTGTAAAGAGCTCAGTAAAGCTTTCATTTTTTTAAACCAATGGACTGGGTGTTGGCTGTTTTAGAGGATGCAAGGAGATGCTGAGTTTGACCTTAAGTGGCCTCAAGGGTATAGAGCAACCAGGCCATCCGTAGGAGTTACCCTTCTGCATTGTGTTACTGTCGTGAGGGGGATCTTGGACCAAAACTTAAGTGGGCAAGAGCAAGAATGTTATTTAATTTCTGTATCAAGTCCCCATCCCACTAGACTGGCAGAAAACATTAGCCTTGGGCCTTCTTGGATTTCCTTCCCCACCTCTCCAGTTACGTGATGCCAAGAGACCGGGGAGAGTTCGTCTTGTTCCTGCCTCACCCTCGCCATTCAAGTATGGCTGAGGGTCCCCTGCCTCTGTTGTCTAGAGGCCCTGCCCTGGGACAAGAACACCTTTCTTCAAAACAGCCCTTGTATGTGAGCCAGGCACAGTGGCTCACACCTGTAATCCCAACACTTTCAGAGGCCAAGGTTAGGGGGCGGGGGGGATCCCTTGACGCCAGGAGTTTGTGACCAGCCTGGGCAAAACAGTAATACCTCCATCTCTACAGGAAAAAAAAAATAATCTTAAAAACCTAAAAAGCCCTTGTATGGATTTTCTAACACAGTCTACACACAACCTGCCCTTTCTGGGTGGCTGTCCCCCAGCCACCTCTACAACAGACAGGCAGGGAGGCTGGGCACAGGCTCCCTCTCAAAAGAACTTCTCTCTCTACTTCCCTCCTCCTGACATGGGGCAGGATGGAGATGAGACAGGAGATCACTTCTCCCTCCCAGGTTCCAGTTAAGACATTTTGTCTCTACATCAGTCCTCTCTTTCACTGGTTCTACAGTCTTCCAAGTTCCCCTGTGGATACAGGCTTTGAGCACCTGAAGGAGACAGGAAAGGACACACCTTTCCCAGTCAGTAAGGGTCACCCGAACTTAGGCTCTGTACTTGTTCTCCACTATTCCATAGTATAGGTCACACCATGAGTTTTGCTTTTGTCTGTTTTTAACCAGGCCGCTGTTGATTGTGGTTATTGAAAGGGTTTATTTCTTCAACTATAACCCCACTCCATTACGTCACCATTGTCATTGTAATGACCCCCTCTGCCATGGTCACTGGAACACTGGCACTCCTAGTCAGCCAGATAGAGACAAAGGCACTAAGGCCAGAACAACATCAGAGCTGGAAGGGACTTTTTGTTTGTTTGTTTTGTTTTGTTTTGTTTTGAGACAGGGTCTCTCTCTGTCGCCCAGGCTGGAGTGCAGTGGCCCGATCATGGCTCACGGCAGCCTTAACCTCCCTGGCTCAAGGGATCTGGAAAGGACTTTTCTGAAGCTCTGCACCAGCCCCTTTACTGCACCCTGCCTGAGGCCACACCCACCCAGTAGCCGGTGAGTGTGAGAATCCAATCCCGGAAATCCAGCCCTAGTTTTCATTTTGCCAGGAGAATGGCTGGGAATTCTCAGAGCGGGGTACCCTTGCTCAAAGCAAGCTCTCAGAGTCTGACCTTCTTCCAGCCCCTAGCAAGAGAAACAAAAGGCATGGCTAGAGGTGGGGAAGCACCAGAGACCCAGCATCTCCCCGACAGAGGCAGACGTAGCCCTGTTACAGACATGAATGATTTTGTATGCCACACACCGCTCTGCGTCTGTGTCTTGGACATCTTCCCCTGCCAGTAAGCATAACTCTATTCTCTGCGCTTGCTCCACAGTATCCCACAGTACAGACAATATCTGTTTTTTGTCTGTTTGGGTTTTGTCTGTTTGAACCAGCCCCATACTGATGAGCATTTGGGTTGATTCCAGGAATACAACCCATATACTACAAAGGAAGTCCTTTCATGCCTCCGTGCGCACCTGACTCCACACTTTTTCAAAGTAATTCTCCCACCCACATGGTGGGCAGTGTGGTGCATGTCCTCAGTGTAGACCTAGGTGCAGGGAAAGGTGGAATTTGTCCACAGTCACACAGTAAGTTTGTGCTAGAGATGGCAAACACGAGTCCCCAAGACTCCAGACTTAACACTCTCTTAGTCCCAGTTGATGCTCCCTTAACACCAGACTTTTTGTTTGTTTCAAATGACCCAGAATAGGCAAGTGTGAGGGTTGCACCAGGCAATGTGGGGTGAGGGAGAGACCATTAAATAACCCTGATTGATCAAGGGGCTGCCGTGTGTAGTCACCCATGGGATGAAGTAGCTTGGACTATCTCCCCAACTTGCAAAGCACATTCATACCCATGATCTCATCTTAATCTTCTGGGTTCCATATTATTATCTTTTCCATTTAGAAATAAGGAAACTGAAGTGCAGAATGGTAACCTGCCCCCAAATCACACAACTAGTAGTAGTAGAGCCAGGACTAGGAGCCCTGTTCTTTAAAAGTAAATATATTATTACTGCTAAAAAGAAAGATAGCATTGCTGAAAGTGTGAAAAAACTGAAATTGTAACTACAAAAGAAAATAACAACATTGCAGAAAATATGAAAAAAAAAAACCTTGAAAGCAAGAAAAACAAACTAAAAGAAAAAATCTTACTGGGTGACCATGGACCTGTCATCTCATCTCTCTGAACCTCAGTTGTCTCATTTTTAAAGAAAGGGAATGAGGATAAGCACAGCGACGGCAGCCAGTACATACTGAGCACCGCCTTACCAAATTTCCAAGTCTGACCTTTCCCTGCAGGCTTCATGCAAGTATACATATTTCGTACGGCTATAATCATGGGAAGCACAATTTTGTTTGCCGTTTTTCACCTGACACTATCTTGTAAAGTTTTTCTATTGACTACACAGACTCAGCTAGCACCGTCCCAGCAGTTGCATTTTTCAAGGTTGATTAACCCCTGTCCCTGGTGCTGGATATTTCTTGCCACCAAGTTTTCACTATTTTGGCTGATGCTGCAAGAAACATCTTTTGGCTTCTGAGAAATTCTCCAAAGTCAGAGACTGAGGCATTCAGACCCTGAACTCCTGCTTTCCCAAGGCTTTTCACCCAACCCCATCTGCCCTCTGCCTCAGGGCCTGGGCAGAGCCTCGGCCTTGCTGACAGCGTGCTGGAGAGGCTCACCAGGCTCAGCAGCCTCAGGGCAGGCTCAGTGAAGCTTGTAGGCAAAGGGGCTGAAGGGGTCTTTCTTTTGTGTTCCCCTGACTGTTCCTAAGAACATGTGCATTTATGCTTCATACCCTAACTAGGAAAGTTCTCCTTAAATCTAACCCCCAAATCCCATCTTCTGTTCTTTCTACATACAATATAAACTTCTTTGGGCCACAGTCTTGTGAGAATCTCTCCAAAACGTATAGGAAGACATAATGTTGTCTTTACAATTGCACGGTGTCCTCCAACTGTTAAGCCTGTCCCAGGTGAGGTTAAGAATTTCAGTCCCTCTCCACTGCCTCACATCCATCTGGCCAGATGCGTTTCTTAAACTCCTCTTTATCAGCCTGGGGCTGTCACCCATTCTACCCATTGGTCTGCCAGTCGCTGTAAGGTTGTCATGTACCAGAGGCATGAGTACAAATGATGGGGGTGGGGACGGGGGACCTGAGGAGCTGGGTTCAAGCTATGCTTCCCTGCTTGCTGGCACTGAGACCTTGGGGGAAGTCATGTTACTGGCCTCCCTTCAGCTCCCTCGCAGCTTGGGTTTCCCCATCAGAAAATTGGAAGCGATTAGAACCTGTACTTAGCAAGAGTTCTGGGACATCCCTTGTGTGAAAGTGCCAGATACGCTGTAAAGCAGTACCTAGGAGTGCCCCACCTGGGACCACTTTTGAAAATGTCCAAGCCCCACCCCACCACCACCACCACCACAAGGTAACGTTCTGCCCCACTTTTCTCATCCATGTTGGGTGGAGACTTGCGCCATCCCTCGGCTCTCTACATCCATCCGCACCACGCCCAGGTGAACTCACACTCGGGACCCTGAACCCGCCCACTCCAGGCCTTGCGGGCCCTTCTCTCCTCTTCTGCACGCCCCACCCTCCTTTCCCACCCAGACTCCAGTGTGCCCACACCCCACTCCCCATCTTAGCCTGCCTTTCCCCTCTCCCCCAGCGCACGCGTGCATCAGGGCACTCACGAAGCCACCCCGGCAACATCTGGGAGCACGCGCCTCCACATCTGGAAGGTGGGCGCAAGCGTAGCAGGGCCGGTCGGGTTCCTCGCCGCCCCCCGGCCCCGCAGGTGGTGGAGCAGGGCGGGGTGAGGGAGGGGGAGGCCAGCGGGGCTGGGCGGGGCCCGGGGGGCGGGGGCCTGACGGCCGGGCCGGGCGGCGGAGCTGCAAGGGACAGAGGCGCGGCAGGCGCGCGGAGCCAGCGGAGCCAGCTGAGCCCGAGCCCAGCCCGCGCCCGCGCCGCCATGCCCCTGGCCTTCTGCGGCAGCGAGAACCACTCGGCCGCCTACCGGGTGGACCAGGGGGTCCTCAACAACGGCTGCTTTGTGGACGCGCTCAACGTGGTGCCGCACGTCTTCCTACTCTTCATCACCTTCCCCATCCTCTTCATTGGTGAGTGCGCGCAGCGAGCCGCGGAGGAGGGGACGGGAGAGCAGGGAGGGAGGAGGAGGCGCTGCGCGCCGCACCGCTCGGCGTCCCCTTCCGGCCCGCGACCGCCGTCCGCCTCGTTCCCGGGGTCCCCTGCCCTGTGTCCTGCCCGCCGGTCCCCGCACTCGCACACCAGCTCATCCCTTCACTCCCCCGGTGCCCCCGATCCCGCGCCAAACACAGCGGACGTTTGTGACCCATGGGATCACCAAGTTTTGCTTCTGCAGGGCCAAGAGCTGGGATGGGGAAAAGGGAAAGAGGAGGTCTCAGCACGCAGTGGGAAACTGGAGAGGGGTCGGGCCTCACCCTCCGTGGCGCAGCTTAGGGAGCCGGGTCACCCCTCCCGCAAGGCAGCCTCCCTGTCAGCCGCAGCTGGGCCTAGGGAAGAGGGAAGCCTGTGCTTTGGAGTCTGGGATGGAGGCCCAGCTAACCCCTATGCTTTCACCGGGCTGAGCCGCGCAGTGGTCCGTGATCTCTGACAGTCCCAGGCCCGCGCCCTGGGCGAGGAGAGGCGAGAGCTAGGGACTTGGATTCCCTTCCCCCGCCACCCCACCCGGGCATGTGTCTCCAGAGCGCAACTTCTCAGGCTCTGCGCAAAGTAGCTCCGACTCGCCGACGCAGCGACCCCGGCGCCCTTGCTTGCAAAGTTGGGCGCCACGGCCGGGACAATCGTGCGTGCCTCTCCACTGAGGTCCCCCCCATCTCTCTCCAAGACCTTGACTCTTCCAGACCAGTCAAGTCTATCAACTCATAGGGTGTCCCCTGCATCCCCAAAACGTGTTCATTCACTTTAAGAAAACAAGCAAATCTTAAAATTCATATACAGCTTTGGGGAAGAAAGGAAAGATTGTCACAAAATTAGATTTACAAGAGGTTGCTGCAGAAGCAGAGTTGCTAGTTATTAACAAAGACAGTTAGATAGAAATAGAAATAAAACATACAAAATATGTGCTCATATGTGCATCAAAAATCAAAAAAGAACAGCATTTACACTTCTGTTCTCAGCCAAACGGTTTATTAACCTGATGACTTGTCACACAAGAAGTTAGTATGTATAATGGGGTACCTTGGCAGGGCACAGTGGCTTACATCTGTAATCTCAGCATTTTGGTGGGCTGTGACAGGAAGACTGCTTGAGTCCAGGAGTTCGAGACCAGCCTGGGCAACATAGTGAGACCCCCCCCGCCCTTTCTACAAAAAATTAAAAATTAGCTGAGCATGGTGATGTGCGCCTGTAGTCCCAGCTACTCAGGAGGCTGAGGCGGGAGGATCACTTGAGCCTAGGAGATCAAGGCTGTAGTGAGCCGTGATCGTGGCACTGCACTCCAGCAGAGGCAACAGAGCAAGACCCTGTCTCAGTAAAAAGGTGTGGTGGGGGAGGTACCAGCATAGGACCAGGCTGAATGAGTTGGACGTTTAGTTTGTGTGTACCAGCCTTGGGGATCCTCATGTGTAGGTGTCACCCTCACCATGGACCCAATGCCCAAGCACCTTTCTGGGGTTCATGCACCCTCTTCCTCCTCCAAGTGGGCAGGCATCCTGCCTCTGACTGTCTCTCCCTGCAGGATGGGGAAGTCAGAGCTCCAAGGTGCACATCCACCACAGCACATGGCTTCATTTCCCTGGGCACAACCTGCGGTGGATCCTGACCTTCATGCTGCTCTTCGTCCTGGTGTGTGAGATTGCAGAGGGCATCCTGTCTGATGGGTGAGTGACTGTCTGAGGACTCAGGAAAGTGAATCTGCTCCAGGGTACTTCCTGAAAGGCCCAAGGAGATCCTAGCTCACCTATATTCCACAAGCCCATGTCTTTTGTTACTACATCCAGCAGCTCAGTGTCTTCTATGTGCCAACCTCTCTGAGCTGGGCACTGGACGCAAGTGAGTCCCAGGCCCTGCCATCAGTCCAGGAGAGCAGAGGGAACACGGACCTGCATGCCAAGTCCCAGTGAAATAATGCTAGAGCCTATTAGAATGCCACAACTCCAGTGAAAAATGTCTGGCCTCTTCTACAACCTGCCGGAGTTACCTTCTTGGAAAAAAAAAAAAATCTAACCATGCCACCCACTCTTGCATAAGACCTTTCCTTGGTTCTCAGCTGTTTTGAAGATGTGGTCTCAGATCCTCAGCCCACCATTCAAGGTCTTCACAGTCAGCCCCACCTATCTCTGGCCTCATTCCCCATGCCCACCTTCCGTTTGGGCCTCACAGCACACTCCTCACACCTCTGCTACAGCACAGATCACACTGTATGTTAAAGTTTATGTCTATTTGCAAAACTGTCTTCAGAGTCAGAAAGGCCTAAGAGTTAGAATCTGAGTCTTGTTCATCTTTGTGTTCACAGTGCAAGGCATGTGATAAACATAAACATTATTCAGTCCATAAACATTTATTGGGTCCTTAGGAGAATGAATGAAACCATGTTACAAATAAGTACTCTGGGAGGTGAGAGGAAGGCAGAATTGGGCAAGCTCCATGGTTGAGAGGGCTTTGGAGCGGAGTCTGGAAGGGTGACTAGGCTTCAGACACACAGAGGAGGAAGGAGAGAGAGAACTGGTGGTGCCTGAGGGAAGGGAAAAGGCACCAAAGAGAAAAGCAGGTAGGGCTAGGGAGCAGCGCAGGGGCTGGAGCATTAAACACAGGCTGGGGAGCGATGGAGGCTGAGGCTGGGAACCCAGGTTGGGGCATCTCAGGAGGACTGTGAATCCCAGCCTGCATGTTTGGGTCGGATTTGGTCAGCAGTTTGGAACAGAAGAGAGATGTCATCAGCATAACACTTTTAGGTGGGAACCTGAGGTGTTCAGCGCAGGCTGGAGGCAGGGAGAATCTAGAGGTATAATAGAAGCAGGACTTAGCATTGACTGCAGTAGTCTAGGTGAGCAATAACTGCAGACAGAAATGGTGTGTCAGCAGTCAGGGACAGAAGAGGAGCGGGAGCAGCCATCTCACTAAGGAAGAATCCAGTAACCAGCAAGGATGAGAGACTGCCAGGAGAGGGAGTGGTGGAGGAGAGGGATATTTGGCTTGAGTATCTGAGGTCCAGCGCCCCCTGAGCTGGAATCAGATTATACCCAGACTGCACTCCTGCAGTGCTGCCTGGCTCCTGTAGTTGGATGGCAGGGGATAGGCTCCCTCATCCTCCCTCCCGTTCCCCACCTTCCCTTCCCCAATGTCCCTGCATCCTGGCTTCAGCAGTGATCTCTAAAATACCTGCTTGACTTGGAGGCAGCAGCTCTGCCTGCTTATTAAAGTCCCTAGACCAGCAAGAAGACCAGAAGGCATACTGCTACACAAGCACGTGACAAGTCCGCCTCCACCCCCACCCCTACACCCCTTCCAAAGTAGCACAAATGCCACAGTGAGCCCTCAGATGGGAAATACTCACCAGATGGTGACAGAGAAAGACACCTCCGCCCTTGGAGAAGGAAGACCTGGGTCTTCAGTGAGCACTGCTGCTGTGTACCAGCTATGGGACTTTGCACAAGTCATTCAGGCTTTCTGGGCCTCATAAGCATTTATAAACATACGATAAAACATTTTAGTTGCCAACTTAAAAATGTGTGAGAAAGTATAAGGTGTTTCAAAATTATTTCAAGGAGTAAAGAGGCAAGAGTTTTGAAGATCCCTGGGCAGGGTGTTGGCTGTTCCCAGTGTGGCCATTCATGACTGCTCTCTGGCCTTATGAAACAAGCATCATAGTCCCTGGCTTGCCTGCTTCATGGGGCTGTGGAGGGTGAAATTCGAGCATGGACAGGGTGCAGAGCCCGGAGTGGCAGAGCACTGGGTAGACTGTGTATTCCCAGAATGTGGGAAACTGGAATGAATCGGTCCAGGGATGCCCTCCTGCTGGCTGTCAGCAGCCCCTCCTGTGTGTGGCTGTACTGCTTCAGCTCAGTGCAAAGGGCCATCTCCTCCCCAGGGCACAGATCAGCTCAAGCTGAGTAATTGTCATCTGGTCTTTGTGAGCTCCTACCCCCAGGCCTGAGTGAGGGGCAGGAAAAGAGCAGACAGGAGAAGTCACAGACCCTTGTGATACCTCCAGTCTAATCCAGCCTGGGTTTTCAGAGCTGTCTGGAAATTTAGGGGGCAGGTGGGAGGGGGCTGATTAAGGCAGCCCTGATTTGATTTAGAGTGAGCCTCATTTAGTGACTAATTAAGCCATCTTAAACCTGTAGGGCTTCCCCTCTTCCTTTGGGTATTATTTCTTTCTGTGATGTTCTGAATTCAGAACAATCAAAACAGTATAAGTTAGTGAAGAAGATATTTTTTAATAACTACAATATTTTCCCAGACCACCATACACTGGATAAAGCCTGTATATAAAACTTTACCTAATTTCTTAACTAATTGAATGTGTATTATTTAACAAAGCAGCTAAAAACTATTCTATGAAGCCATGTCATGAAATATTTAGTTCAATTATGGTTAATCCTCATCTTATTTCGTCTTATAAAATTTTAACATTTCTACCTCCTATTGCAAAAAAAAGCATTTATATCAGCATATAATAAAACATGTCTAGATGTCAGCTTAAAAATGTGTGAGAGAGTAGAGGGTGTTTCAAAATTATTTCAAGGAGTAAAGAGGCAAGAGTTTTGAAGATCCCCAGGAAGGGTGTTGGCTGTGCCCAGTGTTGCCATTCATGACTGCTCTCTGGCCTTGTCTGTCTTGTACCTTCTATATTAGTTTGAAGACCTTTTTTGGAGAATATTCACTAAAGAATATCAATATCTACCATTTCATTAAAAAAGAAATGTGGAGTTTGCCTTTTCAAGTTGGTTTGATGCTTATTGATGTTTTCAGGGACCCAGCCTCTTCCCATCTTTCCATACCATCCTGTGTGTGTGTGTCAGCCTATCTTCCCCATGGTCACAAGGTGGCTGCCTAGCTCCGGGTATTGCTTAGCATGAGCAGAGAGGGCATGCTGCCGACATGCCTCTCCTTTATGACAGAGATCATTCTTTCTTTGACATCTCACTGGCCAGAATACGTGGACCAACACTGGCAAAGGAGTATGGAATTGCATGGCTGCTTAAACCAATCACCATCCATTCCCTGGGGCTGGGTATATTGCTGCTGGAGCAAACCTGTGGTCCTCCTGGCACAGAATAAGGGGAAGATACTCTTTGGTGGACAGCCCACATTGCCTCTACACTTGCACCTCAGTCCCACCAGACCCACTGAGGTCACAGGATAGCTCTCCTCATGTCCTTCCTCCTTCTCTGTTGAACTCTTATGTATCCTTCAAAGTCCAGCCTGGTGCCACCTCCTCTGGGAAGCTGTCCTTGGTTGCCCACCCCCTCCTTTGTGCTCTCTCAGTCTCTGTCCATCGGCAGTATCACTTCCCTAGCCTGCTGACTCCAACAGTTAGCTCTGAGCATGGCAGCCCCCTCCATACCATCAGCTTCTCAAGGGCAGGGACCCTTGGCACACTGGATAGAAGTAGCCTGGTGGGCAACAGCAGCACTGAGGCAGCAAGCTGTAGCAGGCCATCTGGGAATGGAGTGGGTACCACAGGGCTGGAGCAGAAAGGGCAGGCTGGGCAGATCTGATAAAGTGGCTGGAGGCCACATAGCCTGGGCCTTTCGTTCCAGGCTGAGCAGAGTGGGTTTTGCTGTCTGCAGGAGGGAGCTGTGGAAGGGCATGATCACGACCAACTAAGGTGACCCTCCTCACCAGGCCCAGGGAAGACTGAGGCCTGGAAGGAGGCTCTGGCTGCCTCTGGGTCTTACCCCCAGGCCACAGTCCACCCACTTAGAGGCCTCTGTGAGTTAAGGTGGAGAGACTATGAGCTGGTATTGACTGCTCCATTCCCCATCCCGAGAGAGGAGACAAAATCAGTGACCTTGGAAATGCCTCTTCGTGCCTCAGTTTCCTCACCCCATAAAATGGGAGACTAAGAGTACCCACTCGATGGGGTTTAATGAAGATTAAATGGGTTAACATATATCGCATGCTTAGAACAGTGCCTGGCACAGAGTAAATGCTCCATAAATACTGACTCTCATCAGTTTGTTATCACAGCCTCTGGGGAGGGCGCCAGTGCTGACTTATGCTGTTCGTGTTAAATGGGGCTGTCACTGGGTGAGTTGTGGCATACAGGCCCCTGCACTGTTCAAGAGACCCCAGCAACCCTTGTGCTTAGGGCTCAGCACATAGTAAGGCCTCCAGATCATATACCCAGCTCTACTCCATGTACTGGCAGCTCTGCCCAGCCCATACCCCAAATACGCCCATTAACTAAAGGGCCCTGCAGCCTATAAAGTGATGCTATAAAGGTTCAGTGTTCAGCCTTTGAAATTCAAGGCCTGGGCTGCTCTATTGCAGTACTTAGCATGTCCCCATCCTGTCTGTTTCTCTCTCCCATCTCAGGGTGACCGAATCCCACCATCTGCACCTGTACATGCCAGCCGGGATGGCGTTCATGGCTGCTGTCACCTCCGTGGTCTACTATCACAACATCGAGACTTCCAACTTCCCCAAGCTGCTAATTGGTAGGTGAGGTGTAGGAGGGAGGGGCAGTACCTTCATTCATTTCTTCAGATAATGTTTACTGAGGACTCATTATGTGCCAGCTATTGCTCTAAACAGTAGAGATTTGGAATAGAAAAAGAAAAAAATCCCTGCCTTCATGGAGCTTACAGTCTGGTGAAGGAGGATAGACAGGCAAAGACAGTGAATAAACAAGCAAACAAATAGGTGGTGGGGATGCTATGAAGAAAATCAAGCTGAGTAAGGGGTAGGGGCAATGACAATGTTGCTATCTACACAGGATGGTCAGGGAAGGGCTGTGGTAACTGTGGGCATGCAGATATTTGGGGGAAGGTATTCCCTGCAAGGGGAGTGACAAGTGCAAAGTCCTCTGATAGGGATAGATTTGGCAAAGATGTCACTGTGGGCAAAGCCAAATGAGCAAGGGGAAGAGTGGGAGGTGAGGGCAGGCGTCAGGAGAGGAGCGAGCAAGAGTCCCAGGCTCTGGGCCTGAGAGCCTGGGTGAACTGTGGCATCAATAACTGATGTGACAGAGGAGGGGGAGGTGGGCTGTGGTGGGGATAAAGTTTTCTACTGGGGGCATATCGAGTTTGAGATGTCACAGAGACAGCCAACTCAAGTGTCAAGTTGGGCTTTCATGGGGAGGTCAGGACAGGAGCTACACTTTCAGGAGGTGGGCCTTGTAGATGACATCTAAAGCTTGAGCCTGGGGCTGGCTGCCGTGGCTCACACCTGTAACCCCAGCACTTTGGGAGGCCGAGGTGGGCGGATCACCCGAGGTCAGGAGTTTGAGACCAGCCTGACCAACATGGAGAAACCCCCACCTCTACTAAAAATAGAAAAATTAGCTGGGCATGGTGGCACGCATCGGTGGTCCCAGGTACTCAGGAGGCTGAGGCAGTCAAATCTCTTGAACCCAGGAGGTGGAGATTGTAGTGAGCTGAGATCGCGCCACTGCAGTCCAGCCTGGGTGACAGAGCAAGACTCCATCTAGAAGGAAGGAAGGAAGGAAGGAAGGAGGGAGGGAGGGAAGGGAGGGAGGGAGGAGGGAGGGAGAAGAAAGCTTGAGCCTGGATGAGGTCACCTGGGGAGAGAAGAGAAAGGCTCTGGGACCAGAGCTTGAGGTTTGCTAACATTTAGAGAGACTCGGGAAGGACTGCCCACTTAGAGCTTCTGAGATGTTAAATACTGCAGGACTGGGGTCCCAGGCAGAAGCAACAGGATGATGGTTGGTGTTTACTGAGCATGTGCCATGGGGCAGGCTCCATGCCATGTTCCTTACATTCATTGTCCCACAGGCTAATTCCCCCAGCCTCCTTATTGGTATTGTTAATATCCCCATTTTCCAGTGTGGACCCTGAAACTGAGAGGTTAAAAATAATAACAGTAAATACTCACTTTGTACTTACTGTATGCCAGGCCCCATCCTACCTATGTGATATATTAATTCATTTAATCCTTGCAACAACTCTATGAGGTAGGTACCATTATTATTTTCCCTTTACATATCAGAAAACTGAGGCTCAGAGGTTAAATAACTGGCACTAGTCTAGCTCGTCAAGGGGCACAGCCGGGAGTCTAGCATCTGTGCAATCTCCTAATCATTTCTGAGACTGCGTGTCTAAGGGCCCTCAGACTTCGTCCTTGGGGTAAAGGTATCAATCCGCAGGTCTGCCTCTGTGTTGGGGTTCAGCCTGTGTGTCTAAGGCTGGGGCTGTACATCTGGCAGTTAGACTTTGTTCACACTATGTCCTTAAGTCAGACTGATTTTTAGGTATCACAGCATCGAATTGACATTTGGAGTCTGGCACACTCTGTGCTAAGCCAGTGACATCATGGTGTTGTCAGGGAGTACAGGGTGTTTCTTGCACTAGTCACAGGTCTGCCTTTCTGTAGAAGGTGGGATCTGAGCTCCATTAGGATTATCCAGGTGATCCCCCTACCCCTAGCCCAGGGGCCCCCACATGAGTATGAATGGGAGCTGGGGGAAGCAGGTTGAGAGGGGAGATGTTAAATACAGGCTTCAGAGAGCCACCCTGCTTCCATTTCTGAAGTAGCTCCTTGTCTGTAGAGAACCCTTCATTAACCAGGGCCTGGCTGACCAGTGTCCTCTGGAAACACCCTGTCTGGACATCTGAGGAGTTCATTTTCTCATTCTCCAGCAAACACATAATGTTCTCTCTTTAAAGCACAAGTTATCACCCGTGGATGGATTTGTCCTTTTCTAAGGAACAAAGACTAACTCCCTCCATTCCCCTTGTTGGAGTTATCTCCCCTTGAAAGGACACTCCACAGAGCCAGAAATTCTAGAACAGGGAAAAGTGGAGGGGACGTGCCTGTGAACTGCAGGGACAGAAGGAAATGGGTATTGGGAGAATGGCCAGCCCTCCAAGGGGCTGATGTCTGGCCTGGGTATGGAGTCCCACAGAAAGGGGACCTGTGATGCAGCTTACATTGTCCCGTGAGGGAACCATGATCCTGGAACCCAGATGAGGCCAAGGAAATGTTCTCTGAAAAAGTCATATTTGAGCTGAGAACTGAAGGAACTAACTGGGAGAAGGGAGGAAAGAGTGCTTCAGGCAGAGGAAACAGCATGTGCAAAGGCCCCAAGGCAGAAGGAACAAAACACATTAGAAAATTCAGAAGAAGAAGAGTGGCGTGGGTGCAAAGTGGAGGGGAGCTGGACTTTGGGTTTTGTTTGCTTGTGCCCAGGCTGGAGTGCAGTGGCACCACCTTGGGTCACTACAACCTCCGCTTCCTGGGTTCAAGCGGATTCTTGTGCCTCAGCCTGCTGAGTAGCTGGGAATACAGGCGTGTACCACCACACTCAGATAATTTTTTGTATTTTTAGAAGAGTTGGGATTTCACCCTGTTGACCATGCTGGTCTTGAACTCCTGGCCTTAAGTGATCAGGTCTCAACTTCCCAAAGTGTTGGGATTACAGCCGTGAGCCACCGCACCCACCTGGAAGGTCATACCACAGATGTTTGCCTTTATCCCAACAGCAATGGGAAGTTGTGTGTGTGTGTGTGTGTGTGTGTGTGTGTGTGTGTGTGTGTGGTTTAACATGTTTAACATAAAATTTATCATCTTAACTGTTTTTAAGTATAGTGTTCTGTGGCATTAAGTATATTCACAGCCGGGCATGGTGGCTCATGCCTGTAATCCCAGCACCTTGGCAGGCCAAGGCAGGTGAATTGCTTGAGCTCAGAAGTTCGAGACCAGCCTGGCCAACATGCCAAAACCCCGTCTCTACAAAAAACATAAAAATTAGCTGGGCGTGGTAATGTACACCTGTAGTTCCAGCTACTTGGGAGGCTGAGGTGGGAGTATCATGGGAGGCTGAGGAGAGAGGATCAGTTGAGCCTGGAAAGTGGAGGCTACAGTGAGCCAAGATTGTGCCACTGCACTCCAGCCAAGATTGTGCCACTGCACTCCAGCCTGGACAACAGAGTGAGACCCTGTCTCAAAAAAAGAAAAAAAAAGTATATTCACAGTGCTGTGTAGCCATCACCACTATCCATCTCCAGAACTTTTTCATCTTCCCAGGTTGAAACTCTGTACTCATTAAATGATAACTCCCCATTTCTCCCTCCTTACAGCCCCTGACGACCACCATTCTACTTTCTATCTATGAATTTGAGCACTCTAGGTACCTCATCTAAGCGGCATCATGCACTGTCTTTTTTTTTTTTTTTTTTTTTGAGATGGAGTCTTGCTCTGTTGCCCAGGTTGGAGTGCAGTGGTGCAATCTCGGCTCACCGCAACCTCTGCTTCTCTGGTTCAAGCGATTCTCCTGCCTCAGCCTCCTGAGTAACTGGGACTATAGGTACCTGCCACCACGCCTGGCTAATTTTTGTATTTTTAGTAGAGACGGGGTTTCACCATATTGGCTAGGCTGGTCTCAAACTCCTGATCTTGTGATCTGCCCACCTCGGCCTCCCAAAGTGCTCGGATTACAGGCGAGAGCCACCTTGCCTGGCCTATTTGTCTTTTTATGACTTGCTTATTTCACTGAGCATAATGTCCTCAAGGTTCATCCATGTTGTAGCATGTATTGAAATTTCCTTCCTTTTTAAGGCTAATATTCTACTGTATGGATATGCCACATTTTGTTTATCTATTCGTCTGTCAGTGGGTTGCTTCCACCTCTTGACTCTTGTAAATAGCACTGCTATGAACATGGGTGCATTGAGGGGTTTTCGACATAATCATAATAATTGCTTTATGGAGACCAGCTTGGAGGAGAACAAGATGGGGAGGAAGTGTGGAAACCAATGAGAAGGCTCTCAGGGTATAGCGGGAATACAGAGGACGCATGATGATGCCTGGACTTAGGTGGTACCACAGGGATGGAGAGAAGTAGATAGAGTCAAGCTATTTAGGACGTGAAATAGACAGCATTTGTTAATGGGAGAGGTGTGGGGCGAGGGAGAAGAATAGAGGGAGAAGGAGGAGTAATGGGAGCTCACCAGCAGCCCCCATGTTATGCCTCTTTCCTTCCTTTTCCCTCTTCTCTCATCAGGCATTCAGCTTTTGCTGAGTACTTCTGTGTCTGACAACAGGCTGAGCACTCAGCACTGCAGGACAGGACTATGCAAAAAACCTCTGGGCCTAGTCCTGGGTGCACTGCTAATTCCCTGTGTGACCTTGCACAAGACATCCAAGCTCTCTGAGCCTCGGATTCCCCACCTGGGCAGGAAGAGTAAGTCCCTGCCTAAGTCATAGGGTTGTAATGAAGAGCAAAGCAGACCATATCTGTTAAGTGTTAGGGACAAGACAAGCATGAGGCATATTTTCAAGTCTCGGCTCCTGTAGGCAGCTCTCACTAAGGGCTAAAGGGCTTCTGATGCCTGGGATAGAATCTGTCCGGCAGAGTGGAGTGGAGGCAGGGGGACAGCCTTCAGCTGTGGAATTCCTCCAGTCCTAGAGACCAGCCTGAGCTGGGGGACATTATTCCAGTCCTGAGGCATGAGAGCAGAAGGCCGATGCTTCTGCCCTCCATCCTAATGTCCTCCTGCAGGGACCCAAGGTGGATGGCATCGATCCCCCCGGGTGAGCTCAGCCCTGGGCGCATGGTGGGGCCCAACATCTCAACCTGTTTCCTAACCCTGAGCCAGGCAGGACAGATCCCAGATTTGTGCCCAAGAGATGCTCTGGCATCCATGCCCAGGCCCACATAGGGATAGAGGGCAGGGTGAAAGTCTCTCTCCCTCACTCGGGTCCTCTGGAGAGGGGCTCTGTGTCATGAAGCTGACCTTATCCGCATCTGGTCTAGGAGGGAGGAGGGAAGGAGCTGCCAGTGCTAAAATCTCCCCCACCCTCAAAGGGGGACTTCACAGGTTATTGCTGGTTTTGGTTGTTGGAAGCTGACAGTGATTTATTGGCAGATTGAAGTGAGTGTGTGTGCGAGAATTTAGGATAGAATCTACTGATAGCTTCTGAGGTTTACCTTCCCCAGGTCTTAAATCTGGAGATAATAAAAATATAACAGCTAATGTCCAAAGAGCACCCGCTGCGTGTGAGGCTCACTGCACTAAATGCTTTCCATATGTTTCTCACAAGAACCTTCTAGGTAGCACTATTATGATTCCCACTTAATGGATGAGGAAACTAAGCTCTAGAAGGCTAAGTGACTAATCCAAGGTCACACAGCTATTATGTCACAGGCTCTGAGCCCAGGTGTATCTGGCTGCGGAGCCACCACCACTAACCCCTGTATAACGCTGCCTCACAGAACTGTGGCTGGCTCTTTCCGTATCCCCCATGCCCCTGCTCCATCATCATGCTGTGGTGGGCTCTGAACTGTGAGGACAGGGATCCAGGCTTTCACCCTCTCTCTGTCCCTAGCTGCCAGTGCACTTGGGCAAGGTCACATCCTATTTCTGGGCCTCAGTTTCCTCATCTGTAAAATGAAAGGCTGGATTGAATGACCTTTAAGATTTCCCTCACTTGGAAATTCCACAAGTAAGTCATTATAGCATGGAGCTTGCATGCATGGGCTCCAGCGTCAGGCCAGCCCAGCTCTGCCAGTTAATGGGTGTGTGGCCTTGGATCTGTTACCTAACCTTTCTGAGCCTCATTTCCTTTGTCTGAGAAATTGGGGGTGACGGCAGTGTACTTTCTTTGAAAAGTTATGGTGAGGAATAGATAAGATCATGTGTTTAAAGTGCTTACTTGGCACAGTGCCTGTAACTTAGTTAAATTCAATAAATAAATTTCCCATTCTTCCCATGATCATTTATTTTTAAGGGACATTTGTCTGACCAGTTTGATTTATGAGATTATTGGTGTTTTTCATGAATGTTAAGACGTACGTGCGTCATCTTAGAGTCATGTACTCTGATATATTCACACGTGCACATCCACTTACTCGGAAATGTACACACCCAGGCACGCTTATTCTGTCTCCTTCTCTGCCACATACTTGCACACATTATGTGAGTGTACACACATGATGCACACACGTCTCTGCGATCTTCCATCTCTCCTCGGCAGCCCTGCTGGTGTATTGGACCCTGGCCTTCATCACCAAGACCATCAAGTTTGTCAAGTTCTTGGACCACGCCATCGGCTTCTCGCAGCTACGCTTCTGCCTCACAGGGCTGCTGGTGATCCTCTATGGGATGCTGCTCCTCGTGGAGGTCAATGTCATCAGGGTGAGGGTAAGCAGGCCACCTGGGCCAGGGTGGGGTGGGAAGCAGAGGCTCTGGCCTCTGTCCTGCCCTGGGTTCAGGCCCCCACCCTGCTTCTCAGCCAAACTGAGAAGGGATCAGCTTGTTTTACCCGCCCGTGTAAAGGGGAGTGGGGCCGTGGCGGAAATTTCAGGATAGACACTGCATCTGGCCCACGTGTGCTCTACCCCAGGGTCCCAGAGGGAGAGGGGGGTGATGGGTGTGTTCGCTGAGGTTGGCGGATGACTTTCCGTAGAAAGGGAAGATAAGCATCAGGCACTGGCCTCTCCTACTTTCTTTCTTCGGGGGTGGGGGACTTTGCTTTAATGTATTCATATCGTCACGCTGGTAAATGAATGAGTAAGTGTTTTGTTTTCCTTTCTGTTTGCTCCCGCCTCCCTCTCTCTTCCTCACCCCAGACTCCAACCTTCCCCTTCCCCTGCCCCTACCTCCCCAGGCAGCCCAGACTAATGAACTCGTTTGTCTTTCCCATGCTTTGTTTTTATTAGTATAATACCATATGTGTCTGTCTAAATAAATACCTATTCAGGTTTTTTCCTCTCAACACAAGTGAATATGTAGGTTTCCCCCACGGTATTTATCTTGTAAGAATGGGATCATATTATGCAGTTTTCTGCACTGTGCTTTTCTCACCCAACAAATATCTCTTGGGACTCCCTCCAAGCCATCTGATATGGCTAATTCCGTTTTCTTAATGGCTGCATAATATTCCATCGTATGGATGAGCCATAATGTGTTCAGCTATTTCTCTATGGATGGGCATTTACTTTGTTGCCAAGTTCTTGCCTTCATGAATAATGGTGTGTTGAACATACTTATATATTTATGTATTGCTGCTTTTATTTCTATGGGAGAGAGTCCAAGGAATGGCGTTGCTGGGTCAAAGGGTCTGTGTATTTTAAATTTTGATCAGTGTTACATATTGCCTTCCAGAAAGACTGTAATCTGCCAGCAATGAGTGAGAAAACCCTTTCCCTGCCTTCCAACCAGCAGTGAGGGCTACAGCCCTTTCGAACTTGGACTGCCTGCATTTCTCTGACTCTTCTGCTTTTAGTTGGTGATCTGCAGGGCACAAAGCTCCTTATGTGTCCCCCCATCCAGTGACCCTCACAGGAACCCTGTGATGCAAGCACCATCCCCTTTATAGATGAGGAAACATTTTAGATGAGGCTTGTCCAAAAACACCTTGCTAGTAAGTGGAGGAGGCAGGATTCAAAACCAGGTCTGCATGACTTGGAGTTCTGTGAACTGTATATGAAACATGGTGGTATCCTTAGATCTGTGGAGAAGATAGCATATGAGAGATTCCTGCTCCTCCCCAACCCAACCTAAACCCAACCCAGCCTAGCCATGGGGGGTTCAAAGTCGACCTCAATGAGCAGTTACAAAGTCAGGATGCCCTGACATTGGTGGCCAAGAAGTGTTGGGGAATCCTTTTCCTGGTAATAATTACAGGCGAAAGATGGCCCCATCTGTTAGAGATCAAGTGTGGAATATCACAACCCCAGATCCTTGCTGGGGCAAGGTAGGGAGTGGTGAGAAGTTGGACTTACCCATCCCCCATGGCCCATGTGCCCCACAGAGATACATCTTCTTCAAGACACCGAGGGAGGTGAAGCCTCCCGAGGACCTGCAAGACCTGGGGGTACGCTTCCTGCAGCCCTTCGTGAATCTGCTGTCCAAAGGCACCTACTGGTGGATGAACGCCTTCATCAAGACTGCCCACAAGAAGCCCATCGACTTGCGAGCCATCGGGAAGCTGCCCATCGCCATGAGGGCCCTCACCAACTACCAACGGCTCTGCGAGGCCTTTGACGCCCAGGTGGTCAGTGGGGGCACAGCCACACCATCTATTCACTGCCTTCTGGTTTAGGGTCACAGAGAGGGACCTCAAAGGGCATTAGGTCAAAATCCTGGTGGGACAAGAGGGGAAACTGAGGCTGGTGAGGGGAAGAAGCTTGCCTTAAGTCACACAGTGAACCAGGGACAGGTGCAGGGCTGAGGATTCATAGGACAGGCACAGTTGGAATGGCCCTTACCGTTTAGGTCGTCTAGTCCAAAGTCCTTATCCAGATGGGGAAACTGAGGCTCTGAGAAGGGAAGTGACCCCACTGGACTCTCACATCCCTGTGCTCTTTCCTCTGCAGCTTACTGACTATAAAGGTTGGAGTGTTCACTTGATTTGGAGCAGGGGTGTTAGTGGCCTGATCCTTATGGTAACTCTATGAGTTGAGCCAGACAGGAATCTCCCCATATCACTGAGGAGCAAATTGAGGCCCTGAGAAAGGCTGTGACCTGCCCAGAGCTGGCCACAGCTGGCAGGCGGCAGAGGCAGTCTCCTGGCTCCCAGTCCAGTGCTCCTTCACTTCCTCTGCCCTCGCACCAGGGCAGTTGCTGAGGCAGACACGGTGGCAGGTGGTAATGAGTGAGTGTGGCACATGGCCACCTCCTCATTCCAGTGCTGTGCTCATCACATAGTCCCTGACCAGCTGTGTGACCTTGAGCAATCATCTGGCCTTAGTTTCCCCATCTAGACCATGTTGGTGTTGATAGGGCCCTCCCAACTGTGCACTTGCTGATTCCATGATCTCTTCCTGGAGTTCACCTATTTGCAGAGGATGTGACCACTGGGTTTCCCCAGACAACAGGAGCTAGGGGCATCCTGGGAGGCTAGGCCCAGCCGTGAATTAGCCCTCAGGCACTCTGACCTGGCCATGGTCTCTCTGGGCAGCGGAAGGACATTCAGGGCACTCAAGGTGCCCGGGCCATCTGGCAGGCACTCAGCCATGCCTTCGGGAGGCGCCTGGTCCTCAGCAGCACTTTCCGCATCTTGGCCGACCTGCTGGGCTTCGCCGGGCCACTGTGCATCTTTGGGATCGTGGACCACCTTGGGAAGGAGAACGACGTCTTCCAGCCCAAGGTAGGCAGCCCCAGGGGTAGGGTAAGGCACCCTCTAGATGGTTTTCAGTTGTTTCTGAGAGTGCAACAGGCCAATGTGTGTGAGCCATGGCCACACTGGAGTGGCTCCTCACACATGCGCAAAGCCCATAGCAGTATCCCCACCACAGAATACTCTACATCTGGTCAACAGAAATGCCAGAGGGCGAGCCTATGCCCCAAGGGTATCCTACTCTCCTCTCACCGTCACTACCATAGTACCTCTCCCGGTAGTTAGGTCAGTCCGAAAACTGCAGGAAGTGCTTTTGTTTGTCCAGTGTCTAGAGCTTCTGTGACTTGGATTTGTTGGCTTTCAGTTCATGTCATCTTAGTAAACTCTTTAAAAGTTTTCAAGATCTGTCTTCTTCAGTCCTGTAAAGGCTGGCACTTGAGCTTTCTGCAGGGGCATCTTGGGAGCTACTGTCAGAGGAGAGAGAAGTGGGAAACCCTCACGAGTGGAGCTTTGTCTCTCCCCACTCCAAATTTCATTCAAAGCTGCCCGTAGTTTTATTAATATGTTGGACTTTTCCATTAAAATTTCTTTTTTAAGAAAAGTTTCCATGGCTTAAAAAACACTGGAGACTTATTAGACTAGATTATATCCAATGGCCTTGGCAGTTGTAACGATTCTGCAAACTGAAATTTGTTGGAGCTAGAAAACCTTTCCCCGGGGTTATTTGCCCTGCGTGGGGCCGTAGCATCCACTTCGGGGGCTGGGCAGACTGTGCTCTGTTGTCTGTTTCCTTGCAGCCGTTTAGGTTTAAATGGCCACAAAATGAAAACTTTTTCACCCCTAATAAGTTTCAGAGTTTTAGTTTCCAAGTGAGGATGTCATTATAACATTTTAACCACAGACAGTCTGAAAATAATGCAGAGAATGGGGAATTAGGGTTTTTAATAATTTATGACACCCTTTGCGTAACATTTGTTCATCTCATGAGCTCCAAAATCGCAGCCAGCAGTTAATCCTCAGGAGGTTTATGTTCATTTTTCTGGAGACATAATTAGTCAGCTGAACAGTTTTGGCCACAGATATGAGATACGTTGAGTCTGATTTATGCAGCAAACTTTCATTGAACACTGCTGTGTGCCAGGCCTGGGTTGGGCTGTGGGAATATGAAAGCAATAGTTATGATGAGGATGATTAACAATATTAACAGCCACTTACTGACCACATAATACATACCTGGCTGTGTGCAGGAGTTATCCATGTGTTATTTAATCCCTAAAACTATCCTTTGGCGTGAGTATATTTTGCAACATCTTTACTGTGGTATACCTCAAATACTGTACAGTTTATGAGATGATAGGTATTCTTATCCCCATTTTACAGATGAGAAAGTTGAGGCTCAGAAAGTTTAAGTAATTTTCCCCAGGGTCTCTCAGCTAGTTAATAACAGAGGCAGAATTTGAACACAAGACTCACTCCACAGTCTGGGCATTTACAGCCAGGAAGCTAAATTGACTATTATTATCAAGCCATCACCTCTGGCTCCAAGGATTATGAAATCCAACAGTGAGGAGAGAAATCAAAATAAAATACTTTTATGCTATGTGTTACATGTGACTCTTAGGAGGAATATTCAGGGAATTGTGGGAAAAGATAGTGATTAACTTAGCCAGTGGTCATGAACAGCTTCATAGAGGAGGGGATGTTTGAAAGGGGTCTTGACGGATGAGTAGGAATTTGCCAGGCTGCCATGGGAAGATTTCTTGCTCAACCAAGAATGCAAGGACCACTTTTGCTTATTTAAACTTTGATGGCTTTTGAAGCCATATCTGGCTTTTTGAGCCTCTCTACTTTACCTGGCCCATAAAAGAGAGGGGAAGCGGCTGCTTCTCTTGTCTACAGGAGTGTCACCTTTGGCTCTAGCCTGACCATAGGCTACCCCAGAATACCCCCATTGGCGATCCTGAAGCAGCATGGAGCCAGTTGTTAATATCAGGGGGAAATGGCACAGGCCAGAGCCCTTATCAGAGTGTCCACACCACGCTCTTCTTCCTGTGTTTCCCAAAACCCTTGTGGGATTCTGCTAAGGAGAGAGCTCTGAGGCAGGACGTGCCAAAGAGATGGCGAAAGCACTTAGAATTTTAGTTCATCTGAACGTTATCATTGCCGTTTTTTTCTCTTTGTTTATACACAAACCCTGGGGTTTATTACCGTCTCATTGGAATGCTCTTGTCCCAGTTACTTAGCACACAAATCCCTGAGACAGATGGCCCTGCCTCAGTGGCAGTGGGCCTTATCAGATTTAATATTTTTTCCCTGCAGCCCAAACACAATCAGAAAATTTCCGACACAGAAACAAGAGTTGAAAGTAAATATAGTCTCCAGTGTCCGCAACAAAGAACTCTCCATCATGTGGTTGCCTGGGATGTGGCTTAATTCTCATGTGGGCTTCTGAGCTCAGAAAATGGGGGAAAGGGATCATTTACTGAGATCATTTGGTTCATCTCCCAGCCCCCAAGCCATTCTAATCCAGAGAGAACCGAGTGCTATTCTGGTCTTTATGAATGACAAAGAAGGAAGCTCCCTAGCTACATGTTGCAGTGTTTCACAGTCTGGGAGAGGAAGCCGTTTTTTCTGCCCAGCCTGAATCCATCCTGCAGCAGTTGGCACAGCGAGGCACCTGTGGTTTATTCATCATCACTCTTCCTTCCTAAGATACTCAGAGTTGGCAAGAAACATGTCATCCTTGGTATCCGCAAGGACGAACATTTCTGATGTCCTCTTTAGTTACTGAAAGTGTCTGTGACTTGCCAGATCTTTGATGCTCCTGTCACCCCGCTGCCACTCCCCAGGGAAAGCTGGGACCCAGGTTGGGCTCTGCCTATGATCTATAGCTCTTTCCAGCCTCCTCTCCAACCCAACCCCTACTCCCAATCTGTCACCTCCCATGGATGCCACTGATCTGGCTGAAGGACAAGAGAATTAGATTCATAATGAGCTGCTGGTGTCTGAAACCTGCCAGCACTGCCCTGGGCTATCAGTTGAGCCAAAGGAAGAAGGAACAGTCTGGGTTTGATCGAAGGGCTAAAGCTTCAAACAGCCTCTAAGTCTCAGTAGGAAAATGTGTAGGTTTGGGAGGGTGTATGTGTTTCCGAATGAGTTCCCCTAAGAACTGCTTATGGTTCTATATGTGTGTTCTGTTTGTCCCTGTGTCTTTTGGTGTGTCTTTTTCTGCGTGTGTGTGTGCATGTGTGTGTGTCTATGCCCCCGTTTGGATTGCCATATTTGTGGCTATCATTATGAGTGACTTAATGAGTGTATATGCATTGGTGTTTCTGTGACTTTGTGGTTTTGATGCATGGGCTGGCCTCTTCATAACCATGTCCATGCAGCTGGTCTGGCCTAGAGTACCTGCCTTCAATTCACTAGCTCCTTCTTGGCCATCAAGACTCTGCTCAAATGTCACCTGCTCCAGGGAGCCTTCACCTGGTTGAATTAGATGCCCCTTATCTGTGCTCACATAACATCCTATCAAAGCGCCCTGTTTCTTTCCCTGACTTGATCCTCTGTCCCCTATTGCCTGACCTCTGTGTGCCCAGCACTCAGCCCACTGCCTGACACCCAGGAGATGCACGGGAAATGGTTCTGCAAAGAAGGAATAATGCAGCAATTACTATATATTGAGTGCTTACACTTACTGTTTTTTCACATGCACTGTTACATTGACTTCTCATAACAACTCTCTGAAGTCCCTTCATAGCCTCACCTTACAGATGAGGAAACTGAAGCTAAGAGAGGTTGAGGAACTTACCTAAGGACACAGTGGCTAATATATGATGAGTCAGGACCTCTAAGTCCAGGCTCTTAACCACCGTGTCAAACAGTCTTGTATGAATGGGTAGGTGTGTTGGTCTCTGGGTGGCCAAAGATAATTTTATTCTTTACCCAGGGCCTCCCGGGGCTGGGACCTACGGACAACTCACCTTTTGACACCTGCCAAAATAGGAAACAAGAGTCCAAGTGATCCCCTCTCCTTTAAGCACCAGAGAACATGTGAAGGGGACCTTTCCAATCATACCTCTGGCCTGGCAGAGACAATGGGGCTCCAAACTGTAGAGTCGGGAGTGCTGGGTTTTAGTCCTACCTCTGCAGCTAACTCATTTATTCTCCTCAGCAGTCACATTCTGCAAGCCTCAAATGCAAAATGTGTAATAACTTCTGTAGAAAGTACATGGGGGCATGAAGATCATTGGCTTGATTGCTTTTAAAAAATCGGTATTGAGCACTACTGGGGAAATCCCTGGAAACAAACACAATTCTTCCCTGAGAGCTTGTGAAAATGCAAGACTAGGGCCTATGATTTTCCAAAGCATTTTCTTCCACCAAGTGTCAGGTTGTAGGTCCTTGGTCTTTTCTCTCTTGCCTTGGTACCTGCAGGGTGCTGACCAGTGCTATCATATCCCCTCCCCGTTTCCTAGGACCCTCTTCTCGGTAGACTCCAACAGGGCCTGCCTTCCTTGGGCAGCATGGCAGGCCTCTTGGCTAGTCTAGTACCCACTTCTTTTTTTTTTTTTTTTTTTTTTGGATGGAGCCTCACTCTGTCTCCCAGGCTGGAGTGCACTGGCGCAATCTTAGCTCACTGCAACCTCTGCCTCCTGGGTTCAAGCAATTCTCCTGGCCCAGCCTCCCAAGTAGCTGGGATTACAGGCATGCATCACCATGTCCAGCTATTTTTTTGTATTTTTAGTAGAAACAGGGTTTCAGCATGTTGGCCAGGCTGGTCTCAAACTCCCGACCTCAGGTGATCTGCCTACTTCAGCCTCCCAAAATGCTGGAATTACAGGCATGACCCACCACGCCTAGTCAGGTACCCACTTCTTAACTGAAACTTAGCTATTCCAGGTTCTATCCCTTTTAAACCAACTCTTTGAAGAGAGGTCTAATAATGACCCAATGACTTATAGCTGCAGTGAGATTTTTATTTTAACAGGTCACAAAATTCTCAATCCACAAAAGTAGATTTCTGACCCTAGGTTATTTTGTTGGGGGCGGAGAGAGGAAGTCAAAGGTTTTGCAGCCTTTAGAGCTGCAAAACCAGAATTTGTTGTTTTGTTAAAAATGCACAAATACCGACGAGTATATTTAAGTAACACCCATAGTCTAACGAACAAACATGATCAGTTGGCTTTTCCAGCCCTCATTCTCCAGCCTGTGTGTTTTCTGCTCATTGTAACACAGCGTGTGTGTGGCATTCCATGTTTCTCCAGAGCTTTCATGAGAATCAGTGGTCTTGGATGCATAGTGTTCCCATGAGTACCTTAATTACCTAACCATTCCCTGTGGTTGGAAATTTATATGGGTTTTTGCATTCTCCTTCTGCTCTGACCCCAAAATAAATGTCTGTGTTCATACAGCTATTACCTTATGTGAAATTATTTTCTTTGGGATAAATTCTCATGATGTGTTGTTGCTTTAAAATAGTGGACTCCAGTCTCCAGAGCTGCGTCTCTGCAGAGGACAGTGGGACAGAAGAATCCCAGGGCATGTTAAAAAGGACCGGGTCTTCCTAAACCCACATGCCTATATTTCTGACCCAGTACCAGCCAGGGGGGCAAGTTTCCATCCCCCACAAGTCACAAACCTGTAACTGACACTAGGATGCTTAAGGTCAAAGGCCTGGACGAGGCCTAGACAGTGGGTCTGGGGTAGTGTTTTTGACATCACTCAGGTTCATGTTCACATGTTGTCCCCTTACCAGCATGTGACCTTGGGCCAGCCACTAACCCTACTGAAACTCCTTTTTTTCATGTATGAAATGGGGCTAATAATGGTACCCTCCTCATTAGGGTATTGTGAGGATAGAGTTTTGCACCTGATAAATATTGTCTCCTGCCCCTTCCTCCCCTGGAAATTCAGGTCTCTCCCTGCAGCCTAATTTTAAGGCCCATTTTTCTGCTTCCAGCCCACCCCTGCCCTTCTACCTTCGACCTCCTCCCTCTGCCTCTCCCTCTGGTGCACTGGCAAATGGGACAGAGAGCCTCGGTAGGGCCTTCCTCTTAGAGTCTTGCACGCATCCCTCAGTGGTCTCCCTGTGGCTGCTTCCTGCTGCCACCAACAGATACAGACCCCTGTCGCACAGATCATGGTAGAGACAGTGGTGAGCAGGACCAGACAGCTCCAGGGAGCAGTGAGGGCTGGCTTAGAGAACCTCTGTTAAACTGAGAGGCCACCATCAGGAAGCTCTGATCCAAGATCCAGGAATCCCTGACTCTAGGGAAAGGCCTCCAATGAGAGCCTGGGCCCTCTCTGCCTGATTCTGATTGTGGATGTGCCCTCAAACTCCTTCTCATCACTTTGTTCCATCCCTCTTTACCCTGCAGCAGCTCCCACACCCTGCCAAACAGGATGCACAGTCCAGGGCAGTGTCTGAGAAAGAGCAGAGATCTGTCTTCATGGAAATATTGATGTGGCTCTGCTGGGGAGCAATGGATTTATCAAGATCAAAGTTTTCCTGGGAGTTATTGATGCTTAATTTGGAAATAGACACACTGTTGATCCCTGGTATCTTTAGCAACAAAGTTAAAATGTTTGTTTTTCTTCACTGGTTGCCATCTGAGATCTTGCCGGAAGTACACAAGAGAACCTTAAATTTAACAGGAGGCCCTGGGAGCCCATGAGGCTGGCGGGCTTGGGTCTGAAATCTTTTCAGTCTCTTGTAAGTGATGAGCTCTCATTCTCTCCTGAGAGCTCTACGGTGCCATGTTTTCCACTGGCCTTTTCTGCTCAGTAATTGCTACATTACAGGCTGTTGGTAAGTTCGGAACAAGGGAGCTGCTGATTCCATTTCTGTAGCAGAGAACATGCACCGTGAGACTTGTTGTACCAGTTCAGGTTTTAGGTGCTCTATTTATTCTTGCCCCATTCAGAATGCTCTCCCCTGGGTCTGTGGCCACAATGCTAAGAGTCATATTTATGGGCCTGCAGTTGTAATTGGGCCCCATTCTGTTCCCCCAAGTGGAAAGATGAACAGGGTGTAAGCAACCTTCCCTGTAGTTAGAAAAACGTTTAGTTGGATTTATCAGTCTGATTTTTCACTCATAAACAATTGCACAAGCCTTTGCAAGCCCAGAGGGTCTTGTAATAATGATGGCCGTGGTCCATTATGGCACAGTGATGTGTTCTACGGTGGTCATTTTGCTGGCAATGACAGTCACCTCTGAACTTCTCTTTCCAACAGACACAATTTCTCGGGGTTTACTTTGTCTCATCCCAAGAGTTCCTTGCCAATGCCTACGTCTTAGCTGTGCTTCTGTTCCTTGCCCTCCTACTGCAAAGGACATTTCTGCAAGCATCCTACTATGTGGCCATTGAAACTGGAATTAACTTGAGAGGAGCAATACAGGTACTTGGATGATTATTTTTTCACTTTGCCATAAGAACCATTATTAGGAATAATGTCCATGAGTGTTATTCATCCTCATGGACACTCAAGAATAATTCTGCTGTAAATTTATTTTTTGTTGCCCATTAACGATGTTTTAAAACAGTAACCATTGACAAGGCAGTGTGGGATAGTGGAAAATATCTTGGGCTGAACTTGGGAGACAGTGTAGCTCTGGCTCTGGTTCTGCCTTGGACTGGGTCTGAAAATCCAGCTGCTCAGCCCTTGGCTTGAAAGTGGTAGACGTCACTAATTGATCACAGCACTCTTTCTGACCAAGGGTAAATGCAACCTTGGAATCCTCTCTAAGTGGCTGTTCCAGAGTTCTGCTACCAGACAGTCTTCTTTGGGTGTGAAAAAAGGAATGTGCTTGACATACAAGGTCTAGATAGCCTCTAAGACAGGGTCCCCTCTAAGATGGGGTATTGGTCCATGGCCTGTTAGGAACTGAGCCACACATCAGGAGGTAAGCAGTGGGAGCAAGCATTACTACCTGAGCTCTGCCTCCTGTCAGATCAGCGGCTACATTAGACTCTCATAGGAGTGCGAACCCTATTGTGAACTGTGCAGGCAAGGGTCTAGGTTGTGTGTTCCTTATGAGAATCTAATGCCTGATGATCTGAAGTGGAACAGTTTCATCCTGAAACCATCCCTCTCCCCCAGGTCCATGGAAAAATTGTCTTCCACGAAACCAGTCCCTGGTGCCAAAAAGGTTGAGGACCACTGCTCTAAGTTCTATTTGAACCCTTAAGTCTTGCTCACTAATGAGAGTGACCTATTTGGTCTGTTGGGTCACTTAAGTCTAGGCTCTTGGTCCTGCCTTCTGTGATTTCCTTCTTAGAGTTTCTGGAAAGATGATCAAAGCCAGGGAGTGTTCAGGGCCCCTCTGAAGAAGGTGATGATGAGAGTTGTCCAAGTCCCAGGGTCTTCACTAGGATTTTGGTTCAGCTATCAGACTAGAGAGACATCCTGATTGAGAGTAGTTTAAATGGGATAGAAGTTTGTTTATTCTTCAGATAGAGTCAGGGCTGACACAGGAGCTACTCAATGATCAGAGACCTGGCTTCTTCTGTCATGTTGCTCTGCCAGCCTTCTTTTGTGACTTTTGTCTCCATAGCCATGGTGGGTATTGAAACTGCCACTATATTTACATTTAAACTAGCCAGAAGAAGGGACAAGAGGAGGGAACGCATTTTCCTTTTAAAATGGTAATACCTGATTTGCACATACCCTCTCGCATCCCATTGGTGAGAAAGTGGCCAAATGGCCGTATCTAGAGAGTCTAGAAAGAGCTTGGTCTTTATTCTTGACAGCTATATATGCACTGCTAGAAATTCTCTGTGCAAAGAGGAGAATGGGCATTGGGAATAACTAGATGCAGCTATGCCTAGTGATGTCCATGAAGTTGTGGTAAAATCCTGAAGCTACCTTGTTCTTTGGAAATGTTCCTCAGAATCATTAACATTAGTCATGTGGGAGACAGGAGAAGAAGCTCTGCAGAAAAGGGACCGAGAGGACAAGGATATAGCTTGGGCTGGGGACAATGTCAGAGTCCAAACTCTGGCTATCTTGGAATAGTCTGTGTGAACGGTGCCCTCCCAAGTTGTGCAGTGCACAACCTGTGCAGCTATATATGGCAACCCTGCCCATCCCCAGTGGTTTCTCACTGGGAAAGCAGAGTATTTCCTCAGGGATGTCATTATGTGACAATAGTGGAAAAAGCCCAGGAAAATCTAAGACCTTCTAAGACTCATGGGGGCCCAGAGCTGGGAGGAACCAAGCTGTTGCTCAGTTCAGAAAACTTCTCTAGAAATCCCAGCCTCTCCTCACACCCCTCCAGTGACAGGCAGACTTGCACCACCACAAGCAACAGCCACTTTTGTGGTTGGGCAGTTTTGTAATTAAATATACTAATGTGTGTATGTCATAAATTACATTTTCCAATTATGCCAAAAGAGCCAAAAATGGTTTTTTAATGGTTAGCATATAATCGTTTTTATCAAATTGCTTGAATCTTTCATGTTAATAAGAGAGATTCATTACTATGCCACAAAAAGCAAATACTGGCATTAATTATAGAAACAAATTAGGGGGGTGGAGCGCAATGGCTCATGACTGTAATCCCAGCGCTTTGGGAGGCTGAGGCGGGTGGATCACAAGGTCAGAAGTTTGAGACCAGCCTGACCAACATAGTGAAACCCCATCTCTACTAAAAATACAAAAATTAGCCAGGCATGTTGGCGTGCACCTGTAGTCCCAGCTACTCAGGAGGCTGAGGCAGGAGAATCGCTTGAACCCAGCAGGTGGAGGTTGCAGTGAGCTGAGATCGTGCCACTATACTCCAGCTTGGGCGACAGAGTGAGACTTCATCTCAAAAAAAAAAAAAAAAAAAAAGTGGCTCATGCCTGTAATCCCAGCACTTTGGGAGGCCAAGGCGGGTGGATCACAAGGTCAGGAGATCGAGACCATCCTGGCTAACATGGTGAAACCCCGTCTCTACTAAAAATACAAAAAAAAATTAGCCAGGCATGGTGGCGGGTGCCTGTAGTCCCAGCTACTCGGGAGGCTGAGGCAGGAGAATGGCGTGAACCCAGGAGGAGGAGCTTGCAGTGAGCCGAGATGGCACCACCGCACTCCAGCCTGGGCGACACAGCAAGACTCTGAAAAAAAAAAAAAGGAAAGAAAGAAGGAAAGGAAAGGAAAGAAAGGAAAGGAAAGGAAGGAAAGAAAGAAAGAAAGGAAAGAGAGAGAGAGAAAGAAAGAAAGAAAGAAAGAAAGAAAGAAAGAAAGAAAGAAAGAAAGAAAGAAAGAAAGAAAGAGAAAGAAAGAAAGAAAAAGAAAAGAAAGGAGTTAGGGAGAAAAAAACCCTTTCTTTCTTTCTTTTGGAGATTTCCGGAAAATGTACCCTTACGGATGAGAGCCTGTGTCTTCATGGGTTAGAGAATAACCACGCTTTGTGCATAAAAAGTTATTAAGCACAATTCCTGAATTATACATAATTACTAGCTGTCAGTCAGTTGTGCATTTCTGTGTATGCTGGTCTTCACTTAATAAGACTTTATTTCACAGATCACTTGGTGTCCCTACTTCACTGAAACTAGGTGATTATCTTTTGAAGTCTCATTTCACATAACCTAGGAGGTATATAGATTTCTTTAAAAATGTCATTGCCATTATTTTAAACCTTACCCATGGTATATATAAACTTACAGAAAGACAGAATAGGTTCATTATTTTAAACCTTGCCCATGGTGTATATTAGCTCACAGAAAGACATAGAATAGGTTCCTGCCTTAAGAAAACCTGACCCACAAAAAAGCCTGGGTTTACACAAAAGAGGAATTAAGGGCGGGGAGCCCACCTTACAACAGAATGAATAATAGAATTTTATCCAAGAGCAGGCATCCTGAGGACATTTAAGACCCGGATGCATTTTTCCTTGTTCAAGAGCACACATCCAAAAATTGCAGTCTTTCTGCGAGTCATGATCACTCTGCACATAAAGCGTTTAGGTTCAGAGCTCGGGGAGGCCATTACCATGGCTGCTCTCTGTCTGCCCTGTGAGGGTCCTTGGGGTGGCTGCACTCTGGGGATGGTGCTGGGGCTGACTGACTCACGCGGTCGTGTAACACATCAGACCTTCCAAAGTCGAACCCTTGTTTTGTTTCAAGGCTCAATTATGACAGGACTTGGTCTCAGAGCAGATCCCCTCCCTAGGCTGGAGAAGGCCACTTTAAAACAGATGGCCTGCCCCACTTCATCATTTTTATGGCTCTGATCTGTGTTCTCCACTGGCCTCTGGTAAATCAAGAATACAAGTGGACATGAAGATCTGCTTTAAAAAATAAAGAACAGACCGGGTGCGGTGGCTCATGCCTGTAATCTCAGCATTTGGAGGCCGAGGTGGATGGATCTCCTGAGGTCAGGAGTTTGAGACCAGCCTGGCCAACATGGCAAAACCCCATCTCTGCTAAAAATATAAAAATTAGCTGGGCATGGTAGGCACGTGCCTATAATTCCAGCTACTCCGGAGGCTGAGGCATGAGAATTGCTTGAACCCGGAAGGTGGAGGCTGCAGTGAGCTGAGATCATGCCACTTCACTCCAGCCTGGGAAGCAGAGCGAGACTCTGTCTCTAAATAAATAAGTAAATGAATTAAATTAAATAAAAATAAAGAACCAATTAAGTCCTGTCTACAGGAAAAGGCCTTACTTGCTGGAGAAGTAGCTTGCTGTGCTGGAGTAGACTAGTAAGTTGGAACGGTGATACAGTACCACCTTACAGAGCTGCTCTAGGGCACCATGGGGACTGTCTGAGAAGCCCCTGGCACACTGTAACAGGTGGCATCTGGTGTGGTGATGATGATGAGAATGATGATGAATGTGAAACACTCTGCTCTCATTTCTAGACCAAGATTTACAATAAAATTATGCACCTGTCCACCTCCAACCTGTCCATGGGAGAAATGACTGCTGGACAGATCTGTAATCTGGTTGCCATCGACACCAATCAGCTCATGTGGTTTTTCTTCTTGTGCCCAAACCTCTGGGCTATGCCAGTACAGGTACTAGATGGGCTGAGGGGAAGGGAGGGGGGCAGCAGGACACACAACCAGAATCTGCTGGTCCATGGCCAGTAACTAGGAGCACACCGTCTTCCACTCCATGCTTGCCTGTACCTTTCACACACTTGGCTATACCACAGGCTGTACCTCTGGGTCCCTCCTGTCCCATACTCTGCAAGCACTGACCATCTCTCTTAATGACCAGAGAAGGCAGTATCATTAAGACTTTAAAAATGGAGCCAACTTTATAAACTATAGAAAAATCAAGCCAGGTTCAGGGGCTCACACCTGTAATCCCAGCACTTTGGGAGGCTGAGGCAGGAAGATTACATGAGCACAGGAGTTCAAGACTGGCCTGGGCAACACAGTGAGACCCCTTCTATGCAGAAAAAAAAAAGAAGAAAGAAAAGAAAAATCGTACATGGAATGCCCACAGATCTTAAAAGCTATGTTGTAGCAAAATATTTAATTACATCAAAAAGTGTTAGTGATGTATTTTTAAGCAAAAAGAGTAAGTTACAAATAGTATATGTTGTATGCTTACTACTAAACTGGAATATATGTTATGTATACATTTGTACAGATTCACACATGAAAAAGAATTGGAAAATCACATAGTGGGATTATAAGTGATTTTTATTTTCTTTATGTGTTTCTAAATTCTCTAATAAGCGTGTATAAGATTTGGAAATCAACAACATGATACTTTTAGCCTAGGCAACAAAGTGAGACCCTGTCTGTACAAAAAATTAGCTGGAAGTGGTGGCTCACAACTATAGCCCCAGCTACTCAGAGGCTGAGGTGGGAAGATTACCTAAAGTCCAGGAGGCAGAGGTTGCAGTGAGCTACAATCACACCACTGCACTCCAGCCTGGGCGATAGAGTGACACCTTGTCTCAAAAACAAACAAAACCTGGTGTTTTTTAGCCAGATGTGGTGGTGCGCCCCTTTAGTCCCAGCTACCTGGGAGTCTGAGATGGAAGGATTGCTTGACCCCAGGAGTTCAAGGCTGCAGTGAGCAATGATCACGCCCCTGCACTTCAGCCTGGACAACAGAGAGACTCCTGTCTCTTAAAAAATAAAAATAAAAACGTTAAAACATGGTATTTTTTTAAAGCAAGACAACCTTTGGTGCTGGCTCAGGAAGAGGTACATTACCCCCCAATAATCAGAGGAGAATCGTCAGCATGATTGATCTGACCTCGGGCTTCATGTGTCCCATCTCCCACCCGGAGCTCTTCCACCACAGAGTCTGATCCTGTCCTATGCCTGGGACTAAATCTTCACCCTGGTGTTCAGGCCAGAAACCGAAATCCCAGACCCATTCCCAGAGGGCGGGAAGGTTCCACCGGGAGAGCTTGATGTAGCAGAAAGTGACTTGGGTGAGACAGGCTGATTCAAATACTTAACCTCTCTGAGCCTTGGTTTCTTTATCTATGAAATGGGGAGGCTGCCCACCCTCTGGAGTTGCTATGGCAATTCAGTTAGATAATGTAAGTAACACAGCAGGCAGAGTGGCCCCCAGAGTCTTCACTTCGTAAATATCAGATCCCTCTACCTTGCACATGTTTGGTATGAGTGAGGTGTTACCAATCCAGAATCCATTGCTTCTTGGGATAAAGATTCCATAAACCTTCATCTCCAGTGATTTGTATTGGTCCTCCTTACTTGTAAAGCTTAGAGTTTAAAAATATTAAAAGAAAAAAAGGGGAGAGGCTCCCACAGGGACACAGCTAGACAAGATGAGATGCAGGGAATCTGATGTTCTTTTTTATGGGAACAGTCATATATGCCATCCCCCATTACCACCTACCCATGCCCAGACTGCCCCCGCTCCATTCTGCCAAGACAGATCAATGACTATAAAAGCTACAAAAGGGCCTGGAGATCTCATCTAGTTTAGTTACCAACCAACCTTTTATGCACAAGACTTTCTAAGCTGGGTGTGGTGGCTCATGCCTGTAGTCTCAGCCACTCAAAAGGCTGAGGTAGGAGGATGGCTTGAGCCCAAGAGTTCGAGTCCAGCCTGGGCAACATAGAGAGACCTCATCTCTAACACAATTTTTTTTTTGAAACATGAAAAATGAAGATTTCTGACCATGCTTCTCTCATTAGTTAACACTTTGGGCTGTGAGGGTCTGATGCAGAGAGACACAGCCTGGGAGGATCCTAACATGTACACAGCATTCAAAAGGCTACAAGACACTTTCTGTTGTGTCCCCTTGAACAAGCAGTTTGTAAGATTTTGTTGGCCAGGCATGGTGGCTCGCTCCTGTAATCCCAGCACTTTGGGAGGCTGAGGCTGATGGTTCACCTGAGGTCAGGAGTTCGAGACCAGCCTGACCAATATGGTGAAACCCCGTCTCTACTAAAAATACAAAAATTAGCCGGGCATGATGGCGTGTGCCTGTAGTCTCAGCTACTCCGGAGGCTGAGACAGGAGAATTGCTTGAGCCCAGGAGGCGGAGACTGTGGTGAGCTGAGATCGTGTCACTGCGTTCCAGCCTGGGTAACAGAGCGAGACTCGGTCTAAAAAAAAAAAAAAAAAAGAAATCAGGTTTTGTCTACTAAACCTGCTGCACGGTTACCGTTACTAGTACTCACAGGGTTTGTTGCACATGCATCGTTGCTAATAGTGCTAACTAATATTAACAGCCCTTGCCCTATGCCTGGCCCTGTCCCAGCCCCCCTCCCTTGTATAATTTAACCCTTGCACTGGGGGTAGAGATTTTCATATCTACTGATTTCTTACCTTTGCTCATTTATCATGGAGTGTCCTTTGGTTTTCTGTGTTTGTATATACCTTTACCACTTATAGATTTGACCAGCACTCAAGAACCAGTGTTACTCCTGGGAGTTAATACAATCCCAGCCCCATGGCAAAGAAACTCATGTGGTTAGGATTCTGTGTGCAGCCTGGTTAGCCACAGGGCACGTAAGGCTTTTTATAATATTGACATGAGTGCAGAAGCCCCATTCCCGTGTAAGCCCTGAGGGCTCTTGTTTCATAATCTTTTTTTGGTCACATGCACACAGCTTTATTGAGATATAACCCACTCATTTAAAGCATACAAATCAGTGGGTTTTAGTGTCCTATATTCACAGAGCTGTGCAGCCATCATCACAAATGTGGAAGTTTTCATTTCCCCAAAAAGAAACCCGTACCCATTGGCAGTCACTCCTCATCTTCGCCCCCAGCCCTTGGCCACCGTTTATCTACACATACTTTTGAAAGGCTAGTGAAACTTTCTCAGAAAAATAAATGCTTGCTCAAACATTTGGGCTATAATTTCAGGGGCTTCATGGGTGCCCCCCTGACATTTATCAAGAACACCAGGTTAAGGAATTTAGCTATAATGGAGGCCTCTGTGTTTCCCAGTCTCCTGGGTATCAGAGGCCCAGAGAGGGCAGGTGCCTTACCCTGGGCCACGCAGTGAACCAGTGGCAGCACCATACTCACACATCTCCTTTCTGCGGTTCCCCAGTGACAGAGTTCTCAGGAAGCTTTTTCATTTATTTTCTGAGAGGAGGGTAGGCCATCTTGTATTGATCTCCAACTATATGCCAGCCACAATTCTAGGTGCTTATCATAAAGGTTCATTTAATCTTCACAATAGTCCTGCAGAGTGGACAGAGTCCTTCAGAGTGGGCATTATAATCACCATTTTAAAGATGGAGAAGCTGAAAACCAGAGAGGTTAAGTAACTCACCCAAGACTGCACAGCAAAAGGCTGGGGCTTTGAAACTCAGGGCCACAGACTCCAAAGACTATGTCCTCCCCACTATGCTAGATTTTTTTCCTAACCTGTGAATAGGAGACAAAATAGTCCTTTTATTTCTCACAGTTGCTTTGCACACTCAGAATCCATGATTTCTTCTGCATGAGGGCCATTCAGACCTGTGCAGAAGAGAGTAATGGACCAAGGAGTCTTGGGAGCACCTAGGAGGAGGGGATGGGGGAGCATGAGGAGGAGCCAGGGAACAGCAGCAGCTGCAGCACCAGCTCCCACCCCAGCCTCTGCCAGTCTCTTGGAGGTGGTGTGGGTGCAGACACCGGCTCACAAGGTGCCCTGTTAGTGAGCTTGGGGTGCCATGGGAGCCTTCTTGTTGTCAGGCCCAACCCAAGCTGGCTGAAGAACACCCTGATGGCCTCCATTTGAGCACAACTAATGAAGGACTGGATGCCAGAGATAAGTCCAGGAGGGTGATGCTGCAGGGCAGGCCAGGGAAGAGGGTACTTCATCTCTATCATGGTCCTCTGCCCATCCATGCCAGCATCTAACACCTGTTAAACACTGGGAGGCAGGTGGTGAAGGGGCCACTTCCCAGCCTCTAAGATACCTCCTAAGCCAGGAGGCATTCTGTGATTAAATTACAGGGCCTCCCACTTACTCCTTTATCCTTGAGGCGGTGCTGGAAGCTTAATGCCAATCTGGTGTAGGGCTCTGGGACTACAGGACCAAGGCAAGCAGTCCTTTCTCTCTCTCTCTCTCTTTTTAGCTAAGGAAGCCAGCACATCTGTTCTTTGAGAAAAAGCCCTGTATTTAGAGGTGTCTGCCTTTGAAGGCAACCTGAGAAACTGTCATCTTGGCGCTTTGGGGACTGGCCATTTACACTTCTCATAAATATTCAGAAGTAGGCAGTCATTTACATAAAGCTAAATGCAGAAGGAATTCTCTTTTCAGGGAATACCTGGCAGATTCATTAAAAAAATTAAAGAAACCAAGAGCATAAGAATGAAAAGCGAATTCTCGGACCCCAGGCTGGTTTTTTCTGGCATGGGTGCAGTAACTTTGCCTCTTTGCTCAGTTATCACTTTTTTCCAATGACAGTAACCATAAGCCCTGAGAGCCAGCAAATAGAACAAAAGGTGCTGTCACAAACATTGTGCAATCTCATCTCTGAGATTTCCATCTGGAAAATAGACTGGAGAGAGTTAAGGCTTCAACCAGCCTTGCAGATAAATGCAGTTAGTTACCAGCCCAGCAACCCTCTGCTTGCATGAGAGCCCATTATGCTAACCTCCTTTTGAAATTGCTTTGTTTCTCCTCCTTCCCTGCACTCCACTCCCCAAGATAATTTGGAAACCTGGGCACCAAGGCTTGTCCCACTCTAGGGGACTGGGGAAACAGGGATTTTGCCAGCACCTCCTGGCAGGGCAACCATCAGGTCAAAGGGACCTGACCCATGACCCCTTCCTCAGATCATTGTGGGTGTGATTCTCCTCTACTACATACTCGGAGTCAGTGCCTTAATTGGAGCAGCTGTCATCATTCTACTGGCTCCTGTCCAGTACTTCGTGGCCACCAAGCTGTCTCAGGCCCAGCGGAGCACACTGGTGAGTGCCCAAAGGTGTGTGTGTTTTGTCCCTCTTCCCCTCCTTCCCTCGACAGCAGCAGGTCTCCTCCCACACACCCACACTGTCATTGACTTTGACTTTGACTTTGAGTAGGCCACTTCACCTGTCCAGGCCTCAGCTTCTTTGTCTGGGAAATGGAGTCAATGGGGGAGGAGGCTGCCTCCCGGTGAGGACAGGAGGCGGGCATGGCAGTGACAGTATTGACACTCAGGCCTTCCTCTCGGGTGGGAGACGGAGCAGAAGCCTCTCCCCTCTGACTCGGGGACCCCTGCAGGAGTATTCCAATGAGCGGCTGAAGCAGACCAACGAGATGCTCCGCGGCATCAAGCTGCTGAAGCTGTACGCCTGGGAGAACATCTTCCGCACGCGGGTGGAGACGACCCGCAGGAAGGAGATGACCAGCCTCAGGGCCTTTGCCATCTATACCTCCATCTCCAGTGAGTTCACCCCACACAGCCAGCCCTGGGTGCTGCTGCGTACATGCAAGGAGAGGGTGTCAGAGCTCGGGTAAGAGGGGGTGCAGGGACAGAAGCAGGAGGCCTTGAGATTATCCGACTCAGTAGGGGAGCCTCAAACTGGCTCTGATAGCTAAGCTCCCAGAAATCAAAGTACTCTTCATTCATTTATCCAACAAACATGCATGGAAAGCCTGCTATGTGCTGGACACTGTGCTGGCCCTCAGGATACAGTGATGAGGAAGAGAGATGAAGTTTCATTCCTCATGGAACTGATATGTTATTGACAGACAGCAGCAAGTAAGTAAATGACCACAGTTTTGAACTCTCCTAAGAATGAAGACTTTTTAGTAAGTCAGACTGAGCTGTCATTGCCCTGGGGAAGCTACAAGAAAGCTTCCATCCACTTGGGGCTATGCAAAAGAAAAAGACTAGTTATCCTTAAATATCAGAAGCCCAGGCTGAAGGTACTCACAGGTGTAGGGACTGAATTTATATTAACCAAGTAGTTTGGGAACCCCAAGCCAAGGAAGAAGAAAAAGACCAAAACTGGTAAAAGTCCTAGAGTCCCATATACTTGAAACCATTTTACTGAGAATGTAAAACTTTTTTTTCTTTTTTTGAGATGGAGTCTCGCTCTGTCACCCAGGCTGGAGTGCAGTGGCAAAATCTCGGCTCACTGCAACCTCCACATCCCAGGTTCAAGTGATTCTCCTGCCTCAGCCTCCCATGTAGCTGGGACTACAGGCACACACCACCACACCCGACTAATTTTTGTATTTTTAGTAGAGACAGAGTTTCACCATATTGGCCAGGCTAGTCTTGAACTCCTGACCTCGTGATCCACCCGCCTCAGCCTCCCAAAGTGCTGGAATTACATGCATGAGCCACTGTGCCCAGCCCAAAAGATTTTTTAGAAATTGAAATTTTAGTTATGGAAATTAATTCAGTGAACAATGGTCCCCTGGTCAGAGTGAGGGCTTACGGAGGTCAGGTGATCCATGGAGTCCTGGCCCAAGTTTATCTCACAGTTGGTCTCGTGGCTCCGTGGACCCATCCCATGGTGGTTACTTCCCAAGTGCATAATTGGGATGTAGATATTTAGCAACCAGCTGACTTCACACTAGTTCCCTGACCTGTCCAGTCTAAGAGTCATTATGGCCAAGTGGAAGCCCCTGGAAAGAAGAAAACAAAAAAGAAACCAAAACTTACTCAGTGCACAGGTTACATGAATGAGTATAGCTGAAGAGAGAATTTTTGAATTAGAAGACAGATGAGTGGGGATTACACAGAACGTGGCAAGGAGAGTAAGTTGGTAGAACCATTTTACAGATGGGAAATTAAGGCCAGAGGGGAGTGTGTTCCTGAGATCCCTCCTGAGGTTAGTAGCATGGCTCGGACTAGATCCTCCAAAGTCTCTTAACTCCTGGTCTCAGGCTATTTTCCACAAAGAGCTGGGGGCCTCTGTGGGGTGAAGAAGACTTAGGACACCATGGGGCACCATTATGAGGCCATTTCCTCCTAGGAGAAAAAAAATCTCTGGGCTCTGAAAGGAGTAGAATTAGGGTAGGAAATTAAGAGAGGCTACCGACCACCTCCTCCAACTAAAATTGGTTCTTTTGGTGCCAGGAAGAGACACACCTGGTGGGGGAGGGAAGGTGGTAATGGAGGGGGTGCTGGTAGTGTCTCCCAGATAGACCCATCCAACAAGTCTCATGGAGAATGAGACGGTCACTCAGGTCATCTGCGTATTCTTGGCATTCTTGCTGCCTAGAGAGAGAGTCTGATGGAGCTAGGTGGCCACCAAGCTGTCCCACTCCCCAAGACAGTTTGGAAACATGGGCACCAAGGCATGTCCCTGTCTAGGGGACTGGGGAAATATCCCATAGCAGTGTTCTCACAGTATGGGGCTGGCCATGAATACCCCAGGAGTCCAACCTCCCTTTGTCCAGCTAGACCATGGTGTCCTATGCCTCAGGCAGGGAATGTGGTCCAGTCATCAGTGGCTGGGCCGTCTGCCATACATGGTGCAAGCCATGGCGTTTTATGCAGAAAGTCCTGCTAGCATTTGATTTTCTCAGAATGGAGCTGTGAGCATGGCAGGCAACCACTGTTTCCTGGATTCTTCACCAAGACACCCCAAGTTCCTGGTCTCTCCCCGTTATCCTCATCCCTGACCCTGTGGTTCTCAGAGCCTCCAAACACACTCAGGCTAAGCACTCCATAGACAGGGGAAATTTGGAAGGAACATCTAGGGAGCTCAGAAAAGCCAATGTCCCTAGCCCCAGGCCCACTTCAACCTTCTCTCTGTCAGTCCTGCCTGCCCCTGGAGGCTGGTTACATGAAGAGTAACCCCCTGCTTGTGTATAGCCCCCCAGTTTTGTACAGGTTTAGAGACAGTTCCCAGCAGTAGGAACAGCTGCCGAGGTGGGAGAGGGCTTCTCCCGATAGCCGGGGGACTTCCTCTCCCAGGAACAACAGGGTGGGGTAGAGCAGGCTTGTCGTTGCTGAGATAGAGAGAGGGAAGGGAAACAACAAGGAAAGTGGGGGCACTGGGTCCCCAAGGTTCCTGGCACAGCAAGCAGTGAAGTTGGGGCAGCCTCAGGTCATGTAGTGGGGGCAGGTGACATCTGCTTTGACTGCTCCTAAGAGATATGTACTCATCTCCTGGATTCCAAACTGCAGCCTGGGACATGTTTTCTTATATAAACAGCATCAAAAGATGTGTGAGTTCCCAGGCTAGCCCACTGAACCCTACCTAGTGGGTGCTCATTGTCCCCCAGAGCCCCCAGAAGACAAGCCGTGGCTTTGTGATGGGCCTGGGGCCAGGAGGACCTAGGGATATGTTGTGAAGAGCTGAGAAGACTCTGGAAAAAAGGGGCTCTGGAGCCAAGCAGGAGCCCGCCCAGGACTCCTCACGTGTCCAAGTCACCTAGGGAGAGAAACAGAGCAGCCCAGGTTGGTCCCTGGAAGAGAGCAGCGGAGGAGGGGAAAGGGGAGAGCCCCTGGGGAGAGCTTTGAAAGTCAAGTGCTGTTTGCTCAGTGTGTTTGCCTTTCCGAGGATGTGTTTTTTTTTCCCTCCGTTAGTCAGCAGTGGGAGGGGGAGAGAGACGGGTGGTAGGGTGCAGGGTACCTCCTGGCTGCAGGCATATGCTTTGAGTGCGTGTTCATTTACCTCCTCTGGACTTCCTGCCTTCTGTTACCAGGGATCAAGACACAGGTCATTAGGCGTGAGGTAATGGGGCATCTCTTGTTCTGACCCCTGGCGCCAGTCTTGGAGTCCTGACGCTGCAGAGGAGCCCCAGAGTCACATTTCCTGTTGGGGCCCATCCTGCTCATATGCGGCACCATCAGACTTCTGGGCAGGCAAGATTACCTGTGACTCTGTCTGATGGTCTCGCCATCAATATCACTGAGAGTAGCTGTGTATGGAGTCCCGAACTGGTACAGGATAAAACAGGGGGCTGAAAAGGGAATGAATGGGCACAGTTTCTCTGGCATCAAAAGTCACATCCAGAATTGATATTTCCTGTTGAGTAAAAATAGAAATATAAGTTGCTCAGTGGATGTTGAGTGAGCCCTATTCATGTGCCCCACTCTGTGCCAAGCACCAGGAAGGAGGGAAGGGAAAAATGATAAGATGTTCTCCCCGTTCTCCAGGAGTTTATGCTCCACTAAGAAGTCAGAGCTAACATGCACAGAACAGTGTGGCAGCGAGAGCAGAACCGTGTGGCCAGCTCCATGCTTGCCGCCTAGCAAGCGTGATTGCACTTCATCCTCATAACAACTTGGTGAGGTGTGTTGCTCTGTTGTCCCATTTTACAGCAGAGAGGACTGACTCTCAGTGAATTGAAATGTCTCAGTGAGGTCTTCCACAGCAAAAGGCGAAGCACAGAGAAGGAAGTCCATGTGGGCTGGGAGTTCACCCAGAGATTCATGTAGGGGCAATGTGGGCTGTACCTTGCAAGATGGTGGGATTTCAATGAGGAGAAGACAAAGTGGGAGGAAGCTGGAGACAAGGACTGTGGTCTCTTCCTTTAGAAGTCAGTTCAATCTTTTTTTCCTTGTGGAAGCAGCATAACTCTAGGTGGTTCCTCTGTATCTGAGGACAAGCTTTGTAGAGGTGACAAAGGGGTCCTAGGTCCTATCAGGCAAGCACTCGATATGCTGCCAGTTCATTCTGTCCATTGTGAGATACCCATTCCAGAGCGCTTCCTCTGTGCCAGGCTCTACGGAGGTTCTGGATGTTAAAGAGGAAGCAGGCATGGCCCTGGCCCTCCCAGTCTTGTGGGAGATTGATCATGCCCATGAATAGTGACCATGTGGTCAGAGCCACAGGGTCAATTCCAAATGCCCCTGTTTCTCTTTTGTGTTACTCACCTGACTCTGGGTCTTTCGTTTCTTCCATTCATTTTTTTTAAACAAATATTTCCTGCCCACCTTCTGTGTGCCAGGCCTGGGGATGCAGTGGGAGAAGCCTCTGTCCTCCTCAGTGGAGGCGCTAACTCAGAACAGGCAGTGGAGAAAAACAACATGACCTGGAGACCTGGTGCCCCTTCCTTCCCCAGCATCTTTGAAATTCTTTTGGTTGTTGTTGTTTTGAGATGGAGTCTCACTCTGTTGTCAGGCTGGAGTGCAGTGGCGCGATCTCAACTCACTGCAACCTCTGCCTCCCAGGTTCAAGTAATTCTCCCTGCCTCAGCCTCCCAAGTAGCTGGGATTACAGGTGCTCTCTACCATGCCCAGTAATATTTTTTGTATTTTTAGTAGAGACAGGGTTTCGCCATGTTGGCCAGCCTGGTCTCAAACTCCTGACCTCAGGTGATCCACCTGCCTTGGCCTCCCAAAATGCTGGGATTACAAGCATGAGCCACTGTGCCTGGCCTGAAATTCTTCAATATCTACCTGCCCTTCTGCCAGTTGGTGCAGCCACAGTGGGCTGCTTATGCATATCCTGGCCTGGCTTGGTGGGGAGCATGGCTGAGGGAGAGCCGGGGCACCCATCAATTAAGGAGGTAAAGATCAGTCTGACTGAGATGCCTCCTGCCACACTTCCTCAGCTGCCAGCAACTGACACCATTAACCTGATTTCCTTCCCCCTCTGTTGACTGCACTGACTATTGGACTGAATGGGAAACAGCCCCGTGCACCTCAAAATGCACTTCCCCTCCTGCAGATGCATCTTGCAATTAGGCCCAAACTGTGAGCCTGCATGCTCCTCCCCTGGCCCTGCACAGGCAACAAAGCTGAAGTTAATCAGAGGTACAAATGGCTGGCTATGCCTCTCTGACACGTAACTTCTGGAACATGTATCAATGCTTTGGAAATGAAAAGCTCCTGGTATTGCAATGCCAGGCTGGTGCCCATAAGGGCCAGAAAACATTCCTTGGGCAAAGCCAGGGGGAGTGGGTGATCTGATCCCAGCTCAGGTTTGTTGATTTGTTGTTTTGTTTGTTTCGTTTTGTATGGGGCAAGGGTTGAGGGTATGAAAAACTTACACTATCATTTACTACCGTAGTCCCCAGAACCCAGCACACCAGCACAAGGCCTGGAACAGGGATACCTTTTTTGAATGAATAAGTCTTTTTTTTTTTTTTTTTTTTTTTTTTTGAGACAGAGTTTCACTCTTGTTGCCCAGGCTGGAGTGCAGTGGCGCGATCTCGGCTCACTGCAACCTCCGCCTCCTGGGTTCAAGCGATTCTCCTGCCTCAGCCTCTCGAGTAGCTAGGATTACAGGTATGCGCCACCACGCCTGGCTAATATTTTGGTATTTTTAGTAGAGATGGGGTTTCACCATGTTGGCCAGGCTGGTCTCAAACTCCTGACCTCAGGTGATCCACCCACCTTGGCCTCCCAGAGTGCTGGGATTACAGGCGTGAGCCACTGTGCCCAGCCTTGAATGGATAAGTCTTAAGGGATATTTTTGGAAAGGATATTCTAAAAAATACCCATGTCTCTACACTATTGCAGAAGGGCTTTCAGTTTTGATGGCAGCCTTTCAGGCCAGCCTACACGCAACTAAACTTTTCCATAACAGCATCACACTTACACAAGAAGAAGGTTTTATAATCCACTTGCCATTATTTAACATAGTTCTTCCTCCTTAACTTTCAAGATCTGAGCACTATAATGTTCTTCTTTTTGTTTTTGTTTTTTTCTAAATCAAATTAAGGTGAGTCACCTCACCTTGGGCCTGAGTTGGACAGAAATCTATTCTTGGCTATATTCCCCACCCCTCCACCACCTTGGAACCTTATAGAACTTTATGTGGTTCAGGAAAATGAGGGCGAGGCCTCAGATCTTCAACCCATGACAGCTGTATGCCCAGCTCCCTGCCTTCCTGTCTTACCCCCAGCTAGGGCACAGGACTGACTATTGTGCCCAGAGAGGTGCCAGAGCCTGTAACAACCCCAGACTTCCCAGGTCCAGCCACATCCACCCCAGAGCCCCAAAAGATGATCTTCAGAGAGACCTTTAAAACACAAGTAGCTGGTCACTTCCATCCAGACCAGAACCCAAGATGGCTGTGCTCTTGCTGAGACATGTTGGTTGTCATTGCCTCCGAGCCCACTTTAGCCCTCAGCTCTGTACCAGAAATGCTGTTCCTTTGGGAATCACAGCCAAAGAAGAGATGGAGCAGTTCTGGAATAAGAACACAAGTTCAAACTGTCCCATATCTCCCCACATCACTATCTACAGTTGGTCTCTTCCCATGGCGATGTCCATCTGCCACCGTGGCACTGGTATTGCTTTGAGTGCAGGGGTCTCTCTTTTTGGCATGTTGGCCCTGTTACTCCCTGGGAACTTTGAGTCTTATTTGGAATGCGTGAAGTCCCTGTGTCCGGGGCCAGCACTGATCCACACAGCTAAGTTTGCACTCATCTTCCCTCTCATGTATCATATCTGGAATGGGGTCTGACACTTGATGTGGGACCTAGGAAAAGGCCTGAAGATTCCCCAGCTATACCAATCTGGAGTGGTTGTCCCGGTTCTTACTGTACTGTCCTCTGTAGGGCTGGCAGCCATGTGAAGAACAGAGGTTCCCAGCATCATCTTCCTACACATTATTACATTCACCCATCTTTCTGTTTCTCACTTTTATCTCCAGCCTGGGAAAAGTTCTCCTTATTTGTTTAAATCCTTTTGTGCTTTTAGATCCCCTTGGAGCAGTAGAGTACCTTGTAGACCATAAGAGTGGAAAAGGGTCTAGTTTTCTCCTTGTTTCTAAAGATGGGGTGGCTGAAAAAACTCCCCTTTTTTGCCTACAGCTTGCCTCTCTGGGCCTAGAAGTGGTTATTCTGTCTCCATATTGGCCTTTGATTTGTGCTGAGGGTCAGCTTTTGGCTCCTTCTTCCTGAGACAGTGGAAACAATGCCAGCTGTGTGGCTTCTGCCCTGGGGGCTGGGGGTGAGGCTTTGGGTGCCACTGCCTGTGGGTTGCTGGCTTAAAGGACAATTCTGTTCATTGGTGAGAGCCCAGGCCATTAACACCTACGCAGTGTTATTGAAAGAAGAGAGGCGGGGGTGGAGGGGAATTAGTCTATCCCAGCTAGAGGGAGATAAAGAGGGCTAGTTAGTTCTTGGAGCAGCTGCTTTGAGGAGAAAATGTATAGCTTTTGACACAACAGGAAGATCCAGAAAATTATCATTGAACATATTAAAGGTTATTTCTTTTTCTTGCAAAACACACACACACACACACACACACACACACACACGCGAACACACGCAGCTGATGATTCTACTCTCCCAGCCCCAGCCCTGAAGGGGACCCAGAACTCCCTGCACAAAGGCTGTCCTTCAAGGGGAGGGTGAAAGAAGTGGAAAATCACATTTTCATTCTTTAGCGTCTCCATACAACAGCCAGAACTGGGCAGAAGCTAATTATATCAGAAGCATACTCCATGTTGCTGCATCAGCTTTGGGATGTTCATTTTTAAATTTATTTATAGCTTGTCTCATTCCTCAAAGGAGTTCAGGGAGCTACAAAAATAAAGACAATAAAATTGAAAAAAATTAAATTAAAAAAACCATGACCAGGGAAAATGTGCAGTAGAATGAAGTGTCAATTATCACGTTTTCTGACTGCAAAATCTCCCCCACGGCTGATGCACCATCATTTACTACAACAGCCCCTCTTGTTGGACATTTCCAGTTTATTTCGTTTGGGATGGTTTGTTGCTGTTGCTGTGGTTGTGGTTTTGTTTTATTGAATTTTGTGTTAGCTGCAGCTAATACCATCTTGCTGATGGCTTTGCGCTGCTCTTGAATGATTACTCAGGATAAATTTCCTGGAGACGGATTATAGGATCAGAAGGTCTGAACTTCTGTGTGGCTCTAGCTACAAAGCACCAGATTGCTTTCCAAGAGCGTTGTAGCAATTTATAATCCAACACTCAGCCTATTTTTTGGCTGGGAGTCAAGCCCCAGAATGTGAAGGAGGGGTCTTGGCCTGGAGCAGGGGCTGAGGGATGGGTGCACAGGACCCCTCCTTATTGGTTATTTATGGGGATGGGCCAGGAGGAGCAGAATAGAGGCCCCTGCCCTCCCAGTTGCTCCTTGGAGTGACTGACCCCATAGGGGAGGGGCGAGGCTACCTCACATTTAGAACTATGTAGTTGGTGATGGTCAAGGTCCTAGGTCTGATGGGCATCCTCCTCCCTCTCCTCCTCAGCCAGTAATGGCTGCACTATGTCGTATGTCCTAGATCTGGGTCCCTTTTGCTGTGGGAACACCAATAATACTTACGCTGTTTCCTGCCGGAAACGGTGCAGGAGGGCTGTGGCATGGTAGTGGGCCCTGGAAACCATCTAGCCTTCATGAGGAAGGGCAGTTAAAGCACAGGCATGTATGATGTTGGTATTGATTAAAAGCCTCACGGGCAGAGAAATTCGCCATCTGCCAGGGCCCCAGCCATACGAGGGCTCCAGCCATACATCCTCCAGGAGACTGGGACCTCTCCAATTGCAGGAGCCTTGCCTTCCCCATCAGATTAGGAATTCCCCGAGGATGGGGACAATGTCCTTCCCACCTGCTTGAGAACTCCTAAGGGGCATGTACTCTGTCTCCCCATTGTATCTGGAACTTCCTGGGAGCATAGCTCCTGTCTCCGTCCTCAGACTGGGAATCCCCTAAGGGCAGAGGCCATGTCCTTCCACCCACTTGGGATTCCCTGAAGTTGGGGACCACATCTCTGATGTACAATGCTTTGTATGTACTGACTGCTGCAGGATTCTTGGAGTAAATGGGCAGTCAACTTCTTGGACTGGTATTGACCATCTGGACTTCATCAGAGTGTCCAAGACTTTGCCATTCATTAGACAGGGGCCATGTGCACAGGCAGAGCCCTGGCCTCTGGCTTCTGGCTCCTGACTCCTGGTCCCTCTGCTTTAATTTGGCTAATGGCAGAACCAGACTCCTTTCTGGGCTGCCCTGGAAGGGGATCCTTGAATGAAAGAGGATAGATGGGAAGGTGGCAGCTGACATGGTTACCTCTTATGCCATGGGGGGGCTGCTCTCTCTGGAAATTTAGGCCTGGGGTCAGGGCACTGTTGAGCATTTTACACCCTAGGCCAGAGGAGGGGTGACCTGTGGAGCAGGGCTAAGCTAGTAGCCCATGAGGTATGATGTGTAGGCAGCACCTGGGGCTCACAGAGCCTGTTACCCATGTTATCTCCTCTGACCTTGGAAAGAGCTGGGGTGTATGAACAAGTATTTATAAGTTTACAAAAATCATATGAGGAAACTGAGGCACGGGGAAGGTAAATGACATGCCCTAGGTTACACAGCTTATAAGTAGCAGGGATTCTGCCCTTCTGTCACACCAAGTCCCACTGTCTTTTCTTCCTGGAGTCCCTGTGACTGATCTAAAGGCCACATGTTTAACAGAATAAGGAGGAGGCCTCTGTTGCAGCAAACCAGCTACCCCACCCGCACACAGACTCTAAGGGACATCCTGCTTTAAGCTGTCCTTAGTTACTAATACCTCAGTGAGAATGAGTTTGAAATTTTCTCAAGAGCCATGGGAGACTAGGAAGTCTCTAAGCTTCATAGAGAGCCTGGCTTGGGGGGACACAGGAGCCAAAGGCAGAGGAAGAAGTGGCAGCTTTGTGCCCCCAGAAACACGTGCTCCTGACCTCACAGTTGGCCACAGCCAGCCAACTCTCCCATCCTTCTCCCACCACTTTCCCGTGGGGCTAACTTCACCCTGTCCACACGGAGTGACTTAACAGTTTAAGCCCCAGAGTCGGGGGCCGGGGTACCTGGGACAAGAGTCCTGAGGGAAATGGGGTGAGGAACTGGAAGTGCCACAGGGCTAGAGTTCTGCCCCTAGCCTACTGGAGCTGTGCCCCACAGGCTGGCCCCACTGGACTGCGCTGCCTCCAAGCCATCCTGGGCATCTCCATGTGTAGCTGTCACGCTCCTCCCACTAAACGCCTCCCTGTGCTTCCTCTGCAGTTTTCATGAACACGGCCATCCCCATTGCAGCTGTCCTCATAGTAAGTGGATCCTTTCTCCATCTCTTGGGGGTAGGGTGGAGGGGGAGGGCGTCTGCAGTGACAGGCTGCCCAGATTTGGCCTTTCTGCACAGGGGCCTCAGAAGACAGGCTCCACAGCCAGACTGAAAATAGGATCGAAAGTTTATAGAGGGTGTGGCCCCTCCCCAACTCCAGCCGAACAGGGGCCTCTGCCTCCAGGCCTGGAAGACCGGAGGCTTAGTATTTAGAGAAATTAAACTTTCTTTTAAAAAATAGCTATCCAAATTTTTAATTTTTAAAGTGAAACATGTGTATTGTAGAAGTGATGGGAAATCCAGAACAGAAAGCTCAAAGAGAATTAAAATCACCCATAATCCCACTGGTAACATTTTTAATGTGTTTCTTTCCAGTCTTTTTTTAAGGCCTATGATATGTCATTTTCTACAAAAATAGGAATGTGCTATGCATGCAGTTTTGCAACCTGCTCTTTTAAATTTAGGAATATGCCACACACAATTCTCCATGCCACTGAATATTATGATGGTGGCTTTCTAAAGCAATTTTGATAAAAGCTGTGTGTGAGCTGAGCCATGGGGGTCAAGCAGCATGCTCCTACAGAAAGGCCTGGGCCCCTACGAGCCTGCAGCCCCCTCACCCAGCCTCCCATCCCCATCTTCTGTGATGGCTGCAGTTCCTTAAAAAGATCTGCTTATTTCCCCCGGGGCCAGTGTCCCTGAGCTGTGTAGAGTTCACAGCCTGTCGGATACACTTGGGAATTCACTTCCAATGTGATGTATTGAGCTGGTTCCTGGCCTGGCTCCTGGGGGAACTGTGGGTAACAGAGGCCACTGAGCCAGCCAGGTGGCTGGGGCAAAGCACTGTGCAGTTTCGTAATCACTCTGTTTACGTTATCCCGATGAGGACTGGGGAGATGAGCACCCCGCCTGCTGTCTGCAGAGGGGGCCGTGCTGACCTAACCCGAGATCTCCTCCCTGCTTATTCCCAGCCAAGACTGGGCAGGACAGGGAGTCTTGGCCAGGACAGGGAGGGAGCAGCCCCTGCTCTCCAGCTTGAAGTCCTGAACTTGTTGGGGACGTTTCCATGAGATGACTGTGGGGATGATGAAGGTGTCTCCAACTAAAAGATCCTCTTAGGAGCCTGCTCCCTGACAGCCCTCTCATTTCCCTTCCAGTGCTGAGCGTTTCCAGTGTGGGAGGGACCCACACCCTGGGCCACCCTGGCCTCACTTGTGCCTCTGTCCACAGACTTTCGTGGGCCACGTCAGCTTCTTCAAAGAGGCCGACTTCTCGCCCTCCGTGGCCTTTGCCTCCCTCTCCCTCTTCCATATCTTGGTCACACCGCTGTTCCTGCTGTCCAGTGTGGTCCGATCTACCGTCAAAGCTCTAGTGAGGTGAGGGGAGGGTCCGGGCGAGGGCACTGGGCAGGCAGGTCCTGTGTCAGCCTCAAGGCTTGCTCGAGTGATGGCCAAACCACAGCTGTTTGGTCCCGGAACACACCCCCATTGCTGGGCCTTGCTGTAGCTGGTCCTGGTTGGTCAGAGGGACATTGGCCTGTATGGTTTCCCAGCTCGCCATCCCTGAGCAAGGACTTGCTTACATACCTCCCAGGAGAGGGGACTCACTGTCACTTTCACGACAACTTAAAAAAAAAAAAAAACCAGTGTTGAGCCAAATGTGGAATCCTCCTAAATTCTACCCACTGGTCCTAACTTCACCCTCCAGAGCCACCAAGAATGAGGCCATCCCGTCCCCACGTGGCTGCCCCATGGATATCAGAAGGCATCCACTGTGTCTATCTTTCCCAGGCCAAGTATCCCCTACCCTTTCCACAGCCCCTGAGCCCTCACAGCCTCAGCCAGTGAAACAGCTTCCCCCAAGCGCTGGGTCCTGCTCTGATTGGCCCACAGCTCTTGGAGGCTCCCACTTCCAGGCTCTAGAGCCTCATGGGGACTCTGCCACTGTCCCAGAGGCATTGCCCTCTTGGGAATGAAAGCCTGAAGGTAGAAGGCTGAGGCTTTGGCTGGGAAATGCCCTGTCTGGAGTGAGAAGATGTCCTTGGGCCTCTGAAGTAGCTCTGCCTCCTTGAAAGCAAGAGCCTGTCATGCCTCTATGGAGGGCTGGCTTGTCCTTACCCATGGCCAGAGAACCAGTCAGTAACAAATGTCCTCTGTGTCTTCAGCCTTGAGGAAGGTGACACCCCTGTCTCATGGGACCCTGGCAGGTACTGGGAAGCTGGAAGGAAGGAGTAGCTGTTGGAATGAAGTAGCTGATAGAGAGGGTAGCTTGCAGGGGGAGACTCTAGCATGGGTTCAAAGATGGAATGGGGCATAACTCAGCAAAATTATGCTCTAAGGAGTATCTGACCAGGCAGTAGCTGGTTAAACAGGGATTAGCTCCCATTTCCACAGTCGGCTGTGCTGACTCAGTTTCTTGACCAGGGTGTTGTGGGGTCTGAAGATCACCCCTCCTCCCACCACCCACTCTCCAGCCCTATGATTCTGTGTAGAAACCACAGATTTAAGAACGCTGCACCTGCCTGAAAACTGTTGCACTGATCCCAAAGCGTTCATATTTTCAAACACTCTGGATCCCACTGTTTCCAGGAATGGAACACCAGAGTAGCAGAGGCCTTTTCAGTGAGGCAGCTCAGGCTCTGGCTGAAGGTGGGCGCAGGACACTACCTGAAGCTTCACCCCAAGAGATGAGGGCCAGCTCCACTCTTCCCAGTCACCGCCTGTGGGGGAGGGAGGCTGGACAGGGCATGAAGGCAGAGCCTGGTGGTCTGCCCCTCCCATCTAGGGGTGGCGCACAGAAAGGGAGACTCCAGGCCACAGCTCACTTACACCCCAGAATAACCTTGCCTTGAGGGTGGGATGGCTTGTCTGCCCCAGGCCTGTTGGACATTTAGCAAAAGAGAAGAAAGGGGAATACAAACAATCCTGAGCTTCCCAGAAAGCTTTCACACCTCCAGGATGGGAGAGAATGAACTAGAAGAGTGAAGCTTCCAGTGCTTCCTCAGGTCCACAGGGAAATCTGGACAGGGGAGAGGGTAGGAATAGCCGCCTCCCCCGTGAGTAATGACACCTCCTCCAGCAGGCTGTTATGGGGATCCGATTACATAATGCTACAAAACAGTTAACACAGTGTCTGGCATTTAGTGTATGCTCACAAAATACTAGCTATTGATTCTTTACCAATCCTAGTCCTAACTAACCTTAACCCTGACCAATCCAACACCAACCATCCTTCAGTCTAATAACCCAGACTAACTAACTTCAACATTAACCCTAAAACTAACCAATCTCACCTCCAATCCAGACCCCAGCCTATTCCAGCTGACTGGTCAACCCTAGCAAACCCTGGTAACACCAATTACCTGCCCCCATGCCCACTGGTCTGCCCCCTTCAGTGTGGGCTTTGTGGGACTATACTTCAGGCCTGAGATCCTGCTCAGAGCTCTCTATCAGGCTGCGCCCTCTCCCCTCCCCTCTGCCCCTGGCAGGGGTGAGGGGTGTCTCTGTGCTTCCCGAGCAGCGTGCAAAAGCTAAGCGAGTTCCTGTCCAGTGCAGAGATCCGTGAGGAGCAGTGTGCCCCCCATGAGCCCACACCTCAGGGCCCAGCCAGCAAGTACCAGGCGGTGGTGAGTGCCCGGCCTCCCCTTGCTACTCCCAGCATGGTCCTCTAAGGCCCAAAACTTGGGCCTGCTGTGTCGGACTTCTGCCTTTTTTCCCAGGAAGAGGGGCTCCCTTCCCTACACAGCTCCCAGCCCAGTGGGTCCTCACCTCCAAACCACCCCCAGCCCCTCAGGGTTGTGAACCGCAAGCGTCCAGCCCGGGAGGATTGTCGGGGCCTCACCGGCCCACTGCAGAGCCTGGTCCCCAGTGCAGATGGCGATGCTGACAACTGCTGTGTCCAGGTGAGTCCTGCTGCCCCATGCCTGGCCACCCAGCACCAACTCCCAGAGGGAGCTCAGCACCTGGAAAGCCAGAAAGCTGCATGCTTAGTCCTCTGCAGAGGTCACCCTGCCTGCCTGTACGGTCCATAGGAGTCCAGAAACCAGGGACCACCAAGTGGGGGGACCCCCAGCCTTAGGCAAGGGTCAGCATGAGAAGGCCAGTCTCCCACTCCCCTGCTCTGGAAGTGATCCAGGGGCTGGAATCAGTGTCTTTTGGCTTTCATGGAGGAGGGGAAGCCAGAGACTATTCACTGGGAACTGGCTGCCTTTCTGTTCTCTCCTGGGCGGTGGGACACGCCTAATGAAGATCATGGGAGGCTACTTCACGTGGACCCCAGATGGAATCCCCACACTGTCCAACATCACCATTCGTATCCCCCGAGGTATGGCCCAGTCCACCCCTCCAGCATGCCCCTCCCCATGTCCCACTGAATAACATAGAGATAAAAAGACAAAGCTGCATTTATTGAGCACCTACTCTCTGCTCATTCTTGGTGTATGCCCTGGGTATATTATAGAAGGGGAAGGCTACATTCTAGAGGCTTCCGTGTGCTGGGTGGGAGTGAAGCACTAAGGACAGGGTAAAATTGCCAGCCTTAATGTCAAACCATCCATTGCAGACAGTATAGGTAATGCACAAAAAGATCAGAAGTGGGTAGCCAAGGAACGCAAGTGGAAGTGATGGGGTTTCTGAGAATGGACAAAGGCCCTGAGGCCATGAGGCAGGAGGATTTTCTGGCAGAGGCAGCCATGAGCAAAGTATGGAGGTGGGTTGGAGGTGGGACCCAGGATGGTGTTTCTTGGGACCACAAGGAGCCTGGGCTCATACTAGGAGCATGGGAAAGGAGAAGCGAGTGCTTAGGAAGGGTGGCGGGGCAGGAAATCAGAGAGGGGGAAGGACCTGGGGAGCCAGAGGAGGATGTTGATTTCCAGAAGGAAAGGATTAAAGAGGGAGAGGACTTGCTGGGGATTCTAGGTAGGAAGAAAGAAAACAGGGGCCCCAGGGTTGGGTGCATCTGTCTGTCTGTCTTTCTGGGTAATGGTTGTTCAGACTCCCCCGGCCCCACTCACATCTGCCACCCTCCCTCCCTGCAGGCCAGCTGACTATGATCGTGGGGCAGGTGGGCTGCGGCAAGTCCTCGCTCCTTCTAGCCGCACTGGGGGAGATGCAGAAGGTCTCAGGGGCTGTCTTCTGGAGCAGGTAATACATGTATCCTCAGGGCCCAGTGGAGGGGAAATCTCCTTTTAACCATCCTCCTCAGTTGAGGATGCACACACATTTATTGGAGGGCCCACTCTGTGTTCAGTGAGGACTCAATAAATGCTGCTAATGGATATTCTCATCATCATCACTAGTACGTATTCACCTCTTACTATGCGCAGGTTCTTTGCTAAGTCCTTTGCATGCATTATTTCATTTAATTTTTATGATAACTAACAAGGTCCATACTGTTCTCAATTCTCATTTATAGAGGAAGGTTAAACTATTTGTCCTAATTCACACAGCTAATAAGTGGCAGAGCTGGAATTGAAACTCAGTTCTGTCAGACTCTGAATCCCATGGTTACTCAGATGCACGGCAGTAATTTCCCAGTGTGGGAAATTGCAACACCAACATTGGTTTCCAGCTTGGTCCTGAGCTGCACTGACCTACACACCATAAGTGGGTGTTCTGAAGATCCAGATGTAACCAATAAATGTTGGTTTCTGGGCAAAGATCACTGTCTTAATTAAAGAGCCAGAACCCCAGGCTCAGTCAATCACGAATCTGTTATTTATACCCACCTACTTCCAAGAAGCACTTGAAACTAGTTGATGAAAGATTCATGTAAAAATCAAAACCACAATGAGATACCATCTCACACCCGTTAGAATGGTGATCGTTAAAAAGTCAGGAAACAACAAATGCTGGAGAGGATGTGGAGAAATAGGAACGCTTTTACACTGTTGGTGGGAGTGTAAATTAGTTCAACCATTGTGGAAGACAGTGCGGTGATTCCTCAAGGATCTAGAACCAGAAATACCATTTGACCCAGCAATTCCATTACTGGGTATATACCCAAAGGATTATAAATCATTCTACTATAAAGACACATGCAGACGTATGTTTATTGCAGCACTATTCACAATAGCAAAGACTTGGAAACAACCCAAATGCCCATCAATGATAGACTGGATAAAGAAAATGTGGCACATATACACCATGGAATACTATGCAGACATAAAAAAGGTTGAGTTCGTGTCCTTTGCAGGGACATGGATGAAGCTGGAAACTATCATTCTCAGCAAACTCACACAGGAACAGAAAAGCAAATACCACATGTTCTCACTCATAAGTGGGAGTTGAACAATGAGAACACATGGACACAGGGAGGGGAACATCACACACTGGGGCCTGTCTGGGGGTGGGGGGCAAGGGGAGGGATAGCATTAGGAGAAATACTTAATGTAGATGAAGGGTTGATGGGTGCAGCAAACCACCATGGCATGTGTATACCTATGTAACAAACCTGCACGTTCTGCACGTATATCCCAGAACTTGAAGTATAATAAAAAAAGATGCATGTAAAATAAAACCCTTTAAAAAGGTAAGAAAATAGGAACTGAGAAATGAAGAGGGTAAAAAGATGTTCAGCAACCTGGGCAGAGGACAACTACAGCCATCAACATAAAACCTGGCTCTGTGCCCTCTGGTAGCCAAGGGAAAAAGGGATCTCTGGGCTTTGGAGTATTCATTTAGGAATAAAAGTTGCAGCCAATCAGCAGAAGGGCAAGCTTTCCCTACCAATCATTTCTAGGGGAAAATTATTGAAGGTGTCAGGTTTTTCATAAGCATGAGTACAGAACTGAGCAGGGAGAAAGACTTTGGGCCCAATGTCTGAATATCAACATGCACCCCCGTTTCCTGCATTTCCAAGATGTCCCTGAATGGTGTATCCAAAAGATGGCAAATTTCCCTCCTCAGTGGGGTCGTGGGCTAGCAGATGAGCCCCTTGGGTTTCCCATCACCTCCCATCAGGGACTGTGATGTCTTTGGGGGCAGAGGGGTCTTTGCCTCCATTCGCCATTTTATTTGGGAGATTTTTCAACATAGCCTGACTGGGAAGGCCCAGGTATTCGGTTTGAGATCATATTGCCTTATTCCGACTGCCTCTCCAGCCTTTGGAGGGAGGAGCCCTTTTCTGCTGTCCAACTGCATGCCTGCAGCAAGAAGACAAGAGTCCCCAGTGCACTGTGAGCTGAAGAAAGTAACCAATATTTATTGGGTACCTCCTATGGGCCATGCCCTTTGCTAAGTGCATTGTCAACATGATCTCATCAAGCCTCCTACTAAGTTTAGGAGGGGAGTGTTGTTACCCCATTTCACAGAAGCAGAAACTCAGGCTCAGAGAAGTTGGGTGACTTACTAGTCAGTGTGTGGAGCAGAGACTCTGCCCATGTTCTTTCCCTCAAACCTGGTCACTGCTGGGGCCCCCAGGGCCTAGTCCTAAGGGTTATTGTCCAAGCCCCATGTAGTGGTCAGGCTGGATCTGGGCTCTCCTCCAAGGCAGGGCTTTTCCAGAAGGATTGCAGGGCTCAGACACTGGAGCTGCCCCTGCCTTGACCTGCTCAGCATGGATGTCAAAACCCACTCTGAACCTGGTCCCTTTGCCCTGCTTTCTTCTCCTCCCCCACCCTCATGCCCTCATGTGGCATCGTGCCTGCCTCAGGAGCTCTCCTTGTCCTATGTAGATGAAGCAGGCATGATTGGCAGGGGTCTGCTCTGCCCTGCCTCAGTCCCCACCTCTTCTCCAAGCTGTGCCAACCCTCCGGGTCTGACTGCTGCCCCTCTCTCTTAGGAAACCTCTGCCCCAGCCCAGGGAACACAAGGAGCCTCTCCAAGGCAGAGGACCCTAAGCACTTCTTTTTTTTATTATTTTTTATTTTATTTTAGGTTCTGAGATACATGTGCAGAGTGTGCAGGTTTGTTACATAGCTATACATGTGCCATGGTGCTTTGCTGCACCTATCAACCTGTCATCTTTTTAAGCCCCACATGTATTAGGTATTTGTCCTAATGCTCTCCCTCCTCTTGCCTCCCACCCCCCGACAGGCTCGGTATGTGATGTTCCCCTCCCTGTGTCCACGTGTTCTCATTGTTCAACTCCCACTTATAGTGAGCACATGTGGTGGTTGGTTTTCTGTTCCTGCCTAAGCACTTATTATAGGCCAGGCACTGTGCAGGCACCTCATCATCTCAGTCAGTCTGCACCGAACTCTGTGCAGTAGATATTATTATATCCTCATTTATCAGATTAGGAAACTGAGGTGAAGCAAGTTGTCCAAGGCCACCCAGCTGTTAAATGGCAGAAGTGGGATTTGCACCTAGGTGCTCAAGTGCATTGGTTTGCCACCATGTGCTCAAAGAGAAGGGGCACAAGAGCCTCATGAAGAAGGCATAGCTAGCCTGACAGTCCAAAGGCCAGCAGCCGCTGTGGCCATGACTCACACACACCTGCCTCCTCCCAGAACTGCCACGTGGGTCCTCACAGCTCTGTCCTTATCAACACTTACTCTCCTTTACAGGTAGCCTAGGCCCCAGCTCCCAGCTCTGTTCGAGGCTCGCAGAGGGGCGGTAGTGAAGGGGTCTCATTTCTCCAGGATCCTCTTTGCTCTCTCGCCCGGTCCTGGTCCAGCTTCCCTTTCAAGCATAGTGAAGTGCATTTGTTAGCTTGCAGCCAACCCTGGGAAATCATGAGAATTTGTTCCCAAGTCAACTCATTCTCCAGCGTCCACAGTGACGTATTCACTCACCCAGTTGAGCGCCTAGTGTATACTAGACCCTGTGACAGCAACAGGAGTGCAAAGGTGACTAAGACGTGGCCCCTGCTTTTTTTTTTTTTTTTTTTTTTTGAGACGGAGTCTCGCCCTGTTGCCCAGGCTGGAGTGCAGTGGTGCGATCTCAGCTCCTCACAAGCTCTGCCTCCTAGGTTCAAGCGATTCTCCTGCTTCAGCCTCCCAAGTAGCTGGGACTACAGGTGTACACCACCATGCCGGCTAATTTTTTGTATTTTTAGTAGAGACGGGGTTTCACTATGTTGGCCAGGGTAATCTCGAACTCCTGACCTCATGATCCGCCCGCCTCAGCCTCCCAAAGTGCTGGGATTACAGGCATGAGCCACCACCCCTGGCCGGCCCCGCTTTTAAGAGAGGGGAGAGAAGACCTGGGCCTTAGAAGAGCTCAGAGGAACCACAATTGACTCTGCAGTCAAGGAGAGGAGGCTCACTGCGGATGTGGTATTTGAGCCTTGAAGGATGAGTGTGGTTTCATCAAGTAGAAAAGGCAGGGATGGGAAAGGGAGGTGGTCCAGGCAGGGGTGATGGTGTGGGCAAAGCCTTGCTGATATTAAAGAACATAGTTCTGTGCACCTGGAACACTGGATGCATGGGGTGCATTATGAAAGATGGGACTGAAGAAGTGAACTTGGCTTAGATCCCATGTAGTAGGTCTGAGAAGTAAGATTTAACCCAAAGGTTGCAAAAGAACCATGCTTGTGATAAAGGATGATGGATTGGGGAAACAGAGAAAAAGACAGACAGACTGTAGGAAGGGAGGTATTAGCAAATAATCATAACACAGTGTGAGGTGTGCATTAATATTCACTCATTCCAAGTATTGATCAAGAAGAGAGGTAGGTACTGGGTTAGGAAACAGCTTGGGCAAATGCATGGGGAAATGAGAGATGTCAAGATGCATTCTAATGGCAGCCTCTTGAAGATCTTAAGTTGTTTTTGGTTCACTCATTTCGCAAATGAATTCATTTAGCAAAAGCACTATGGATACAGTGCTTACCTCTAGGAAGTAAGTTTTAGCCCAAATGCTGCAGAAGGATCATGCTTATGACAAAGGATGATGGACTGGGGAGAGAGAAAAAGAAAAGACAGACAGACTCCAGGAAGGAAGGTCAGTCTGCAGCTCCTTATAGTGGCTAGGAGAAGGAGTCTAGGCAGATACGACTCAATTAGCTTCATCTGCTGTTTGTCTCTCAAAATCTAGACATGTGCACTGCTCTGGCTGGCCCACCTATCCTGGGCATTGAGTTAAGTGTGGGGGCTGTGTGTTGAGAGTCCCCCTCCATTACTGGCAGGAACTCCACACCTCAGACATTGAGCCCCAGGTCTGCAGGGAGAAGACGTGCTTGCAAAGTGAGCTAAAAGCAAAACAGCCTCTGACCTGGCAAGCATTCCCAAGTCTGCACGCCTGCAGCCAGAGGAGAGGGTGATGCCAGGCTGCTGCTCAGATGCTTTTCAGCCATACCCAGGCCAAGACCTGGTGACCAGGCAGCCAGAAGGAGTTCCAGGAGGCACAAGGCAGGAAGTTGGGGGATTAGGAGGTGTAGAATGGAGAATGCTCTGGGGAGATGGGTGCTTTGTTGGTGCAACTATTCGTTTATTCCTCCAGTGACCACGTGAGCAGTATGGCTGCACACACAGGCTCTGCAGCCAAGCTGCCTGGGTTCACATTTGGTCTCTGTGCTTTGGAAAATTTCATAAGCTTTCTCTACCAGTTTCCCTTATTACCCATGAGATTGATGTGAGGATTAACCTAGCATGTAGTAAATATCCTATAAATATTATTATTCAATAGTGTACTTCTTTGCCAGGAACAAAATTCACCTGTTCCTCTTTAAATGTCCTCCAGTCTGTCTCCTGGGAAAGATTCTTGTGAGCTCCCTGGGGACAGGGACCATATTTTGTTTGTCTCACTGTATCCGTAGTGCTTTTTGCTAAACGAATTCACTTGCTAAATGAATGAACCAGGAACAACTTAAGACCTTCAAGAGGCTGCCATTATAATGCATCTTGACATCTCTCTCCTTTCCACATGCCTTTGTCCGAGCTGTTTCCTAACCCAGTATTTCACTACCCCTCTTCTCCATCAATATTTGGAATGAGCAAATACCGTTAGTGCATACCTCACATGGTATTATAATTATTTGCTAATGCGTCTGTCTCCTCCATGACTCTGAGCTCCTTGAGGGATTATTCCATGTTGTACCCCAGGTGCCCCATGCAGATGTGTATTTTGTGCACTGTTCTGTGTAGGCTACAAAGGAAAAGGCCTAGCACCTGCCCTTGGGGAGCTCACCCACCCAGGATGGACAGAGGTGTGCAGACAGAGCTGCAGGGTGGGCACAAAGGGTCCATCTGCTGAAGTCCTGCAGATGCAGCCCCGAGCTTGTCCCTCACGTCAGCAGCCTGGCTCCTGGTCTCAGAGAGAACTGTGTGGTTCCCAAGCATTCACTTTAGGAAGAATCACTTGCCCCTCCCTGGCTCTCTGCTTCAAGGAACTGTGACAACCTTGGGATTTGCAAACTCTCTCTTTAATCCTTAAGAGGAAAATGTTTTGGTAAAAAGTCAAGATTAGCAGATACACTCGGGTGAAATTCTTTCCCTGGAAATAAAGAATAGAGCCATTAATATCCACAGTAGAGTGACTTTAAATGCCCCCGGGGGGTCAGCAGGAACCAGGGCCCTGAGGAAAGGATCAGCGTGGGGAAGAGGCTCCCACTTCCCTGTGAGGAGCTGCACATGCAGTCTCACTGGAGCTCCCTGCTGCAATGCTGTTGCCTGTGGTGGTTGGTGTGGATGCTGCCTGCCAAGAGCCCTGATTCCCCAGGAAGAGAGAAAAAGGCTTCTCTCAGGACGGCCCTGGTCGCATCTGCCTGTACAATTCCTGGAGCCTTTGGGGAGCTGAAGTCAGGGGCTCAAGTGCCCCTGGGTTTCCTGGAGGAGGCAGGTGTGGTGAGACAGCTGACAGACAGGAGAAGGGATGCTCTGAGGAAGTGACTGTCCAGCCATGGGAACCAGATGGCCCCTGGCTGTAGTCCTGATGCTGCCACTTGCTAGCTCTGTGACCTTGAGCAGGTTACTTCACCTCTCTGAGACAGACTCACTGTCTGGACAATGAGTAAAACCCTACCTTTCCTGTCTCAGAGATTTGGCAATGGGACCCAATGACATCAATTGGAAAGGATGCTGTGGGTGAAAGGTAACCTTTCAGGACAGCGACAAGCCTGTCTGGGCAGGATGAATGGGCTGTGGAGCCCTGTATATCCTAGCTCACTCTTTGAACCTCAGTTTCCACTTCTTCCCTTTTTATTTATTGCCGGGGTCTTAAATGAGTGTTGGGGGTATCTGATTCTCCCTCTGCCTGTACTTTTGGGGCCAAGCACTGAGCTGAAAAGACAATTCCTCCTAGTTCTCCAAGCCTACAACCTGCCCCCTAACCAGCTGTGAGCTGTAATACATTCTCCAGTGTCACTGTGAGGTTTGTGCCTTCACCCCCATTTTATAGATCAGGAAACAGAGGCTCCTCCAAGTAAAGGAGCTTGCCTCAGATTTCACAGCCAATGAGTGGAAAAGCCTCTGGGATTCAAATGTCAGAGCCCATATTTTTCCTACTTCTCGCACCTGTTATCATATGCTGCCTCTTCCTTTAACCTGCAGTTCCCTCCCTTCACCTCCACCGTCTCAATCCTTCCCACTCTTTAAGGTTCAGTTCAGCTATGACTTCTTCTATGAGGCTCTACTCATTTTCTCAGATTTCTTCCTCCTCCAAATTTCTTGTAAAAATTATGTTTTTTCTCTGATTCTAAAAGAATGCACATTACATTAGAAAAGATACACAAGCATACAGAAGATAAAAACCACCTAATATCCCATCACCCAGAAGCTTCCAGTTTTTCTTTATGCATTTGCATATGCATTTGTGTTTACTTTTCCCCAAAAGTTCTCCGATACTTTGTCCTACTTTTCTTTTGACCCTTATAACTTCCTGACTTCGGTACCTTTCTGATTTGCCCTACCAGAGTGTGAGCCCCTGGAAGGCAGCCTCTGCACCCTGATTCAGGTTGCCACACATATGCCAGCTCCTAGTGGGCTGGAGGGAAGGACATGCGGTTGGGGAACTGGAAGACTCATGCTTTCAGCTGTGTGCTTCCTCCCTAGAGTGCAGGCAGAGGAGGAATCGAATCCCCTCAGCACTCTTGTAAAGACCACAGCAATGAGTGAGAGATGGTGCCTGCCAGACATACCATTCTTTACTTTTCAGCTTAAAACAGATACAAAGTTTGGGGAGGCTCACTGGAGGAGGCTTGGGGCTACACTGGAAAGAGAAGAACTTGGATTCACACCCCAGCTTCCCCTCTTCCCAGCTCTGTCACATTTGCAAACTCTGAGTCTCAGTATCCTCATGTGTAAAATGGGGATAGGGTTTATAGGGTTGTAAGGATGAGATGATGAGTTGTTTGCAAACAACTTCTCACAGTGCACAGTGAAGGTCAGCAATGAGAGCCAGCCCCGCCCTTTCTTCTTTCCAAATGATTAATATATCTGTTACCAGCCTCCATTCATTATATAGCTCTGTCATGTGCTAAGCACCATGGGGGCTGAAAAAGATGTTCTTCCTGCCTTAAAATTCCACTGGGGATGAACAAATTACACGGGAGCTGATCAGAGAGGAAGGCAGTCCATTATGAGGGCTAATTGAGCAGTGCAGACCATGTTGCAAACTGAGTTAGGGCCTGGAGAGCTTACTGTGTGCTGGGGTCCTCAGGAATGCCACAGATGCATCAATAACCACCTCTGCTACTCTGGAAGTAGTCACATCAGGAAGACTCCAGAGATAAGCTTATCTGGGCTGTGGCCACAGAGCTGGAATTTGTAAGCTTTAGGTTTCTATGTCTCATGTTACCAGCTTGTCTATAAATTGTAAATTACAGCCATCTGATGGTTAGGGAATATGAAGTTTGGTTAAGAGAATGAAATGAGACCACGAAGATTAGAGAACAGGAAAAGAGGGGACTGGGGACTACATACCCATCAGAATCTTCATTCAGTCCTGACCCTCAGCAGGAGGGGGATTTCATCAGGCTCATTTCCATCCTTGATTTCGTCCATCCTGGTTCTCCTGACAAGGGGCATTTATCAGAGTTATGGCATGGGAAATCACAGGGGAGTAATGTACCATGGCATTTAAGAGTATGAACGTTGGAGTCGGAGCTATTTTCTCCGCTACTTACTAGCTGTGTGACTTTGGGCAAGTTACTTAGCCTTTCTCTGAGCCTCACTTTCTTTATCTGTAAAGTGAGGGCGATCAGAATAAACCTCCTTCATATGGTTATTTTGAGCTTTATAAAGAGACAATACTGGCTGAGCACGGTGGCTCACTGCCAGTAATCCCAGCACTTTAGGAGGCCAAAGCTGGAGGATCGCTTGAGCCCAGGAGTTGGAGACCAGCCTGGGCAACATAGGGAATGAGACTCCTGTCTCTACAAAAAATATACAAAAATTAGTCAGGCATGGTGGTACGTGCCTGTAATCCCATCTACTCAGGAGGCTAAGGCAGGAGGATCGCTTGAGCCCAGGAGGTGGAGGTTGCAGTGAGCCAAGATCACGCCATTGTACTCCAGCCTGGGCAACAGGAGTGAAACCCTGTCTGAGAGAGAGAGAGAGAGAGAAAATACTACTATGGTGCTTATAAAAGTTCAATAAATTTTAGCTGTTGTTAGTATTATTAAAGTAAGATCTGTATGAAAATAAAGCAGATTTTTTCCCCCAAATGTTCATGTCAGAAGTATATATTTCATTGGCAAGGGGCTGCTTCTGGAAGGTTGAGAGGTATCCTGGGGGAGGGGATAGAGCACTGGCAAAATTGGCATCACAATTCAAGTCACCTCACTCAGTGTTTTTTAAGTTATCAAAATCCACAGTATGAAAAGCATTTGACATTACAGTCCACTATATTTATGCATTTATAAACAAGAGAAAAAATCACGAAAAATACAGTACCACGTGCAGTACACACTGATTCCATCTATTCTTTTTTTTTCTTTTTCCTCAAATGCACTTGCCGCCTACTTATTCCAGACCCAATGATTGGGTCCCTATCCACAGTTTGGAAAACACTATAAGAAATGATTGTGTCCTCTCACTTTCCCTCTCTGGGATTTAGTTTTCCAACTATAAAATGCTCCTGATGCCCAGCCAGCCTCACCGCTGCTCCGAGTCAATGCCAGGAACGCTGATTTAGCACATGCTATTTGGAGGGTACCCATCCAGGTGCTGTGGGAGGGACAGAGATTGAGAAGAGTGCTTTCTGACCCCACAGAGGCCATTTGGAAACCCTGGGAATGGGTGGGAGGGTTGGAGGTGGGGATTGCTTCTCCCCTAAGACTCAGCGTGATGGAAAGGCAATGGGGTGGGAACTAACTGGTGTTGGTCTGTCCCATTTGTGTCCCAGCAGCCTTCCTGACAGCGAGATAGGAGAGGACCCCAGGTACAGCCTTGGGACTGGGTCAGAAGTGGGTCTCAACAAAGGGAAGGGGTAGGGTGGGGGTGGAGGACTTGTGGGTGGGTAATGCTGAGTATGGATTCAGGGATGTGCAGCCTACATATTTTCAGAGACATGGGGCTAAGGCCTGCATTCTCAATGAGGGCAAAATTTGGTTCTTGGGGACAGAAAACACTTAGACATTGCAATGCTTTGTGGCTGTCCAAAGTACCAAACAGATGCCAGTATATCTGTGGTGCTGAAATTTCATGGTGAATGGAGTCAGAAAATAGACTAGCGATTGCCAGGGTCTGGTGGGAGAGAGAGGGAAGGGACTGCCAATGTGTATGGGATTTGTTTTGGGGAAGATAAAAATGTTTTGGAATTAGATAGTGGAGATAGTTGCACAACCTGGTGAACGTACTTTTAGTTTCAGAGGTTTTCTAAACCTCTGATTTTTTTTTAAGTGACAGGAAAGACAGAAAAAAGTATATCTAAAAAGGCTCTAGGGGTGATCATGGAAAAGAAAGTTAAGAAATATGACTGTAAGGAAAGGAGATGGGTGTCCCTCAGGCCAGGCAGAAAATTCAGTCTTGTTGCTTTATGTTCATGTGCAAATCTAAAAAATCCAAGTGATATAGATTAATGAGGCTCTGAGTCCCTCAAAACCTTCCCTCCCCTTACCTCTCCAAAAAACACTTGAGATACCCTAGAGGTGGTATGAAGTCAGGATGGGAAGGTTGGCTCAGCTTTGCAAATAAGTTTAAGCCTCTGGCCTTTGCTCTCCAACACCAAAGAGGCTTCACTTTGGTATATTTTCTCTGCCCTTTCTCCCTCCTTGTCCCCAACTGTCAGTATGTGATGACAGGCTCAGCCTCTGTAATGGTAGTGATCATATTTCTTGAGCCAAAAATCAGACCTCATGGCATGTGACAAGTTTGCATATGTGGATGAGAACAGAGTGGCAGAATATTTGACACGGGAGCAGCTTGGGCAGTCCAGGGCACATGGCACTGCACCTGACATCCCTGGCAGATCCCCCACATTCCGTGGTTGTCTTCTGATGGGGCCATATGGGGCTGCAGATCATGCCTGGAGCCCTCGCAGCTCCAGGGCTGCGGGTTCCCAGCCCCAGAGTGCAGGTGCTGGTGTCAGCCTGCCTGGCCTGGCCTGGCTCTGTCCAGAGCACTCCTTGCCCCAGCTGTTTGTGCAGCTGTATCAGCCTCAGACCTCAGCCTATTCATTCCAACCTGAATGCAGAGGCTGGGTCTGGAGGAGCCACATTGCGGGCTTCATACTCCTGATCTGACAAGTTTTCCCCCCAGAGCCTGCACCAATGGCACCTCTCCCCATTCTCCCTCTTAACTGGGTCCTCCAGGGCCCTCCTCACACACCCACGTGGTCAGGCAGCAGAGGCTTCCCCAAGATGGGCACACCCCACTCTCCACACCTCTCTATGCAGCATTTGTGGCTACAGACTGGGTCCAGGGGATTGTAAAGGCATGCTCATGTTGGGTTGGAGGGAGCTCAGGATCTTCCTGGAGGATATGGTTCACTCCCATGAGAGCTCAGTATGCCTTTCCTCCCCTGCTGCAGCCCAGAGCGGGAGACAGCGACCGACTTGGATATCAGGTACTGCGTCCTGGGAACATTGCCCCCCAGGGTCAACTCCCTCCAGGGTGCTCTCAGGCCCAAGGGAGCCACATCACCCTGCTGGGCAGCCCCCAGACCCCAGCCCCAGTGTTGGGGGAGGCCAGGGAGGGCCCCTGTGCTCCACCAGGTGGCTCGGGAGCTGCTGCTGTTTCTGTGCATCCATTTACTCCCTTCACATAAGATCATTTTTATCTGGGATCTCTTTTTCTTTTTTCTTCAAAAACCACATCACTCAAAATGTGGCTTCCTTGGCTCTGCTTTTAAAAAAAAAAAAAAAAGTTCTTCCATTTGGAGAATTACCTGCTGACTTCAAAGTCCAGTGGCTTGAGGGCTACCCAAAGAGGGAGGAAGCCAGAAGTTGAGTGTTCCCTTGGTTTGGTCACACTTTTGGGCTCCTCCCTGACTAAGGAACAACAGACTGCAGGGCTGGGGCAGGCTGGGTGTAGGGCAGGGAGGGGATGAGGTCCTGCTGCCCCAGTCAGTTGAGACCCAGACCTCTCAAACCTGCCTGGGGGAAGGCAAGGCCACCAGAGGCCACACTAAGCAGATTTCTACCAACTGCACCTCCCCATCCCCTTGCCTCCATCTGAGCCATCAGCTTGACAACTGCCTCTGAGAACAAGCCCCTGAGAATGCCTTCCGCACCCCCTACTCCCGCCCTGCTTTTTCCAGGAAGAGAGGCCCCGTGGCCTATGCTTCGCAGAAACCATGGCTGCTAAATGCCACTGTGGAGGAGAACATCATCTTTGAGAGTCCCTTCAACAAACAACGGTAAAAGCCTGTCGGAGGGAGGCAGGATGTGGAGGGGAGGAACTGTCTCTGGCCAGCCTGCCCCAGTTCCGGGCCCCTCCATCGATCACCCACACCCAGCCATCTCACTCCCCAGGTGCTTACCTGCACTCCAGCCTCTCCATATGGTGCACCTGGAGAGGGGCCAGGTGTGCCTGAGCATTGGGGCAATCCAGCTCCCATAGGGGAGAGGGCAGGAATGGAGGGAAGGGAGAGAGCCCCGCTGCCTTTTCTCTAGCTGGTGGGAGGGCTAGCTAGCTCTCTCTGTGAGTCTCCATTCGCCTGGCTCCTGCACTATTTTCCCTCCAATGATAATAGTTAGGGCTAGCATCGACTGCGCTCTTACTACATACCAGGCACAGTGCCGAGCTCTTTGTACACGGAATTTCCTCTCATGCTTACAACAACCTCAGTAGGTAGATATTATTGTTATTCCCACTCTACAGATGAAGAACCAAGTTTCAGAAAGGTCCCAAGGCCACCCAGCCAGTAAGTGACCAAGATGGGTCTCAAATCCAAAGCTGCCTAACACCTAAGTACATGTTTGTCACCAACATACTCTGATGCCTCCATGAACTCTGGCTGGCACCTGCCCAGGCTAAGGGCTGGCTGGGGAAGTATGAGAGGAACAGGCTGGGCAAATATTTGACCAGCCATCATCATTACTGCCTAAACCAACCAGCAGTGGTTTTCCCTGCAGTGCCCCAAGCACGGGTTCCGGCTGCAGCTTTTCCCACTGCACAGAGATCATGAGCGCCCTTTCATCACTTACTCTGCATATTTGTTCCCAACCAATTCCATCCTTCTAGTATTTAACCTGCCCAAACGCTGTGTGAAGTGCTGACCTCAGCTCTTTTCAAGCTCACACGGTGTTTGCTTGCACCCAAGCGGGAGGCCTATTAAAGCCATTGCTCACCCTGGGCATAGCTACCCAGAGACTAATGACCCTCTGCAAGTGCTCGGGCCAACTCTGACCAGGCTGACCAGCTGCATCCCCTGCCTCTACCCACGCCAGGTACAAGATGGTCATTGAAGCCTGCTCTCTGCAGCCAGACATCGACATCCTGCCCCATGGAGACCAGACCCAGATTGGGGAACGGGTTAGTAGCAGCCTCTGAGGGGTTTTTTCAAAGCCAGGACCCCCAACCTACCATGCCCTGAGACACTACTCAGGACAATGGGTAACTAGGAAATAGGAGACATTGAAGGCTGAAGAGTTGCCTGCAGTAAGGTCAAACATGTTGTTCTTGATGATGTCCTTTGACAGGTTTTCAGTCCTGCTTGGAGGGCAAGGTCAGCTTAGTGCCCTCCCAGGCTGGGGATCTTCTTCATTTGCACCCCAGGTATACACTGAGAGCCCACACAGCACTGTGCTCAGCCTGGGGTTGTATTGTTCCTGTTCATCCTCCAGATGGGGTCCCCTCCACAAGCTTAGACGAACAGGATTCTCCTGTGACTGTCCTCCTTTTGTGTGATTTTAATCCCTGCTGCCTCTGTCTTTGTTTGTACTGGTCAGATGGTCCCTAGCGCCTACACAATGAATCTTTAAAGACTTGGGGCTCATGCTGCCCTCTTCTGAATGAATTCAGTAAACACGTGCAAGTTCCTTCTCTATGCAAGGTGAGAAGCAGGCAAAGAAGTGGATAGAGCCAGGCCTCCATCCCAAAGAGCTCATAGTCCAGTAGGGTACAGGACAGTGTCTCCTGAATGGCTGAGGGCATGATGTGTTCCTCCTCTTTGGTGACAGGGCATCAACCTGTCTGGTGGTCAACGCCAGCGAATCAGTGTGGCCCGAGCCCTCTACCAGCACGCCAACGTTGTCTTCTTGGTGAGTGCAAGTTCCCTTGGGGTCCTGGTCTCTGGCTGCCTCCCAGGCCTAACTGCCCACCTCCACCTCCCCGCAACCCCACCATCATCCAACAATCTCCCTCTCCAGGAGTAAATCCCTCCTGCCAGAGATATTGCCTTATCATCCTAGTGATAGGGAAACTGAGGCAGGCAAGGATAGCACAAATGACCCATTGCAGACTTCAGATGGAGCTCTGCAGTAGCCAATGAGGAGAGGCAAGCTGTAGTTATAGGCTGCCTGTCTGTGGGACAGCCCAACCCCTCAACACTTATGCAGCCCGACTATAAGAATGGCTGATAACAGAATGTGTGCTGCCACTTCCCATCTTATGCCCAGTGCAGACATTGCTAATTGTTCACAGCATTATTTCCCATGGAACTTAACTCATCCTCAGAATCCTTCTCAACACAGCACTCCAGGTAACCACTAGCCATCAAACATGAGATAAAACTAGGCCAGGCGCGGTGGCTCACGCCTGTTATTCCAGCACTTTGGGAGGCCGAGGCAGGCGGATCACGAGGTCGGGAGATCGAGACCATCCTGGCCAACACGGTGAAACCCCGTCTCTACTAAAAATACAAAAAATTAGCTGGGTGCGGTGGCGGGCGCCTGTAGTCCCAGCTACTCCGGAGGCTGAGGCAGGAGAATGGCGTGAACCCGGGAGGCGGAGCTTGCAGCGAGCCGAGATCGCACCACTGCACTCCAGCCTGGGGACAAACCGAGACTTTGTCTCAAAAAAAAAAAAAAAAAAAAGAACGTATTCGCAATCCTTACACTACTTCATGTCAAGTTCTGTTGTGTCAGGTGCCTTGACTGACACTGAAGAATTCTAAGAACCAGTCCTTGGCCTCAAAGATTTAGAATCTGATTAGGGAGACAGAGCTCACCCAGTTCAAGAGGCCCAGCCCGGTTCAAATCCAAACTGTGCGGCATAAACTATGAGGGGGCCTTGTCCAGGGAGACAACTGTGAGGGCTGGAGTAATCAGGGAGGGCTTCCTGGAGGAGAGCCTCAAAGGGAGAGTCAATTAAACAGAAGGAAAGAGGGAGGCCATTTGCACAGTGAGTTGGAAGAAGGAAGCTCAAGTCTCTGATTCCAGCTTTATTCCCTCCCCTCTCCCTACACCACACGCACAAGCACTCCTTTACTAAAGACACTTCACAGTGGGAAGATTCAGTCTCCGTTACCGTCTGACACACACACAGCGTTTTACAAAGCATGGGTGCATTCGCGATCTCTCATGAGATTTAAACAACCCTGCTAGAGAAAAGTGAAGTGGACATTTTATTTCAGTAAACGTTTATGAAGCGTCTACTCTGTGCCAGGCACTAAACGTTTATGAAGCGTCTACTCTGTGCCAGGCACAGGCACAAGAAGTCTCAGTTCTTGGGAGTGCCATAATCAGGAATGGACAAACAATGATCAGATCTGGCTTTGCGCCAGTGTCACGGGAATAGGGAGGAAGGAAGGGTAGGCGTGGGGGTCAGGACAGGATGCAGGAGGAACTGGTGCTTAGGTGAGCGAAGGATGGGTGGGAGTTCACAAGGCAGACAAAAGGCAGAGCAGCACTCCAGGCAGAGGAACAGCTCAGGAGAAGGCCCAGACGGCAGGCTTCCTGGGAACCTGGAATGCAGAGTGCTGGGAAAGCACAGATGAAGCATGAGTCTAGAAGGGAAAGCGAGAGGTTATAAAGCACCTGGAACACCAGCCCACAGGGTTTGACTTTAGAGATGATGGGGAGCCGTTGAAGGTCCAGGAGTCAGGCAGTGAAGTGATTAGATCTGTTTGAGAGTGATATCTGACAACTGCCCCATTTTAAATGAGGTAACCAAGGCCCAGAGAGGTTGGGTGAGTTGTCCAAAGCCACACAGCTAACTAGCTTCAGTCCCTAGAGCAGAGTTGATAGAACTCTAATGGGTTTTATACTCATTGTCACCCCTCCCCACCATGCCTTTCCCTACCCTCTACTCTCTTCCTCTCCCTTCTGCCCAGGATGACCCCTTCTCAGCTCTGGATATCCATCTGAGTGACCACTTAATGCAGGCCGGCATCCTTGAGCTGCTCCGGGACGACAAGAGGACAGTGGTCTTAGTGACCCACAAGCTACAGTACCTGCCCCATGCAGACTGGGTGAGGGGGAACAAGGGGGTCAGGCTATAGGGGGCAGGGCTGGGGAGGCTGTCAGGCATCTTGGCAGGAACCAATCCGTTGTCTTGGTAGCAACTGCTGAGGGCCACAAAGCATAAGAGACCAGCACTGGATGGCTTTATGCATGCTGGGCATTTCAGGGAGACCCTGTACAGGCCAGGGGTTTGGTATCACCTAGACCCACAGACACTCCCCATCCTGGCCCGGGCCCCCCATGGTACACTCAAGGCTGGCACCAAGAAGTCTCAGGAATAATCAAGTGCTCACTTCTCACCTTCTGATTCCTGCCCTTTTGATGACCCATCCCCGCAGTCATGGGGAGTGCCCATTTGGATGGAAAAGCCCTCTTCCCACCCTATGACCTTCCCGGGGTGGATGGATGCACCACCCCGGGAATCATATGGGAAATATGGAACCAAACAATAGCAGTAGTAATAGAAACTTCAGGCTGGGCGCAGGGGCTCACACCTGTAATCCCAGCACTTTGGGAGGCCAGGACAAGAGGATCACTTGAGCCCAGAAGTTTAAGGCTGCTGTGAACCATGATCATGCCACTGCACTCCACTACAGCCTGGGCGACAGAGCCTTGTCTCTGAAAATTTGAAAAAGGAAAGAAAGAAAGAAAGAAACTTCAATATTATCAGTAGAGTCCAATGTTGTGAAACCCCTCATTAACTAAATTTCCATACTCTTCAGTAGGTAGAAAATAATTACTTTTTGATTCATTAGAAAGCACTTAATTTTTAAGATGGAGATCATGTAATTTTGAACTCTAGGTCTTGCCTACTCCTATATAAATTCTCCTCTAAACAACAGCCAAAATTGAGGCCCTCTTTGAGCTTCAGGCTGGTGCCAAATGGCTCTGCTTATTTTCCCCAAAATAAATCTTCCTTCCATGTATGATGAGACCCCCTCCAGTATAAAGAAGACCCAAAGAAAATCACCCAAAGAAAAAAGGCCCAAAGATAAGACCCAAAGACCTAAAGATTTAAATATATATACAGATACAGAAGGTTTGTTTCTGAGTTTCTGTAGTGACCTTGGCAATACCTTGTAGTTCAGGACAATCCTGAGGAACACAGAAGTGCTGGCTTCCTTGAGGAATCAGTGATCAGGACTCTCGAGCCCCTTGAACCCCAGCATAGGGCGGGAGGGGGTGAGGGCAGCAGGGGTGGGTGTCTGAATTAATGTCAGGTCTACGTGATGGTGTCATCAAGTGTTCCAGATAAAAAGTTTTATTGAGCCGGGCGCGGTGGCTAATGCCTGTAATCCCAGCACCTTGGGAGGCCAAGGCGGGTGGATTGCTTGAGCCCAGGAGTTCGAGACCAGCTTGGGGCAACATGGTGAAACCCTATCTCTATAAAAAAAAAAAAAAAAATTAGCCAGGTATGGTGGCGTGCACCTGTGGTCCCAGCTACTCAGGAGGCTGAGGCAGGAGGATGGCTTGAGCCAGGAAGCAGAGATTGCAGTGAGCTGAGATGGTGCCATTGCACCCCAGCCTAGGCAACAGAGTGAGACCCTGTCTCAAAAAAAAAAAAAAAAAAAGATTTATTGATTCCAAAGAGGCATGGCCACACACACTTAGACCAGCAGGTGCTTTGCTAAGCCCTGATGGAGGCTGCCAGACCCGCCGTCAAGAGGAGCTAAGGGTAGTGTACAATGAGCCCACTTAGTGTATGACGGCCGCTGCCGTGGGTGGAGTCCTTGTGAGTAACCAGCCAGCTTGAGCAGGATGCACTAATTTGCTCTGCAAACCCAGCCATTGAGAAATACGCCTCAGATGTACCGAACTCTAGGTCCTAGGAGTATGTTGGTTGGGGTAGGTTATCAATACCAGCCCACTTGCAGTGGATGAGCTGGTGGCCATTTGTAGTGAGGAAAGGGATGTGTCAACCTCCATCTTAGACTCCACAATTGAGGGATGTGACCACCATTCCTCCCCAGCCAGCCCCCAAACCACGTTTGTTGCTGCCTTTCCAGATCATTGCCATGAAGGATGGCACCATCCAGAGGGAGGGTACCCTCAAGGACTTCCAGAGGTCTGAATGCCAGCTCTTTGAGCACTGGAAGACCCTCATGAACCGACAGGACCAAGAGCTGGAGAAGGTGGGTATATCCAGGGATGGCCAAGCAGCCACCCCTGGATGCAAAGGTTCTGCTAGAACCTGAACTCATAAAGGTCTTCCTGTCCTTAGTGCCCCAGGAAGCCCCCTAAAGGGCAGATGTGGGAGCTGGGCATGAACTGGCTCCTACCAGAGGAGAGACAGTACCTGTGCCAGGTGCCCAGGGCAGAATCAGGTGGGCACCTTCGCCTTATCCTGAGGTAGTCAGATACTATTTAGTTGCAAAGTTTCAGAAAATCAACTCAAACTGGCAAAGAAAACTAAGCAAAGAAAACAAGAGGGAATTAAGGATTTATTGACCCATGAAACCAAAAAGTCCAGGTGTGTCATAGCTTTAAGTGTGCTGGATCCAGGTAGTCAGTGTAATCAGAAATCTGTTTCTCCCATCTCTTGACTCTGCTCCCCTCAAATTGGCTCAGCTCCCCTCAAATTGGCTCCATTCTCATGGTATCAGTGAGGGCCACCAGCAGTCTTAGGTTTACATTCTCCCAGCTCAACAACTCTGCCAGAAAAAAAGTGCCTCTTTCCCCATAGTTCAGCAAAAGTCCCAGGGCTGAGTCTCACTGGTCCAGTTTGGTCATGTGCCCACCCCTGAACAAATCACTGTGGCCAGCGGTGTGGAATGTGAGGATTGGCCTGTCCTGGGTCACGTGCCACTTTGGGAGCCAGATCCACCTGAATCACAGAGACTAAAAACAGGGGAAGAGTGGTTCCCCACAGGGATATGGGGGTGCTATTATCTGATGAAGGGGAAGGACTAAATCCTGGCAAGATGAATGTGTGTCTGTCTGCCCCTCCCTCAGGCAGGGACAAAGTAGAAATCTGACATTGGTCATCACCAGAGTAGTTACCCCTTAACTTCCCCTTCCCCCACCAACCATATATCCTGAAGACATTGCCCAGGCCACATCTGTCTTTTAGGAGACTGTCACAGAGAGAAAAGCCACAGAGCCACCCCAGGGCCTATCTCGTGCCATGTCCTCGAGGGATGGCCTTCTGCAGGATGAGGAAGAGGAGGAAGGTACAGGCAATGGGACTGGGAGTGAAATTATGGCCTGAGGTCTGATCAGCCACAGAGAGGCTAAGGTTTGGGGTTCTGGGTGTGGTGCAGTAGTGTGCCTTTGATTAAATGGCTTCCCTCTGTGTGCCCCCGTTGTCCCCTCAGTAAGTGGGGATAAAATGCCCTGATTCACCCTCAGAGGGATGGAAATGTGTAGCCACAGAGTGGGTTCTTGCGGCCTGCAGAGGAGGCAGCTGAGAGCGAGGAGGATGACAACCTGTCGTCCATGCTGCACCAGCGTGCTGAGATCCCATGGCGAGCCTGCGCCAAGTACCTGTCCTCCGCCGGCATCCTGCTCCTGTCGTTGCTGGTCTTCTCACAGCTGCTCAAGCACATGGTCCTGGTGGCCATCGACTACTGGCTGGCCAAGTGGACCGACAGCGCCCTGACCCTGACCCCTGCAGCCAGGAACTGCTCCCTCAGCCAGGTGTGACTGGCGGCCCATGGCAGAGGTTGGGAGTGGGGATGGGGGAAGGGCTGAGCCCATGGGCACCCTGGAACTCCAAATCACTCTCTGCCTGTGAAGGAGTGCACCCTCGACCAGACTGTCTATGCCATGGTGTTCACGGTGCTCTGCAGCCTGGGCATTGTGCTGTGCCTCGTCACGTCTGTCACTGTGGAGTGGACAGGGCTGAAGGTGGCCAAGAGACTGCACCGCAGCCTGCTAAACCGGATCATCCTAGCCCCCATGAGGTACCCGTCTCCCCTGGCCAGGCTGGGACTGTGAGCAAGTCACTGTTCTCTGAGCCTTAGTCTTCCCATCTATAAAATGGGGATATACAACCTGTCACAAGCTTGTGGGGGTGACTCAAGGAGACAGTGTGTGTAAAAGTGCCCTCCTTGTGCAAGAAGCAGGGAGAAACTGGCATTTACTCAGCCAGATACTGTGATAGGCATTGTGTGTGGTTAGCTCATTTAATTGTTACCATGGCCCTTTAAAGTGAGCGTCTGCACATCCAAGTAAAGATTGTTTTCTCCTCCCTAAGTGGGTGTAATTTGCCCATCCCCACCCATGAGTTCAGCTCCCTGCCCTCCCCTCACTCTCTCTCCCTCAGCCAGCCTCAGGTTTTGACACTGGGGGAACAGGTAGCTGTTCTATTAATAATTTCCTGTAATGGGATGGATAAAAATCTCAAAGGCCACTTGATGTCAAAGAGGTTTAAAGTTGTCCCTGCCCAATTGGTTGGCCAACTTGGCTTAAAAACACAACAGGCAAACAGATTTTCTGGCCCCTTGTCGAGGCTAGACCTCACAATCTAACTGCACTTTTTACTTTCCAGCCTCATGAGTTTTCTGTGGCCCACAGATATGGCCTCCAAGTTTATTTACTTTTACTCTCTATTTGCCCCAGCTCTGTAGTTCTGAAACTCCCTGGTTGGGGTTGGGCTGACTCTGGGTCAGCCAGCCGGCAGGCTGTCCCCAGGGCCCTGTTCCTCTTGGCAGGTTGTCCCTCTGGAGAGGACTCTGTGTCCCAGGAGGACAGCTGCTGAGTCAGGCCGAGCCGGCAGCTGAGAAAGGCGGCAGTCGTCAGATGGGCTTGAGAAACTGAAAGGCTAACGAAAGGCCAGCGCCCCTTTGGGCAGCTGCAGGAATTCACGGGGATACAGGCCAGATGTCTACAAATTGGCAGAGGATGCCAGACCCATGAATGACTCCAGAGACACTTACATGAAATAATTAACTATCTCATTCAGTAAACAGGAAGTAAATCAATGGACAAATGAGTAACTCTTCCTCTGGCTGCCTCTTAGGTTTTTTGAGACCACGCCCCTTGGGAGCATCCTGAACAGATTTTCATCTGACTGTAACACCATCGACCAGGTACAGAGGACCGTGCCACACTATCCCCCCTTCCAGAGACACCTCGGACCCCTGGGGGCTTCTCCTGTCTGAGGCTGGGTTCCCCAGATCAGGTGATCACAGCCCTCTGGGAAGAAGCCAGTGTCCCCGATCCGATTATAATGCTGCTTCAGGGCTGGGGCCTCCCTCGTGGGAGCCTCACAGTAAGGCTGAGGGAAACCAGATCCCTTTAGCTTCCACCTGAGATCCCACTGGCTTTCTCTAGTAAAGTTCCAGCATATTCTGAACCAAGGTGGCTGATTGTATGGAGAATATTCATTTTGATTCAGCCTGTGTTCTTTATTTACCATTGTACCAGATGGTGTGAAAACAAAATCTTGATTCCTACCTCAGGGAGTTTACCTTGTAGCTGGAGAGATGAGATACGTGCCTATAATAAAGGGAGAGCAAGGCCGGGCTCAGTGGCTCACTCCTGTAACCCCAGCACTTTGGGAGGCGGAGGCAGGCGGATCACTTGAGGCCAGGTGTTCAAGACCAGCCTGATGGCCAACATGATGAAACCCCTTCTCTATTAAAAATACAAAAATTAGCCAGGTGTGGTGGCAGGTGCCTGTAATCCCAACTACTTGGGAAGCTGAGGCAGGAGAATCATTTGAACCCAAGGGGCAGAGGCTGCCGTGAACCGAGATTACGCTGCTGCACTCAAGTCTGGGCAACAGTGAGACTCAGTCTCAAAAAAATAAAGGATCAAAAAATAAAGTGAGAGCAAAACATGGCGGCCAGTAGCACTCTAAACACAGTCAATACCAAAATTCACCTCACTCTCTCCCCCTCGTCTCCCTCAGCACATCCCATCCACGCTGGAGTGCCTGAGCCGCTCCACCCTGCTCTGTGTCTCAGCCCTGGCCGTCATCTCCTATGTCACACCTGTGTTCCTCGTGGCCCTCTTGCCCCTGGCCATCGTGTGCTACTTCATCCAGAAGTACTTCCGGGTGGCGTCCAGGTGATGGCCTCAGGGGTGAGGGGTGGGAGGTGCTTTGCAATGTGCAGTTTGGTGTACTTGCTAGACTCATCGTTATGAGAGTAATAGGGTCGTGTTCCCTCCAAAAAATAAAAACAAAAAACAGAAATGAAGGAAATAGAAATATCCACATCTTATTCCACCGCCCTAATATAATAGTCTGCCAACACACGCACACACTGAGGTTGACATCTGAATTATTTCCTTGGGCGATATGGTCAGGACTGGAATTGCTAGGTCATGATAAATGCACATTTTATGCCCTTCATTCATTTTGCCAACATGCTTCCCAGGAGGGTTGCATCATTCTAGTGGTCAGGCTGATTGCTGATGCATGAAATCGGCGGGCACCTGATTCAAGCAGTGTTATGATAACACCTCCCAGCCCACGTGAGTCCAGAGTGTAGCTGTAAGCCTTGACTTGAGGGAGCCTCTCACAGCCATTCTCATGGATCACATTTGCCCTCATGAGCTTTGGATCCATGCACGCCTCTTTCCTCCTCAAAATTTTCTAAGAATGTTCTCTAGGGAGTTCTTTCTGGGAGTGATTCTCCCAGATTCATAGAAACTCATAGATTCAAAAAATTGTAGGAAAAAATTTAAAGAACGTCTAGGCCAGTGTTTCTCAAACTGCCAATTACAGCCCATCAGTGGGTCATGAAATCAATATCATGGATCACAACCAGCATTTTTTTAAAAATGAAAAAAACATCAGACTGTATTCATAGAGTAAAGCAAGCTTTGCTTCATGAAACCTTTGTGTTGGTCATGGAGGTGTGTGAGTACTGATTTGTGAGATAAAATATATTTCTGACTGCAGGTTGTGGTCAGAAAGGTTAAGTACCTTTCCCAAGTGCACATAGTTGGCTAGAAACTAGAGTTGAGATACTTATTAGCAATAATAAAATTTAGATGCATTTTGGACACAATTACCTGCCCCAAAGGATCAACATTTGTATAAATGGCTTTTTGCTTGGATGATCCAGAATGGCCCGACACCCACACGAACAACATAGCTTTTTGACACTCAAAAAATTCAAAGTGCTGCACAAGCTGTTCTACAAAGTTCATTTCTTCTGCCAGAGAAACAGCCCAGTCTCTGTGGCACCCAGTCTGACCCTGGAGATGGTTTATCAGGGAAATCAACTTCCTGCATCCCAAACTGGCCTCCCTGGCACTGATGTGCTTGTCGAGGTGCAGCTTTGGGGAGCAGGAGGCAATTCTGTTGCCATGGAAACCTCTGGCCTTACCCCGAGACGAAACCTATCATTTCAGCACATCACTGGCCAGGGTCTAAAGAGCTCCTTGATGGGGTAAGCGGAAGACGGGGTTGAACGCTTTGAGTTTGGTCTTCTGTTCCTTTGGCCAGCTGTCTCAAGGTTCAGATTGTTCACCTGTAAAATGGAACTAGCACTGCCTGCCCAGCCTTAGCTCAGCTCCAGGCTGTGCAGCAGAAGTACAGGGACAGATGGCGACCTGGGGTTGACAATGCCCAGGACAGCAGTAATTGTGCCCCACATCAGGCTGTGTCTAAGCATTGTACATAAACGATCTCATTCAGTGCTCACAAAAGCTCAATGGGCTGGTGGCATTGTCTTCCCCCTTCACGGGGTAAGAAGCTGAGGCCTAGAGAGGTAAGGCCATTCACCCACACAGCGGTAGCAGGTGGAGCTAGGCTTCAGGCCCAGGCCGAGCCCTGAGCCTGCCCTCTTAACTGTTCCACTCTGTTCCCCGCCACAGGGACCTGCAGCAGCTGGATGACACCACCCAGCTTCCACTTCTCTCACACTTTGCCGAAACCGTAGAAGGACTCACCACCATCCGGGCCTTCAGGTACGAGTCCACATTCCCCCAAGGTAGGAGTGGAACAGGGGTGGGGCCAGGGGGCACAGGCCATGAGATTTGATTCTCAGGACTCCACTTGGGAAGGCCAAGGACACGTTCTCTCTCAAGCTGCCTCAGGTCCCAAGGCCCAAGGGATATCCACCAGCAGGGACAGGCCAGGTGGGCTCCCACTGAATGTTCTAGAGAGGAAAATTCCAGCTCTGTAGACAAGCCCAGGACCTCTGTGAGGCAGAGCATGAAAAGAGACAAAGCTGGGACAAGTCTTCATGTATCAACGCTAGAAAGGGCCTTAGGTGCGGGCCACCCTAAGCCCTTCTTTTATTAAGGAGCCCCTGTGTGCCAAACACTATGCTGAGTACTGTACAGGCCAATCCCACTCATTCTGCACTGCAACCCTCGGTGCTGAGAATGGTCATTTCCATTGCACAGACAAGGAAACTGAGGCACAGAGACGTTCTATAACCTCTCTGTGTAAGGTGCCACAAAGCCCAGACTTGAACCTATTTGTTCATGCAACAAACATTTACTAAGCCCCGACTATGTGCTAAGCCCCATGCCAGGCACTAAAAAGATGAGTCAAATAAGCCGCTGCCCTGCAGGCGTTTACAGCCCAGACTTTGAGCAGGCCAGGATAAATCCACGTGACAAGTATTCTGAAAAAAGCGGATTCAAGGGCTGTGGGAGCATAGAAGAGAGACAGTCCGGGAAGGTTTTTGTACCAGAGGTGTCATCAGAACTAGGACTCAAAGGAGGGGCAGGAGTTCACCAGGCTGAGGAATTCCTGAAAACTTCAGTGCCCCTGCCATCGTCTCACTACCCTGAGTGGTGATGTTGGGGTGGACAGGAGCATCTGAGGTTGCCTGGGGAATGAGGGAAGCTGTTGTTTCCCACTCCCCAAGAGTCTGTCTGATCTCCAGAGGCATCTCTCTTCCAGTCAGGCAGGCCAGAGACCCCTGACACACAAAGTTGGGCTCTTTTCTCATCTTCATCCAGAGAGTGATAATAGGTTATTTTTAGGGTGGCACAGCTGCACGAAGTATGACAGTAACCATGAGACACCAAGCACTGTGTCCAGGAGTAACCATAGGGCACAAGGACCAGCCAAGGGCCAGAGAGGCTTACATCTCCTCCCCCCAACCCCTGAAGTCCAGCTTCAGCCCTGGAGAGGTATCCAGGCCCCTCTGCCCACCCTGGAGCACCTAGGGCCAGTGGAAATCCACCTCTTAGGGATCTTGTCTAAGTAAAGAAGAGCAGAGCAAAGCTCTGCCCTGGCCTTGGCGCTGCTCCCTGGACATCCCTTGCCCCTGGACAAGCCTATGCTGTGTCTTCCACAAAGAAGCTTGCTGGGGACTGGATTATGACTCTAGAGTCTCCTCCCAGCCTCCTCTTCTCAAGCCTGAACTTCTCCCGTTCCTTCAACTTCCAGGTCCCTCGACATTACTGAGCCTAGCCTTTGCTCTAAGTTTTGGTGATTTCCCTCTCTCAATTGGTGTCTCAGAGGGCCCTGGGGTAGAGAGATGGTGACTCTTCTAGAGTGGGCCACAGCCCCTTGTGTGCAGATCCCAGCTTCCTGTAAACAGCCTCAGATCAGGCCAAACCTGTGGTCAGCCAGAGCCACTGCTACCCAGTGAGGTCTTCCACACCCTACTGACACGGTGAATGATTTTTAAATTTGAATGAAAGGCTTTTTAATCAACCCCATACACATTTAATGCATTGGCTTTAATCCAGCAGCCTGTTGAGAGCTATTAGCACTTATTGATTGCCCACTTACTGTATGCCAGGCACCGTGCTAAGTGTTGTATGTGCATTATTACATTTAATCCTCACAAGGACCACATAACATAGGTACGAATCGCCACATTCTCCAGATGCAGAAGCGAGACCCAGAGAGGCTGGGTAATCAATCCAAGGTCACACAGACTGCGGGGGCTGGCGCTGAGCTTGGAACCCAGGTTTGCCTGACCTTCTGGGCTTTCCTAAGAGATCTTATTTTTTCCCAAAAGAGTTTCAAGAGTGCCCAGCACTGGGCTCAGTGGCGGGCTCGGAGGTTGTTTTCGTTCATGTAGGAACTATCACTTCCCCATTTTTTTCATAAGAAAACTGAGTCTCAGTCCTGATACACAGCCAGGAAGTTGTGATGTTCAGGCTCCAACCTGGGTTTACATGGCTCCGAGGCTGGGGCTCTTTTCTAGTCCTCAGACACACTGTCGCACGCCTGTGGCAGAAGCTCCCATCTCACACTTGCCGACCCTCAACTCACACAGTCCTGAGACCCACATACGCTGAGCGCCTCACACTCCTATAACACGCACATGCCCTGATGCACACACATTTTCAACACGCACTTACTCTACCCTTCAGGCATGGTTTCACACTCACTGCAGACACGTCACCCTCCCACACGTCTCCACCCTGGGGGTGTGCAGTAGCATGCTCTCTCCCACCTCAGAACCTCCCTTCAGTCCCCTCAGACACATGCCCTCTCTCCACGCAGAGACAATCAAAGCTGAACTAACACCTTCCAGGGTGAAAAGCAAATGCCCAGTAAGGTACGTCTTGGGTGCCTCCGTGTCCCCTGAGTTTGGTCCTATCAAACCAGCGATGATGAGGCAGCTTTTCTTTCGTTCCTTCCTCCATCATCAAACAAGTGCTCCTGCATCTCCTCTGGGCCGGGCCTACGTCAGCAAGGTCTGAGGGAAGCGGCCAAGGAGAGTGATGACGGCAGCCCAGGTTGATCAGAGAAAGGAGGCAGGTCCATGCGCAGTAACTCAGGGAAAACATGATGAGGACCTAAGGATGAGAAAGAAGCCTCCAGAGTTCCCTGTGCAGAGAGATTCCATCAATTTCAGAGGGTCAGGGGAGTGCCATGCATTCATCCAACAAATATTTATTGATAGTGCCAGGTGCTGGGGTATATTGGTGAATAAAACATCTTCATGGAATTTGCAGTCTATTGAGGGAGATGATTATAAATAGCTAGAGAAATGCATGTACAGCAGATACTGTGGAGCAAACAGGTTGCAGACAATAATAGGGGAAACCTACTTTATAGTAAGGTAGTAGCCAGGAAGAGCCTCTCTGAGGAGGCAGCATTTAAGGCAAGCCCTGAAGGTTGAGTTGAGCCAGCCTTATGAAGAGCAAGGGCAAAAGCCTTCCAGGAAAAGGGAATAGTGTGTGCAAAGGCCCTGGGGTAGGGAAGACTTTAGTATTGTCACAGAGCTTTTAAAAAGCTGAGTGGCTGCAGCATAGTGTGTGGGGTGTTTGTGGCAGGAATTAGGTTGGCAGGAGGGGGTTCTTCATCCTATAAGCAGTGGAAGGTCATTAATATTCTTTTTTATTTGTTTTTTTTTTTTTTTTTTTTTTTTTTTTTGAGGCAGAGTCTCACTTTGTCACCCAGGCTGGAGTGCAGTGAGGTGATCTTGGCTCACTGCAACCTCCACCTCCCGGGTTCAAGCAATTATCCTGGCTTCCTCAGCCTCCCAAGTAGCTGGGATTACAGGTGTGCACCACCATGCCCAGCTACTAATTTTTGTATTATTAGTAGAGACAGAATTCCACCATGTTGGCCAGGCTGGTCTTGAACTCTTGACCTCAGGTGATCCGCCCGCCTCAGCCTCCCAAAGTGCTGGGATTACAGGGGTGAGTCACCGCATCCGGCCGGAGATCATTAATATTCTAAACAGTGGGGGAGAGGACACAGTTTGCGATTTAGATAGATTAAGCCAGCCACTGTGTGGAGCATGGACTGTAGGGAGACAGCAGGTAGACGTATTCAGGAAGCTGATGCAGTAGTCCAGGTGAGAGTTTGTGGTGGGCAGGAAGCAGGATAGAGGGGGAGGGAGGCAAGGACTCTTTTAGAGAGAGACATAAGAGGACTTGCCAAGGGGCTGAATGTGAATCCAGGTGATTCCTGGGTGAGAAACTGGGTAAAGGGAGGTGCCCCTTATTATAATGGGAAAGACCTAGAGAAAATGGATCTTGGGGTGAAAACAAGAGTTTGGAGGAGGTGGGGATTCTGGACAGGTTTGAATAAGCAGAAAGGAGTGGGGTGGACATTCCAGAGAGGGATAGCTTACATGAAGTGGCCACGGTGGCATGTCTGGGGACTGGAGGGGCCCTGGAGCCTCCCTCTGCAGGTAGGGAGACTCCTAGGAGCTATGTGGACCAACACTGTTCCCTTAGGAGCTTCTCATCCTCCCTCCAGGTATGAGGCCCGGTTCCAGCAGAAGCTTCTCGAATACACAGACTCCAACAACATTGCTTCCCTCTTCCTCACAGCTGCCAACAGATGGCTGGAAGTCCGAATGGCAAGTGCTATTCCCCTCTACCCTGGCCTCTGATAGGAGGGTGGGGCCAGAGCAAGAGCACACAGGTACCTGGGGATGAAAGAGAGGATAGGATACCAGATCGTGTGGACACCAAGCCTTCCTGCTTCCCCCAGCCCTGGTGGTCCTCCTAGTGTCTAGCCTGTGCTCCTTTTCCCCATATCACTGCCTGGAGGCTTGTGTATCTGAGGTGTGTGCCAGTGGCAAGAACAGTTGTGGTGAATGTGTATCTGCAGTGGGTCATATGACACCCACATTGTGTGTGTTTGTGGGCCAGCTGAGGCGTGCATGTTAAAGGGTGTGCAGGGGCTAGGGGGTAGGGGAGCATGAGCTTGTGGGACATGTTGGCTCCTGGGGCTCCAGCCTTCGCAGCCCTTGTGTGTGTCTGGTGACGTGTGCATGAGTTGCAGGGCTGGAGTGGAGGCCTGGCTGAGCTGCTCTCTGCCCCGAAAAGGAGTGAGGTAGAACAGGGGCCTGTGGCTCTAACCCCTGAGCGCCCAGGTCAGCTCCTCTCCCTCCCCAGGAGTACATCGGTGCATGTGTGGTGCTCATCGCAGCGGTGACCTCCATCTCCAACTCCCTGCACAGGGAGCTCTCTGCTGGCCTGGTGGGCCTGGGCCTTACCTACGCCCTAATGGTGAGCGGCAGTGGGCTAGGGCAGAGGAGGGGTCAGACACCAGCACTCCCGGAGCACCTTCGTCACTGGAGACATGAGACACTCCCAGGCCTTACCCCAATTTCATTTGCATCTGATGCCAGAGGGACAGTGCGGGCAGGAAGGCTGACCAGCAGGCCCCAGGGCCCAGGCCCCAGACAGGTGGAGGTTGGGGAGCCACATGACTGACCCTCCCTGTGCCTCCAGGGAGGGCTGCTCTGAGCAGGCAGTGGATGGCAGCAAAAGGAATCTGGGGCCCTGGCCCCTCTCCAGCCTTAAGAAGAGCCATTCTGGTGGCTGAGGACAGAACTAAGCGACCATGGAGTGTGCGCCACTGGCTTGCTCCCCACAGGTCTCCAACTACCTCAACTGGATGGTGAGGAACCTGGCAGACATGGAGCTCCAGCTGGGGGCTGTGAAGCGCATCCATGGGCTCCTGAAAACCGAGGCAGAGAGCTACGAGGGGCTCCTGGGTGAGAGGCTCAGGGAGAGGGGTGGGGAAGAGTCCAAGGAGGAGTGTGTCTGGGTTGGGGGCCACAAGGGAGCCTGGGGATGGGGTGGCACTTTCGGATACTAGCTGTGGCCCATGCCTGGTGGCTGAGCCCAGCCCGGCCCCCAGCACCATCGCTGATCCCAAAGAACTGGCCAGACCAAGGGAAGATCCAGATCCAGAACCTGAGCGTGCGCTACGACAGCTCCCTGAAGCCGGTGCTGAAGCACGTCAATGCCCTCATCGCCCCTGGACAGAAGGTCAGAGCACGGGCCCAACCCAATGCTGCAGGACAGGCGTGAGCAGGGGATGGGGCATGCACGGAGCTGGATGGCTTCGCAGTCACCTCGTGGCCCTCCAGGGCCGAGGCCTCTCACTATTCAGACATCGCAGTCTCCTGCCCTGGGCCTGTGGGGGCCCATCTTTCCTCTCCTTCTATTGCCTTCCCCCAGTGCTGCCCTCAGGCCTTGTCTTCTCACTCATCCACCAAGGAGACCGACACTCTGGACTCCCCCAGCTCACACGGGCTTTGTCAGGGCCTCCCTCTCTGCGAATGGTCAGGGGCTTTCCCTAGGGCACTGCCCCGAGCTTCAGGGCAGGGACCTGGGGGCAGACAGCGAGGCCACCCTTGTATTGAGGGTGAGCCCCTGCCTATGGCCCTGGCCCAGCTCTCCTCTCGTTTCCCACTCTGTCTCTTTGTCTCTGTCTCACTTTGCTGTGGCTGTCCATGTCATTCTCTGACCTTGGGATGTACCTCTGTCCCTGCCTCTCTCATCCTTCTATGTCACTATCTGTCTCCGTATTGTAATTTCTGTTGGTACCCAAGTGCCAGGAAGCAACGGGATCAGAGGTGGCTCCATTGTAGGGCGGGGCACACAGACACATCCATGCATACCACTCTCAGCTGCCCCTGTGTCCTCCTGCCACACCCATGCCCATAGAGACACACCACTGCCCCCCAGCTCTCCTTCAGCCAAGTACCCGGCACACCCAGACCCACACCAAGGCCCAGGCAAATGGACATCCATGCCTGCACTTGCGTGCCGGTCCCTGTGTAAGCCCTCTCTGGACCCACTGCAGGAAACAAGCCCAAACCTGTGGTGTCCAAAGAGAAACTAGTCAGAAAACCAGGCCAAAAAGATACCCTGTGACCTCCCACACCTGCACACACACCCAGAGCTAGCATAGAGGCTATTCCCAGCAGCCCCAGAGTCCCAGTGGCGGTGCCTGCTTCTCTCTTTCCAGATCGGGATCTGCGGCCGCACCGGCAGTGGGAAGTCCTCCTTCTCTCTTGCCTTCTTCCGCATGGTGGACACGTTCGAAGGTGAGTTGTAAGGCGGGCACCCCACGTGTACCCACAGCCACCAGATGAGGCCTCAGCCCTGGCACGTGGTCAGACATGACAGGAGGCCCAGCAGTCACCGCCTTCCCCTGCACCCTCACTGGGACCCATGCAGGGCACATCATCATTGATGGCATTGACATCGCCAAACTGCCGCTGCACACCCTGCGCTCACGCCTCTCCATCATCCTGCAGGACCCCGTCCTCTTCAGCGGCACCATCCGGTGAGCCCCACCACCCCTCAGGCCCACCCAGCCCCAGGCCGGCTCAGTTCCATCAGATCTGGAGCACAAAGAGGAGGGGGTTGGGGGAGACCAGGATCCCAGAGGTGTTTCCTGCTCATGCCCTTCTCCATCCCATCAGGCCCAGGCAGCCTCTGGAAGGGGATCCCCCACCCATGGGTCTAAGATGCTGTCCCCCACCCACTGCCACCACCTCGGTGCTTCTCCCAGCCAGACCTCCAACTCAGTCTGCTCTCGCTCACTGCCCTCTTTGCCGCCTGGGGATGCAGGCAGGACCCTGCTCCCTCCCTACTGGGGCTTTCTGTGCCACTTCCAGATTTAACCTGGACCCTGAGAGGAAGTGCTCAGATAGCACACTGTGGGAGGCCCTGGAAATCGCCCAGCTGAAGCTGGTGGTGAAGGCACTGCCAGGAGGCCTCGGTAACTACTCCTGGCTATGCAGCTGGGTTGGTTGGGCACTCAAGGACCCTGTAAGGATGGCAGACAGAAGCCCGTGTCTCAGGTTTGCCCCAAGTTTGGAGTCTGAAGCCTGGCAGGACCATTTAGTCCTACTTCTCACTATACGGGGGCCCAGAGAGGTCAGGTGTCTTGCCCCAGGTCACACAACTGGTCAGTTCAGGGTCTGGCTCCTCCTGCAGGGTACAGCGGGTACAGTCAGGGATCCTTGTGAGACAGAGATTGCGAGTCCCCCATGCCAAGGGGGCATCTTCAGCCCTGCCCTGCCCCATCCACCTGCATGCCCAGTTCTGCCTTAGGGGAGGAGAAGATGGACTGGGCAATCATAGACACGGGTCACTCATCAAGGCCACCGGTGATTGGCAAAGCCTTGGTATATTTGCTGCAGCTCCTGGAGCATTGGGGGTGGCCAAGCCTTGGTTTCAATGAATCACCCTACCAAGGCCCTACATACACACTCAGTGCACCCCTCAGTGCACACGCCCCCTCCCAGAACTGCCCAGGGCCACAGCAGCACACACCTCCAGGGGTGCCCTTCTCGTTGCAGTCCTTGCAGACGGCCTCCACATTGTTGTGTCAGGTGCACCAGCCCTGCACACGCCTGTGCTCTTGGACACACACCCACCTATTTGCCCCCATGCACACATTTTCCAACAGCCCCCCAAGCCATCCCATCTGCTCCACTCACAGCACAAGATTAACTCAGTCCTACTTCATCTCCCCGGGCTGTTTTCAGATGCCATCATCACAGAAGGCGGGGAGAATTTCAGCCAGGGACAGAGGCAGCTGTTCTGCCTGGCCCGGGCCTTCGTGAGGAAGACCAGCATCTTCATCATGGACGAGGCCACGGCTTCCATTGACATGGCCACGGTTGGTCCTGGGCCCCTCCATGGGACCATGGTCTTGGAAAGGGTTTAGTGGGATGCTAGGGAGAAATTTGCACGAAGTAGTCCTGAGGCTCAAGTTGCCTCTAACATCAAATGCTATGTGTTGCAGAAAATGAAAAGAGCTGGGGGGACCCTGACTCTGTCTAGTCTTAGGGAATGTTACACACACACACGCACACACAAAAACACTATGCAAACACACACATAAGCTGCACACACAGACCCACACAGACTTCACACTGTCACCTATCACAACAGCACACACACAGCCACAACCACAACCTACATACACACACAGAGCTGAGCTCCCAACAGGCTGAGTCCAGTCCCTGAGTGCCGGGAACCTGTTCAGTCCTGTGGGGTGGGGGTGGGACTAGGATCGGGGTCAGATGGGAGCTGAGCCACAGACCTGGGCTCCACATCCCCCAAGCCAGGCCAGACCCCATCCACTGGGCAGGTGAGCCAACAGCTGTTGCCCCCACTTGGCAGGAAAACATCCTCCAAAAGGTGGTGATGACAGCCTTCGCAGACCGCACTGTGGTCACCATCGCGGTAAGGGGCCCATTGATGGGGTGCAGAGGGACACCCAGGGACAGGACTGGCCTGTTGTGGCCGTCATCAGTGCACAGCCCCTGGGCTTGCCTGGTCCCAGTAATCAAGAAAGAACCCTGAAGCAGGCAGTTCAGGGCAAGGGGCCTGGAGGGCATGCAGGGAGCCTGGGTTGCAGGATTTGGGGTGGGGGGTTTTGCCCCTGTGCTTCCCTCAGACCTCCCCTCTCCTTCTCCAGGTTCCAAGGCCTGCCCCTGTCCCAAGGCCTTATATGTTAGGCTGGCGTTACTTCTCCATAGGAAGTGGGGGAGGGGTTGTGGAGGGTCTCTGAGCCTTGAAGCCTGGAGGTGGGGTAGAGTTGGGACTTGGAGAGGAGAGAAGGGTGGTATTAGCAGATGGAGAGCTTGTAGTCACATCCACCCCAGGAAAGTGCAGTCCCCACAGTGACAGGACATTCTGGCCACATGCCTCATCCTCCTCCTCCAAGCCGCAGGAGGGCCACCCTCAGCTGTGGCCCCCACCGCGGGTGGTATTCCCACCATCCTGACCCGCCCCCTCCTGCCCTGCCCAGCATCGAGTGCACACCATCCTGAGTGCAGACCTGGTGATCGTCCTGAAGCGGGGTGCCATCCTTGAGTTCGATAAGCCAGAGAAGCTGCTCAGCCGGAAGGACAGCGTCTTCGCCTCCTTCGTCCGTGCAGACAAGTGACCTGCCAGAGCCCAAGTGCCATCCCACATTCGGACCCTGCCCATACCCCTGCCTGGGTTTTCTAACTGTAAATCACTTGTAAATAAATAGATTTGATTATTTCCTACTAGAGGCCCTAAGTCTGGTGGGCAGGGGCTGGCGGTGGATGGTGGGTTCAGTAGAACCAGCCTGGCTCTGACATCAGGCAGAAGCTGTGTGAGCAAAAGCCTGCTTCCTTACCTGTGAAATGAGGCCTCTATTAGTCAGCCAGGCTGCCACAACAACATATCACAGACTGGGTGGCTTTAAAACAGACTTTTTTCTCACAGTTCTGGAGGCTGAAGTCTGGGATCAAGGTGTTGGCAGGTTTGGTTTCTCCTGAGGCCTCTCTCCTTGGCTTGCAGAGGGCTGCCTTCTGGCTGTGTGCTCACATGACCTTTACTCTGTGCACATGCATCCCTGCTTTCTCTCTGTGTCTTAAAAGGACACCAGTCATATTGGATTAGGGCCCCACCCCTATTACCTCATTAAACCTTAATTATCTCCTCACAGGCCCTGTTTCCAAATACAGTTACATTGTAGGATTAGGCTTCAACCTGTGAATTTGGCAGGACACAATTATGTCCATAGCAAGGGTGATAGCATTTCTGCAATGAGCTTATCAGATAAGGTAACAGATCTCCATACAGCTTGGTCTCCTTTCTTCTCACTTTCATTCTTGAATTAAAATCTGGATTAACACTATTTCAATTGCAAATGACAGGAACCCAATTCAAAGTAACCTAAGCAGAAACTGAATTTATTGAATATGTGACTGACAAGGCTAAGAGGTATACTACTTCAAGCATGGCTGGACCCAGGTGTTTGACATCCATCTGGGATGTGTCTTCCTTTCTGGGTTCCATTTTCCTCCCCTTTCATTATGACAGATGGCCACTAGCAGGTCCAGCTTACATCCTGCCCCAAGGCAACCCAAGAGGCAAAACAGATACTCCTTCCCAATAGTTCCAGCAAAAGCTTGGGAGCAAATCTCAATGCACCAACTTGGATCACATTCCCATCCCCACCCCACTGTGATCAGAGGGGTGGCATACACTGGCTGGCTAGGCCTGGATCATGTCTCCATCTCCATCCCTCAAGCAGGGGCATTCAGAAGTGGAAAGGTGGTCCTTCAGAGGGAAAGCACAGTGCATGAGTCACAGGTCAGCCAGGTGGTGTCTGGGAGACGCTGGAGCCCAGACACCAGGGAGACTAAAACAGCAGCTGTCCTGACTTCCTCTGCATCACGAAACAAGAGTGCACACCTGCCCTTGGCCAAGAAATGGCAGGTGCTCATTTACATCTCATTTTATGATCATTTGCATATCATCTGCAGTACTGGCTGCACCAAGCCCTGAGGTGCAGACCTAAGAGTCTTGAACCTGCATCCTCTTGGCTGCAAGGGGATCATAGAGGCACAACATAAGAAAAGCCCACCAGTTATCGGAGGCAGGTCCAGTGCAGACCCCTGTGGATGTTCCAGGAGCCAGAGAAGCTCGGAAAGGAAGAGCTCTGTAAAGCCTGGCAGCCTGCCTGGAAAAGACAAAATTTGAGTTAAATATTGTGGGGGATAGGGATTGGTTAGGCAGAAAGTCAGAGAAAGGGTTGGGGTGGCAGGTAGGGACAGCAGGAGCTAAGGAGTGATGGTGGAAGTGTGTTAAGAGTGTTGGTTGATCAGGGAGGTGGGAGAGAGATTACAGCAGTGGGGAGGGCATCATATCAGAGAGCCCTGAATGCCAGAGCAAGGAGTGTGGGCTATGCCCATGGACAAAAAGGGAGAAGGGTTTTGAGCAAGAAAGCGACTTGACAAGTTCAGTATTTGGTGGAGATGACTATAAGCAAGTGCAGGATGGAGCAAAAGGGGAGGCTGAGCCTTTCAGGTGGGAGACTCAGCCTCTCAGAAGGGTGAGCAGCAGGGAGGGAGGTAAGGCCTCAAGGCTGCACCAGGAGGCAGAACCCAGCCTTTCCAGCTCTGAGATTTCCCCAGGGGCCCAGCAGCTTCCTCCACTGTGAGATCTCCCAAGAGCAGAGCCGGGGAACTGAAAGAGGACTCCACAAGCCTACCACTGCTCCAAAGCCACCCCACCTCAACAGATTGAAGGGAAGTAGCAGGGGCAGGGCTGGGCCCACAGTGAGGTGTTGCAGGGATGCCCAAGGTCATCCTGGCCCAAAATCCCTGTATAACATCCCTCATGGCCCACCGACTTGATTTGGGTACCCCACAGATGTGGCTCATCTCTGGTTATTGTTATTAGAACTGACTCTTGCATATGTGAAACCAAAGCCTGCCTCTGTTCCACTTAGTGTCCTGGTTCTACCCTTTGGGCCACAAAAAACTACTAGTTCATCCTCCTTCAAGGCCAGGTGTTTCTGCAATAGTGCCCAAATCCCTGGGGGACTTTCCTTTTCTGATGGCTGGACAGTTGTAGTTGCCTCAGAGATTTCCCCATGTAACCCTGTCTCCTTGAGCTTCCCACTCTGCTCATCTCATTTTACCCTCCCCTTCCTAGACACTGCATCTTTGTTAATATAGCCCATGATCACACCCATCCTTTGTAGCGGTGTTCGCTCTGCCTGCAGGTGGGTAGGGAGAGAAAGGAAAATCCAATATAAAATGCATATCTTGCCCCCACTGTGGCCCACAGCCACACTGCCTTTTCCAGACCCTGTCTCAAGCCCCCACTCCAACAAAATGGCCGCAGATGGTCAGGGGTTCTTCCATAAGGATCTGAGCCACAGACAGCGGTAAAGCCGTTACTGTTCCAACAACAGAGATCTAGCAGGCTTTCCCTCCCAGCTGAGAACCCGGGTCCATGCCACAGGGCAGCCTCAGGCTGATGCCTGAACAGAAACACCACCATGCCGGGACCAAGAGCCTGGGTCCCCCAGTGCCCGAGGCAGCCCTAACACACTGTTCAGGCCTAAATACCACCCATGACCTAACGTGGAAGAAGTCAGGTGACAGGTGTGAGAAAGTGTAAAGCAAGTGGCCTCGGCTCAAACCTTCTTTAAAGTAGGGCCGGAATGGCTGAGAAGATGGAGCCGCCCAGGCTGCCCCACAGCAGTAGCAGGTGTTAAACTGTGCTCCTTTCCTGCCGAGGCCTTTTTTTTTTTTTTTTTTTTTTTTTTTTTTAATGAGAGGGAGTCTGAGCTTCCATCAGATTGTCAAAGGATTCAAGACTAAGATTAAGAGCATCCCCCAAAGAGAAGCAGCTGCAGGTTGAGAAGTCCTCGGACCGCCTAATTTCCGCCAGCCCTGGGATTGGTGGCGCCGCCTCTCAGCGCCTCCTTTCCCGGGGAACCTGCAAACCTGGCGCGGCCGAGAGGCGGATTACTGACCCAAATACGGATGGGGATATTGGGGGAGGGGAGCCAGGGCGACAGGGCGGCGGCCCCAGACTGGGAGGGCGGGTCACAGATCCCTCCCAGCCCCCCACTTTCGTAGAGCGTGGGCAGGAGGAACCTCTGGGTTCCGCGGATCAGAAAAACTCCAAAGGCCGGGTTGTGAGTCCCGGGAGGGGAGGTGGAGGGCGGGGGCGGGGAGGGGCGCGGGAGGGGCGGGGGCTTGCTCCGGCCCCGCCCCCTGCGCTCCGGTGCAGGTCGGGCTCCCCCTGGCGGTCCCCGGCCCCGTTCCTCTCCTCGTGCGCCCCCCTCCCGCCGTCCTAGACCCCTGCCTAGCCCAGGTCGGTCTCCGCGGACCCACGGACGGACAGACAGACGGGAGGACGGCCAGCCGCGAGCGCCCGGGCGGCGGGAGGGGGCGGGGAGGCGACGGCCGTGGCGTGAGGAGCAGGAGCAGGTGCAGCGGCGGCGGCGGGCGGGGCCGGGACCCGGCGCGGAGCGGGAGCCGCGGCGCGGGCGGGCGGCAGGGACCGGGAGGCCGCGACTCGGAGTCAGCCCCGCCGGGTCGCGCGCAGGTCCGGGGAGCCGCGGTTGAGCCGGGTGGGGTGGTGACTCCAGAGAACGCAGGATCCCAAGGAGACAGAGAGGACGAGAGCTGGAGGGGGATCCGGAAAGCGGCGGGGGCGCTCCGGGAGGGGTGGAGTAGGACATAGGGGGCGCACCTGGAGGAGAGACGGGGCGGGGGTGGCCAGGACCTGAGCTGGAGCCTGGGAGCCCGAAGGCCAGACAGGTGAGGCGGGAGACCCGGAGGTGGGGGTGAGGTCCGGTTAGTGGGAGAGATCCGGAGGTGTTAAGTTCTGAGCTGGGCTGGGAAGGCAGGCTGGGCGGGGAGAAGGGCTCTTAGCGGGAGGCCCAGGGGTGGTCAGCTGGTGGGGGAAGCTGGGGGAGGACGCAGGGCCAGGTGGAGAGCCGGCAGGGTTGGGGGCTCCCTAGGCGCCAGGCAGGTGGGCTCAAGGGTGAGGCTGTTTTTTTTGTTTTGTTTTTTGTTTTTGAGACGGAGTCTCGCTCTGTCGCCCAGGCTGGAGTGCAGTGGCGTGATCTTGGCTCACTGCAACCTCCGCCTCTCGGGTTCAAGCGATTCTCCTGCCTCAGCTTCCTGAGTAGCTGGGATTACAGGTGCGCACCACCATGCCCGGCTAACTTTTGTATTTTTAGTAGAGATGGGGTTTCACCATGTTGGTCAGGCTGGTCTCGAACTCCTGACCTAGTGATCTGCCCTCCTCAGCCTCCCAACGTACTGGGATTACAGGCGTGAGCCACCGCGCCCGGCCTGAGGCTGGTATTAAGAAGTGAAGTGGGACCCAGGTGGAGGTAAGGAAGAGTCTGGTGGGGAGTTATCTCAGAAGTGAGGCCAGCACAGGCTGAGTGCAGCCCCAGGGTGAGAAGGTGCCCACCGAGAGGACTCTGCAGTGAGGCCCTAGGCCACGTCCGAGGGGTGCCTCCGATGGGGGAAGCCCCTCCCTGGGGGTCACCGGAGCCATGCTGTCCCGCAAGGGCATCATCCCCGAGGAATACGTGCTGACACGCCTGGCAGAGGACCCTGCCAAGCCCAGGTACCGTGCCCGCCAGCGGAGGGCCCGCTTTGTGTCCAAGAAAGGCAACTGCAACGTGGCCCACAAGAACATCCGGGAGCAGGGCCGCTTCCTGCAGGACGTGTTCACCACGCTGGTGGACCTCAAGTGGCCACACACATTGCTCATCTTCACCATGTCCTTCCTGTGCAGCTGGCTGCTCTTCGCCATGGCCTGGTGGCTCATCGCCTTCGCCCACGGTGACCTGGCCCCCAGCGAGGGCACTGCTGAGCCCTGTGTCACCAGCATCCACTCCTTCTCGTCTGCCTTCCTTTTCTCCATTGAGGTCCAAGTGACTATTGGCTTTGGGGGGCGCATGGTGACTGAGGAGTGCCCACTGGCCATCCTGATCCTCATCGTGCAGAACATCGTGGGGCTCATGATCAACGCCATCATGCTTGGCTGCATCTTCATGAAGACTGCCCAAGCCCACCGCAGGGCTGAGACCCTCATCTTCAGCAAGCATGCGGTGATCGCCCTGCGCCACGGCCGCCTCTGCTTCATGCTACGTGTGGGTGACCTCCGCAAGAGCATGATCATCAGCGCCACCATCCACATGCAGGTGGTACGCAAGACCACCAGCCCCGAGGGCGAGGTGGTGCCCCTCCACCAGGTGGACATCCCCATGGAGAACGGCGTGGGTGGCAACAGCATCTTCCTGGTGGCCCCGCTGATCATCTACCATGTCATTGATGCCAACAGCCCACTCTACGACCTGGCACCCAGCGACCTGCACCACCACCAGGACCTCGAGATCATCGTCATCCTGGAAGGCGTGGTGGAAACCACGGGCATCACCACCCAGGCCCGCACCTCCTACCTGGCCGATGAGATCCTGTGGGGCCAGCGCTTTGTGCCCATTGTAGCTGAGGAGGACGGACGTTACTCTGTGGACTACTCCAAGTTTGGCAACACCGTCAAAGTGCCCACACCACTCTGCACGGCCCGCCAGCTTGATGAGGACCACAGCCTACTGGAAGCTCTGACCCTCGCCTCAGCCCGCGGGCCCCTGCGCAAGCGCAGCGTGCCCATGGCCAAGGCCAAGCCCAAGTTCAGCATCTCTCCAGATTCCCTGTCCTGAGCCATGGTCTCTCGGGCCCCCCACACGCGTGTGTACACACGGACCATGTGGTATGTAGCCCGGCCAGGGCCTGGTGTGAGGCTGGGCCAGCCTCAGCTCAGCCTCCCCCTGCTGCTCATCCAGGGTGTTACAAGGCACTTGTCACTATGCTATTTCTGGCCTCAGCAGGAACCTGTACTGGGTTATTTTTGTCCCTGCTCCTCCCAACCCAATTCAGGACTGGCTCACCCCTCTCCCCCGCCCAAGGCTGCAGAGGCTGTGGGAGGTACTGGGCCCTAGAGCTGTGCGTCCAGCCAGTCCTGGGTCCCCACGATTGACCAGCCACACTCTGGGCCGGTGGCTGGGGAAGAACAATCCCCGAGGGCTGCTGCTTTGCGTCTGTGGCTCCAAGAAGTGCCTGTGGTCAGGCCCCAGCTCTACTTGGTCCCTGAAAAAGCACCTGGCTAAGGGCTGGGCCTGGCCAGCAGGGAGGGCAGTTGATGAGAGAGGGTGTTCCCGCTGGAGGGTTGGTGCTGTGGAGCCTACACCGGCAGGGACAGCCTGGGGCTGACAGGGCTCCCCTCCGAGGGCCAGTTTCAGGTCTGGAAGGGGAGGAAGCAGGGGAAGGTGACCTGAGGAGGCTCGGCTTTGTAGAGCCCCGCTCAGGCACAGGGAGGAGGAGATGCCAGGGCTCCTGCCTTTTGCCACATCGGCCTCGTGCAGTGAGGGCTCTGTGGGCTGGGGCTGCTGCCCCTGCCTACCTCCTGCCTGTCCCCAGAGGCTGAGGAGAGGGGGTACTGTGCCCACCACACATGATTAGGCCTCAGACCCAACTCTGGTCCTGGCTCCACAACAGTGGCTGCCACTCACTTTGTCCAGAAGGTGGCTTGGGGGTGGATATCTTTGGGTTGCTGGAAAAGGTGTGGGAAGGTTCAGGATGGTGGGAGGGACTGAGGTCCCTGAGGTGAAGAGGCCCTTGGTCCTGACGGGTTTGACCCGTGCCTGGACCCTTGGAGCAGTGTTGTGTGAACTTGCCTAGAACTCTGCCTTCTCCGTTGTCAATAAAGCCTCCCCCTCATGACCTAAACTCTGGGCTTTTCTTGCTGGGGAGGCAGCAAGCATGCTGGTGGGAAGGGAGGCAGGGACTGGCAGCTGCCACCCCCTTCAAGAGGCGCCATAGACCCTAGCGGGGAGGGCAGGGGAGGGACGGAAGGCTGGCACCTCTTCCACCAGTTCAGGGGGACTTTCCCCTCTCCTGTCTCAGGTGGCCCAGCCCTGTCAGCCTGTCTGGCCAACTCAGCCTTTGGGCACTCACCAGGCTTTGCAGCCCTGGGCTCTGTCTCTACTCCCAGGGACCTGCTGGAAGGCTGGAGTGCCCAGGGAGAGGTATAGAGGTGTCATAGGCATTAGTGTAGTAATTGGAGCACTAACTCTCGAGCCAACTGCCTGGGTTCGAATCCTGGCTCTAGCTGTATGACTTTTGTCAAGTAACTTAGCCTCTCTGTGTCTCAGTTGCCTCTTCTATAACATGGATGCTAATAGTACCTACCTCATAGAATTGTTTTGGAAGTAAATGAAAAATATGTAAAATGCTGAAGTGCCTGGTCTACAGTAAGTGCTCAATAAATGTTAACTATTGTGATTGCTGCTGAATCAGCTACATGCTGAGGAAACGGCCAAACAAGTGTTAAAGAGAGACGGTGCTTTTATTTTGCCCTTGGTCATGTTTCTTTGCCAGGTCTTTCTTTCCACACGGTGTCCCCTCCTAGCTGAGACCACGATTTTAGGGGCTGTGGCAATGCCTGTGACCTGGTCCCCTTGTCTCCATCTCACCCACTGTAGTCCATCTGCCACACAGCCTCCAGGGTGGTCTTAGAAGGGTGGGTCACCCCCCACCCTCATCATGAAATACCTTCGGTAGTTCCCCATCACCTCTGGGTCAAGGCTAGCTTCTTAGCAGCCATTTCAGGCTGTGACTGCCTCTCCGGCCTTATGGCCCACTGTTTTCTTGCCAGGAGTCTGCACTTGCCCACCCACTTCCCTAGGTACCTCGCTGTCCTATCCCTCCTGACACATAATGTTGAGCTTCCTACCTCCCAGACCTTGCTTATGTTACTCCCTTGGCCTGGACTGCCCAGGCCTCATCTCTGTCTGTTGAAATCCATAAAAATCCAGGCTGAGTGATGCCTCCTCGAAACCTTCCCTGATTTCTCTGGAAAAGGAAGGTCCCTTCCCTCTGCTGTGCTGTGGGCATTCTCCTTTTGCCTACGTTTAGGGGTCTGTCTCCCCATCCACAAGTCCATGGCTTCCTGAGGTCAGGGACTGTGACTCAGCACTGTGGCTGGCTTACATGGAGTAGGTGCTACATGAATGAACAAATGAATGAATGAATAACGGATGGATGGCGTACAGGACAAAAAGCCAGGGTTATTGCTACAGTGTGAGGCCTGCAGACAGGGCATCAGTGAGGGTCTGTCTCAGGCGGCTCCAGAGGCAGGGCCAAGGGGCCAGGAAGTTGCCGCTGCTGGTCTGAGCTCTAAGCTGCCCTCTCCCAGCACCCATGCAGTCCCCAGCGCTGATTCCCTTCCTTGCAGAGCTGACCCATTTCTGGTTTTGAGGGTGAAGGGGTGAAAGCTACTCAGAGTCAGCCCAGGATCCTAGGAGGCTGGCTCTTGCGACTCAGCTTGGCTGCCATTAAGGCCAAGGAGAAAGGCCAGACTCACTAAGGACCTGCTGGCAGTACCATCCTTGGAGCCCAAACCAGAGTAACCTTCCTCCACCCCTCAGGGACCTTAAGCTGCTGGTGAGTGTGAAGCCCACAGAACTGAGGGCTTAGCGCCACCTGCTGGCCACAGAGAAGACTTACTTCGGCAGAGAAAAATCAGGACCACTGGTCCTAGGTTTTCCACCAACTCTGAGGGAGACCCCCAGCCTTAAGGCATAACCCAGGGAGGGGCTGGAAAGCTCCAGGCATAGAGAGGCAGTTCGACCAAGCCTCCCTCCTCCGCGAAGGTGTTCTTGCCCACTGATGGTGCTACCTCCATCTGGGGGCACCCTTTCTCTATGGCACTGGCCTCAACTGGACAAAGAAGTTCACCTGAGCACTACTCAGCCCAGCAGGAACTTCTGTGATAATTTTGTTTGTGATATTCTGCCTCCAGGATTGCATCCCTTAGTCATCATGTGACAGCAGAGGAAGCAGTCTGGCCCATCCACACGCTATGTGCAGAGCTGTCTCAACTCCAGGGCCCCTGAAAAGGAGAAGGGAAGTACCATGTATCACTGTGGCCCAGCAGGACTATGAGAGAAGCACTGTTCTTCTTTGAGTTTGTAGATGAGGACACAGGGTCAGAAAGGGTGGTGTCTTAGACCATTCAGGCTTCTATAACAAAATACCATAGACTGGGTGGCTTATAAACAATAGACATTTATTACTCACAGTCTGGAGGCTAGGAAGTCCAAGATCAAGGTGCCAGTGGATTCAGTGTCTGCTGAAGGGCCTGTCTTTCCCCTGTAATCTTACATGGTGGAAGGTGTGAGGGAGCTCTCTGGGGCCTTGTTACATAAGGGTACTAATCCCATTCATGAGGATTCCACCCTCATCACCTCCCAAAGGCCCCGCTTCCAAATACCATCACCTTGGGCATCAGGATTTAACATGTGCATTTTAGGGGGACACAGACATTTAGCCTATAGCAGGAAGTAATTTGCTAAGATCTCACAGCTAGTAGGAGGCAGGTCCAAGATTTCAGCCAAAGTCTGTCTAATGCCACAGCCCTGCTCTTCCCTCCCCCTCTTTCCCCTAGCACACAGTCCCAGTGACCTAAGCTCCAGCTTTTAGTAGGGCTGCACCTTGTTCTAAGTGTCACATTCACCACAGGGAGAAAGTTGTCTCCAAACCAAGGGAAAGAGGGAAGGTGGAACTCAGCAAGCCCCTGGGCCTCCCTGAGATCCCAGATTGGAAACTGGCAGCAGGCTTGGCTGTTTTGTGACAGCCTAGATTATGTCCAGAACACCTATGGAGTCAGAACAACCTCACTGGCACTTTTTCTGGCCCACGTGCATGATGAGCCCTCCATCTTCTTCCTTCTTACAGGAAGACTGGGCTCTTTGCTTTACAGGCTCTTCTTCCAGCCAGTCAGGTGTCAATGCAGCCTGATTGGGCACATCTGCCACCCATCTGTCCCCAACTCATATCAATGGTGTGAGACATGTCCTGGGCCTCAGTCCTGAGCTTCAGAGGGAAGGCAAGCCAGGCCACCCTCTTCCTGTGTGCTAGTCTAGAAAAACTAGCCCACTCGCACACTAGAACCTGCCCAGGCCTAACGCCTGTGGATTTGGCATCTCCAGCCAATGTCACCATGAGACCCACCCGAGCCCCACTAATGTGCACCTCTGGCCCTTCTGCTGGAGAGGACTCATGCAGCTTCTCCAGGGCCCACTTTCTCTCCACGGGCAGGAGGCTCTGTCCTTCACCTGAGCTCCTCCCCCACATCTTTTTCTAGGGAGAACTTTCCCAGGGAGCTTGCATTCACAGCAGGAGAGCTGCCCTGACACTCCACAAGTCTCTGGGCTCCCCAGGGCCTCTGAGGTCTCCCCAGGCCCAGATATCAGACACTCTGTGTTGTACCAAGTGTCCAGATAACTTTAGCAAGAAGACATGAATTCCGTTCATCAAAGTCATGTTGACCTCAGGTCCGAAGAACAACAGATTGATTCCAGCTTGAAAGAAGCTGGGGAAAGGAAGAACAGTGGGGTTAGTCAGAGCTGGGCCAGAAGTGCCTTTCGTTGTGCTGGATTCTGGGTTATTGGCAGCCCCTCTGCCAGAGCTACCCGTCTAGGGCACTAATCTATGGGAGGGGAAGCAGGTGCTACCCACACCCTATTCTAGTTCCACTCTGGGCAGGTCCAACTCTGGAGTGATGTGAAGAGCAGGCTGCCTGGACTGGCCAAACTGGGTCCAGGAGTGTGAACTTCTGCCTTTCCCCCGACCTCAATTTCTGGCAGGCACCAAGGCCAATGAGTGAAACGAGTAATACAAAATGCCTGTGCAGCTCCACAGCTTATTACCTTCCGTGGGGGAAGCAACAATGTTCAGGTATGCAGCACAGGTTGGCACTGCCTAGAAGCTGTCTATAGCTTATAGGATCCAGTTAACCCTTTTGTTAGTCATGCACCTCCCCTGCATGAAACAATATTGTTCCTTGCAGCACAAATATGTCCCAACCTCCTCCTCCCCAGATCATCAGCCCCGAACTGAAGCAAAACAGACTTTGGGTAGTCTTTCCTCTGTTTACTCTTTACTTCATTTGATCAATTCCAATTTTTTTCATAATGCCATTATTATTGAGGGAAGGGGAGTAACTTCAAGGTAATCCAGAGAGAAGCAAATGCAATACAGTTCTGACTGAGATGCAGATTCCTTTTTGTTAAATGCTGACTGTGTCCTTGGTTTCCCATTCACCTGGGAAGTAGAAGAATAAAAATCATTCCATAGTTCCATCCAAGGAGGGCAGCTGCAACAGTGTGCTCTTGAGCAGGCTGTCTGGGTCATCAGGAAAAGCCATTCCAGTTACTCACGCATTCTCTGAGAAACCTTGTCATCTCTGCCATCTGTCTCTGTGTAGGAACTGCCAAAGTCCTTCGGTTCCCCATCTCAAATAAGCAGTGCATGGGTTACTTCCCTCATTCTAATCCTTCAGTCCCTCCTTGTGTCCGTTTGGATCTTCCAGGAAGCAGCTTTCAAGATGGAGTTAGAAGTACGAGTAATGAGGGGTGATTACCGTGAAAGATAAAGGGGAGAGGCTGTAGGGGGGAAGGCCTCAGACCACCATGCAGGCTGACTGTGAAGGAAAGGCAGGGGGGATGAGGGAAGACTAAGATGAGCCTCAGGCTACAGTACAGTAAGTCCTCACTTAATGGAGTTGATAGGATCTTGGAAATTATGACTTTAAATAAAATAATGTAGAACAAAACCAATTTTCCCATAGGCTAACTGCTATAAGAAAGAATTAAGTTCACAGCATATTTCTGGTCATAAAACACAACATCAAACTTCTAAATAAAGACCAAACACTTCAATATTTAACACTGAAATAAATGTTTACATATACATTTAGGAATGATTACTAATACTAATGACCAATACTAGGCCAGGCACAGTGGCTCATGCCTGTAATCCTAGCACTTTGGGAGCCCAAGGCAGGAGGATAGCTTGAGCTCAGGAGTTTGAGACCAGCCTGGACAATACAGCGAGACCTTATCGCAACAACAACAACAACAAAAAATTAGACAGGCATGGTGACATGCGCCTGTAGTCCCAGCTACTCAGGAAACTGAGGTGGGAGTATCGCTTGAGCCCAGGAGGTGGAGGTTGCAGTAAGCCAAGATTGTGCCACTGCACTCTGGCCTGGGTGACAGAGTGAGACTTTGTCTCAAAAAAAAAAAAATTACTAAAAACAAATAATAATTACTCACCCAATGATTCCAGTTCAGAGTTGTGGGTGGCCAGAGCCTATCCCAGTGGCTCAGAGCACTAAGTGGGCATCAACCCTGGAGAGGATGGTATCTGGCTGTAGGGCATGCTCACACCCACACCCTCACTCACTGTGGCACCATCTAGACACCCCAATTTACTGGAAGTGCTCATTTTTGCGATGTGGGAGGAAACCAGAGTACCTGATGAAAACCCATGCAGAACATGCAAACTCCACACAGACAGTGGCTCAGGTTGGGAACTGAATTTTTTTTCATCAATGTGATAACAAAATGACATCAAATAAAATGATGTTATTCTAGCACCTAATATACACTCTGAGAAAGTCTTGGCCACCCCAGATCCCCGAGATCAGCAGCTGGAGATCTCGGGATATAGTTCAGTATTCCAGCATCAGCTCCCAACACGGAGCTCCTGCCTTGCTCAGTCAGTGGCAGAAGCAGTCTGGGGAGAGCATGGCACCAGCTGGAACACTGATGCAGATCCCTGAGATCTGTAGCTGGAGCCCATCAGCTGACTGCACTCCTCACACAGGCTCTCTCTCGAAGGGGGTCTCAGACACATCTCTGTGGCTACCACACTTCTTTTGGTCAAAGCTCAGCTTCCTGAGGAGTTGTAGCACTTAGCTTATGCTGTGTAACAAAGCCAGTATAAAACAGTGGCTTTAAAAAACATTTTAAATATTAATGTAATATTTAAAATGTTTTACATATTAAAAGTATTTTCCAAGTATTTGAGAGTTGGCTCTGCCAGCTCTGCTGATCTCAGATTTGCTCACATGGAGTCAGGTGGCTGTCATCTAATCTAGCCTGGCCTCCACTGGAGCAACAAGGATGTGGTAGCCAGCATCTCTCATCCTCCAGCAGGCTAGTCTCGACCTGTTCTTCTCCCAGCACCATTAGAAGCACACGAGGAAGCAAATGAAGACACACAAGACCTCTTGGGGCTTACACTTGGAACTGGCACGCCTTCACTGCTGTCTTCTTAAGTTGGCTGAAAGAGGTCACACAGTTAGAGGCACTACAAAGTTACACAGCAATGGACATGGATTCAGGGAAGGGTGTAGGATTGGAGTCATCTTTGCAAACAACTAAAGGATCCAGCTGATCATAAAGGGTTTGTTTTCTTTTTCCATAAGCATCATTGCTGATGTTGGGGTTATCAGCAATAAACTGATAGTTTTACAGTCTCACCAATGCACCACAATGTAGCAGTCTCTCATTGCCCAAGGTATCACCTGAAGTTCTTTGTCTCATAACCAAGAAAATTAAGGAGCATGGACCCCAAAGGTGAGGTTGGAGCAAAAATTTAAAAAGTGAAAAAAGAAAGCTCCCCACTGCCAAGAGGGGGCCCAAAAGAGTGTCGCCATTTCACAGTTGAATACAGAGGCTTTTGTAAGAAATTGATGAGTGCTGGGCATCTCATTTGCATAAAGCATGAATTTCTGGTAGTTCTACCCTATCCTCCCAGTGTGCATGCAGGCCCTTAGCTTGAGTTACTCCATATGGCTTTGTTCCCCTTACTGCGCATGTCTCAGGGAATGGAATTTTCCATTGTGGGCATCTCTGGGCAAGTCTCCTGTGTAGTCTTTCTTACCTAGGCAGCTGTGGACATGTCTAAGGCAAGCCTCCCTGTACAAGTTCTCTTCTCTGTGCCTGCAGTTTGATTTTTCAAGCTGTTCTTTTGTTTGGAAGAATTTTACCGAGGACCCACCCTAACTGCCTGTCTGACTGGTTTCTTCCTTCCTCCTTTCTCATTCCCTGCTTCAGGAGTGGAGACCCCAACTGCTGTTGGGGAAAGTGGACGATGACCACTCCTGGCTGCTTCCTGCTGGAAGGGGGCGTCGTTGGGGTTACAGCAGTTAGGGCTCCTCCTGAGATTGGTCTAAGGGTCCCCAGAAGAATGGCGTGTCTATGTGTGGTTCTATCTGCAGCACCATTTGGAGTTTAATAGCCTCTAAGTGAGAGGAAACAATTTGAGTTACAGTATTGAATATACAAAGTCCAAACATTAGTACAAAACACACGAGCAAAAGGGGGCCTAATAAAGGAGCTAACCAGTTCCACAAAGAAGACTGGAATCCATTTAAGAGGGATTGTAGCCAACTGGGACTGGAGCCCGCATTCTCTCTTAATCTGTCAATGTTCTAATTTGATCTTTAAGCACCTGTACATTCTCTTCTACTTGACTAGAGGTATTGATCTAGAAGTGACATGCTTCTTTTTAAAAGTGCACAGGTACCCCCTACTTTGGCCATAAGGATATCTAGGGCCTGTCTATTTTGCATAACTACTGAGGCTAAAGAGTTTATGAATTGTTGTTGTGCTTCTATGGCTCCTACTGTTAGCTTCTACCCTTGTGGCATCATAATAGAAATATTAAGTACTGATTTTTCAAGGAGAGGAATACCAGCAAACCAGAATAGGCCTCTGACTATAGAATCCCCTATCCATGGTTTTTCTGAGATAGGATTGTCATGTGCAGGTCCTACCCAATCTTCTCTTTCAGTTAAGTCTCCATATGAGGGCATGGAAATGATAGACCTCTTTGTTCAGCGCATCTGAGATAGCACACTCACTAGAAAAGACGCTAGGCTAGGGATGTCCCCAGATGATGCTGCCATATCAGTGGAATTTAAAGATAACAGGTCAGGAACCACTGCCACGATAGTGCAGGTTCCCTTCCAGTGCCTAGGGAGGATTAAGTGTAGCCAGGAGCCACAAAGGAAATAAAGCCCTGTCCCCTGAAGGGCCAGTTCTAAGTTGTAGCTTGTGAGAGACACAGGCAGATCTTTCTCATATCTTAGAAGCTTCCCCCTCCTGCATGTAATAGGAACATCTTTGGGATGGGGATATCTATACTCAGGATAGTCACTCACGATGCCATTTGGAATTTTACATGCTAAATGAGAAAGGTCCACCTGATAAATTGAGTTTTGTTTGTTTGTTTGTTTTTTGAGATGGAGACTTACTCTGTTGCCCAGGCTAGAGTGCAGTGGCACAATCTTGGCTTTCTGCAACTTCTGCTTCCCGGGTTCACGCAATTCTCCTGCCTCAGCCTCCCGAGTAGCTGGGACTACAGGCATGCACCACCACGCCTGGCTTTTTTTTTTTTTTTTTTTGTATTATTAGTACAGACGGGGTTTCACCATATTGTCCAGGCTAGTCTTGAACTCCTGACCTCATCATCTACCTGCCTCAGCCTCCCAAAGTGCTGGGATTACAGTCGTAAGCCACCACACCTGGCCGACAAATGGAGTTTCAAAAGACCAGGGACACGATATGCCCTGGCCAATATCTCAGATAATGCCCCCTTGTGACAGGGGCTGTCAGTCCAGAAGTCTCCTGTTCTGTTCACCCACAGATTTGTAGGCCACTACTACTAAGCATCATACAGGGGGTCTGGAATCCCATGAGGGTGCATGTCTGGGAAGGCCTATGTGTTGTTTTTTACATTATAGTGCCATGTGTCAGGGTGGTTACCCAGAGCCTGCCATTCCCAGCAGGACTTTCAACCAGGAGGAGACGCTGAATTCTGAAAGCCTCCCCTCCATATGGCTTCCAATTTTCTTAGATCATCCTTCTTATGTCTTTTTCTCCAAACTTCCGAGCTTTCAGCAATTACAAGTATGGTGTTATAATATTTGAGATCTCCCAGGTATGGTCCTTTTCCTCTGCTTTTAAAACAGGAGGAGGCATTTGCTATTACCCGGCCAACTTTTCCTAGCCTGAGGGTGTGAGGCTTATCTTTGGGGAAAGTGTTTTCTGGCACCAGGGAGGAAATGCTTTCCTGGGAGGAGTTAGTTACTCAGTTGAAAGTGTTCCCATACCATGTTCCATTTATGCCTGACAAGTCTTTAATGGCTAAAGGTAAAGCTAACAAAGGGAATGCTAAGACAGTAAATACCAAGTCATCAAGAGGTTCCTTAGTGTTACTGAACTGAGCAAACCGCTCAGGACAGACCCAGCAATTTGTCTTGTATAAATGGGACATGGCTGACACAGTAGAGGCTAAAGGGTGTGACGTATTACCAAACCCAATAAAAAGTCCTAGCAGACTCGGCCCTACTGGGTAGAGGCTTCTTTAAATGAGGGACCATTGTTGTTTTGGAAGTACTTAGGGAGCCCAAAGTGAGGAATTATTTAACTAATTAGTATTCTCACCACCTCAGAGGCCTTTTCTGTTGGGCATGGGAATGCCTCTACCCAGTTAATGAAGGTATGCACCCACACCAAAAGACATTGAATGCCATTTATTTTGGGCATATGGGTGAAGTCTATCTGCCAGTCCTCCCCTGAGTAACTTCCCATCCTTTGATTGTGGTGGGGAAGAAGTCATCTGTTAAAGGGATTATTTTTAAGAGGGTTTCACGAGTATTAACAACCTATTTGACCATTTTTAGTAGATTTTCTCCTGAGAACAATCTTTGGATGCACTGATGTCTTATGCTTTCCTAAGTGAAAGGCTCAGTGGAGGATTTTAAGAATCTTCCATTGGCTGGAGGCTGGCAAGCGTACTTTGCAATCTTCTGATTGTAACCATCCTGAGGGTTGAAAAGTATACCTCGAGAGGTGGCCCATTCTATCTCTGTAGGGGAATACTGAGGCTTTATTTCCCTTATGTAGCCCTCCCAAATCAGAGGGGCCTCAAGTGTTTTGGGACCTTGGGGCCTTCTTACTGCTGACTTAGCTCTTTGGTCTGCTAGCCTGTTTCCTTTCGCTATTTCATCTACCCGCTTCTGATGCCCTCTGCAATGTCTGACCACTAATTCTCATGGGAGGAACACTGAGGATAATAGCCTGTTGATGTCTTGATGGTATTTAATGCAAGACCCATTAGCGGTGAGGAAGTGCCTTTCCTTTCAGATGGCAGCATGGGCAAGGAGAACTAGAAAGGTACACTTGGAGTCAGTATAAATGTTAGCTGTCTTTCCTTTGCTTAGTTCAAGTGCTCTTGTGAGAGGGATCAGCTCAACTGATTGAGTGTGTGTGCCTGGTGAGAGAGGCACATTTTCAATGTTATTTAGGGTGACTACTGCATATCCCACTTTTCAGACTCCCTGTCCTACAAAAGAGCTCCCATCCATAAAGTGGGTCCAGTCTGGATTTTCTAGGGGAATTTCTTTGAGATCCTCCCTAGCGGCATAGGTTGTACTACAGTCTGTTCACAATTATGTTCAGTTTCTCCAGTTTCCTCTGGGAGGAAAGTGTCTGGGATCAGGCAAGGTCAGGTTTTTAACTGGACTGCAGATTCCTCTAGCAGCAAAGTCTGATACTTGAGGAGGCAGCTGTCTGTTAGCCAGAGACTCGCTTTAGAGGACAGCAAGCCTGCCACATTATTTATGTGAGGCATAAACAGGTTATTCCCCAGGGTTAACTTGGTGGCCTCTGGGACTAGCAGGGCCACTACTGTAACTGCTCAGAGGCAAGCTGGCCATCCTTTAGCCTCCAAGTCAAGCTCTCTACTTAAGTAACCTACTGGCTGTTGAGCTGGGCCTTGAACTTGAATTAAAACTCCCAGGGTCATTCCTTTCCTTTATGATACATAAAGATTAAAGGACTTCCCTACAGAAAGACTGGGGGCTGGTGCTTTAAGCAAGGCTTGTTTTAACTGATTAATGGCCTTTTGACCTTCAGGTTCCCAGGTCAGGAAGTGAGTTTTAGCCACTTGAATTTCTTTTATAAGGTGATATAAAGGGCAACCTATTTTATCATACCTGGGTATCTATAACCTACAAAAACCTGTAATGCCCAAGCATCCCTCAGCTGCTTGAGGGTTCTGGGGAGAGGAAGGGAGGAAATGGGATTAATCCTCTCCTCGCCTAGTGCTCTTGTTCCCTTCTGACAAGACCAGACCTAGGTACTTTACCAAAGTCTGATAGAGCTGAGCCTTAGATTTTGAAGCCTTATATCCCTTTCCAGCTAGGAAATTAAGGAGAGCCTCAGTGCCGTCTCAAGAAACTTCCTCAGTTGGGGCACAGAGGAGAATGTCATCTACATATTGTAAAACTTTAACCTGAGAATGGAAGAATTCGAAGAGATCTCTTGACAATACTTGCCCAAATAGGTGGGGGCTATCTCTAAATCCCTGAGGCAGTACAGTCCAGGTTAACTGGGTGGTTTGATTGGAGGGGTCTTCAAAGGTAAACAAGTATTGGGAGTCAGGGTATAAAGGTATACAGAAAAAGGCATCCTTTAGGCCCAGAACTGTGAACCATTTAGTTCCCTTGGATATTTGAGTTAGCAAAGTATAGGGACTGGGATCTACTGGATGAATCGTAATCACAGCCTCATGAATAAGGCAGAGGTCCTGAACTAGTCTCCCTTCCCCATTGGATTTTTGCACCCCTAATATTGGGGTGTTTCAAGGGCTACTGCAAGGCCTAAGGAGGCCTTGTGCCTTTAGGTTATCAATGCTGGCGTCTAGCCCTTTTCTACTTTCTGGCTTCAGAGGGTATTGTCTCTGGTTAGGAAAAAAAGTGGGATCCTTGAGGTGGATCCAGACTGGTATAGTGGTTATAGTCCGGCCACTTCTTCCCTGAGTTGCCCAAACCTCTGGGTTAATACTGGTTTCCACTAAGGGGAGGCGGAGTTTGTCCTGGAGCCATAAGGATGGTGGCCCCCATACGTGCTGGAATATCTCTATCTAATAAAGGAGTGGGACTTTCAGGCATGACTAAAAAGGCCTGTGTAAACAGTAGGTCCCTCTGACTGCAACTAATAGGTTGAGAAAAATATCAAGTTAAAGTCTTTCCTGAGATGCCCATCATGGTTGTGCTATGGGAGGAACGAAGGCCTGAATTGGAGAGGAAAACAGAAGCCTGGCTCCAGTGTCCAGAAAGAAGTCTACCTTCCTCCCTTCGAACTCCAGAATCACCTGGTGCTCCCGGGTAGTAACAGCAGTCTGAGCCACTGGAGCCAGGGAGTTGAGCCCCAGGACCCATCAGTCCTGCTGGACCATTTGTGAGACTGGCTCTGGACTCAGTGACCTATGCTTCCCAGGACAGTCTGCCTTCCAGTGGTCCCCATTGTATACTGGACAGGGTTGAGGTGGCTTCTTCTTGCTGCCTGGGCAGTCCCTTTTGAAGTGCCCTAGTTTGCCACATTGGTAGCAACTAGCAGGTGTACCTTGGGGATACTGGGTTTTATACAAAGTGGCCACCAGAGTCTCTGCCTTTTTCTTGTGTTTCCTCTCCTTCCCCTGGGCCTCCTCCTGGTCCCTATTATAAAAGACCGAGGTGGCTACCTTCAGGAGGTTTTGTAAGGTGCTATCTAATCCCATGGCCTGTTTCTCTAGCTTCCTTCTGATATCAGGGGCTGTCTGAGTAATAAACTTGTCTTTCAAAATTAGCTGTCCCTCAATTGAATTATTTATGTGAGGTATAAACATACCTAACAGGAGACAAGGAAGTGTGTTTCACTACAGCCTCTCTCAGCCTTTCCAAAAAGGCTGAGGGATTTTCATCTAGTTTTTGATCTATCATGGAGAGTTTGGGGTAATTAAGAGGCTTGGCTCTGGTCCTCTGTAGGCCCTCTAATAAGCACATTTGAAAATGTTTTCTTTGCCACTCATCTAAGGTACCACTGGGGTCCGAATTATGTTGTTCAAGGGGCACTGCCTCGCTTCCTATTGGGTATGTGAATGCTGGTTGTTTCTCACCTTCTTTCCTTATTGAGTGGCTATAGAAGACATGTTGTTCATCTCTGAATTTTTCTGCTGCCTGCAGGGCTACCTGTTTCTCTGTAGTAGTTAAGAGTTTAAGAGCAACATAACATCACCCCAAGTAAGGTCAAACACCTGAGTTAGGTTTTGGAAAGCCTCTATATATCTATCAGGTCATCAGAGAACTTGCCCAGGTCCCCTCTTATTTGCCCAAGGTCCTGTAATGAAAAGGGAACTTGGACCCTAGTGGCACCAGGTCCATCAGGCATTTACTGTAGGGGTAACAGTAAAGTTGGGGGTTGGGAGGATAGAACTGGAGTTGTTGATGTTGTGGCTGGAGGAGGTTCCCAGATAGGGGAGACAGGAAGGATTGGGGCATCCGGAACTGCATCCGAGTGTTCCCTAGGGGTTTGTTTCTCAGACTTTGTGGAATTATCATCTATGGACTTGCCTGATGTAACTGTTAGGAGAGCAGGGTCAATTCTACAACACTGACAAAGATCTGGGTTGTCTCGCAAGGCAAAGAAGGCTTGCACATAAGGAACCTCGGACCATTTGCCCTCCTGTCTGCAGAAAACATCTAGTTGTTGAATAGTATTAATATTAACACTTCCCTCAGGAGGCCAAGCCTCCCCATCCTGCAGCTGGTAAGACGGCCATGCCCGAGTGCAAAAGAATATGAGGTGCTCTTTCTTCAGAGTCTGAGTGTCAAAGGAGTTCCAGTGTTTCAGAATGCACTTGAGAGGAGTATAGGCTGAAGATGATTTGTTACATATCTAGAAAAAGAGGAGAGAAAAGGCATCCCTTAGTCTCCTTTGTCCTTCTGGAGTGATCGACAGCAGAGAGAAAAATGGAAGGGGCGTCCCCCTTCTCCTCTTCCCTCCCATTTCCTCAGGTTCCTGGTGACCATTATAGGTGCTGCCCATGGATCAAAGCATGACCTTCACCCATGAATCCGGAGGAGCTAGCTTGTGCTCACCTGCACAAGGTCCTAGCTCTCTGCCCTGCTGGTTTCCTAGACCTACTTGGCCCATAAGGCTCCTGAGATTCCCTAGAACCATGGGAGAGATTGTGCAGTAGTTGGATTGGGGCAAGACCCTTTAAGGAAGGGAACATCTTAACTCTATCCTTACATCCTCTTACTACCACCCTGGCAAAGTTATGAATTCCTAGAGAATGAGACTGATTGATTTCTAAACACAAGATCCCTTTCTCACTTAGATGCCAGTGTAGCTGTGTACAGAACAGATGCCTCAAAAGAATGTAAAAATTGAATGGCTGTTCTCCCTCCAATGGGGATAACACTGAGGCTAAAATATGTCTTCCCAGGGTAGCTTCTTCCTGGCTGTTGAAAGAGGAGTTTTTATGCTTACAAATAGGGCATGGGGCCTGATCACTGAAAGAGGGACATAAGAGAGAAAGGAATCAGGGAACTAGAGGTTTTGGGCAAAGGGCTGACAAGGCTTCTCACAGAGAAAAATCCCATCCCACTAGGTAGCACTATAGGGTTTGAAATGTTAGGAAAAAACTCTGACTACAAATTCTTTCCAAGCAGAGGTCAGAAAGGGAGGTTTGGGGCTTAATAGGCTGTCCCCATAATATGCTGTCCAGTAGAAAAAAAACTAGTTTGTCTCATAGAGGGAATGCTTAAATTCATTGGGCAATGCTGAGCTCTTACATGAAGGAAAAACAACCTGATGGAGAAAAGGGTATTCACTTGGGGTGAAACATCCCCCTATAGAGTGCCATGAATGTCTATCACTGGGGGACAAAAAGGCCCTAAGTGAAAATTTAGGCTGAAATCTTGAAGTCCCCCTGTCTCAAGGAAATCACAAAAACAACAATTATTTGAGTTACATTCCTCGTTACTAAGGCACTTGCTGACTTTGCTTAACAGGATTATCTCCCCAGGCTATAAAGACACCCACAACATTGCATACAAAGAAGGAATAGGAGACATAGTAGCTGCGAAAAGCAAGGAAGAAAATGCAATAGAAAAGTCTGGAAGTCCTGGTGCCAACATTCTGACGGGCTGTCGGGGGCTGGAGTTAGTCCAGGGACCTTCAGGTAACACTGAGGAGTAGCCTCAAACAGAAACCTTCAGTTGCCCCAGGACCTCCTTCTAGCCCATGTGACAGCTAAGTCCTCTGTGAAAGGAAACTGGATTAGAACAGAGCCAACATTCCCAACACCTGAGGGTGAAGGGGGACTGACAAAGTCCTCTCCAGCAAGCCTGTATCTTAAGTCTCATAAGGTTGGCAGCCGCTCTAAAAGCTTTTAACTGGCCCAGTGTTTTGTTCAGTCTTCAGGAAAAAATCTGAGGACAAGAAGCCTCTGAAATGAAAGTAAAGAGTTTGGAGGTCCGCTCCTACTCACCCTTCCAATGTTTCCTGGCCAATGCACCAAAATGTTAGTCTCGTCAATGCACCACAATGTAGCAGTCTCTCATTGCCCAAGGTATCACCTGAAGTTCTTTGTCTCATGACCAAGAAAATTAAGGAGCGCGGACCCCAAAGATGAAGTTGAAGTGAAAGTTTAATAAGCAAAAGAAGAAAGCACTCCACTGCAGAGAGGGGGCCCAAAAGAGGGTTGCCATTTCACAGCTGAATACAAAGGCATAAGGCACACATTTCTGGTAGCTCCACCCCATCCTCGTAGTGTGCATGCAAGCCCTTAGCTTGAGTTACTCCATGTGGCTTTGTTCCCCTTACTGTGCATGTGTCAGGGGATGGAATTTTCTATTGTGAGCATGTCTAGGCAAGTCTCCTGTGTAGCCTTGTTTTAATGTATGTGGCTGTGGGCATGTTTTAGGCAAGCCCCCCTGTACAAGTTCCCTTATCTGCAGTTTGATTTTTCAGGCTGTTCTTTTGTTTGAAGGAATTTGACTGAGGGCCCACCCTAACTGCCTGCCTGACTAGTTTCTTCCTTCCTCCTCTCTCAATAGCACCTGAATATCAGAACCAGAGAAAGGCAAGAAATATGACAACAGTCACAAATACCACAAGAAACATTTGAAAACCACTTTTTATCCAGTTTTCTCATGGCCTAGATCCAACAGGAATAAGTCCCGTGAATCTAAATGGCCAACTTTAGATAAAGGGCCATTTTTCTTAATTGACTGATTATTCCACTTCTCCTAAATTATTTATAATGAGATGTACTGGCTGTTGTGCAGATTTTGCCTTGACAGGCCCATAAATAATTGAGGGCCCTTTTATTATCTAAAACTATTTTAACCAACACATTTACATAGGTCTCTTGGGCCTCTAAAGCTTGAGCTGTTTTATTTACTATTTGGGCCATAGTCAGGGATAAAAATGTTTAGAAACATGTTTTAGTTTAGAAATACCTAGTGAGGGTTAGAAATTCTTAGTCAAACTAGTGAGATCTGGTGGTCAGTTATTGATCAGATAAAATATGAGGAATTCCCCTCTCTAAGCCATAGTTTCTAAATGTGTGAGAAAAACAAGCAGTCCACACATAGTTCAGGGCCTGGTCTGAACACTAAAGTCTGGTTCATTCACAGAGATATAATACTTGTTTAGTATGGAGAAAGAGAGGGAGGCTTTACAACACATCACCCCAGAGTCACAAACCACCATACAGAGGTCAGATGGTATGTGACAGCTAGGTCCTCTGTGATAGGAAACTGGATTGGAACACAGCCAACATTCCCAACACCTGATGGTGAAGAGGGACTGACAAAGTCCTTTCCAGCAGGCCTGTCCCTTGAGGCTTGTAAGGTTGGCAGCAGCTGCTCTAAAAGCTTTTTACTAGCCCAAGACACAGGGCTGAACTTTGCTTTGGAGCCCCTTACCTTTTTCCAAGGAATCAAAACAATTAATAAAACCAGTCCAACACCAATGAATGAAATAGGCCACCAATGAATGGAAAAATTATCTGTCTTCTCAGTTTCTGCAGAGAGAGAAGGAAAACATTAGCAGGAAACCTACTGGCAAGGGCCAGAGAAACCACACAACTGCTGCTGGGAACTGTGTGGTTGTGTCATCCTCCTTGTCAGAGATTTAACCACCAGCCCTCTGCCACATGTCTCAGCATCTCCATTCCTATCACATACACCTCCATACATCAAACAGTGTATGTAGCACTTGCCAAAAATATGGAAGATGAACACCACGTACCACATAATTGTGCTACCCTCATCTTCAAACCTTGTGTAATACGACACCATCTTCTATCCCTATGTGCATACCACATAGACAACCCCTCGTACCATACATGCAAGGTATATTTCCATTTCATACTCCCCATGGACACACATACCCTCCCTGCATCCCTGCACATGCCACCCACACACACACCTAGTCCTAACTTCCAAGAATAATTCCTCTCTCCCCAGGATCATCCTGGGCCCCATATGGCATTGCCTGACCACATTCCTCAGTGCCCCAGTCACTCCCTGCCTTCCTTACTCTTCTCAGCCCCAGGGAGATGCATTTTACCAGCAGAGCCACCCACACCCAAGACCAGAGCTATGACCAAGGCATATGAGCTCAAAAAGCCCCAGCCCACCAGCAGGAGTGGGTCTGCCGTGAACTGTGTTTTAAGGATCCAGTGTGCCTGGGGAAGGCATTGAGCATTTGCAGAACCACTCTACTGTAGCCCTCCCCATCTTGGGACACAGCCCATAAGACAAGACTACTGGCCGGGTGCTGTGGCTCATACCTGTAATCCCAGCACTTTGGGAGGCTGAGGCGGGCGGATCACCTGAGGTCAGGAGTTCGAGACCAGTCTGACCAACATAGAGAAACCCCATCTTTACTAAAAATACAAAATCAGCCGTGCGTGGTGGTGCATGCCTGTAGTCCCAGCTACTCAGGAGGCTGAGGCAGGAGAATCGCTTGAACACGGGAGGTAGAGGTTGTGGTGAGCTGAGATCACGCCATTACACTCCAGCCTGGGCAACAAGAGCGAAACTCCATCTCAAAAAAAAAAAAAAGACAAGACTACTGAGTCAGCCTCTACCAGCCAACAGTTTACAGTGGACCTAGAGCCTTATTAGAAGGGCTGCTAGCAGGACTGGTCCCTGGCCCCTGATAGCCCCTTATCCTCAGGGAACACGGGTAGGATACTGTCCCCATTCCCCTAGCAACTGGCAGGTTTCCTATTTCAAGCCATATGGACCATCCAAAACCCTGAAGCTGCCATGAGCTGACAAATAGCCCTGCTCCACCTGATGACTACAGTCACCACTCTCCACCTACTAAGACCATCATCTGCCCAGGTGTAGGGACCTAGGCTGGACTGCTGACTCTGGGGCTGAGCTAGGCCAGACTCCAGCTTGGTCCTTCCAGTCCAAGCTTTCTCTGTTTCCCCTTCAGTCCCCAGCTAAGACCCAGGCTGTGTGGGAATAAGTCTTATGTTATAGTCCCTCAAGGCAAGGAAGAGAAGAAATGTCCAGAAAGACCCTTACCAGAAAGACTGTGCCGAGCAGCAGTCAGGGTAAAGTTGCTCCTCAAGGGGGTATGCAAGGACGCATGCCGTACCACACACTGGTAGACAGTCCCAGGGTCTTCCTGAGAGGAGTTCAGCTTCAAGCAGCTAGTGACATTAAATGTGCCATCCATATTCTTGATGGTGGGACCAGTGATGACATCCTCAGAAATCTCTATGGGATGGGGAAACTTCTGGGTCTGCTTCTCCCATGTTATATTAATAGCCTCTGGGTAGAACCCACTTGACTCACACATATATTTGTCTTCATTCTCTTTCATGCCCACTTGATCCAGCAACAATCTGCTGGCTGGGGAAGCTGTCAGGGAAAAAAAATCATACAGAGTTGGGCCCAGCACCCTTTTATCCCCACCACACCTTATGCTAACTGGCTTCTACCATACCCTCACAGCTATGCATCACTGCTCCTGTAGCCAGATAAGACAAAAAACACAGGATGCCTACTCTTTAAAAATGCTGCAACCATGTCCAGCAATGAGCTGGAGATTTACAATACCAGACTGGGCACTCCTTAAGGGTAGGGAGGGATTAGCTTATTATCAGCCTGACATCTGAGCCATGGTAAGCCTTCAGGACATGTGAGTGACTGAATGCAAGTCAGCTTGGGCTAAATATTCTGGGTATGTTGGTGCCAGTGCCAACCGGGTACTGACATGCTGTGACCACAACTCTCACAGCAATTTTGTAAAGCAGAGTTTTCTTAAGCTGTGTTGTGAAACAGACACCTTTCATAATCTGAGGAAAGCCTTGGAACACTGTTGTGGTAGAGACTGCTAATTGCTCTTCAATTTCCATTCTGTGCATTTTTAGCTGGCCATGACATATCCAGATTAAACCTGTATCACCCAACCTCCACTGCAGGTATGTTTGGTCATGCAAACTCAGGGGTCTAGTAGGCCTGGATTTATGCAAAAGTGGCAAGAGCAACTTCTAGGAAGTATCCTTAAACTAAAAGGATGTCTTAAAAGACTGTCTCTTTCTCTCTCTCTCCTTATTTCCTGCAGAATGTTTGGAATACTATGTGATGACTGGAGATGGATAAGCCATTTCCAAACACAAGGTGGACGATACATACTGAAGATGGCAGAGTGACAAGATAAAAGGATCATGGGTCCCAGATGATCACAGAGCTAGCTGCCATATCTGCCCTGGGCTGGCTACATTAGTGTGAAAGAAAAATAAACTGCCATTTCCAAAGCCACTATTGACTTCCAGGTTTCCCTCTCACATGAGAGGTCATCACTCCCACCCTATAATAAGAACAAAAGCTGAACAAATTGAAAATCAACAGCTTTTCTTAGATTCCTCAGAGAATTGAAGTGACAGGGCAAACTGCCACTCAGAAAACTGGAGAAAGAAGGAGATTAAGAAAATTACAGCTAAGATCAAATCACCTCATGCAGAAGCTGCTGGAGTCATAAACCAGTAGAAGTACTTAAGCAGTAACTCCGACAAACTGCTAAAGGATGAGTGTGGACTAGCTTGAGAATAAAAACCTCCTCAGGTCCTGGTCTTAGGGATGCTTACCACACTTTCATGGGTTTTCATCCTCGGGACCCAGTCTTGGGGATGCTATCACACTGTCATGAGTTTTACTTCCAGGAACCCCACCAGATTCTCACAGTAAAGAGCCAAGAAAAATCTCCTCCTCTTTCTGGGGGATGGAAAGAAGTAATCATTTTAAAATATACCTAGATTATTCCCTCCATCTCAAGGGAAGATGTCAGAGCCTTATCTGACCTGAGAGAAGAAAATTAGCCAACTCCAGCTGTCTATAGCCTTTCTGTATTACTTAAGAAGAGAGAAAGAGAAAAGGCTAAGAAACACTTCTGAAGGCCACAGTCCAGAGGCTCAGGCCACTAAAAGAATAAGATTTAATCATAAAAGTATAAACAGATTCTCCTCCAACACTTTACTACCACATCAACAGGGCTCCAGTATAATAACAGAAGATTATAAGTGAGAGAGCTACAAGGCACAGAACCTATTTAAGGAGTTCATAAGGAAACCCAAAGACAATAGGAAAGGAGAGAAAAAAACACTAGAGAAACTGAAGTCTCTGGCACCTATAGCTACAATAAGCATTAAACACAACCCAGCTCCTAGCCAAATTAACATAAGGCCGCATAATAAAAGCCTATTACCTGATACATAATATCTCTCTTTCAACTAAAAAATTACAAGGCTAAAAAATACATAAAAACAAAGCAAACATCAGACCCAGACTCAGGTATGACACAGATTTTAGAATTATCATATAGGGAATTTTAAAAAACTATAATTAAAATGTTAAGAGCACTAACAGAAAGAGCAGATAACATGCACAAACAGATGGATAATATAAGCAGAGTGATGGAAATGCTAAGAACGAACCAAAAGTGAATGCTAGAGCTCAAAACACCATTAAAGAAATGAAGAATGCCTTCAGTGGGTTCAACAGTAGACTTGAAACTGACAAGGAGGCTGAACGCAATGGCTCATACCTATAATCCCAGCACTTTGGGAGGCCGAGGTGGGTGGATCACCTGAGGTCAGGAGTTCGAGACCAGCCTGACCAATATGGAGAAACCCCATTTCTACTAAAAATACAAAATTAGCCAGGGGTGGTGGCGCATGCCTGTAATCCCAGCTACTTGGGAGGCTGAGGCAGGATAATCACTTGAACCCAGGAGGCGGAGGTTGCAGTGACCTGAGATCACGCCACTGCACTCCAGACTGGGCAACAAGAGCAAAACTCCGTCTCAAAAAAAAAAAGAAACTGACAAGGAAAGAATCAGTGAGCTTGAAGATGTTAATAGAAACTTCCCAAACTGGGCACGGTGTGGTGGCTCACACCTATAATCCAAGCACTTTGGGAGGCCAAGGTGGGCAGATTGCTTGAGGTCAGGAGTTGGCGACCACCCTGTCCAACATGGCAAAACCCCGTCTCTACTTAAAAAACAAAAATTAGCCAGCATGGTTGTGCACACCTGTAGTCCCAGCTACTCAGGAGACTGAGGCACAAGAATTGCTTGAACCTGGGAAGCAGAGGTTGCATTGAGCCAAGATCCCGCCATTGCACTCCAGCCTGGGATACAGAGCAAGACCCTATCACAAACAATTTTTAAAAAAGAAACTTCCCAAACTGAAATACAAGGAGAAAAAAGAATTTAAAAAAAACCCCAGAATAGCCAAGAACTGTGGGATACTGCAAAAGGTGTAACAGATATATAATGGGAATACAAGAAGAAGAAAAGAGAAAGGAGCAGAAGAAATAATTTGAATAAATAATGGCTGAGAATTTTCCAAAATTAATGATAGACACCAAACTAAAGACCCAGGAAGCTTAGAGAATACCAGGCATGATAAATATCCAAATATGCCTATCCACGTCTAGCCATATCATATTTCAACTTTAGAAAGACAAAGATGGCCAAGCATGGTAGCTCACTCCTATAATCCCAGCACTTTCAGAGACCAAGGCAGGTGGATCACTTGAGCTCAGGAGTTCGAGGCCAGCCTGGGCAACATAATGAAACACCATCTCTACAAAAAATACAAAAATTAGCCATGCTTAGTGGCACCCGCGTGTGGCCCCAGCTACTTGGAAGGCGGAGGTGGGAGGATCACTTGGGCTTGAGCCCACTAGGGTGAAGCTGCAATGAGCCGTGATCATACCACTGCACTCCAACCTGGGAAACAGAGTGGGACCCCATCTCAAAAGAAGAAAGAAAGAAAAGAAAAGAAAAGAGAGAAAGAGGAAGGAAGGAAGGAAGGAAGGAAGGGAGGGAGGGAGGGAGGGAGGGAGGGAGGGAGGGAGGGAGGGAAAAGAAAGACAGAAAAAAGTCACAGGAAAAAAAACACACCTTACATATAGAAGAACAAGAACAACACTGGACTTCTTGTCAGAAACAATGCAAGCAAGGAGAGAGTGAAGTGAAATATTTAAAGCATTGAAACTTAAAAAAGAGAAAAACACCAACATGGAATCTTATATCCAGAAAAATTTTCCTTCAAAGGTGAAGTATAAATAAAGACTTTCTCAGACAAACCTTTCACCAATAGACCTGCTGTGCGAGAAACATAAAAAGAAGTGCTTTAGTGGGCCAGGCATGGTGGCTCATGCCTGTAATCCCAGCACTTTGGGAGACCAAGGTGGGAGGATCACTTGAGCCGAGGGAGTTCAAGACGAGTCTGGGCAACATAGACTCCATCTCTTAAAAAAAAAAAAAAAATTAAATTAGCAGGGCATGGTGGTGCATGCCTGTGGTCCCAGCTATTCCAGAGGCCGAGGTGGGAGTATCGCTAGTGCCCAGGAGGTCAAGGCTGCAGGGAGCCATGATCGCACCACTGCACTCCAGCCTGGACAGCAAAGCAAGACGTTGCAGGAAGAAAGGGAAGAGAAGGGAAGGGAAGGGAAGGGAAGGGAGGGGAGGGGAGGGGAGCGGAGGGGAGGGGAGGGGAGAAAGAAAGGAAGGAAATGAAGAAATGAAGAAAGGAAGAAAGGAAGAAAGAAAGAAAGAAAGAAAGAGAGAGAAAGAAGGAAAGAAGGAAGGAAGGAAAGAAAGAAAGAAAGAAAGAAAGAAAGAAAGAAAGAAAGAAAGAAAGAAAGAAAGAAAGAAAGAAAGAAAGAAAGGAAGGAAGGAAGGAAGGAGACACTGAGTCAATAACTAGTAAAAAAAAAAAAAAAGAAGAAGAAAAAAATCACCTTCCAAAAAGGAAAGCACCAGGTTCGGATGGTTTCACTGGTTAATCCTACTAAACATTTAAGGAATAAATAATGCCAGTTTTTTACAATTTCTTCCAGAAAGTAGAAGTAGACAGAGGGAACACATTCTAACTTATTCTACAAGCCCAATATTATCCTACTGCCAAAACCGCATAAAGACATTACCAGAAAAGATAACTACAGATCAATATCACTCATTAAAGTAGATACAAAATCCTCAAGAAAATATTAGCAAATATAATCCAACAATACAGAAAAAATTACATACCATAACCAAGAGAGGCATATTACACATATGCAAGGCTGGCTTATCATTCAAAAATTGGTTAATGTAAGTCATCATATCAACAGGCTAAAGAAAAAATTATATGATCATACCAATAATGCAGAAAAAGTATTTGACAAAACCCAAGACTGATTCATATGAAAAACTCTTAGCAAACTAGGAATAAAAGGGAAACTTCCTCAACTTGCTAAAGAATATCTACCAAAAAATAGCTAATATCATATTTCATGGTTAGAAAGTAAAATCAGAAATGGACAAGATGTCCCTTCTAACCACTCCTGTGCAACATTGTAATGGAAGTCTAAGCTAGCATAACAGGACAAGAAAAGGAAATAAAAGGTATAAAGTTAGAATGGAAGAAATATGAGGCCTGGTACAGTGGCTCACACAATGTAATCCCAGCACTTTGGGAGGCCAAGGCAGGGGGATCACTTGAGCTCAGGAGTTCAAAACCAGCCTGGGCAACATAGTGAGACCTCACCTCTGTAAAAAATAAAATAAAATAATGGAAGAAATAAAACTGTATTTTTAACAGACAGCCTGATTTATGTAGAAAAATCTCAAGACTTGGCCAAAAACAAAAACAAAAACAAAAACAAAAAAATCCCTAGAATGAATAAGTGATTAAAGCAAGTTGCAGGATACAAAGTTAATAAGCAAAAATCAATTATTTGACAGGAATGAACAATTGAGCAACTGGAATTTGAAATTAAAAATATAATACCATTGGCCAGGTGTGGTGGCTCACATCTGTAATCCCAGCACTTTGGGAGGCCGAAGCTGGTGGATCATTTGAGGTCAGGTGTTTGAGACCAGCCTGGCCAACTTGGTGACCCGTCTCTACTAAAAATACAAAAATTAGCCAGGCGTGGTGGCGCATGCCCGTAATCCCAGCTACTCGGGAGGCTGAGGTAGGAGAATTGCTTGAACCCAGGAGGCAGAGGTTGCAATGAGCTGAGATTGTACCACTGCACTCCAGCCTGGGCAACACAGCGAGACTCTGTCTCAAAAAAAAAAAAAAAATGTCAATTTTTCCCAACTTGATCTCTAGATTCAATGCAATCCCAGTCAAAATCCCGGAAAGCCATTTTGCAGATATCAACAGATTCTCAAATTTGTATGGAAAGAAAAAACCCAGATAGCTAACACTATACTGAAGAAAGGCAACAAAAATGAGGGACTAACACTACCTGACTTCCAGACTTACTACTAAAATACAATAATCAAGATAGTGTGGTACTGGGGAAAGAAGAGGGAGATCAATGAAACTGAATAGGGCAGGGTGTGGTGGCTCACACCTATAATCCCAACACTTTGGGAGGCTGAGACGGGGGAGATCACTCGAGCTCAGAAGTTCCAGACCAGCCTGGGCTACACGGCGAAACTCTATCTCTACAAAAATACAAAAATTGGCTGGGAGCGGTGGCGCGAGCCTGTAGCACAAGCTACTCGGAAAGCTGAGATGGTAGGATTGCCAGGGCCCAGGAGGCAGAGGCTGCAGTGAGCCAAGATTGTGTCACTGTACTCCAGCCTGTATTAAAAGAAAAAAAGAAAAAGAAAAGAAACTGAATAGAAAGCCCAGAAATGGACCCACACAAATATATTCAACTGATCTTTGACAAAGAAGCAAAGGCAATTCAATGGAGAAAGGACAGTCTTTTCAACAAATGATGCTGGAACAATTAGGTGTTCATATGCAAAAAAAAAAAAAATACATATAGAATATAGACACAAACCTTACACTTTTCACAAAAATTAAAGTAAACTGCATCATAGACCTAAATGTCAATGGTAAAACTATAAACCTTCTAGATGATAACACAGGAGAAAATCTAGGTAGCCTTGGGTTTGGTGATGAGCTTTAGGACACAATGTTAAGAGCATGATCCATGAAAGAAAAATGTAGTAAGTTCGACTTTTTAAAATTAAGAACTTCTGCTCTACAAAAGACATTGTTAAGAGAATGAAAAGACAAGCCACAGACTGTGAGAAAATATCTGTGAGACATCTATCTGATAAAGGCTTGTATCCAGAATGTACAAAGGACTCTTAAAACACAACAATTTAAAAAATGAGCCCAGTTAAAAAATAGGCAAACAATCTGAACAAACATCTCATCAAAGAAGACATACAATTCCCAGTACTTTGGGAGGCCGAGACACGCAGATCATTTGAGCCCAGGAGTTCAAGACCAGCCTGGGCAACACAGCAAAACCCTATCTCTACAAAAAATACAAAAATTAGCCAGGCATGGTGATGTGCACCTGTAGTCCTAGCTACTTGGGAGGCTGAAGCCTGGGAGAATCACCTGAGCCTGGGAAGTGAGCTGTAATCACACCACTGCACTCCAGCCTGGACAACCAATGAACACACAAAAAAAGAAGACATACGAATGGCAAGTAAGAATATGAAAAGATGTCCAACATTATATCATTAGGGAACTGCTAATTAAAACAACAAATGAGATACCACTATATACTTATTAAAATGGCTAAAATCTGGGCTGGGTATGGTGGTTCATGCCTGTAATCCCAGTACTTTGGGAAGCTGAGGTGGGCAGATCATCTGAGGTCAGGAGTTCAAGACCAGCCTGGCCAACATGGTGAGACCCCATCTCTACTAAAAATACAAAAATTAGCCAGGCGTGGTGGCGGGCACCTGTAATCCTAGTTACCTGGGAGGCTAAGGCAGGAGAATCGCTTAAACCTGGGAGGTGGAGGTTGCAGTAAGCCAAGGTCACACCACTGCACTCCGGCCTGGGCAACAGAGCAAGACTGTCTCAAAAAAAAAATCTCAAAAAAAAAAAAAAAAGGAATTGCCAAAAAGCACTGTACTCTAGTAGATAAAGTTGTTTCTTATCGGAGTACAGGTTAATAATTAATTCAATAAACAGAGGATGGTGGGTACAGGTTTCTCACTGTTGGAGTGGGAGTTTACAGATGAGCAAGAGAAGGAAACTAGAATGATCTATGTGGTGATGGACTAAAGTTGGAGACATCAGTAAGAACAAATGTTTAATGTAATATAGGTACAGATGGTTACACATAGAAATATTTGTAGATATGTGTATATGCAGAGGTTAGTATGCATACATGTATTTCTTTGCTCTGTTGGCTGAGAGGGTCTAGAATCAATGATACCTCAGCAGCAAAAAGTACACTTACTGTCCAGGTCTTGGTTTCTAAGATCACTTTCCAATAAAAGGAACCAAGGTTTCTTGGAGTATTGGTTGGTTCTAGGACTAGAACCAGGAAATATACAAGAGAGGAAATATACAAGATGAGTCTGGAGCATCTTATAGTGCCAAAATGTAAAAAGTGCTTAAAATCAAACAAAATTCTTGATATGAATTTGCCAAAAATTAAATAAAACAAAAAATAAAATAATAAAACAAAACAAAATCTTACAATGATTGGGGTATGTCAATGTGACACAAGAGCCAAGTGAATGAGCTCCCCGTGGCCAAAGCTGGAAAAATTTGAGAAAAAATAAAGTAGTATTGCATTATAACACAAAGTATAAAATAAATATCCTTGAGTCCTTATTGATATCAATGATTGAATAAAGTCATAAATGGGAGAAAAGAGATAAATCTCCCATGCAGAAGAATTCTTAAAAAAATTATGTAGATACTCCACCTCCAAGGAGGAAGAACATAAGTAACCCCCAACCTTAAGTGTGGGCTGCACAGAGTGACTTCCTTTCAAAGAGTACAGTATGAAAATAGGAGGAAGAGTAACTTTTCAGTAGAGAAACCAGACAAACACTACTTCAACTAGATGGTCAAGGTCAACATCAACAGTCATAAGTCATGTGATTTGATGTGATGAAAATGGCAGTTTACCTCTGCGATGTTCCTCCAAAAACCCATAACCCCAAGTCCAATTATGAGGAAAACAGCAGACAAATCCTAACTTAGTGACATCCTGCAATATACCTGACCAATACCCTCACCAAACTGTCAAGGACATCAAAAATAAGGTCTAAGAAATTGTCACAGCAAAAAGGAGCCTAAGAACATATAACAATTAAATGCAATGTGGTATTCTGACGGGATCCTGGAGCAGGAAAAGGACATTAGGTAAAAACTAAGGAAATATGAATAAATTACACACTTTCATTATAGTAAAATGTCAATATGGGTTCATTAATTATATCAAGGTACCATACGAATACAAGATGTTAATAACAGGGGAAATGGTATGCAGGGCGTGAGTGATATGAGAACTCTCATACTATTTTTGCAATGTTTCTGTAAATCTAAAACTGTCCTTAAAAAAAGTCTATTAATGTCTTTAAAAGCCACTGTTGGCCAGGCATGGTAGTTCATCCCTGTAATGCCAGCACATTGAGAGGCCCGGGCACAAGGATCTCTTGAGGCCAGAAGTTGGAGACGAGCCTGGGCAACACAAGGCCCCATCTCTACAAAAATGTAAAAATTCGCCAGGCATGGTGGCATGCAACCGAGGTCCTAGCTACTCAGGAGGCTGAGGCAGGGGGATCACTTGAGCCCTGGAGTTTGAGGTTACAGTGAGCTATGATTGTGCCATGCTCTCCAGCCTGGGCAACAGAGGGAGACCCTGTCTCCTATGTAGACCCTTTATATAGATATATAAAGCCTAGAAGAACAGTGGCTATATATATACGGCCACTGTCAGTTGGCCGTATATATAGCCACTGTCACTGTTATTCCTCTGTCAGTTGCAGAGGAAGTGAATCCTAATTAATATGCCTCTCACTCCCAAAATTACTACGGACAAAACATTCAAAGTCTTATGTACAATTATGGAGGGCCCATGCTGGGCTGAATTATGTCCTCCTAAAATTCTTATGTCCTCCCAGAATTCCCAGTATCTCTGAATGTGACTGTATTTAGAGATAGGTTCTTTAAAGAGGTAATTAAGTTAAAAATGGGGTTATTAGGATGGGCTCTGATCCAATATGATTGGTATCCTTATAAGAAGAGGAAATTAGGACACAGATATAGGCACAAAGGAAAGACCATGTGAAGACACAGGGAGAAGATGGCCAGAGAAGAGAGGCCTCAGAAGAAACCAATCCTGCTGATGTCTTCATCTCAGACTTCTAGCCTTCCAAAAGTGTGAAAAATAAACATCTGTTGTTTAAAGGCATCCAGTCAATGGTATTTTGTTATGGCAGCCTTAGCAAACTAATACAGCCACCAAGCTCATCCATGTATTATCAGACCATTTTATAATACAGGAAAGTGGAGCTCAAAGAGGTGTGTGGGTTTTGTTGTTGCTAACCCCAACACCATGGGAACTGTAGGGCACTGCCCCGAGACACTCACCCACAACTTCAAGCTGGACTGTTCCCTGTGCCTTCAGAGGGGTGACCACCACCTCACATCGGTACTCTCCTGCTTCCTCCAGCTGGATTCCAGGCAGCCGCAGTGAGGCGTCCCCACTCTTCAGCCTCCATGGAGACACAATGGCTCCAGGTCGGAATGCCTCTTGGTGATCTCCAAAAAATTCAAAGACTTTGACTTCTTTGTCAAACGTCAGACTCTTCCAAAACCAGGTGATACCCATAGACGTGATGTTGAGGGGTTGGGAATAAAAGATATTGCAGAATATGGTGACATTGTCATTCAGGGGTGTGATCTGAGTCCCCCCTGCCATCATCTCTACTTTCAGATCACCTGTGGCAATAAGAGGACACAATGTTCAGTTTACCAATGTATGAACATCTTTTTGAGATGTGCTATGGACTGAATGCTTGAGTCCTCCAAAATTCATATGGAGGCCTGACCCCCAGTGTGATGGTATCTGGAGGCAGGGCCTTTGGGAAGCGATTAGGTCATAAGAGGAAAGTCCTCACGAATGGGATTAGTGCCCTTACAAGAAAAGACATGAGGCCAGGCACGGTGGCTCATGCCTGTAATCCCAGCACTTTGGGAGGCCCAGGCAGGCAGGTCATGAGGTCAGGAGATTGAGACCATCCTGGCTAACATGGTGAAGCCCCATCTCTACTAAAAATACAAAAAATTAGCCAGGCGTGGTGGTGCACACCTGTAATCCCAGCTACTCGGGAGGCTAAGGCAGGAGAATTGCTTGAACCCAGGAGGCAGGGGTTGCAGTGAGCTGAGATCATGCCACTGCACTCCAGCCTGGGTGACAGAGCGACACTCTGTCTCAAAAAAAAAAAAAAAAAAAGAAAGAAAGAAAAGAAAAGAAAAAGACAAGACATGAAGCTGGGCCTGGTGGTTCACACCTATAATCCCAGCACTCCCAGAGTCTGAGGCCAGAGGATCGTTTGAGCCCAGGTGTTCCAGACCAGACTAGGCAATATAATGGGACCTTGTCTCTACAAAAAAATAAAAATAAATTAGCCCAGCATGGTGGTTAGCACTTGTAGTCCCAGCTACTTGGGAGGCTGAGGTGAGAGGATCCCTTGTGCCCAGAAGTTCAAGGCTGCAGTCAGCCGTGATAATGCCATTGCACTCTAGCCCGAGTGACAGAGTGAGACTCTGTCTCAAAAACAAACAAATAAATAAATAAATAAGAAAAGACATGACAGAGAGATATGTCTCTCTCCACCACGTAAAGATACAGCAAGAAGGTATCCTTCTATAAACTAGAAATGAGGCTCTCACCAGAAACCAGATCATCCACACTTTCCTCTTGGACTTCCCAGCCTCCAGAATCATGAGAAATAAATTTCTGTTTAAGCCACACAGTATATATCTGTTATGGTAGCCTGGCAAGACTAAGACAGGACATTTTTCCATTTCATTTATTTAGATTTTAAATTTCTTTCAGCAATATTTTACAGTTTCCAGAGTATATATTTTCTGTTTCTTTCGTTAAATTTACTCATAAGTATTTTATCTTTTGATGCTATTGTAAAGAGAATTTTCTCTTTTTTTTTTGATGTTTTCCTATTTATTTATTTAGAGACAGGGTCTCGCTGTGTCACCCAAGCTGGAGTGCAGTGGTGCTATCACTGCTCACTGCAGCCTCCACCTCCTGGGCTCAAGTGATCCTCCTGTCTCAGCCTCCCAAGTAGTTGGGACTACAGGCACATGCCACCATGCTCAGCTAATTTTTTCATTTTTTGTAGAGATGGAGTCTTACTAAGTTGCCCAGACTGGTCTCTAACTCCTGGGCTCAAGCAATCCTCTCATTGCCTCCTCAAGTATTGGGATTACAGGTATGAGCCACTGCGACTGGCTAGATGTTTTCCATTTTAGAACAGTAGGTTGCTAGCAAGTTTACGCTTATACCTATTCCAACAAAAAGTGCAAGGACAGTTCAAAATATTACATTTGCTATTTCAAAGAAGAGTACAACTCCAAAGAAGTCAGACTCATTACTAACAATGCAGAGCTAGACATCTATATTTAGATAAATGTCAGAAACCGAATTCCCCTTGTTGCCATCAAACATGTCCTTTCATTAGTCACATCCAACATATCTAAATAAAGTTTTCAAAATTAATGTTAACAAAAATGTATCCAAAAACCTGCCAACTTACTCAAAGATTTGTGCAAGTCTATTTTTTAAAATAATACATTAGGGAAACGCGGTGACAAGCTTTCTGTTCTATGTATCAAAGCAAAAACAGACTTGACCTACAAAATGAAGATAGGGTCAACTGTAACCAAAAAAACAGTATGCTTCCCCCTGGTGGCCAACCAAGAAATGGAGAAACCAAGGATATGAAACAGCCAGGCCACCTAGTTGTATTGTCACTCTTAAAAACGAAAAGTGACTACCAAAAAAAAAAAAAAAAAAAAAAAAAAAAGAAGAAGAATTGGGGGGTCGGAGGGAGAAGGGAAAATATCAAAAACACTAACATGTGCTTAAAAGGAATACAAACCTGAGTGCCAGACTACATAAATTTAGAAGATTTAAATCAACAAATCAAAATTTAGAAGGCAAATTTGGGAAACCTCGTCTATTTTCAGAGCGCCCAAGCGCTCACCCAGGACCTCCATGTATTTTCATTTAAAGGTACAGAGTGTAGTACCTTAACAGCTTAACAGCATTCGCCTTTTTCAAGGACTAGATCCTTGGAATTTTCTGCAGTCTTGTTTCCAAGGAAAAGCATTTATGCATTTATCTTTTCAAATCAACTAGTGGTATAACCTACATAGAGAACCTCCAGTTCTAGAGCTCTCCAACTAGGGAGGACTGTTAACTACAGCTTTACAAATTGCTCTTTTCAACTTCATTTCTGAAATAAAACCTAACGTTCTTTAAAACATTTTCTATATCAACAACCTTTAAAGACATTCTCATACAAAGACGGGCTAGAATCTCTTGCATTAAAATCTGACGAATTCCTTTGTATGACTGGATTTTTTTTTTCTTGTACCACTTTAAATTTGCTTCCACGCAGAATAGCAGCCAGGCAAACAGATGCTCCATCCTAAGGTGTAGGAATTTCTTGTAGGCGGAAATGATTTGTTAGGCGAAAGCTTCCGAAACGGTTTTCCATTTCACAGTCTCTTCCGGTGCCAAAGTCCAGCACCAACGCCTGGTTCTGGGGTCCGACCCTCATGCAGCCGCCGCCGCGCTCCTCGTGGCTGGACGAGCCGGAACTAGCTTCCTCCAGGAGCTGCTGCTGCTGCTGCCGTCACTGGGCGCCGCCGCACAGCCAAACGGCGTTCCTCCCTCTCCGCTTCCCTGAGAACTCGCGGCCCTTCTCCACCACCACCAGCATCCGCGGGGACCGAGACCGGACGAAAGTGGCGGGGACCCAAGGCCCCTGAGGAGGGGGCGCCGGGCCCGGGAGGGGGCGCGGGACGGGCATGGGACCGGGTGGGCGCGGCGGCAGCCCACTGGCGCCACTTCGAGCTCGAGGAGACCCAGACTGATAGAGCGCGGAGGCGTTTCCAGACCGCAGCGACAGGCGTTTCCAGACCGCAGTGACAGGCGTTTCAAGTCCGCAGCGCGGAGACAAGCGCAATTTTGGCTTTCCACTTCACCGCCCACACTTCACTCGGAACTGTCTTATTTTCACATTGCTTATTGCAAATGTATAGAAATACTATTCACTCGTTTTTATTTCCACTTCCCTCTCCCATCGGGCAGCCATTCTAAGGTGTTTAACATGTAATTTTTGTTCTCTTTAAGGCTGTATCTTCTGTTTCTCAAACTGTGGAAATGGTATTGCATTGTATGTCCACTGTTTACTTGGCTCTACGCCTTCAACATCCGTTCACGCTGCTCGGCAAGCAGCAAGGGCGTGGTGTGAAGCTGCCGCCAAGGTCTCCACGGTGAGGTCCACACGCGGCTCTCCTCCACCTGCAGTGACTCGGGGCGCCCAGAGCGCGCCTCCGGGATTCCTACATTCCACCTCCACCACCCGGCACCCAGGAGCGTATTTTGGCCAGCCTAGTAAGGGTCAAGCAGCATCTTGTTGTTTAATTGCCATTCTTCTAGTTAGAAATGAGTTTAAATATCTCTACATACGCGTTTCAGCCTTTTAGTCTCCTGTTTAAGTTAACGCAGAACACGCCCATACGAGTTCCCAAAAAAGCAAGAGAACGTTTGAAGGTCACCACAAGATCAAAACACTCCCCTCCCTCTCTCAGTAAAGACCTAACTTAGCAAAGCCAGGAGGACCCACTGATATGCGGATGAATGATTTTTCCAATTTACCGATTCCCTGATTTTCTTCTCTCCTCCGGCCCCTCGGATGATGCGAGAGAGGCGCCAAATACCGAGGCACCAAACGCGCGACATCCAAGGAAGCACCGTTTCCGCTCTCACAGGTGTCGACCCTGCACAGGGCAGGCCTTCAATGTAAACCTGTTGCATCGGGGACTCCGCTTCTCACAAAGGAGGGACGCTTGAAAATAGAGCCCCCAGGCCGGGCGCGGGGGCTCACGCCTGTAATCCCCGCACTTTGGGAGGCCGAGGCGGCTGGATCACTAGGTCAAGGAGACCATCTTGGCTAACACTGTGAAACCCCGTCTCTACTAAAAGTACAAAAAATTAGCCGGGCATGGTGGCGGGCGCCTGTGGTCCCAGCTACTCGGGAGTCTGAGGCAGGAGAATGGCGTGAACCTGGGAGGCGGAGCTTGCAGTGAGCCGAGATCGCGCCACTTCACTCCAGCCTGGGAGACAGAGCGAGACTCCGTCTCAAAAAAAAAAAAAAAAAAAAAGGAGAAGAAATAGAAAAGAAAATAGAGCTCTCAGCCCCCAGGAAGTTGAGGTCCCCTGGCGGGATGCTAGGGAGCCGACCCGCGAGGACCCTCTGGCGCCAGGAGCCCCCGCCCCAGCCCACCCCAGCCGCCCCCTACCTTCGGTCGTCAGCGCCCACAGCAGAATCAGGAGCGCCGCGCACGTGGAGGCGGCAGCCCTCCACGTCATCGCCGCGGCTGCTGTTGTGTAATTTTTTTCGCCGAGTGGGAGCAGGCGGCCCGGTAGAAACCAAGGGCAGGGGGAGACCTCTGTTGCGTAAAGAGTTGACGGAGACACAGCCGGGATTTCCAGCCGGCGCTTTTGCACATCCCACTTCTTCAGATCCCTTCGGCAACTGCGAAGTCGCCTGGATTTCCCAGGTTCGCACTGCAGGAAGCCAGGCGCGTGACCAGCCCCACCCGCGCCGCACTTTAGCCCGGGGGCGGGCACCGGCCGGGGAATCCTCCCTCGCCTCCGCCCGCGGCACGAGGTTGCGCGGTTACAGCCCCGGTGCCTCTCGCGAGCGGCTCTGCGGTCCAGGACTCGGGGCATCCTCTGGGTTCGCTTAGTAAATTGAGACCGGGATCCAAGTGGCCCGGGGCGCTGCTCTAAGGAAGATGCTGACCGCAGTCGGTGATTGCGAGAGCAGGTGCACGCGTCCAGAGCGACATCTTACCGTTGGCGCGATAAACTTACATTACTTTAAAAACCAAAAACAACAAAAATTTAGCATTAAGTCGAAAGGCAAATTAAATCCCCAGGACAATTCAGTTAAACGCCTGAAGGTGGCCCTTAATTTCCCATTTCTACTAATCAAGAAGTGGCTTGCGACCTCCTGAAGCAAACCCAAATATTCTCATTCGGTGATTAAGTTTTACCACCTCTACACCAGTTTTTAAATCAATTTAACCGCAAAGTTCAGAACCCAAGTGGCACAGTAAATGTGTGTGCATTTATAACGCAGAACCTGCATTCTTTCCCCAGCAACCTGCATTCCATTTGTCTCATTGACCCTACTGCATTTTTCCTTCGCATCATTAAAAAGGATGTAATGTACAGAAAAGCACAGACAGACCTAAACTCCAATGCCAACCATGCCATCTGCTGATTATAAGACAGTGGGTAAGTGACCTCATATCCCCAGCCTGTTCACATGTCTCTAAAACTGAGAGAGTAAAAGCTTCCTTTCCAGGGTTAGAGACACTGTCACTGACTAAGCAAATAGTCACATTCTCACTTATCTGCAGAACAGAGTGCATACAGAAAGAGCTCAGAAGTGAAAGATGCGCAGAGTGCCCACAGTGGCAGCAACTAGCTGAGGGGCCTTCAGATCGCAGCCTTCCGGACCACCGTTATAACAGGTAGAGATATGCAAGGTTAAGTCCAGCTATTGAATTTTTAAAACCTAAATTACACCTCTTCTCAACCTCTGCCTCCTCCAAGGAGCCTTACCTGAGGAGACATCCTTGTCTGGTATTAGTGACATCATTAAATAACATTCCCAATGGAGGTATATGACGACTTCTTATACATGCCCAGAATAGTGATTCACAAAGTTGTGACACATACACATCACCCTGTAGAAATTATCAAATTACTCTTTTGGTAATTTTTACTGTTTTGGTAATTTTTTTGTACCCTTTTTACTCTAAAGGGTAAAACCGGCAGGTTTCTCTATTTATATTTCATTAGAATGAAAAGTCATTACCTGTGTTTTCGTTTTTACCAATATCATGTCTATTTGAACATCTTTTTTTTTTTTTTTTTTTTTTTTTTTTTTTTGGTGAGACAGAGTCTCGTTCTGTTGCCCAGGCTGGAGTGCAGTGGCGTGATCTCAGCTCACTGCAACCTCTGCCTCCCAGGTTCAAGAGATTATTGTGCCTCAGCTTCATCCTCCCAAGTAGCTGGGATTGCAGGTGCCTGCCACCACACCCAGCTAATTTTTGTATTTTTAGTAGAGACAGAGTTTCACCATGTTGGCCAGGCTGGTCTTGAACTCCTGACCTCAAGTGATCCGCCCACCTCGGCCTCCCAAAGTGCTGGGATCACAGGCGTGAGCCACCACACCCGGCCTGAACATGTCTTTTAATACTTTTGCCAACTTTCCATTCAACCCTAAAGCACACAGCAGATACCTCACGATGCTTCTCAAACAAAATAAGCATATATTCTCAGGAATTATTTATGGAAAACTCTGACTTTCTGTGTTCTTTATTGGTGCACAGCATTGAGACACGGTATTCAAATGCTGGTTGACACTGAGGTCATTTTTATGACACATTGCATCCAACTTGCTGTTGGAATATCACATACAATTTTGGAACCATATTGTAACACATATTGAAAATATCCAACAAGTAATCAGAATGGTAAATAAGGGACATTCACTCAAAGACATGTATCCAGGGACAGTATGGCAGAGACTGCTATTTGTCAACCAATATCTGTTTTCCCCTTTTTCCTTGAAAAAGGCCTCCAATATTTTCCTGGGCACAGGGATCAATAAAAGACTGCATTTCCTAATCATTCTGGAACTAAATGTGGCCATATGACCAAGTTCTGGCCAAAGTAATATAAATGGAAATGTTCTGTGTGACTTCTGGGAAATGTCCTTAAAGAGAAGGAAATGATCTTCTTTTCCCCTTCCTTCTTTCTGACAGCAGGATAGCAGATGTAATGCCTAGAGCTTGAGGAGACATCTTGCACCACAGTGTGGAAACCATGCACTAGGACAAAGGGACAGCAAAAGAGAAGGGTTCTGGGTCCCTGATGACTCGTGAAACCTCTACCAGCTTTAGAAGGACACCTCTGGACCTGTGGAACATAAGAAATAAAGTCAGTAAGCTACTCTTATTTAAAATGTTCTCATTTTCAGCAGAACCTAATCCTAATCACTACAAATGAGTAAAGGAGCTGAGCCCATTTTGTTTGGAGTAGCCTGGGGGTTTAAGAAATGGTACCAGTCTTGTAAGTCTCTGAAAAGCTAACACCTGTGTATGTGAGTACACATGTTAGGTGATGTTCTTGAAGGCAAAAGCAAGTTGGAGAGAGATTTTGGCTCAGTATAAGAAAAGCTTTCTGCTGGGCGCGGTGGCTCACACCTGTAATCCCAGCACTTTGGGAGGCCGAGGCGGGTGGATCACCTGAGGTCAGGAGTTCGAGACCAGCCTGGCCAACATGGTGAAACCCTGTCTCTACTAAAAATACAAAACTTAGCCAGGTGTGGTGGCAGACGCCTGTAATCCCAGCTACTCGGGAGGCTGAAGCAGGAGAATCACTTGAACCCGGGAAGCGGAGGTTGCAGTGAGCCGAGATCAATGCCGTTGCACTCCAGCCTGAGTGACAAGTGTAAGACTCTGTCTCAAAAAAAAAAAGGAAAGGAAAGCTTTTCTATTAAAGGAATGGGACATTTCAAGTTGCCCCTCAGCAACAATTTATTGAACTCTGCCAGGCACAATCTAGGAGTGACGAATTCAGCGATGGCTAAAGCACAGTCCTTAGCTTCAAAAAATCTGTCTAGGCCAGGTGTAGTGGCTTATGCCTGTAATCCCAGCACTTTGGGAAGCCAAGACAGGAGGATCACTTGAGCTCAGGAGTTTGGAATCAGCTTAGGCAACATAGTGAGGCCCCATCTCCACAAAAAAAATCAAGATATTAGCTGGGTGTGGTGGTGTCACCTATATTCCCAGCTATTTGAGAGGCTGAGGTGGGAGGGAGGATGGCTCAAGGCCAGGAGGTCATGGCTGCAGTGAGCCATGATTGCACCACTGCACTCCAGCCTGGGTGACAGAGTGAGACTCTGTCTCCAAAAAAAAAAAAAAAAAAAAAAAAAAAAAAAACACAAAAACAAACAAAAAACACCTCATTCTAGACCATTGTTGTTCCAAGTAGCTGTGCTGAAGGACTCTTTAAAAGTGTCCAACCTGGCCAGGCATGGTGGCTCACCCACTTTGGGAGGCAGAGGCAGGAGGACTGCTTGAGGGCAACAGTTCAAGACCAACTGGCCAACATAGCAAGATCCTGTCTCTATTATTTTTTCTTAATTCTAAAAAATAAAAGTAAAAATAAAAAATAAGTGTCCAACCCACGAAGAACTGTCATTTTGTGAAATAAAAATGAATTACTAGAGAAATGAAATAAAAAGACATAAAAATCCAAGCCCTCAATTTTTATTCTTAGATTCAAAAGACATAAAATTATTTTTGAATTGCTATAAAAGTTTCCAACAGCATGAGTAATGTTGGTTGGCCTTCTCACCATTAGGTAACAGCCAGGCATAGACCAGCACCAGTCACAGACCACACTGTGAGAAAGACCAGTCTAGACAAATGCAGATTGAGAGCCATTCTATAAAACAAATGACCTGTACTCTCAAAAAATGTAAATGTCATGAAAGACAAAATACAACTGAGGAGCTATTCCAGATCAAAGGAAATTAAAGAGACCTTACAACAAAATCCAACACACAAATCCTGGATCATGAAAAAATTATTATAAAGGACAGTATTGAGACAGTTGGTGAAATTTGAATACGGACTATGTGTTAGATTAATAGTATTGTAACAATGTTAAATTTCCCAAATTTGATAATTATATGATGGTTATGATTAAAAAAATATTTGTTCATAAGAGATGCTCACATATTTAGGGTAAGGGATCACAATGTTTGCAGCTTAATTCTGAAACGCTTCAGTCAAACAAAGAATTGGACAGAAAGAGTGAAAGCAAGGTATACTAGAATTTGTGAAAGGAAAATATTTTGGGTCCCCAAAATCACTAAGGAAAACTCAAGATGAAAAACTGCTTAGGGTAAACCTGTCTCCTGTTGCCCTGTTTCTATTCAGTCACTCCTCTGCTCACGGAGATAGATGCATATCTGACTTGCCTCCTTTGGAAAGGTAGAAACTCAAAATGGGAAACTCAAAAGAACGTAACCCTTTGTGTATCACCTGTGACCTGGAAGCTCCCACCGCACTTAGAGCCTTCCTGCCTTTGCTTCAGGTTGTCCTGCCTTTCCAGGCCAAACCAATGTACTTCTTACATATATTGATTGATGTCTCATGTCTCTCTAAATGTATAAAACCAAGCTGTGCCCCGACCACCTTGGGCACATGTCGTCAGGACTTTCTGAGGCTGTGTCATGGCTGTGTCCTCAACCTTGGCAAAATAAACTTTCTAAATTAACTGAGACCTGTCTCAAATTTTCGGGGTTCACAAATTCATTATACTATCGTTGCAATGATTTAATTTTTTTTCAAAATAACAAACACATAACAAAACTAAATGCAATGTGTGATCCCAGATTGGATCTTAGCGCAGAAAAAATTTATAGTAGGATAACTGGCAAAATTTGCAGATTAGTTTATAGAATTGTATCAATGTTAATTTCCTGATTGTAATACTTTTACTGTAGTTATATAACATGTTGATATTTGAGGAAGCTAGATGAAGGGCATATGGGAATTCTTTATACTATTTTTGCAAATTTTTTGTAAGGCTAAAATTATTTAAAGTTGGGCAGCTAGAAGTCCTAACACCCAGTCCAGGACTTTCCACTATACCAACATCATGGACTCTGTCAGTGTGCTATCTTATTAAATGGTTCTTGAATTTAAATGGAAATATTTATTTATCATACAACACTGAAGGGTAGGGAGTGTGGCTATAAATGCTCTCAATGACATCTAAATGCTTATTAGACTCTTCATAACATCAGCCAGGTTTCCTTTCCATTATGGATTCTCTAATGATGAAAAAGAGTGAGGTGCTTTTCCACATGATTTACCACTGGTTCCCAAACTTGTCTGCATATTAGAATCACCTGGAGATGGGACCCAGGTACCAGTATTTTTTGTATCTCTTAGGTGATTCCAATATGCAGACAAGCCTGGAAACCACTGTGATTTCCACTTCAATGCTATCACTGGAAGACTTGAAGCAGGAGGTGGATAACCACTTACTAGCCATGCTGGAGAAGGGGTTCCTTCATTGGAAGATAGTATCTAAGGCCCTTACTCAGGCTCTATGACTCTCTAATATTGGTGTTTTACAAATAATCCATTCTATTAACATTGTCAAATCTTTTTTCCCAGAAAATTACAACAAATATTACATATTTTTCTAATTTTACTTTTAATATAATTAGAAATAAACCTATACAAACAACGACTAGAACAATATTTTCCAAAAAATATTGCACTGGAAGAATTTTTACAACATATATTTATAAAATGAATTCAAATGTAACAAAAATTATATAAAGTCTCTGTTTTTCTGATTCTCTATCAAATTAAAATCCAATTATTTATTTATAGTTTTAAAAATAGGCCAAATATCTAAATAAGCCAAGAAAAAATAAATCTAAGTAATCTTCAAGCTAGTAGAACTTTTTCCAAAATTTAAAAATAACGTTTTCAGCCCCATATTTATAAAAGGTTACTTTTCTTTTTTTTGAGACGGAGTGTCGCTCTGCCACCCAGGCTGTAGTGCAGTGGTGCGTTATCGGCTCACTGCAACCTCCGCCTCCCGGCCTCAAGTGATTCTCCTGCCTCAGCCTCCTGAGTAGCTGGGATTACAGGCGCCCACCACCACGCCCGGCTAATTTTTGTATTTTTAGTAGAGATGGGGTTTCACCATCTTGGCCAGGCTGGTCTTTAACACCTGACCTCGTGATCCACCCGCCTTGGCCTCCCAAAGTACTGGGATTACAGGCGTGAGCCACCGCACCCAGCCAAAAAGGTTACATTTTTAATTCAACATTTAAATTGAAAATTTTTCAATATTCTCCCAATAATTAGTAATAACAAATAAAAGCTCTTTAAAATCTTGACTTTAAAATAGGATATGTAAACCATCATTCTTAAATGGTTCTAAGACATAATTAATATTGGTAAAATATGGATTACACAGCACTGGTTTTCTTTATTTAAAAAAAAGCAATAATGGATAGGTTTTTTTTTCATGTTTTAGTTCCAGAAGACAATTTTTTTTTCAGAAGATACTGAATGGTCTTCCATCCAGAACTATTTTAGTCACAAGCTTACACACATTTTCCATCCAAAAATAAGATATTTCTATTAAAAGCTATACAAATTGGTACACAGACAGCATTTACTACACAGATACTATTTCTAAAGTTGCAAGGTTTCTAATTCTCATGTGTGCTAATAGATACCAGACTAACAGCTTCAGGAAAGATTAACCCTCCTTTCACTGTCCCTGAAAGGGGGATCCATCTTCCACCTTCAGCCTCCAGAGCTCTTCCATTCTTAGGTCCTGGAACTGGACACAGGGGCTCGGACAGAATTATCAGGAAGTCACCAGAGCCATAGCAGAAGAATGAAACAGTCACTCTAGGCATTAACTGACTTCAAATTGCTGTCCTTACAAAAATACTTAGCCTCTGTTTTATCATTTATATAAATCTTTTAGAAGATAACCCTGTTTTAATATAGTCACCTAGTCTTAATTAGTAATACAAAAGGCTTCCTTAGAGAAAAGATCAATAGCTTGGGATTGTGAGGGAAGGGAAGAATTTGTTTGAAAGGCCTGATAATAGAGTCCCATAAAGCTGGTGGCTATGAAACTTTAAGACTGAAAATGGTGCTAGGACCTCTTACATGCCTCAAAGCTTTCTCCAGTGATTAAGAAGGTGCATTAGAAATACAATAGTGGGAAAGTCAATACAAAAGTGGGAAAATGGGGGAGCGCATATAGAGAGGAAAGAACTTCTTGATTAAAATTCAGGTCATCCAGGCAAAAGTAGTGAAGAAGTAATAAACTAGGCTACTTTTCTCCTAACCAGAGATTGCTGAATTAACACCCTAGTCTTTCCGTATCAAAGATGTTTCTTCCTGTATTAACTGTAAGATGAATAATCCCTGCTGAGATCTATAAAGTACTATAGATAGGCTTCTGCTTATCTTTAAAACCATTATTATTTAAGGAGGATACAAAAAAGTCAAAGAACTGAACAGGGACATTCATCAGAGCATCTGACTGCTACGTATTTGCCCCAGATGCTGGTTCACTCAATCAGAGAGGAGTAAGGAGTCAGGGACCCACCCCATGAGTCAGAAATTCCCCTGCAGAGATACAAGAACTCTCTGCAATTGAAACCAAACCAGGAATGAGGGCCTGCCTAACTAGCTCTAGAAAAACTGACTTTTCTGCAAAGGTGCTTTTTCTTTTCCCCAAAAAATCAACCTTGAACCTCAATGAAACATACTATGAACATCAAAGGGAATAAATACACACACATATCAAAAGAAATAAAAAATGATATGGGATTAGGACTGAGATTTAGTTAGAAAAAAATTAAGATGCAAATTCTAAGATATATTACTAAGTGTCATAGAACAAGAAAGAATCACTACACAAAGTTGATAGGGATTTTAAATAGTCATGTTTGATAAAAATACTTCAATAAATACCTCCATAAAACTGTTTAAAACATTAAAGGACATAGTAAATATGCTTTAAAAAGGAAATCATCTATATATCACTACTTTAATAAGGAAATATTTAGAAAGTTGTCACACCAAGAACAGAAAGGATAAAATTCAAAAGTAAAACAACTCCAAATCACCTTAACAATGGAGGACAGCATGGAAGCAAAATAGGCCAAACAACATGGTACAAAACAAATACAACATGGCACAGACTGCATATGTGCCTCACACCCCATGCACAGAAAATCTAAAGCAAGGGCGGGGATTTAATTAAATGACACATACTCTGACATCACTAAAAATGCACATTGAAAATGAACTAAAGTTGAGCAGAAATAACATGTTAAATGCAATGATTCATGGGAGATAGCAAAGAGAACTAGATGCAATTTTTTTTTCTCTCTCACCATTAAATCAATTAAAAGACACAGACTGGCAAATTGGATAAAGCGTCAAGACCCATCAGTGTGCTGTATTCAGGAAACCCATCTCATGTGCAGAGACACACATAGGCTCAAAATAAAGGGATGGAGGAAGATCTACCAAGCAAATGGAAAACAAAAAAAGGCAGGGGTTGCAATCCTAGTCTCTGATAAAACAGACTTTAAACCAACAAAGATCAAAAGAGACAAAGAAGGCCATTACATAATGATAAAGGGATCAATTCAACAAGAAGAGCTAACTATCCTAAATATATATGCACCCAATACAGGAGCACCCAGATTCATAAAGCAAGTCCTTAGAGACCTACAAAGAGACTTAGACTCCCACACAATAATAATGGGAGAATTTAACACCCCACTGTCAACATTAGACAGATCAACGAGACAGAAAGTTAACAGGGATATCCAGGAATTGAACTCAGCTCTGCACCAAGCAGACCTAATAGACATCTACAGAACTCTCCACCCCAAATCAACAGAATATACATTTTTTTCAGCACCACACCACACCTATTCCAAAATTGACCACATACTTGGAAGTAAAGCTCTCCTCAGCAAATGTAAAAGAACAGAAATTATAACAAACTATCTCTCAGACCACAGTGCAATCAAACTAGAACTCAGGATTAAGAATCTCACTCAAAACCACTCAACTACATGGAAACTGAACAACCTGCTCCTGAATGACTACTGGGTACATAACGAAATGAAGGCAGAAATAAAGATGTTCTTTGAAACCAACAAGAACAAAGACACAACATACCAGAATCTCTGGGACGCATTCAAAGCAGTGTGTAGAGGGAAATTTATAGCACTAAATGCCCACAAGAGAAAGCAGGAAAGATCTAAAATTGACACCCTAACATCACAATTAAAAGAACTAGAGAAGCAAGAGCAAACACATTCAAAAGCTAGCAGAAGGCAAGAAATAACTAAGATCAGAGCAGAACTGAAAGAGATACACAAAAAACCCTTCAAAAAATCAAAGAATCCAGGAGCTGGTTTTTTGAAAAGATCAACAAAATTGGTAGACCGCTAGCAAGACAAATAAAGAAGAAAAGAGAGAAGAATCAAATAGATGCAATAAAAAATGATAAAGGGGATATCATCACCGATCCCACAGAAATACAAACTACCATCAGAGAATACTGTGAACACCTCCATGCAAATAAACTAGAAAATCTAGAAGAAATGCATAAATTCCTCAACGCATACACCCTCCCAAGACTAAACCCAGAAGAAGTTGAATCTCTGAATAGACCAATAACAGGCTCTGAAATTGAGGCAATAATTAATAGCTTACCAACCAAAAAAAGTCCAGGACCAGATGGATTCACAGCCTAATTCTACCAGAGGTACAAGGAGGAGCTGGTACCATTCCTTCTGAAACTATTCCAATCAATAGAAAAAGAGGGAATCCTCCCTAACTCATTTTATGAGCCCAGCATCATCCTGATAGCAAAGCCTGGCAGAGACACAACAAAAAAAGAGAATTTTAGACCAATATCCCTGATGAACATCGATGCAAAAATCCTCAATAAAATACTGGCAAACTGAATCCAGCAGCACATCAAAAAGCTTATCCACCATGATAAGGTGGGCTTCATCCCTGGGATGCAAGGCTGGTTCAACATACGCAAATCAATAAACATAATCCAGCATATAAACAGAACCAACGACAAAAACCACATGATTATCTCAATAGATGCAGAAAAGGCCTTTGACAAAATTCAACAACACTTCATGCTAAAAACTCTCAATAAATTAGGTATTGATGGGACATATTTCAAAATAATAAGAGCTATCTATGACAAACCCACAGCCAATATCATACTGAATGGGCAAAAACTGGAAGCATTCCCTTTGAAAACTGGCACAAGACAGGGATGCCCTCTCTCACCACTCCTATTCAACATAGTGTTGGAAGTTCTGGCCAGGGCAATCAGGCAGGAGAAGGAAATAAAGGGTATTCAATTAGGAAAAGAGGAAGTCAAATTGTCCCTGTTTGCAGATGACATGATTGTATATCTAGAAAACCCCACTGTCTCAGCCCAAAATCTCCTTAAGCTGATAGGCAACTTCAGCAAAGTCTCAGGATACAAAATCAATGTGCAAAAATCACAAGCATTCTTATACACCAATAACAGACAGAGAGACAAATCATGAGTGAACTGCCATTCACAATTGCTTCAAAGAGAATAAAATACCTAGGAATCCAACTTACAAGGGACGTGAAGGACCTCTTCGAGAATTACAAACCACTGCTCAATGAAATAAAAGAGGATACAAACAAATGGAAGAACATTCCATGCTCCTGGGTAGGAAGAATCAATATTGTGAAAATGGCCATACTGCCCAAGGTAATTTATAGATTCAACGCCATCCCCATCAAGCTACCAATGCCTTTCTTCACAGAATTGGAAAAAACTACTTTAAAGTTCATATGGAACCAAAAAAGAGCCCACATTGCCAAGTCAATCCTAAGCCAAAAGAACAAAGCTGGAGGCATCAGGCTACAGTAACCAAAACAGCACGGTACTGGTACCAAAACACAGATATAGACCAATGGAAAAGAACAGAGCCCTCAGAAATAATGCCGCATATCTACAACTATCTGATCTTTGTCAAACCTGACAAAAACAAGAAATGGGGAAAGGATTCCCTATTTAATAAATGGTGCTGGGAAAACTGGCTAGCCATATGTAGAAAGCTGAAACTGGATCCCTTCCTTACACCTTATACAAAAATTAATTCAAGATGGATTAAAGACTTAAATGTTAGACCTAAAACCATAAAAACCCTAGAAGAAAACCTAGGCAATACCATTCAGGACATAGGCATGGGCAAGGACCTCATGTCTAAAACACCAAAAGCAATGGCAACAAAAGCCAAAATTGACAAATGGGATCTAATTAAACTAAAGAGCTTCTGCACAGCAAAAGAAACTACCATCAGAGTGAACAGGCAACCTACAGAATGGGAGAAAATTTTCACAATCTACTCATCTGACAAAGGGCTAATATCCAGAATCTACAATGAACTCAAACAAATTTGCAAGAAAAAAACAACCCCATCAAAAAGTGGGCAAAGGATATGAACAGACACTTCTCAAAAGAAGACATTTATGCAGCCAAAAGACACATGAACAAATGCTCATCATCACTGGCCATCAGAGAAATGCAAATCAAAACCACAATGAGATACCATCTTATACCAGTTAGAATGGCAATCATTAAAAAGTCAGGAAACAACAGGTGCTGGAGAGGATGTGGAGAAATAGGAACACTTTTACACTGTTGGTGGGACTGTAAACTAGTTCAACCATTGTGGAAATCTGTGTGGCGATTCCTCAGGAATCTAGAACTAGAAATACCATTTGACCCAGCCATCCCATTACTGCGTATATACCCAAAGGATTATAAAACATGCTGCTATAAAGACACATGCACACGTATGTTTATTGTGGCACTATTCACAATAGCAAAGACTTGGAACCAACCCAAATGTCCAACAATGATAGACTGGATTAAGAAAATGTGACACATATACACCATGGAATACTATGCAGCCATAAAAAATGATGAGTTCATGTCCTTTGTAGGGACATGAATGAAGCTGGAAACCATCATTCTCAGCAAACTATCGCAAGGACAAAAAACCAAACACCACATGTTCTCACTCATAGGTGGGAACTGAACAATGAGAATACATGGACACAGGAAGGGGAACATCACACACCGGGGCCTGTTGTGGGGGTGGGGGGAGGGGGGAGGGATAGCATTAGGAGATATACCTAATGTTAAATGACGAGTTAATGGGTGCAGCACACCAACATGGCACACGTATACATATGTAACAAACCTGCATGTTGTGCACATGAACCCTAAAACTTAAAGTATAATAAAAAAAATCACTTGGACTAGTCATAACTTTGAAATCATGTGGAAAATAAATCATTACTCATTTGAAAATTCCATTAGCCAGGCACAGTGGCTCACACCTGTAATCCCAGCACTTTGGGAGGCTGAGGCAGGTGGATCGGCTGAGGTCAGGCATTCAAGACCAGCATGACCAACATGGCAAAACCCCGTCTCTACTGAAAAAACAAAAATTAGCTGGGTATGGTGGCACACGCCTGGAGTCCCAGCTACTCAGGAGACTGAGGCAGGAGAATCACTTGAACCCGGGAGGCAGAGGCTGCAGTGAGGCAAGATTGCGCCACTGCACTCCAGCCTGGGCAACAGAGTGAGGCTCCATCTCAAAAATAAATAAATAAATAAAATAAAATAAAAAATAAAAATAGGCCAGGCACGGTGGCTCACACCTGTAATCCCAACACTTTGGGAGGCCGACGCAGGTGGATCACCTGAGGTCAGGAGTTCAAGACCAGCCTGGCCACCATGGTGAAACCCCATCTCTACTAAAAACACAAAAATTAGCCAGGTGTGGTGGCATATGCCTATAGTCCCCGCTACTTGGGAGACTGAGGCAGGAGAATTGCTTGACCCTGGGAGGCGGAGGTTACAGTGAGCCGAGATCACGCCACTGCACTCCAGCCTGAGTGACAGGGCAAGACTCTGTCTCAAAAAAATAAAATAAAATAAAAATAAAAATTCTACAGAGTAGCCAAAATTATAAGAATTGTAAAATAAATATTGTAACACTTTAATTCTGAGGTATATATTCATAAATCTGGAAAGGCTTGGGAAATATATTTATTACTAATTATAAAATAATAAAAGGAGGTAAGCAAATTTTCCCAGCAAAACTTAAACTATTAACTGCAATTGATTATAAACAATTAGTAAAACAAAACTTGTTGACACAGGCATGCAGAGCTTTGATGGTAACCAGAGGGTGGAGCAGAGAAAGAGAAGTGCACTGTCAAGGGCTGGCTGACAATCAAACTGCTACATGGCATTCAGGATCACCAAGAGCATGGCTGACATCAATTAAAATATAAACTAAAAGCTCTGCTGTGAAAATTATATATATATAAAAACATGAAATATAATTGTTTGTCTACATAATTTGATGAGCAATATTTGAAAAAATCTAAATTCCTAAAACTAAATCAAAAGTTTGATTGGTTTTGATTTGCTTTTGTCTCAATAAACAGGTTGGCAATGCTAGAAACAATATATGCACATTTTTCAATTTGGTGTCTTCACCACTTGCTGATGCTGCTTTTTCTGGCTGAGTTCTTAGACTTTTAAAGAAATGGTTACTAATTCATAGCTAACAACTCATTTTTTAAATAAATTAAAAAGTAGGTGGAGAAAGATTAGAATTCTACTAACGATATTAGGTCTTTTTAAAAATCAAGGAAAAGGCCAGGCGCAGTGGCTCATGCTTGTGATCCCAGCACTTTGGGAGGCTGAGGCGGGCAGATCACCTGGGGTCAAGAGTTTGAGACCAGATTAGCCAACATAGTGAAACCCCGTCTCTACTAAAAATATAAAAAATTAGCCAGATGTGGTGGCAGGCACCTGTAATCTCAGCTACTTGGGAGGCTGAGGCAGGAGAATCGCTTGAAACATAGGAGGTGGAGGTTACAGTGAGCCATTGCACTCTAGCCTGGGCAACGAGAGTGAAACTCTGTATCAAAAATAAAAAATAAATAAATAAATAAAGGAAAGGTCTGATTTCCTTCAAATCTCACACCTGGAAAGCAGACATTTTGTCACTCATAAGGAATGAAAAAGTAAATATTGTATTTTACTTAACACACCTTAGTATCCCAATTCCAACAGAAACAAATGAATTTTAAAAGTATTAAGTTGAGGCACCAGTGGTTAAGGGTGAAGGTGGACTTCTCTAGCAGGTTCTTCAGGGGATAAAAATCCTGCATGACAAACGATGAAGCTCATCATCTAACTCTGACTGTTTTTCAATTTCTTCTTGATTGTACTTCATGGCTATAAAACAAAGATGAAAACTTATGCACTAACCAGAACCGGGATTGTCAAAACTTTATTCTAAGTTAACAGATTTTTTTAACCCCTCTCTTAAAAATCACATTAACAGCCAGGAACAATGGTTCATGTTTCTAATCCCAGCAATTTAGGGGGCTGAGGCAGGAGGATTGCTTGAGGCCAGGAATTTGAAGCCAGCCTGGGCAACATAGCAAGACCCCATCTCTACAACAAATTTAAAAATTAGCCGGGCATGGAAGCACACACCTGGAGTCCCAGCTATTCAGGAAGCTGAGACAGGAGGATTGCTTGAGCCCAGAAGTTCGAGACTATAGTGAGTTATGATGGCACCACTGTACTCCAGCCTGGATGACAGAGAGAGACCCCATCTCTAAAAGAAAAAAAAAATCATGTTATCAAAAAAATTTTATAATTTTCTTTATATTTTTCCTGAGAAAGATTTGCATTTAATCTTATTATAATACAAATCTGTTCAATTGTACATAAAATAATGCTGTTGTAAACAAATCTTGGCATAAAAAACATATATCTATGTCTCAGAGTATTTTTTTTTTTTTTTTTTTTTTTTTTTTTTTTGAGACGGAGTCTCGCTCTGTCGCCCAGGCTGGAGTGCAGTGGCGCGATCTCGGCTCACTGCAAGCTCCGCCTCCCGGGTTCACGCCATTCACCTGCCCCAGCCTCCCGAGTAGCTGGGACTACAGGCGCCCGCCACCACGCCCGGCTAATTTTTTGTATTTTTAGTAGAGACGGGGTTTCACCGTGTTAGCCAGGATGGTCTCGATCTCCTGACCTCGTGATCCGCCCGCCTCGGCCTCCCAAAGTGCTGGGATTACAGGCGTATTTTTTAATTATAGTTCTAAATTGTCTTTAGTGAGAGTTAAATATTCTAGAATATTTAACTTCAGAATCTAATTTTAATTATATATACAGTTTAAGATTCTCAAATTCAAAATTCTGAAGCCCAAAATGCTCCAAAATCCAAAACTTTTTGAGTGCCAACATGATGCTCAAAGAAAATGCTCATTTCAGATGTCTAATTTTTAGATATTGGATTACACCTGCATTATACCAATAAAAGTACAATGCAAGCTGGGCGTGGTGGCTCACACCTGTAATCCCAGCACTTTAGGAGGCCAAGGTGGGGGGATCACTTGAGGTTAGGAGTTTGAGACCAGCCTGGCCAACATAGTGAAACCCTGACTCTACTAAAAATAAAAAAATTAGCTGGGTGTGGTGACTCACTCCTGTTAATTCCAGCTACAAAAAAATCCGAAATCCAAAACACTTCAGGTCCCAAGCACCGTGGATAAGGAATGCTCAACCTCTACTTAAGTATATTATAAAATGTACATGCTTCATGAAAATTCATATGTGAAACAAAACTTCAAATTAGTAATAAATTTCACTAAGTCAGCTAAACCAAAGACATTTAATAACTAAAGAAATATGAAGAAGAATGGTATAAACACAGACCAATACTTTCTAACACAACTGAAAAGAATACTGTTTGCAACTTTCTTAGGAATAATAGGCTGGGCGCGGTGGCTCACGCCTGTAATCCCAGCACTTTGGGAGGCCAAGGCGGGTGGATCACGAGGTCAGGAGTTCAAGGCCAGCCTGACCAATATGGTGAAACCCCGCCTCTACTAAAAATACAAAAAGTAGCCAGGCACGGTGGCAGGTGCCTGTAATCCCAGCTACTTGGGAGGCTAAGGCCGGAGAATCGCTTGAACCTGGGCAGCACATGTTGCAGTGAGCCGAGATCGCACTACTGCACTCTAGCCTGGGTGACAGAGTGAGACTCTGTCTCAAAAAAAAAAAGAAATAATATTCATTCATAAATGCCTAGTACTCAAAAAATTACAATTCCTTAATCCATAATTTCAGGCTTAGTAATTCTTTTCTGAATAATATAAATTACATTAGTTTGCTGGAAACTGTGAAATATTTCTACATTAATATCCATCATTTACTTGAGCCAAAAAAGCATTTCAAGAAATTACTCTATGTCTTCCAATTAATTCGATTTAACCACAGTTTACCATCTAAAAACGTTTACCCAAAAGAATGTCTTATCAGTTTCATGTCACAGATAGTAGTCATCAACAAAAGGATATTCCAAACCATTTTTCCATATTGCTTATAATTTAAGCAATAGAGATATTCTATTGCTTATAATTTAAGCAATAGAGATTCTATTCCATTTCTTAAAAAAAATAGCAAGCACTATTACTACATTGAGTGGTTTTTGTAGGGTTTTTAAAGCTGTATATAACTTTTCTAAACTGCTATATTTAATTTTGGGATCCATTATTTAAGTATGTTTGGAGGAATATGCAATGATCATCTAAAAATTTATAAAATAAGGACTAACAGTTTAAAAATTATTAAGTGAAACAATGTAAACTTGTGAGGTGCTAGGGTAGCCTTTTTTTTTTTTTTTTGAGATAGAGCCTTGCTCTGTGGCTCAGGCTGGATTGCAGTGGCATGATTTCAGCTCACTGCAACCTCCACCTCCCAGGCTCAAGCAATTCTCCTGCCCCAGCCTCTTGAGTAGCTGGGACTATAGGTGTGCACCATCACACCCAGCTAATTTTTGTATTTTTAGTAGAGATGGGGTTTCACCATGTTGGCCAGGCTGGTCTGGAACTCCTAACCTCAGGTGATCCACTCACCTTGGCTTCCCAAAGTGCTGGGATTATAGGCGTGAGCCACCATGCCCGGCCTAGGGTAGCTTTTAACATGCATTCCTGTCACACAGAGGTAGGAAAGTTGAACATTATATTTCCCAACCTCCTTTGCAGCTAGGGTTTCAGATATGATTGGTCCAGTCCATCAGATTCACTCACTTGAGACTTTTACTCAGAGCCAAGTAACGTGGGGACAGAGGCAGGAAGAGATGTATCTATTTTTGCTGGCATAAAGCATGGCAGAGGTGGTGTGGCTCTGGAACTGGCAACTGTTCAGCAGGCAGCTTCCTAATCCAGCAGGCAGCTTCTTGATTGTTCTAAAAGCAGCAGCTCTTTCAGCAGCCTACTCTTGTGACATAATTCCTAGAAGCTCAGCCTAGATCTGTTTCTTCAACCCTCCCATTGATTCTGTGACCTATATATACTCATTCATCAATTCCCTTCTGTTTAATAGCTAAAGAAGATTTCATTGCTTACAGCCAAGAATCTTGACCTATACAGAATTTGGCAGCTAGAAGTAAAGCACAGCAAGTCGAAGGCCCTAAATCTGGGGTTGGCTTAGTTGAGGAGGTAGGGCTTTGGGCAGTGAGACTTCTTGCCAACAGAAGTCAAGGTGAGGTTGAGACTTCCTGCCACAGAGACGAAGGTGGTAGAACTTCAGAGTGCTAGCATGTGTTGGCTGCTTCTTGCCTCTTTTCAGCAAAGCCCTACAAGAGATATGTGACTTGGACTAAGATTAACAAGTCTGCAGTGACGCAAGGGAAAAATAGCTTTGCTGAGAGAATTGCTCTTTGTCTACCATATAAATTGACCAAGTCCCAAATCTGGAGCCCTGAAGAATTGAAAACTGTACTCCAAACTGAAACATTTATAAGTAAAGGCTCTGAGGGAGCTACTAAAACTTTCTCAACCTTTTTTAAGAACCTTCCCTTAAGAATTTTCTGCCAAATAATAGGAGCCATCCTAGGGGAAGAGATCAGATTAAGACTGTTGCCATTCCATGCAAGCCTACAGTCTCAAAGGATCTCAAGGAGGTACCATTCCTGTAAGAACAAAGGGGATGGAGAGCACACAGAGGCCAGCAAGTAAATGATGAGGTTCTTTGTTAAAAACAATGTATTTTACCTTGGTTAATACTGTCCATGTAAATGACTGAAGACAACAGACCAGAAACTTACTAAAGTTTTAGGAATCCACTTGGCCAAGAAACAGAACAAAACAACAACAAAAACCCAAACCTGGCCTGCAATAGACTGTAGCTGTTACGGATCTATACTCTAATTCCCAAGCCTGCCCCCAGACTCACAATTATAGGAAGTAAACTGCTAAGGCTGCCCAGCCTCCAAGAAGGGTATACTTTCCAATGCCCATTCAGATTGTGTCTGAAAATTAATGTACAATAAAAACCTCCAAGAAAGTAAAACCAAGGCCCCCTGAGGACATTAGGTAAAGGAATTCCTCTCAGAAAGGTGAATCAGGGGTTGCCTGATAGGCAAACCAAGGAATATATTCATGAACTATAGCAGAGAGATTTAATTATTTTTGCCAAGTGGTACTTTCAAATTGCTATGGATCAGTGGCCACTATATTTCTATTTCTCCCTTTTTCTAAAAGGTCAATTTTAGGGATCTTGGGCATGGTGGCTCACACCAGTGATCCCAGTGCTTTGGGAGGCTGAGGTGAGAAGATTGCTTGAGACCAGGAGTTTAAGACCAGCCTGAGCAACATAGCAATACTCCATCTCTACAAAAAAAAATGTTTAGCCAGGCGTTCGTGGCATGTGCCTGTAGTCCTAGCTACTAGGGGGACTGAGGTGGAAGGATCACTTGAGCCCAGAAGTTCAAGGCTGCAGTAAGCTATGATCACACCACTGTACTCTAGACTGGACAACAGAGTAAGACCCTGTCTCTAAAAAATTTAAAAGGTCAGTTTTCCTGCACCTTTGCATTATGCATCTGGTGCTCTCAGGGCAGAAAACTTGTCTTTCAGTTTGTAGGTGGCCAGAACACAAGGAGCCACACCCTAACATGATGGAGGGGACTGTCTCCAGATAGCATGGTCTTTCATCTAGTATGCAATAATGGGCTGGATTTCTGGTGGTTTCTCTTCAGGGAGAGAGGGGTGAGTGTTTTCTCTCTCGGAAGAAGAAGGTACACAGAATTTAGGTAGCCAACAAGGCTGGCTGAGTTTAAAATCCAAAGTTGCCTACCAAACATTCCCTCTTCCCTTCTTCCTTAGTAAAAGAATCCAACTTTTAGCTGGTCACATTGCCACATTGACTTCTCAGCCTCCCTAGCAGCTAGGTGTGGCCATCAGTGTGACCCAGTTCTGGTCGAAACATAAGTTCAGGTGCTGCTGGTTCTGGAAAATGGCCTCAGGGAAGCTAACTCAAGCAGAGAAAGTCCAGTTTTCTTGCCTTCCCCACTGCCTCCAGGAGCAAACTTGAACAGTGAGAGTGAGGTAATCTGAGGATAAAAATCATGCACTGAGGATAGCAGAGCAGAAAGATAGGAACCTGGACACCACCTACTTCTAGACTTATGTAAGAAGAAAAACTCCTATTTAGTTTAAACCACTGTTATCTTTGTTTTTTCTGTTATATGTAACATAACCTAATCTTAAATGATAAAGTATAGAGCAAAATAAAAAAGAATGAAAAATGACCTGAAGTGGTAGCAAAAGTGATTCAGGTGAAGAATTTCTAGCAGTTGAGGTTGCCAAAACTAGAAAAACGTTACCAGGAAACACAGGGAAATACTGTGGCCTTTCCAGAATTGTTAATATCAAACAGACATTTATTGAAAGAAGGAATGATAAGCACCCATAAAAGAATACCTATGTTTACGAGTAAGTGAGAGCAATCTAATTTAAAAGCAAGAGGCAGAGTTTTCTCACTTAAATAGTTCCTAATAGTTTCACTAAATTATGGCATAAAGCCACTTAATTAAATCATTAAAGGAGAACAAAAAAATAAATAAAAGAGCCGTGTGAATGTGAGAGCAGAGAGCAGACAGTGAGTTTGTTTTCTTCCTGGTTCTGATAAACTTCAATCCTTTAATATCTGTGTCCCAAAAAAAGTGTTTTCATTTAAAAAGTATCTCCCTTTATTTCAAATATGCTTTTAAAATATTTATTGAGCAGAGAAAAAGGAAGGGAGCTAAAAAGATGAAATAGATGTTGAGTTAACAGCTTTCTTCCAAGTTCTGGTGGACTTCAGACTTTAAATGTCTGTTGGAAAAAAGAAAAAAGTTCTTATTTTAAAAGTATCTTCCTTTATTCTAAATGTTCCTTCATATACAAATATACTTGTTTTAAAAAATATGCTTAGCTAATCATAGATCACAATTTTAAAAAACATATTCTCTGGTAAGATTAATATAATTAGAAAGAATTACAAATAAAGTTGAAATAAATCATTTTACCATAAATATGGTTATCAAATTATACAAATGATACAGCACTTAAAATTTGCTGCTACATAAAACTTTTGGAGGCATTTTCATTTTTCTATAATCTAAATTGCTCTAATACCACAAAAAATACACAAAAAATAACATAACATCTTAATGATTTGAAATTATATTTGTAATAAATGTGGATTTCAATTGATAAAATAATTTATTTTCCTAAATAAATAATCAAACAAAATTACACACGTGGCTCAAACTTCAATTCTCCAGCTGGCCCTGATGGAGGAATTCCTTGTTGTAATTTTTTTTGTTCCATCTGCTGTATGACCTGGTGAATGGAAAATGAAAGTTAAAAGTATAACTTGATTTTCTATCATATGTGTGACCTTTGACAAAGCACAACAAAGTAAATGAAAATTGTTTTCTAAAACAAAGATATTCAAACTATAAGATTTAGATTTGACTAGGTGCAGTGGCTCACGCCTATAGTCCCAACAATTTCAGAGGCCCAGGTGGGAAGATCACTTAAGGCCAGGAGTTCGAGACCAGCCTCGGCAACACAATGAGACCTGGTCTCTACAAAAAATATTAACATTAGCCAGGAACACTGGCATGCACCTGTAGTCCTAGCTACTGGGGAGGCTGAGGTGGGAGGATCACTTGAGCCCAGGAGTTTGAGGCTGCAGTGAGCTATGATCACAGCACTATACTCCAGCCTGGGAGACAGGCTGTCTCAAAATAAAATAAAATGAAATAAAATAAAATTTAGATTAATATTCCACAAAACAGTTTTAAAGTATTAAAATTTAAAATACTATAGTATAGCTATAGCAGTGTACTATATAGTACAATGAAATATGTTACAAAAACACAGGCTTTTAACAAAGCACCTAAAATCTTTTTAATGCCATAATCTTTTGACAAAATGCCACCTGATGATATTCCAGCTTCTGAGCCTCCAGTTGATCATGCTGACGTTGTAGCTCTTCTTTTTGTTTCTGAAGCTCATCTGCCTTCTTCTTAAGTTCATTTTCTTGTAAAGCAATAATATTTTCATATTCTTTTAGTTCTTCCTCTGTGAAGAACTGTTGCTGATCTAATGTCTAAAAGAAAAAAAATGAGGAAAGAATAATCTCAAAACTACAACAATAAAGTCTGATTTAGCTTTAAAATTCTATGGTTAGCAAAGTATAAAAGAGTATCTATAGGATTACGCCTTTGGAGGTAAGAAGGAAGGGGAAATAAGTAATATATATTTATGTACTCATTTGAACAAAAGGAAAAACAGGAAGAAAAACTCAAGAGATTCTCTTCTGGGATTGACAACTAAAGGCAAAGAGTGAGAACTGGGTAGAAGAGGCAAAGAGAACGTGGGAAGAGAAATAAAATTTGTCATTCCCCCCAACCCTCACTGAAACATGAAATTTTAACAGCTGTCTGCACACAGAAAAGCACAAGAAGCAAACATCAGGTGAGCACTCACAGTACCTGGTTTCAACTTCATATCACCTGCAAAGACACTGAGAAGGGCAAAAGAGACAGTCTTGAATCACCTATGCCACCTCTCTCCCATTCCCTCGTGGCAGACCTGCAGCACAGAGAGTCTGTGCCCTCTGGGGAGGGAGCATAGCGACTGGGGGACTTTACATTGAACTCAGTGCTGCCCTGTCACAGCAGAGAATAAAGCTGTGCTGGGCTCCACCACTGCCCATGCATAGGAGCATTTGAAGCAGCCCTAGCCAGAGGAGAATCACCCATCCCAGCAATGGGCACTGAATTTCCTGGCAGGCCTCACCATGCGGGCTGAAGTGCTCTGGGGTCCTAGGTAAACTTGAAAGGCAGTCTAGGAAAGGAGGACTGTAATTCCTAGGCAACTCCTAGTGCTAGGCTGGGCTTAGAGCCAGTGAACTAGGGTAGCAGGTGACCAGGGGAGATACCAGCTGGTGAGGCTAAGGGAACGCTTGTGCTACCCCTCCCCCAACCTCAGGCAGTGCAGCTTGTGGCTATGAAAGTGACTCCTTTCTTGAGGAAAGGAGAGGAAAAAGTAAAGAGGGCTTTGTTTTGCATCTTGGATACCAGCTAAGCCATAGTAGGATAGGACACCAGGCAGAGTTGTGAGGACCTGATTCCAGGCCCTAGCTCCCAGGTGACATTTCTAGACATACCCTGCTGGCCCAAAAGGAAACTGCTGCCTTAAGGGAGCAGTCCTGGCAGGCTTCATCACTTGCTAAGTAAAGAGCCCCTGGGCCCTGAATAATCAGCGGCAAGACCCATGGAGTATGCTGTGGGTCTTGGACTGAGACATGCTGGCTTCGGGGTGACCCAGCACATTCCCAGCTGTAGTGGCTATGGCGAGAGACCCCTGTTTGAGGAAAGCAGAGGGAAAGTAAAGGCGATTTTTGTCTTGCACCCTAGGTACCAGCTCAGCCACAATGGGGTAGACCAACAAGCAGTCTTTTGGAGTCCCTGAGTCCAGGCCTTGGCTCTTGGACAGCATTTCTGGACTCGCCTTGGGCCAGAGGGGAGCCCACTTCCCTGAAGGGTAAAGGCCTGGCAGCATTTACCGCAAGGTGACAGAAAAGCCCTTGGGCTTTCAGTAAATATCAGCAGTGGCTGGCAGAACCCCATGTGGACCAGAGATGGTGGTAGTAATGGCCACAGGGAGAGGGTCCTCTGCCTGTGGAAAGAGGAGTGAAGAGCAGGAAGGCTTTTGTATTGTGATTTGAGTGTCAGCTTAGCCACAGTAAAACTGAACATCAGGTAAATTGCTAGGGTTTTTTACTCCATTCCCTGGCTTCTAGACACCATCTCTGGACACACCCAGGATCTGGGGGAACTCGCCACCATGAAGGAAAGGGCCTTGGGCAAGGCCCAGTGCCATGTTGGCTTCAGGCTTGACCCAGCACAGTTCCGTGGTGATGGCCATAAAGGTACTTGCATCACCACACCTCCAGTTCCAGGTGGCTCAGCACAGAGAGAGAGACCATTTGTTTGGAAGAAAGTAAGGGAAAAGAACAAGAGTCTCTGCCTGGTAATCTAGAGAATTCTTCTGGATCTTATCCAAGACCACCAAGGTGGTACTTTTAAGAGTCTGCAAAAATCACAGAATTACTGGACTTTGGGCCCAAGTCCCGTGGAATACCTGGAAAGCTTTCCAAAGAAGGACATGCACAAACAAACCCAGAGTGTGAAGATTACAGTAAGTATCTAACTCTTCAATGCTCTGATACCAACAAACATCTACACACATCACCACCACCCAAGAAAACATGACCTAACCAAATGAATTAAATAAGGCACCAGGTTCCAATCCTGGAGAACCAGAGATATATGACCTTTCAGATACAGAATTCAAAATAGCTGTGTTGAGGAAACTCAAAGAAATTCAAGGTAACACAGAGAAGGAATTCAGAATTCCATCAGATAAATTTAACAAAGAGATCAAAATAATTAGAAAGAATCAAGCAGAAATTCTAGAGTTAAAAAAATGGAACGGACACGCTGAAGAATGCATCGGAGTCTCTTAATAGCAGAACTGATCAAGTATAAGAAAGAATTACTGAGCTTGAAGACAGGCTATTTGAAAATACAGAGGACACAAAGGAGAGAGAATGAAAAACAATGAAAGCATGCTTACAAGATCTAGAAAACAGCCTCAAAACGGCAAATATAGGAGTTTTATTGGCCTTAAAGAGGAGGCAGAGAAAGAGATAAGGGTAGAAAGTTTATTCAAAGGAATAATATCAAAAATATTTCAACATTCAAGTGCAAAAAGGTTATAGAACACCAAGCAGATTTAACTCACGTCAGACTACCTCATGGCATTTAATAATCAAACTACCAAAGGTCAAGTACAAAGAAAGGATCCTGGCGAGGCGTAGTGGCTCACACCTGTAATCTCAGCACTTTGGGAGGCAGAGGTGGGCAGATCACTTGAGACCAGGATTTCAAGACCAGCCTGGCCAACGTGGAAAAACCTCATCTCACCTAAAAATATAAAAATCAGCCAGATGTGATGGCACACACCTGTAATCCCAGCTGCTCGGGAGCCTAAACCACAAGAATCACTTGAACCTGAGAAGCAGAAGTTGCAGTGAGCCAAGATCACGCCACTGCACTCCAGTCTGGGTAACAGAGCAAGACTCTGTCTCAGGTGGCAGATTTTTCAGTGGAAATCTTATAGGCCAAGAGAGACTGATATGAAATATTTGCAGTACTGACAGGAAAAAAAATTTTTTACCCTGGAATAGTATATTCACTGAAAATATCCTTTAAGCATGAAGGAGAAATAAAGACCTTCTCAGATAAACAAAAACTGAGGGATTGCATCAACACCAGACTTGTCCTATAAGAAATGTGAAAGGTAGTTCTTCAATCTGAAATAAAAGGATGTTAATGAGAACAAAGAAATCATCTGAAGGTACAAAAGTCACTGTTAACAGTAAGCACCCAGAAAAACACAGAATAGTATAACACTGTAATTGTCGTATATAAACTTCTCTTGACTTAAGTAAAAGACCAAACGAGGAACCGATCAAAAATAACTAAAAATAAATAAAATAATAACTACAACTTTTCAAGGCAGGCAATAAAATAAGATATAAAAAGTACAGCCAGGTGCGGTGGCTCATGCCTGTAATCCCAGCACTTTGGGAGGCCGAGGTAGGCAGATCACTTGAGGCTGGGAGTTCGAGACCAGCCTGACCAACATGGAGAAACCCTGTCTCTATTAAAAATACAAAAAATTAGCCGCGTGTGGTGGCACATGCCTGTAATCCCAGCTACTCGGGAGGGGGAGGCAGGAGAATCGCTTGAACCCAGGAGGCAGAGGTTGCGGTGAGCTGAGATTGCACCATTACACTCCAGCCTGGGCAACAAGAGCAAAACTCCATCTCAAAAAAAAAAAAAAAAAAAAAAACGGTAACAATGAGGCCAGGCACAGAGGCTCACGCCTGTAATCCCAGCACTTTGGGAGGCTGAGGCAGGCAGATCACCTTAGGTTGGGAGTTCGAGACCAGCCTGACCAACATGGAGAAATCCTGTCTCTATTATAAATACAAAATTAGCTGGGCATGGTGGTGCATGACTATAATCCCAGCTATTTGGGAGGCTGAGGCATGAGAATCACTTGAACCCAGGAAGTGGAGGTTGTGGTGAGCCGAGATCTTGCCATTGCACTCCAGCCTGAGCAACAAGAGTGAAACACTGTCTCGAAAAAAAAAAAAGAAAAAGTAACAACAAAAAGTTAAAAAGCAGGGGGATGAAGTTAAAGTGTAAAGTATTTATTTTCTTTTTGCATGTTTGTTTATGCAATCAGTGTTGTCATCAATTTAAAATAATGGGTTATAAAATATTATTTGCAGGCCTCATGGTAACCTCAAATCTAAAAACATACAATTGATACACACACAAAAAAAGCAAGAAATTAGAGCATGCCACCAGAGAAAATTAGCTTCACTAAAAGGAAGACAGGAAGGAAGAAAAAGAAGACAGCAAAACATCCAGAAAAATAACAAAATGGCAGGAGTAAGTCCCTACTTATCAATAATAATAACTTTGAAAGTAAATCAACTAAACTTTTCAATCAAGACATAGAGCATCTGAATAGATGAAAAAACAAGACCCAATGATCTGTTGCCTAAAAGAAACACACTTCACCTATAAAGATATACAGACTGAAAATAAAGAGATGGAAAAAGATATTCCCTGCCAATGGAAACCAAAAAAGAGCAGTAGCAGGAGCAGTACTTACATCAGACAAAACAGAGGTCAAGACAAAAACTAAGAAGAGACAAAGAAAATGATAAATGGGTCCATTCAGCAAGAAGATAGAATGACTGTAAACAGATATGCACCCAACACTAGAGCACCCAGATATATTAAGCAAATATTATTAGAGCTAAAGACAAAGACAGGCCTCAATACAATAATAGCTGAAGATTTCAACACCCCACTTTCAGCATTAGACAGATCTCCCAGACAGAAAATCAACAAAGTAACATTGGACATAATCTACACTATAGATCAAATGGATCTAATAGATACTTAACAAGTATTTCATCCAACAGCTATAGAGTACACATTTTTCTCCTTAGCACATGGATCGTTCTCAAAGATAGACAATATAGGCCAGGCACGGTGGCCCAAGCCTGTAATCCTAGCACTTTGGAAGGCTGAAGTGGGTGGATAACTTGAAGTCAGGAGTTCAAGACCAGCCTGGCCAATATGGTAAACCCCATCTCTACTAAAAAGATACAAAAATTAGCCGGGCGTTGTGGCACACATCTGTAATCCCAGCTACTCAGGAGGCTGAGGCAGGAGAATCGCTTGAACCCAGGAGGCGGAGGTTGCAGTGAGCCAAGATCGCGCCACTGCACTCTAGCCAGGGCAACAGAGTGAGGCTCTGTCTCAAAAATAAATAAATAAATAAATAAATAAATAAATAAATAGACAAATAGACAATATGCTAGGTCACAAAACAAGTCTTATAACATTTGGCTGAGCATGGTGGCTCATGCCAGTAATCCCAGCACTTTGGGAAGCCAAGGTGGGCGGATCACTTGAGGTTGGGAGATCAAGACTAGCCTGGCCAACATGGTGAAACCCCATCTCTACTAAAAATACAGAAGTTAGCTGGGCGTGGTGGCATGCACCTGTAATTCCAGCTACTTGGGAGGCTGAGGCACAAGAACTGCTTGGACCTGAGAGGCGAAGGTTGCAGTGAGCTGACATAGTGCCACTGCCCTCTAGCCTGGGCAACAGAACAAGACTTTGTCTCAAAAAAAAAAATTCAAAAAATAGAAATAATAGCAAGCATCTTCTCTGACCACAATGGAATAAAACTACAAATCGATAATAAGAGGAATTTTTGAAACTATACAAACACATGGAAATTAAACAATATGCTCCTGAATAACCAGTGGGTCAATGAAAAAATTAAGAAGGAAATTGAAACATTTCTTGAAACAAATGATAATGGAAATACAACATACCAAAACCTGTGGGATAAAGCAAATGTAGTACTAAGAGGGAAAATTATAGTTATAACTGTCTATATCAAAAAAGAAAAATCTCAAAATAAATAACCTAATAGTGCATCTTAACTGGAAAAGCAAGAGCAAACTGAATCCAAAATTAGTAGAAGATGAAAAAATAAAGATCAGAGCAGAAATAAATGAATATGAAATGATACAAAAGATCAATGAAACAAAAAGTTGGTTTTTTGAAGTTAAACAAAATTGACAAACCTTTAGCCATACTAAGAGACAAAGAGAGAAAACCCAAATAAATGAAATCAGAGATGAAAAAGGAGACATTACAACTGGTACTGCAGAAATTCAATGGATCCTTAATGGCTACTATGAGCAACTATATGCCAATAAATTGGAAAATCTACAAGAAATGGACAAATTCCTAGACACATACAAACTACCAAGATTGAATTCGGAAGAAATCCAAAACCTGAACAGACCAGTAACAAGTAATGAAATCAAGGCCATAAAAAAAAGTCACCCAGCAAAAAAATGCCCAGGACCCAATGGCTTCACTGCTGAATTCTACCAACCCTTTAAAGAAAAACTGATGCCAATCCTACTCAAACTATTCCAAAAACTAAAGGAGGAAGGAATACTTCCAAACTCATTTGACAAGGCTCGTACTACCCTGATACCAAAACCAGACAAAGTCACATCGAAAAAAGAAAATTACAAGCCAATAGCTCTGGTGGATATTAATGCAAAAATACTCAACAAAATAATAGCAAACTGAGTTCAACAATACATTAAAAAGATCATACATCACGGCCAACTGGGATTTATCCCTGTGATGCAAGGATGGGTCAACATACACAAATCAATATGATATATCAACAGAATGAAAAACAAAAACCATATGATCATTTCAACTGATGCTGAAAAAGAATTTGAAAAAATTCAACATCCCTTCATGATGAAAACCCTCAAAAAATGGGTATAGAAGGAACATACCTTGATATAATAAAAGGCATATATGACAGACCCACAGCTAATATCATACCGAATGGGAAAAACTGAAAGTGTTTCCTCTTAGATCTGGAACACAACAAGGATGCTCGCTTTCACCACTGTTATTCAATGTAGTACTGGAAGTCCCAGCTAGATCAATAAGACAAGAGAAAGATATAAAGGGCATCCAAACTGGAATGGAAGAAGTCAAACTATCCTTGTTTGCAGATGATATAATCTTATATTTGGGAAAAACCTAAAGACTCCACACAAAAAAAAAACTATTAGAACCGATAAATTTAGTAAATTTGCAGGATACAAAATCAACATACAAAAATCAGCAGCATTTCTATATGCCAACAATAAGCAATCTGAAAAAGAAATTTAAAAAGTAATCCCATTTATAATAGCCACAAATAAAATTAAATACCTAGGAATTAACCAAAGAAGTTAAGATCTCTATAATGAAAACTATAAAACACAGATGAAAGAAATTGAAGAGGACATCAAAAAATGGAAAGATATTCTATGTTCAAGGATTGAAATAATCTGTGTTGTGAAAATCTCCATACTCCCCAAAGCAGTCTACAAATTCAGTGCAGTCCATATCAAAATACCCAATGACATTTTTCACAGAAATAGATAAAACAATCCTAAAATGTATGTGAAACTACAAAAGACCTAGAATAACCAAAGCAAAAAGAACAAAGCTGAAGGAATCACATCATTTGACTTCAAATTATCCTACAAAACTATAGTCACCAAAACACAATCGTACTGGCATAAAAACAGACATACAGGCCCAATGGAACAGAATAGAGAACCCAGAAACAAATCCACACACCTACTGTAAACTCATTTTTGAAAAAGGTGCCAAGAACATACATTGGGGAAAATACAATCTCTTCAATAAATGGTGCTGGAAAACTGAACATCCATATGCAGAAGAATGAAGCTTGATACCTACATCTTGCCTTATACAAAAATCAAATCAAAATGGATTAAAGACTTAACTCTAAGACCTCAAACTATCAAACTACTACAAGAAAACATTGAGGAAACTCTCCAGAACATTGACCTGGACAAAAAATTCTTGAGTAATATCCGTAAGCACAGACAACCAAAGCAAAAATAGACAAATCAGATCACATCAAGTAAAAAAGCTTCTGCAGAGCAAAGCAAAAAATCAACAAAGTGAAGGGATAACCCACAGAATGAGAGAAAATAATTGCAAACTACGCATCTGACAAGGGATTAATAACTAGAATATATAAGGGGTTCAAACAACTCTATAGGGAATTATCTAATAATCTGACAAAAATGGTCAAAAGATTTGAGTAGACATTTCTCGAAAGAAGACATAAAATGGCAAACAGGCATATGAAAAAGTGCTCAACATCACTGATCATCAGAGAAACACAAAACTACAATGAGATACCATCTCACCCCAGTTAAAATGGCTTTTATCCAAAAGACAGGCAATAACAAATGTTGGCAAGGATGTGAAAAAAAAAGAACCCTCGTACACTGTTGGTAGGCATGTAAATTAATACAACCACTATGGAGAACAGTGTGGAAGTTCCTCAAAAAATTAAAAATAGAGTTAACATATGACCCAGCAATCTTAATGCAATCTTAACCCAAAAGAAAGGAAATTGGTATATCAAAGAGATATCTGTGTTTCCATGTTTGTTGTAGTACTGTTCACAATAGCTAAGATTTGGAAGCAAGCTAAGCATCCATCAACAGATGAATGGATGAAGAAAATGTGGTACTTATACACAATGGAGTATTATTTCAGCCATAAAAAAAGAATGAGATTGTCATTTGCAACACCATGGGTGGAACTGGAGGTCATTATGTTAAGTGAAATAAGCCAGGCACAGAAAGACAAATATCACATGTTCCTACTTATCTGTGGGATCTAAAAATCAAAACAATTGAACTCATGGAGATAAAGAATAGAAGGATGGTTACCAGAGGCTAGGAAAAGTGTGGAGTTGGGGAGTGGTGGGGATAGTTAATGGGTACCAAAAAAAAAAAAATAGAATGAATAAAACCCAGTATTTCATAGTACAACAGGGGGACTATAGTCAATAATAATTTAATTGTACATTTGAAAATAACTAAAAGAGTATAATTGGATTGTTTGTAACACAAAGGATAAACAGTTGAGGGGATGGATACCCAATTTTCCATTATGTGATTATTACACATCACATGCCTCTACCAAAATATCTAAGTACCCCATAAATATATACACATACTATGTATGCACACACAACAAATTTTACTTATTAAAAAAAATAAAGAAAAAACTTGTCTGAATACACCTTCTTTGTACAGATTCAATTTCTGGAAATGTGTTAATGTTTCACATACTCAAGAAAATTAAAATCCACAAGACAGGAAAATCCTAAAGCTTGAATAGAAAAACAGAAGTAAATAAATAGTACTTTTATTTTAAATGAGTAAGATAACCCACAGAACGGGGAGGAAAAAAATGAACTAACCCAAGTAATTTTTGATCATAGTATTTGTACAATATGCCCTCACCTTAAAAATAACAATAAAATCTTTTTTAGTTTTTTGAGACGGAGTCTTGCTCTGTCATCCAGGCTGGAGTGCTGGGGTGCAATCTCGACTCACTGCAACCTCCATCTCCCAGGTTCAAGTGATTCTCCTGCCTCAGCCTCCCGAGCAGCTGGGATTACAGGAGTGCACCACCACTCCCGGCTAATTTTTGTATTTTTAATAGAGACAAGGTTTCACCATGTTGGCCAGGTCTGATATCAGGTGATCCGCCCACCTCGGCCTCCCAAAGTGCTGAGATTACAGGCATGAGCTACTGCACTGGCCCCAACAACAACAAAATCTAAACAAAATTTAAACTCTTATTTTACAGAGGCATGGATTAGTATTCTGAAACTTCTTGTACATTCTAGGATTGAGTGAATAAATGAAATATTTTTAAGGAAAAGGGAGTTAGGTTTTGCATGAAATATGGCAAAAGATAGAATGCTAAGTTGAAATCAAAGTTGTGGCACATATGTTCATTGCAGCACTATTCACAATAGCAAAGACATAGAATCAACCTAAATGCCCAAAGTAAGTGAGTAGATAAAGAAATGTGGTACATATACACCATGGAATACTATGCAGCCATAAAAAAAGAACGAGATCATGTCCCCTGCAGGAGCATGGATGAAGCTGGAGGACAGTATCTCTAGCAAACTAATGCAGAAACAGAAAACCAAATACTGCATGTTCTCACTTATAAGTGGGAGGTAAATGATGAGAACACATGGACACATAGTGAGGAACAACACACACTGGGGCCTATAGGAGGATAGAGGGCAGGAGGAGGAGAAGGATCAGGAAAAATAACTAATGGGTATGAGGGCTTAATACCTGGGTAATAAAATAATCTGTAAAACAAAACCCCATGACACAAGTTTATATATATATAAACTATATAATAAACCTGCACATGTACCCCTGAACTTCAAAAAATTAAAATGAAAAAAAGGAAATCAAGAGTTGTTGGATTGCAACTGGAGATATCAGTGTAAATTCATGAGTTTTAATATATATTGATAGATATGTAGAAATGAATATTAATGTATATAGGTGGGTATATGTGTGTATGTGTGCATGTATGTGTGTACATATGTACATATACACATCCATATTATATACATATTCTTTTAATTCCCCTGCTCTGTCATCTGACAAGACCTTGGAAGCAATGACACTACAGTAGCAAGGGGAACATCCAGGGCCCAGATCTTGGTCTGCAGGGCTTCTCAGAAAAATGGGTCATTCTGGGTTGGGTCAGGGAAAGAATAAGGTAAGCCTTGAACATCCTGATATACTAAAAGTAAGGAAGTCCCCAAAGAATCATTCGGACATGTCAGAAGGACACAAAAGCCAGTCTGAAGAAACTCTCACTGGCCAAGTCTGGGACAATTTGAGTATGGAAATAATGATGGTAAAGATTAGAGCTTATTGAATAAAAGAAGCCATGAGTCTACACTGATATAAGTAGAAGGTCGAGGGGAAGGAATAGTTTTTCATTACAGTAGAAAGCCAACTAACAAATGTAGAAGGGATGATCAGGTTAGAAAATCTCCATTTGTCAACCATCACAGTAATAATTCTAGCTAGAATCATCAATGGACATCAACAATAATACATTCACATATTCTCAAAGTATTTTAAAAAAATTTTTTTTTTCTTTTTAGAGACAGGGTCTCATTACATTGCCCAGACTGGTCTCAAACTCCTGGGCTCAAGTGGTCCTCCTGCCTCCTAAGTAGCTGGGCCTACAGGTAGGCACCACCGTGCCCAGCTCTGATATGTTTAAAGAGTGCACACGTTTTTAATGGTGGAAATATAAATGGCGTAAGTCTTTTGAAAAGCAATTTTGCAAAAGAATTCGGCCTTCTCTCTCCCTCTACTTATATCAGTGTAGACTCGTGGCTTCTTGTTTTATTCAATAAGCTCTAATCCTTATCATCATTATTTCCACGTTCAAATTGTCCCAGATTTGGCCAGTGAGAGTTTCTTCAAACTGGCTTTTGTGTCTTTGTGACATATCTGGATCATTCTTTAGGGACTTCCTTACTTTCAGTATATCAGGATGTTCAAGCCTTAAAAATAGCCTTAAAAATATTCCCTGGGTCCTGGTAATGCTACATTGAGAATCTACCCTATAAAACAACCCTAATCACGTACAAAGCTTTATATAAAAATGTATTTGTAGCAGCATTTTCTTTTTAAAATAGCAGTAAAAAATGAAATAATTTAAATGTCAAACCCTAAAAAAATGTTTATATACCTCCATAGCTTTTAAAATAAGGCTTACAAATATTATGTGAAAATACTTTTGATATGATATTGAATGTATTTTTTTTTTAAAGCTGACTTCTGTCTGGGCACGGTGACTCACATATGTAATCCCAGTACTTTGGGAGGCCAAGGCAGGCAGATTGCTTGAGCTCAGGAGTTTGAGACCATCCTGGTCAACATGACGACATCCTGCCTCTACTAAAAACACAAAAAAAAGATCCAGGCATGGTGGTGCATGCCTGTGGTCTCAGCTACTCAGGAGGCTGAGGTGGGAGAATCACTTGAGCCCAGGCAGGTTGAGGGGGATGGGGGCAGAGGTTGCAGTGAGCCAAGATCACGTCAGTGTACTCCAGCCTGGGTGACAGAGAGAGACTCTGTCTTTATTTTTCCTAAAATTATTAAAAAAAAAAAAAAAAAAAAAAGCTGACTTCTTTCCAGGCACAGTGGCTCACACATTTTGGGAGGCTGAGGCAGGAGGATTCCTTGAGCCCAGGAGTTCGGGACCAGCCTGGGCAATATAGTGAGACCTGGTCTGTATTTATAAAATAAAAAAACAAAAACTGACTTCTGATTCTCTCACTATGGTGGGCTAGACGAGATACTTTTTAAAATGTGAAAGGTAAAATAATAACGTTACATAAAAAAATCTGGTAGACACCACCTTAACAAAATGATCAAAGCTACCATTACCAGTTATGGGGATCGTCAACATGTGCCTTCTAATAGGATACACTGAGCATCTCTTCTGTGGTATTCAAGGGACATTGTACAACATAATAGTCTGTCCTCTTGATTGTTTCAGATGGAAGGAGACTAAAAAGACATTACAACTGAATTCAATGTATCATCTTGGATTTTCTTTTGTTATAAAGGATATTATTGGGAAAATTGACAAAATCTCACTAAGTCTAGAGATTGGAGAAGAGTACCATGTGTGTAGTATTGATAATTTTACTATGATTACATAAGGTAAATCTTTGTTTGCAAGAAATATACACTCAAGTATTTTAGATTAAAGTGGCATGATGTGTAATTTACTCTTAAGCAATTCAAAACTTTATATATATGTACACATATACATGTTTATATATATACATAACATATACATAAGTATATACATTACAACATAATTATATGTTATACATACACACACATAGAGATTAAAAATAGAGAGGAGGGAAAGAGAGAAAGATAAAGCAAATGTAGTTAAACCTGGTTGAAATGTATTCAGGGATTTCCTGTCTATTCCTGCAACTCTTGTAAATCTGAAATTATGTCAAAATTTTAAAAGTATATAATTATCTATTGATCTTCTAGTCTACCAGATGCACTAAAGGGAATGTAGATTCAAATAATCTTAGCATTCTTCTTCTTCACCAAAGTCAAGAAACATTTCAAACGTTAGACAAAAACCCAATACAAAAAGAGGCTGACTTTTCTGATGTCAAACTAAAGGGGCCAACTGTCCCAATTTGCCCAGAAATGTCTGGCTTTAGCAATGAAAAGTTCCACATCCTTGGAAATTCCTCAGTCCTGGGTAAACTAGAGTAGCTGTTCACCCTTTCTTAAACTATTTTCTGGACAATTAAAATTTTAATTTAAATAGTAATATTTTCAGTTTTTATGTAGAAAAAGACTATGTTCTTTCTTCCATCCATTTTGGTTGGTGCCTCTCAACTATTCTTTTCAAGTTGTCTATGCATTCATTTATACACAGTTGACTGTGTTACAAGTTGATATACTTTTCTCGAGCAGTTTGCCAAGATATACTGAGAAATTTAAAAAATTTTTCATAAATCTTAAGAATAGTTCTATTCCTGGGAGTTAATCCCAGGGAAATCATTATAGATTGCCCAAAAATGTGTGAAGAAACAGATAGTCATCATAGTGTCATTACAGTAAAATACTGGAATTTACCCAAAAGGTCTAAATTTGGAGAAATGGATATATAAATTATGCTACAGCCATATAACTGCATATTGGGTAGTCATTTTAAAAATCATGTTTTTGAAGAATGATATTAAAAGATGTTTGTGAAATATTGTTAAATTTTTAAAAAGTATTTCATCAACATACAAAGTCATTTATACAGTATGAAGCCATTTTAAAAAATACATAAATATGACTGGCCTGATGCGGTGGCTTATGCCTGTAATCCCAGTACTTTGGGAGGCTGAGGTGGGTGAATCACGAGGTCAGGAGTTCAAGACCAGCCTGGCCAAGATGGTGAAACCCCATCTCTACTAAAAATACAAAAATTAGCCGGGCGTGGTGGCGGGCACCTGTAATCCCAGCTACTCAGGAGGCTGAGGCAGAGAATTGCTTGAATCTGGGAGGCGGAGGTTGCAGTGAGCCAAGGTCGCGCTACTGCACTCCAGCCTGGGCAACAGAGCAAGACTCTGTCTCAAAAAACAAAAAAACAAAAAACAAACAAACAACAACAAAAAACACATAAATATGAATATATGTATATGTGTGAATTTAAAATGAGACAATACATTGTTTACATACTGTATATGTGCATATACTATATATACAAACTGCATACCATTCCAAATTAACACAGTACGATGCATAACTCAAGAATCTACCTCTGATTAGTAAAATTATAGGTGAATTCTAATTTATTCTTTCAATATATCTATATTTCTAATTTTCAATAACGAATCCTATTTTATACTTTGAAAAAAGTATAATTTTTAAAAGACTTCCAATTTTATGCAGTATGATTATAAACAAGAAATAAATTGCTACAAGCTTTCCAAGAAATGAAGTTCATTATTTTATACTGACATTTATATAAAAATCCCAAGATAGTAAGACTATACATGCAAACATAATGGGGAATAAAAGTTAAAAGTAGAATAGACTGATGTAGAATTTGTTGAACCATACATCTCATTTAGAGTAGGTTCTATTACCTCCCAGCTATCTGGCTCCAAGAATTCTTTTTTTTCTGTGGCTTTCAAAAACTCCTCCAGAGTCACCAATCTGTCTTTGTTAGTATCAACCTGATTAAAACAAAATGTATACATAATATAAAGTAAATCTTTCTCATATTATTTAGACACTATCAACTGTCTTGTAATAGATGCCACTACATAAACATACAGCAATTAGGACTCACTTAACTTCCACAGAAACTGGAGGAAAAAAATAAAAAACAGAGCACTCAACATTATACTAGAATTACAAAATAAACATCTTTCTCTTCTATATAATTCAAATTGGAAAATATGAGATATCTATATACCTAATGCCCACAAAACCATTAAGTTTCAGTCAGCTGATCTGAGTGGTTAGGTGACTGTTACTGTCTTCCTCCTTTACCATAATATGTATAATCCCTCTTGAAGCCAAGTTCTTGGGTAAGAAAAAGAACCATTCCAGAAAGAGGACGGTTTTAGCCAAGAGTAAAGGAGGTTAAATTAAAATGCTCTCAACATTTTTTCTTAAAAAAACACAATTACCAAAATCAAAACTAAAGCTGACAACCTCTCCAAATCCTCTTGTACAGCTGTTACAGGCTGTGGCAAATTTCGTTACAAAGGTGTAATCTATAATGGTCAAAGAAATTCACTTGATAGTTGGGATGTCAGCAGTCAACAGAGACCCCAATTTAGCATTTACCACTCAAAAATTCAGATGAAAGTTACTGAAGCAAAATAGTGGGATTCAGTTACCCTGCATATGATGCCTATATCAGAGTTTTTGGCTTAAAGGGAGGAGAGGCAGAGCAAGAACTGCAGAGAAAGGCAAATATTTAAATGAGCGTAGTCATTGGATGGACCATGGACATTTGAGCACAGACTCGGTGGAAGTAAAACCTTGTGATGATCTAGAAAAGGGGTATTCCAGAAAAAAGAAATATTAAGTCCAAATGCCCTAAAATGGGAACAAGCTTGATGAGAGGTAAACATCAGAAGGCCAGAGGAGAGAGAGTCACAGAGAGCAAGGCAAGGATGAAGTCACGAATCTTTTGGAAATAGGAGGGATTTGGGATCATATTACAAGGGAAATTGCAAGCCACTGAAGTATTTCTGTGCAAGAGAGCACATGACCTGATTTATGCTTTTAAGAGCTTACTCTGCCTACTTATGAAGAAGTGTCTGCAGTGGGGTAAGGAATAGAAGCAGAGATGCCAGTTAGGAGACTTGCTTGGACTTGATTGGTATTAAATAGTAGTGGAAGTGGGGGGAAGTGGTCAAATTCTGGATCTGTTTGAAAGATAGATCAGACAGAACTTATAGAGGAAATGCAGGATGTGAGGAAAGAAGTTAAGGATGACTTAGCCTGAGCAACTAGATGAATTATGATTCATTTGTTGAAATGAAAAAGGCTGAGGAAGGAACAGATCTGGGTTTGAAGAAGATGTGAGTTAAACACAAGGAGAACTGTCAAGCAGATACAACCCTAGAACTCAGAGAAAGGAGACAGCTGAAGATAAAAATGTTGAACTCACCAGCATACATGCAGATATAGAGCATATATAGAGACATGGGGCTCCACACTATCACTTAAGGAGAGAACGAAGCGAGAAAGGAGAACACGGCCAAGGGATGGGCCCAGGGCAATGCAACATGTAGAACTTGGAAAGAGGAGGAAGAGCCAGCAAAGAAGAGAGAGTGAGGTATGAGGAAACTGAGGAGGGGTGGTTTCCTAAAAGCCAAGTGAAGAAAGCATTTCGAGAAAGAGGGAGGCATCAACTGTATCAGCACAGATTAAGGCGAAAAGGAAAAGTGAAGAATTAACAGGAAGAGGAAGAATAGACAACTCCTTGAAGAGAAACAGAGAAATGAGGCAGTAACCAGAGGTTGTTGTTTTTGTTTTTCAGTACTGAAAAAAGGGTTTGCTTTGGTTTGGTTTTGAGATGGAGTCTTGCTGTGTCACCCAGGCTGGAGTACAGTGGTGTAATCTTGGCTCACTGCAAACTCTGCCGCCTGGGTTCAAGCGATTCTCATGCCTCAGCCTCCCGAGTAGCTGGGATTGTAGGTATGCACTACCACACCCAGCTAATCTTTGTATTTTTAGTAGACACAGGGTTTCACCATGTTTGCCAGGCTGGTCTCGAACTTCTGACCTCAAGAGATCCACCTGCCACGGCCTCCCAAAGTGCTGGGATTATAGGCATGAGCTATCATGCCCAGCCCAAAAAAAAAAGTTTTATACCTGATATGCAGTAGCATCTTTATCTTTTAGAATATTTTAAAGTAGTTACAAATTATTTTATTCATACTAAAGGCATCTAGTATAATAATCTGGATCAAAAATGCAAACTTCAGCCTGGGCAACATAGCAAGACCTTGTGTCTCCAAAAATTAAAAAGTTAGCTGACAGCCTGGGCAACGTAGCAAAGACATGCTGTCTCTTAAAAAAAATAAAAATCGGCCTGGTGCGGCGGCTCATGCCTGTAATCCCAGCCAGCACTTTGGGAGGCCGAAGTGGGTGGATCACTTGAGGTCAGGAGTTTAAGACCAGCCTGGCAAACATGGTGAAACCCCATCTCTACTAAAAATAAAAAAATCAGCCAGGCGTGGTGGTGCATGCCTGTAATCCCAGCTACTCAGGAGGCTGAGGCAAGAGAATCACTTGAACCCGGGAGGCAGAGGTTGCAGCGAGCCAAGATCGCACCACTGCACTCCAGCCTGGGTGACAGAGTGAGACTATGTCTCAAAAACAAACAAAAAAGGCCAGTGGCTCATGCCTGTAATCCCATCTATAATCCCAGCACTTTGGGAGGCCAAGGCGGATGGATCACCTGAGGTCAGGAGTTCAAGACCAGCCTGGCCAACATGCTGAAACCCTGTCTCTACTAAAAATAAAAAAATTAGCTAGGTGTGGTGGTGGGTGCCTATAATCCCTGCTACTCAGGAGGCTGAGGCAGAGAATTGCTTGAATCTGGGAGGCGGAGGTTGCAGTGAGCCGAGGTCGCGCCACTGCACTCCAACTTGGATGACAGAGTGAGACTCCGTCTCAAAAAAAAAAAAAAAATATTAGGTAGGCATGGTGGCTCCAGCTTGTGGTCCCTCCTCAGTCTCAGGAGGCTGAGACCAAAGGATTGCTTGAGCCCAGGAGGTTGAGGCTGCAGGGAGCCATGATTGCACCACTGCCTCCAGCCTGGGCAACAGAGTAAGACCCTGTCTCAAAAAAAAAACAAAAACAAAAACGCAAACTCCATTTAAATACAAATTCTGTATATTTTCCATCTTAAAGATTTATTGCAAGAATTAAATAATACATAGAAATAACATATTATCTTAAACTTTTAAAACATACCTCATTCATTACATGTTCCCTCATTCTAAGCCTTTCTTCTTCCATTTCTACCATATCATCCTCTTCATTTTTAGGGTCATATACTTTCTCCAACTAAAAAGAAAAATTTTAAATGAACATGAAAGGAAAGAAAGTAACAGGAAAAAAAGAGAGAGAACAAGAACACTGAATACTTAATAAACTCCTTTACCTCTTTAGTAAATAGGGCTTCTAATTCTTGTTCATCCAGGAATCCATCACTATTGACATCTAAAGTTTAAAAGTTACAAATGCAAAAATAGATTTTAATAACTTAGAAAATAATTAAAATACAATGATTTATAAAGGGTTTACAAAAGTAGTACTGATGTGAAGCATCAATAGACTGCAGAAAAGCATTTATTCTTTGTCATGAAGCTTTAGATCAGCTGAACTGATAAATATGCTGTATTTATTTGTAATTCATAATCATTTGTAAGGAAAGCGTATCTTGACCATTTTTTTCCAAAAATATAAAGTAAAGCAATATTCTATGAGAGTAGAAGTAAAATGTAATATTATAGTATAAAGCCTATTAGATATAACCTAGCTAGTCACAGTTTAGTTTTCACTTAACAGAGAACTTTGCAGTAATTCATATGACTCAACAGTAAAAGCCAGTATAAAGACAGAGCTACTAATCTAAAACATTTTATACTGCAGGTGAGCAATAAAGACTATCATATTACCCTAGAAAAACTCTAACCATTTACTCTCACTAGAACTCAATAGCAGACCTTGGCAGAAATCAATTAAGAGGAAAGCAAATACTTTTTCAAGCAGCAGATATAAATATTAATATTTGTATCAAATCGTTACCATGTAATTTGAAAAATGTCTTGGGGTCAAAGTCATTAGGATCCAATCCATCAGTCTCTTCCCATACCTCTTTTAGTTGATCTTTGCTTCCCTGTGAACCAATTTTAAAAAATTGCTCAAAACAAAATATAATCTATCTGTACAGACTCAAAATATAAATTTGAGGAACTTGGCAGAAGAATCAAGATTTAAGTACTAATAACACAATAAAAATCCGCTGATACGAAGAAGTATCTTTATCTAAAAATGGTTTCATAAAGTCACAATCCTTACTGGGTGATTAACTTTAGGGTGATTTTCATGCTTTTTCTTCATTTCTTCAAATTTAGACTCTTCTTCTTTTCTCTTTTCTTCATTCAATGTTTTTAAATATTCTCTCCTTTCATGTTCCTTCATCATTTCATATTTTTTAAATTCTTCATGACGAGTCTTGTCATAGTGTTCCAGATCACTTGTTGCCTGAAATGCAATAATGCATTTAAGTTAAATAAAAACATTCACTTGAAAAATGTAAATAAAGCCATTCTTGAATATAGCATACTCTTGAACAGAAGTGGTACGGGAGGGCAAAAACATACTGGACTCCTCTTTTTAAATTCTACCATTTCATTTTAGTCAAGTTTTTTCTTCTTTTTTTTTGAGACGGAGTTTCACCCGTCACCCAGGCTGGAGTGCAGTGGCACGATTTCGGCTCACTGCCACCTCCACCTCTTGGTTCAAGCGATTATCCCACCTCAGCCTCCTGAGGCCTCTCGAGTAGCTGGGATTACAGGCGCTCACCACCACTCCCGGCTAATATTTGTATTTTAAGTACAGACAGGGTTTCACCATGTTGGCCAGGCTGGTCTTGAACTGCTGACCTTGGGTGATCCACCCTCCTTGGCCTCCCAAAGTGCTGGGATTACAGGCATGAGCCACCATGCCCAGCAATTTTAGTCATCATTATTACCAGAGAGTATTCAAAGAAACTAAAAGTTCAAAGCTAGCCCCAACTTTAGGAAACTCCTCATAAGCAAGTAATATGTAAGTTGATTTAAAAAAAAAAAAGAAGAAGAAAGGAACTATTATCAAATCTAGACAGTACAGAAAACTAAAATGGCTTCTAACCATTTAACTAATCTAATACCTGCCAGGTTAGAACTAGTTCCATTCACACATAATGTGAGAGGTCCACAAACTCTTATCTGGAATCTCTGAGGCCAGATGTGCTCAGAATTTTCTACCTTAAAGAAAGGGAATATGGTACATATGCCATATTATGGAATATCCCTGTAGCATCTGTAATCAAACAGACTAGTATTTCTTAAGCAAAATCTATAAATATTCACACTAAGTAGGTTAAATAAAAACTGTAAATGGTTTTACTATAATTGGTTCATTCAGGCCAGGTTTCAGTTTTTACAGCTTTTGGATTTAGGAATTGTGGATAAGGGATTTTAGACCTGTATGTACATATTAATATCTGTATTAATAAGGGTTAAGCTACCTTCCTTTAAAGAACTTCTACAGAATATATAAAAGTTATATTTCCATTTCATTGGGTTTACTTGTCAAATTACAAAACCTCAAAGGCACAATAAAGACAAAACTTTTTGGAATTATTCTCACCGCTTTGATTAGCATATCTAAATCTGTGGATTCAAACTTGTCAGGATTCAGGTGGTTTAGGTGATCAAATTGTTTTAGAAGAGCTTGGTGGTCCATGCCTATATCTGAAAGAAAATAAGAAAACTGTAAATGATCAATTTCTAGAAGCTAGAAACATAATAATTATACACAAGAAAAAGATTTCATATTTATTCCTATAGGATTTTATAAGGAAATCCAAAGTTTTAGAATAAAGGCTTATATTTACTTTATGAATACTGCGTATGTTATTCTAGTTAAAGGTAGTGTCCTTGAACCTAGAGTGGAATGCAATTTAACATGTATATTTTTAAAAATTCTCTCTCATTTTTTTTTTGAGACATGGTCCTGCTCTGTCACCCAAGCTGGAGAGCAATGGTGCAATCATGGATCACTGCATCCTTGACCTCCTGGGCTCAAGCAATCCTCCCACCTCAGCTTCCTAAGTAGCTAGGACAACAGGTGTGCACCACTACGCCTGGCTAATTTCTTTTTTTTTAATTTTTGGTAGAGACAGGGTCTCACTATATTGCCCAGGCTGGTCTTGAATTTCTGGCCTCAAGTGATCCTCCCAACTCAGCCTCTCAAAGTGCTGGGGTTACAGGCATGAGCCACCATGCCTGGCCTTATGCATATTTTAATGTTATATCTTAAATAACTAGTTGACTATCAGCACAATAACAAACCCTTTTTAATTATCTTAAAACTACTAAATATCCTGCTTTTAATAAATCTCTAATATAGTATCCTTATCAAAGGTTTAAGTAGAATTTCTAAAAATAATTGCTCTAAAGCTTACATGAAAGAATTCCTTGTATATTGCTCCAATGGATCACTTATGAAACAATAAAAATCTAATTTAGGTAAATTTCCTTTTAATTATGAAGTATTTTTAAGGAAATATCAATTTTTTTAACGTTTAAAAAACAAGTTACAATTTACTATAGTGAAATGGGTGAAGTGATGCTGGATTGTTTCAGTTGTATTACATAGTGGACACATGTAATGGATACACAGTGGATATACATACAAGACAGCTCACCAGAAACAACGCAATACGAGCCCTTCTAGAATTGAGCAAAATGGGTACATTGTTGAAGTTGTTGGAAATCAGCTCTCATTTAGGAAGAAGGAATATACAAATATGGAAGGGTGAAAGGCAAGAAAGAAATTGCTAGAGATGAATGGGAATTAGCACTATCTGTGTGAACTCAGCATTTCTAAAATATGTACATTTAACATGTATATGCATGTTTCACATGTATATGAATATGTATGTGTTTATATATGTGTCTATGTGTATAGACATGCATATTTCCTAGCTCCATGCAATTAAGGTGCCAAGAAAATACACTCCAGTAGCAAGGAGCGTACCTAGTGCCAGCTCTTGATCTAAAATATAGTTGCCCCTTAAGAAAAACCAGTGCTCCTCAGAGAAATGGCTCATTCCAGAGCTGGGGCAAGGTAGGTACAAGTTGATCCTGGAACATATTGTTATGCCAGAAAGTGAAGAACTGCTAAATCTGGTTCAACCAAGTTTTCACTGAATTCTAAGTATGGCACTGTACTAGCAGTTCTATTTATGAAGAAAATACTTGTTTTAAGACTTAGCCCTAAAAAAAATGACCAGACAGTGAAATATATAAAAAGACCCTTAACCTCACTCAAAATAAGAGAAATACATATTAAAACTGCACTGCTATACTATCTAACAGAATGGAAAACTCCTAAAGTTTGATGACACATGCCATTAGTAAGCCTGTGAGGAATTATTGCTGGCGGGTATGTGTATTGATACAACCTCTATGGAGGCAAATGTGGCAATATCTATCAAAATTACAAATATATATATATAATTTGATTTGGCAATTCCACTGTGGGGAAATTATCCTAAAGATAATCTTACAGGGATACACAGTGACATATGCACAGATAGTTCACTAGAAATAACCTAAATGTCAATTGACACGGGCCTGGCTAAATAAATTATAGTATATCCATATAATGGAGTTCTATGCAGCTGTAAAAAAACAAAAAATAAAAAGAGAGATGGTCTCTATGTACTAATACAGAAAGATATTCAAAATATATTATTAATTGAAAAACAATGCACAAAAATGTGTATTTCCTTTTGCATAAAAAGAAAGGGACAATAAAAAAATTGTATTTGTATTTGCTTATATATAAAGAAACTCAAGAGTCAGGCACAGTGGCTCATGCCTATAATCCCAGCACTTTGGGAGGCTGAGGCAGGAGGACCACTTGAAGCCAGGAATAGGAGTACAAGACCAGCCTGGACAACATAGCAAAACGTCATCTCAATTATTTAACTTAAAAATAAACAAATAGATAAACCCAAGGAGGATGGTGTTAGGGGACATTGGGAACTGACAGGATACAAAAATATCAGGTAGATTTTTGCTCTACATTTTCTACATTTGAACCACGTGAATGGGCCAGGCACAGTGGCTCATGCCTGTAAACCCAGCACTTTGGGAGCCTGAGGCAGTTGGATCGCTTGAGCTCAGGAGTTCAAGACCAGCCTGGGCAACACAGCCAGACTCCATTTCAATAAAAAGAATAAAAACTGCCTACTTTAAAAATTACCCCCCTCCCTAAAATTAAGACTGTTTAAGCCCTTCCTCAAATTATCAGATATTTCAATTCATACTGAACCAATGAGAAAACAATATTCCTTAGTTTAAAAGTTACATCAGACTGTTTTCTTTTCTTTTTTTTTTTTTTTGAGACGGAGTCTCACTCTGTCACCCAGGCTGGGGCACAGTGGCATGATCTCGGCTCACTGCAACCTCCGCCTCCTGTGTTCAAGCGATTCTCCTTCTTCAGCCTCCCAAGTAGCTAGCAGCACATGCCACCACATCTGGCTATTTTTTTGTATTTTTAGTAGAGACAGGGTTTTGCCATGTTGGCCAGGCTGGTCTCGAACTCCTGACCTCAGGTGATCCACCCACCTCGGCCTCCCAAAGTGCTGGGATTACAGGTGTGAGCCACCACGCCCAGCCTACACTGTTTTCTTTATGCAATGAAATTCAGTACCCATCTTGGAATGAAGAGGATACTGTTAAGACTGAGGGGATGGAAGTTGTCCCAGGGAGAGAAATCTCCACACATCTTAGGCCTGGCTTTAAGTATGGAATTACCTTGCATGCCTGACTACCCCAAGTAGCATGGCATGACTCAATTTACTTCTCATTGATATCCTTAATTTCAGGATGATGAGTATTTGGTATTTGTTTTCTAAGACTATATGTTTAAAATGTAGATTATTATACTCTTTCCCAGAGTCAGAATCTCTGGAGGTGAGATCTAGTAATCTACATTTCTAACAAGATTTCTAGGAGATTCTCATGCAATCTGAAGTTTTAGAACCACTATTCCAAGAGTTAAATGTTCAGATGTTTATTAATGACAACAAACCACCCAGATAACCAACCTATGGGAGGCTATCACAAGGACACATGAACCAGCTTGAAAGATCTTCCACTGGCTAAATCTACTCTTTGATTTTGACTCATAATTAGAAAGTTCATTCCAAGATAATACAGGAAATTCACCTGTGCTGTCACATAGTACTTTTATGATTTTATTTTCTACATTTAAATCTTTAATTCATTTACAATTATTCTGATAAAGGATATAAGAGATGTGGTTTTAACTATACCTTTGTCCAAATGGCTAGCAAGTTATACCAACACTACTTAATTAAAAATGTGTTGGGTGTGGTGGCATACACCTATAATCCCTGCACTTTAGGAGGCCAAGGCAGAAGGATCATTTGAGGCCAGGAGTTCCCTCAAACCAGCCTGGGGAACACAGTGAGATTTTCTCTCTCCAAAAAAAAAAGAAAATTAGCCAGGCATGGTGGCACACTCCTGTAGTCCTAGCTACTCAGGAGGCTGAAGTGTGAGAATCTCTTGAGCCCAGGAGTCTGAGGCTGCAATGAGCTATGATTGCATCACTGTACTCCAACCTGGGCAACAGAGTGAGACCTGTCTAAAAAAAAAAATTAATAATAATAAAAATAAAAACCTATCTTTATCCCACTAATAATGAGATATCACCTTTATATTAAACTAAATTATGTTGTGTGTTTAACTCTACTTCTGGAATGTCTGTTGTGTTTCACTGGTCTTTCCACTTTTTGCCTAAGCCATACAGTTTTAATGACTGAGGCTTAGTGACATAATTTAATATTCAATATTAAAGATTTAATAGATATTAAAGATTCAATTTCTAATATCTAGTCCTTTATTGTTCTTTTTCAGAGGTATCTAAGTTTTCTTACTTGTGTTCTTTTTCTTTTCTTTTTTTTTGAGACACAGTCTCACTCTGTCACCCAGGCTGGAGTGCAATAGTGTGATCTCAGCTCACTGCAACCTCTGCCTCCCAGGTTCAAGTGATTCTCCTGCCTCAGCCTCCTGTGTAGCTGGGATTACAGGCATGTGCTACCATGCCCAGCTAATTTTTGTATTTTTAGTAGAGACAGGGTTTTGCCATGTTGGCGAAACTGGTCTTGAACTCCTGACCTCAGGTGATCCGCCCGCCTTAGCTTCCCCAAGTGCTGGGATTACAGGCGTGAGCCACCATGCCTGGCCTACTCGTGTCCTTTTTCATATGCACTTTGAAAAATTCACTTGGCTGGTGCCAGAAAAATAAAAGTATATATTTTTATTTGGATTATGTTTAAATTATATATTAATCTAGAGAAAACTGACATGTTTATAACACTGAGCCTTTGTATCAAAAAGTTATTGTGTCTTCCCACTTATTCAAGTCTACTTTTGCATCCTTCATGAGTATTTTAAAGTTTTTGTCTGTCAGTTTTGCACATTTCTGAGTAGGTTTATTCTGGACATTTTATCTTTGTTGCTATTGTAAATGGAGTCCTTTTCTTCCATTCTGTCTTCTAACTGGCTGTTACGTACATATGGAAAATATTGATTTCTACGGATTAAGTTTACCATAATTTTCCTATTGAGGGGCTCAATTTTCCTGTTGTTTATAGTAATTTTTTCCATTAATTATTTTGGGTGTTCCACATATATATAAACATCATATCATCTGTGAAAAAAGATGGTTTTATCACCTCCTTTCCAATTACTTTACCTCCAAATTTTTTTTATTTGTATGAATGTTTTGGCTAGATCAGGCACGGTGGCTAATGCCTGTAATCCCAGCATTTTGGGAGGCCAAGGCAGGTGGATCACCTGAGGTCAGGAGTTCGAGACCAGCCTGACCAACATGGTGAAACACTGTCTCCACTGAAAATTAAAAATTAGCCGGGAGTGGTGGCAGGCACCTGTAATCCCAATGACTCAGGAGGCTGAGGCAGGAGAATCCCTTGAACACAGGAGGCGGAGGTTGCAGTGAGCTGAAACTGCACCACTGCATGCTCTAGCATGGGTGACTCAGTGAGACTCGGTCTCAAAAAAAAAAAAATTAAAATTAAAAATTTAAAAATTAAAAATAAATAAATGTTTTGGCTTGTACCTCCAAAGCGATGTTATTTAGTGGTGGTTACAGTGGGCAACACTGTCTTGTTTCTAATTTCAGTCAGGATACATACTTGTGCTTCCCCACTAAGTATGATGTAACTGAGTTGGATATAGCTTATCGTGTTACAGAATTTATCTATTAATTAGTATTTTATTACTTTAAATTATGAATTGGTGTTCAATTTTGTCAAATGGATTTTCTGCATACATGGAGAAAGCCATATGACTTATAACTTTTCTTTTTTTTTTTTTTTTTTGAGATGGAGTCTCGCTCTGTCGCCCAGGCTGGAGTGAGGTGACGTGATCTCAGTTCACTGCAACCTCTGCCTCCTGGGCTCAAGCGATTCTCCTGCCTCAGCCTTCTAAGTAGCTGGGATTACAGGCATGTGCCACCACACCCAGCTGATTTTTGTATATTTAGTAGAGATGAGGTTTCACCATGTTGGCCAGGCTGGTCTCAATCTCCTGACCTCAGGTGACCCACTCGCCTCGGCCTCCCAAAGTGCTGGGATTACAGGCGTGAGCCATCATGCCCAGCAAGATAACTTTAAGATATCCTTGCATTTCGGAAATTCTATTACATAGCTATTTAATCTTCTCATAGCCTAAAATTAAAAGAATAAGGATTCTAATATTTATTCCAATTTATCATTTGTCCTTTGACTTTATGACTTTTTTTTGATACATCAAAATTTTAAAGATTTTTTTCTCCTTAGGACTATTTATATGATGATTTATAATATTAGATTTCCTAATATTAAGTCCATCTTATATTCCTGAAATAAATCCAACTGTCATGAGATAGTATTCTTTGGAGACATAATAATTTTGATTTTGGCATCAATATATGGCAAGAATGTGGAAGCTTTCCTTCTTTTTCTATGCTCTGGAATAGATTAAATAGAATTGACAATCTGCTCTTTAATGGTTTGATAGAATCACTCAAATCATTAAAGAGTAGACAGATAGTATCCCTTTATGAAACTTATTCTTATGCATATGTAATCCTAGCAACTCAGGATTACTTGAGGCCAGAAGTTTGAGACCAGCCTGGGCAACACAGCAAGACCATATCTCTAAAAAACGTAATTAAAAAAACAACTAGGCCGGGTGCGGTGGCTCACGCCTGTAATCCCAGCACTTTGGGAGGCCGAGGCGGGTGGATCACGAGGTCAGGAGACTGAGACCATCCTGGCTAACATGGTGAAACCCCGTCTCTACTAAAAATACAAAAAATTAGCTGGGTGTGGTAGTGGGCGCCTGTAGTCCCAGCTACTGGGAGGCTGAGGCAGGAGAATGGTGTGAACCCGGGAGGCAGAGCTTGCAGTGAGCCAAGATCACGCCACTGCACTCCAGCCTGGGCGACAGAGCGAGACTCCATCTCAGAAAAAAAAAAAAAAAAATTAGCAGGGCATGGTGGTGCATGCCTGCACTCCTAGCTACTTGGGAGGCTGAGGTGGGAGGACTACCTGAGCCCTAGGAGTTCAAGGCTGCAGTGAGCTATGACCATGCCACTGCACTCCAGCCTAGGTGACAGAGGAAGATCTCGTCTCCTAAAAGATTTTCTTTAAAAAAAAGAAAGAAAAGAAATGGTCTGGATCTTGTGTTTTTTTCTGGGGCTAGATCTCTGAAAAATTTTCTATTCCATGTATGAAAATTCTTCTGATTAGATATTCTTTCTCTGCTTCCTTTTGGTTTCCTTTAATATTATTTTTCCTTCTTTAAACCAGTTGTTTAATTGATTACTTTTCATTCTTCCTTTTCATTGCTATAATTATGGCTTATTATACTGATTTTTGAATGATATAAAATGTATTATCTATTTAAAACATTAAATTCTAAAAATTAAGAGAAGCCAAATCAATACTAACATAAAATTTTGACTAGAAGAACATAGATGGCACGTACTAATATAAACTGACCTCAACAACCAAATGTTAAAATTTTCTAGCCAGGCCCGCCAGCTCATGCCTGTAATCCCAGCTCTTTGGTCAAGATAGGAAGATTGCTTGAGCCCAGGAGTTCAAGACCAGCTTGGGCAACACAGCAAAACCCTGTCTAACTAACAAAAAAAATTAGCCAGGCATGGTGGCACACACCTGTGGTCTCAGCTACTCAGGAGGTTGAGATGGGAGGATCACTTGAGCCCAGGTGGTCAAGGCTGTAGTGAACTGTGATTGTGCCACTGCACTCCAGCCTGAACCACAGGGTAAAACGCTGTTTCAAAAGGAAAAAAGAAAAAAAAAATCCTACCTTTTGTTTAGCACTTACCTTGAAGGGAATCCAACTTAGCTTTAATTAACATTCTTAACCTTCCTACTTCTTGCCTTTTCAGTTCATCAAGTTTTGTCCTCACATGGTGACTTACTAAATCCAGTTCTTTGCTTAGCCTCCCACTCTGTTAACAAAATTAGTAAGTTAGTTTTATCTATTACATTCCATTTTTAGACAAATGCAACAGCTTAAAAACAGGGTTACAATACATTAGTGATAAATACTTTTGACTAATTTAGATAAATTTAATATTATAAAAAGAATTTCTTTCAAAAGATATTAGCTTTAGGGCCGGGCGTGGTGGCTCACGCCTGTAATCCCAGCACTTTGGGAGGCTGAGGTGGGTAATCACCTGAGGTCAGGAGCTCGAGACCAGCCTGGCCAACCTGGCGAAATACCGTCTCTACTAAAAATACAAAAATTAGCTGGGCATGGTGACACACGCCTGTCAATCCTAGCTACCTGGGAGGCTGGGGCAGAAGAATCACTTGAACCCAGGAGGCAGAGGTTGCAGTGAGCCAAGATTGCACCACTGCACTCCAGCCTGGACGACAAGAGCGAGACTCTGTCTCAAAAAAAAAAAAAAAAAAAAAAAGGCCAGGCGCGGTGGCTCACGCCTGTAATCCCAGCACTTTGGGAGACCAAGGCGGGCAGATCACTTGAGGTCAGGAGTTCGAGACCAGCCCGGCCAACATGGTGAAACCCCATCTTTACTGAAAACACAAAAATTAGCCAGGTGTGGTGGCCCATGCCTGTAATCTCAGCTACTCGGGAGGCTGAGGCAGGAGAATTGCTTGAACCCAGGAGGCGGAGGTTGCAGTGCGCCAAGATCATGCCATTGCACTCCAGCCTGGGCAACAAGAGTGAAACTCCGTCTCAAAAAAAAAAAAAAAAAAAAAAGATTAGCTTTAACTCTAAAATCAAGGTGTCTGAAAAACCATGTAATTTAGAAAAGCATCATTAAAGCACAAAGCAGAAACTCAAAAGGTTAAATTGTAAAATGGTGTAGCCACTTCAGAAAACAGTTTGGCAGTTCCTCAGAAAGTTAAACATAGGGTTACCATGACCCAACAATTCCATTCCTAGATATATAACTAAAAGAACAGAAAACATGTTAACACAATAACTTAAACATAATATCCATAGCTGCATATTCATACTCGCCAAAAAACCAGAAACCTAAACGTCCATCAACTAATGAACGGATAAACAAAATATAGTATACCAATACAATGGCATATTGTTTGGCCATAAAAAAGTATAAAATGCTGACACATGCTGCAACATGAATGAACCTGTAAAACATTATGCTAAATGAGAGAAACCAGACACAACAAACCACTTATTGTATGAGTCCACATATATGCAATGTCCAGAACAGGCAAATCCACAGAGATGAAAAGTAGATTTGCTGTGGTTGGGGAAAGGGGCGCAATTAGGAGTTACAGCTTAATGGGCACACAGTTTCTTTTGGGGAACAATGAAAATATTCTAAAATTAGATAGTGGTGATGATTTCACGACTCTGTGGGTATATTTTAAAAAAACTATTGAAATGGCAGGGTGCAGTGGCTCCCACCTGTTATCCCAGAACTTTGGGAGGCTAAGGTGGATAGATCGTTTGAGCGCTGGAGTTTTGAGACCAGCCTGGCCAACATGGCGAAAACCCATCTCTGCTAAAAATACAAAAATTAGCCAGGTGTGGTGGCACATGCCTGCAGTCCCAGCTACTCAGGAGGCTGAGATAGGAGAATCGTGTCAGCCGGGAAGGTGGAGGTTGTAGTAAGCTGAGATCATGCCACTGCACTGCAGCCTGGGCGACAGAGCAAGACTCCATCTCAAAAAAAAACAAAACAAAAACAGACAAAAAGACACTGAATTTTATCCTTTAAAAAGATAGATTTTATGGTGTATGAATTATATGTCAACAAAGTATTTATTTTTATTTTATTTTATTTTATTTTATGACACAGGGTCCAGTCTGTCACCCAGGATGGAGTGCAGTAGCATGATCATGGCTCACTGCAGCCTCAATCTCCCAGGCTCAAGCAGTCCTCCCACCTCAACCTCCCGAGTAGCTAGGACTACAGATGCATGCCACCATGCCTGATTAATTTTTGTATTTTTTGTAGAGACAGGGTTTTGCCATGTTGCCCAGGCTGGTCTCGAACTTCTGAGCTCAAGCAATCCACCCACCTCAGCCTCCCAAAGTGCTGGGATTACAGGTGTGAGCCACCGCACCTGGCTTGTTATTTTTTTAAAAAGTTAAGTTGGTCAGCACCATTAGGGCAAAAAAGAACATTTAAATTAAGTTAAAAGTCAGTGGGCCTCTATAAGCATTAGTCATTCCATATATAAAAGCTTTTCAAAATTTATCTTTTTTAGGTCTCTTTTGATTACTTTCTTCATAGATGAGTAATTAGTAGGAAAACTAGGAGAATATACTGTTACAGAATCAAAAAGAGCAGTATATTTCAAGGAGAGAATAGTCATTATTATTAGATAAAACAATGGTTGTCAAAATGTAGTCCCCAACTGGAAGCATCAGCATCACCAGGGAACTTCAGAAATGCAGGCTCTAGAGTTACTGAATTGGACACCCCGAAGGTAGGAAACAGCAATATGTTTTAACAAACCCTGAAATCTAAAAACTATTGAGAGAAATAAAGGAGCCCAGTAGAATGAGGAATCAAAGATGTTAGGATGTTCACTAGATTTGGCAATTAAGAAGTCATGGATGCCCTCCATGAAGGTATATTCAGTGGAACAGTGAGGGCAGTACCATCACCTTTCCAGTTAGGGAATGTTTGGGAAGTGAAGAAATGTAATATGATTCTCCTTTCAAAATGCTTAGCTGAAAAGGAAAGAGAGGCCGGGCATGGTGGCTCACGCCTATAATCCCAGCACTTTGGGAGGCCAAGGCAGGGGGATCATTTGAGGTCAGGAGTTTGAGACCAGCCTGGACAACATGGCAAAACCCCATCTCTACTAAAAATACAAAAATTAGCCAGACAAGGTGGCCCACACCTGTAATCCCAGCTACTTGGGAGGCTGAGGTGGGAGGATCACTTGACCCTGGGAGGCAGAGGTAGCAGTGAGCCAAGATTGCATCACTGTACTCCAGCCTGGGTGACAGAGTGAGACCTTGTCCCAAAACAAAAAAAAAAAGGAAAGAGAAAATTCTAACTTTTTTTTTTGTCAGTTTTTTATGAAACAGAAGTCTTTGCTTGGCTATTTGTGATGATTCTATTGGTTTGCGTTTTATTGTCTAGTTTTACTCATTTTTTTTTCTTTTTTAAGAGATGAGGTCTCGCTCTGTGTCATGCGGGCTAGAGTACAGTCATATAATCATGGCTCACTGCAACCTCAAACTCCTGGGCTCGAGTGATCCTCCCACCTCAGCTTTCTGAGCAGCTGGGACTACAGGCACACACCACCACATCTAGCTAATTTTTTCTATTTTTGGTAGAGATAGGGGTTTCACTATGTTGCCTAGGCTGTTCTTGAATTCCTGGGATCAAGTGATCCTCCCGCCTTGGCTTCTCAAACTGCTGGGATTACAAATGTGAGCCACTGTGCCTGGCCTCAGATGATTTTTTTTTTAATTTGAAGGATAATTTTTAATTAAATTAATTTTAAATTTTAATTTTTTGTAGTGACAGGGTCTCGCTATGTTGCTCAGGCTGGTCTCAAACTACTGGCTAGAAGCCATCCTCTTGCTTTAGTCTCCCAAAGTTACACGTGTGAACTACTGCCCCGGCCCCCCTTTTTTTTTTTTTTTTTTTTTGAGACGAAGTCTCACTCTGTTGCCCAGGCTGAAGTGCAGTGGAACAATCTCGGCTCACTGCAACCTCTGCCGCCCAGGTTCAAGCAATTCTCCTGCCTCAGCCTCCCGAGTGGCTGGGATTACAGGTGCCTGCCACCACACCCGGCTAATTTTTGTATTTTTAGTAGAGACAGGGTTTCACCATCTTGGCCAGGCTAGTCTTGAACTCCTGACCTCATGATCCACCTGCCTCAGCCTCCCAAAGTGCTGAGATTACAGGCGTGAGCCACCACACACGGACCCTCATTTCTTTTTTATTGTGTAACTGTTTAACTTCATTTTGGTTCCCCCTAACCCTTCATAGAAACAGGAATTGAATGTGAAAGGAAGATAGTTATAAAAGTATTCCCTGCACCAATCCAGGAAGCTTATTTTCTTCTTTTGCCTGAATATCTCTATGTAGTATCTCCCATGATCCACATTTTCTATGTCACCCCAAATAACGTTCTTACTCCTGATACAAGACATTAAGAGTTCTACATCAGATATATTCACCATAGGAAACTTGTTCCACAGATCGAATTAATCCTTCAGAAGAAGAGTAGGATTATCCTCAAAGACAATTCCGGGGAATTATTAGCATAACACTATTACCTTTTCCCCAGAAAAGTTCACAACTTCCAAGAGGAGAGCTGCGAACTAAATGCCACACCTGAGCGCTGACAGACACCACAACCTAACGGGAGTCAGTCTTTCAAAGAAGTTCACACCAAGAACAGAAACTAAAATAAAAGGTTTGTTTGACCCAGAATGAGTCTTTCAAACACAGTTCTCTTATTCTGATTCTAGAAAAAAAGCAACGTAATTTTTTAAGAAAGTAAAACTTAAATAAATAAAGGTAACATAAGCAAACAAAATTATCTTAGGAGACATTATTGGAATTTTAAAATTAACTGGATTTTTTTTTACTCACTGAGTCTAAGATAAACCCAGCTAAACTGATTCATTTCCTTTTAAGGAAAGACTTTACAAGAATCTCTCATGTCAGATCTTTACAACCCCCTTTCTTATTATGAGTACTGAAGAGCTGACTATGGCTGGAATTATGTCAAATAGGGTTCTCAGGACAGAGTCAAATGGTTAAACCTCTCTGATTGATATAATACATAGCCCATTATCTCTTCTGTTAATCTGGACCTGATTAAAACACCAGGACCTCACCTATTCCAAACTTTTGAATAACTTCCTACTGTCCTCAGATAATGACCCAAACCCCTTAACATGATATACAGGCCCTCTGTCAACGAGACTGTGATTCTTTCCAAACCTCATCTTTTGGCCACTCAGGCCTCCATTTCCCATTCTGGGGTCTAGCCACAGTTACTGCTTCCAGTTTCCCATATACTTCTTGCCTCTGTACCATTGCACCTTTGTCTAGGATGCCTCCCAGTACCTCTCCTTTTCTCACTACATCTTTAAGCTCTGGCATAATCTCTATTAGGAAGAATAACTTCCCACCTCGCCCCACTGCTTCATATTAGATTATGTGTCTGCCTTCTGTATTTCTAGATTAAATACTCATCATATAATCCATCCTATAATCTATTTCTGGATATGATTTTCCCTTGAGGGTTCCTTAAGGGCTGGGAATAAATCTCATCTTTGTATTTCTGGTACTTAGCTCAGTGCCTGGCACGTGCAAATGTTTGTTAAATATTTAAGCCAAGCATGGTGGCACGCACCTGTAGTCCCAACTACTGGAGAGACTGAGGTGGGAGGATCACTAGAGCCCAGGAGCTCAAGGCCAACCTGGGTTATATGGTGAGACCTCATCTCTAAAAAAATTTTAAATTAAGATACATATATGTATATATTATTGAATTGCATTTACCTTTATTTCCTCTATGTCTGCTTTCTGGAGCTTTTCTCTGAAGTGTTTATCTGTTTCCAGCACATCAATCACTTGCTTGAGATATTCATCATAATAAAGTCCAGTATCCTTCAAATTAAGAAACCAACAGTAATGCTTCTGCAGGTTTTTCCTTGTTTGAATCTAAAGAGGTCAATCCTGTGAAACAATTTCTAGCAAAATGGCATTAAGACATATTTACTTTGATAGTTTCAACAAAGTGAAAAGCTATATTTCTGAAATAAATAGTTTTATATCAGAACCAATATCATCTTTTATTGTTACTTAAAGGTAGATTTTTCTTTTTTACGACACTCTCTAGTCCAGTAGATTTTCTATATAGTTCAGACAATGAAGATTTTACCACTTTGGTTTCTCCCCATTGTTATCTGCCTCTGCTTTGAATATAATACAGTGTTTTCTTGGCTAGTCAGGTCTGTGTTGGAAATGTATTACGATTAATTCTTCTATCTAATATACTAACTATATTAAATAAATATTGTGTAATGGTAAACAGCATATGCTTGGCCAATACTCTTTTCACTGCTATTTCAGAAATAGTTCCCAAGTGTACAATTTTATAAGTAATAAATATTAGCAATATTTTTGTTATAATTCCTCTCATTTCATTTAGTTATAGTTTCACCTCATTCCACCTCATTTAGTTACAATTATAATTCATTTCATTTAGTTATAATTCCTCCCATTTCACTTCATTTCACTTACTGGTGGTTCTATCTTCGCACTTTCCACAGGGTGAATATTTTGTACTTTTGTCTTGTCTATGTCAATAGGCACAGCTTCAAGAGCAGTAAGTAAACATGTAATCAAGAGAAAGCAATACTGTAGCAGGATGGTCCTCCACCTCATCTGAAATAAAGGAGTAATTATGGTAAAGTCATGAATAATGTTTTAACTCTATATACATGCATTCCGAATGTCACATTAATCATATATTTAATCTCAAGAGGTTTAATAAAACAAAAAAAAAATTATAGGAAAGGAAAGAATAGATTAAAACTTGTCAAAAATAATGCTTAAAATAGATCACTAAAGAAAATCAAGGGAGAAATGTTTTTGTAGCCAAAATTAAAAAGACAGAATACAATATTTTAAACTGTTTTTGTTTGTTTGTTTGTTTGTTTGAGACAGAGTTTCACTCTTGTTGCCCAGGCTGGAGTGCAATGGTACGATCACTGCTCACCCCAACCTCTGCCTCCTGGGTTCAAGCGATTCTCCTGCCTCAGCCTCCCAAGCAGCTCGGATTACAGGCATGTGCCATCACACCTGGCTAATTTTGTATTTTTAGTAGAGACGGGGGTTTCTCTCTTTTGGTCAGGCTGGTCTCGAACTCCTGACCTCAGGTGATCCGCCCGCCTTGGCCTCCCAAAGTGCAAAGATTACAGGCGTGAGCCACTGTGCCCGGCCTATATTGTTTTTATAGTATAAGAAAACATTTGGCTAATTACAAAAGCTTCAATCTAGCCATGGCTTTTTTTTTTTTTTTTTTTTTTTAAGGCAACACGTTTTACCCACAGAACACCATTTGGAAAAGAACACATAACCCCATTTTCACCACAACCCTAGGTGGTACATACACAGGAGAGTGACACATTTTACAAATGAAGAAATTAATAATTAAACCAATTCCCTTACAGAGCATTGTCTTGCCATTAACAAACCACTAAAACTTACATTTTACTATCTTTATGCCAATTTTTTAGCATCTTTATTGAGATATACTTCACGTCATAAAATTCACCCATTTAAGTACAGCATATGTCTAATCTATAAAGATGCTACCCAAAGTTTAGTTCTCAATCTTACAAAATCTTACAAGATCATCTGAAAGCAGATCAGAAATGCAAATTCTCAGGCTGTACCCAAGACCTCTGGGGTGGGGGCCAGGAACCTGTTTTAACAAACAGGGGGTTCCAGGGGGTTCCTATGTATACTAAAACCTGAGATCCACTCATCTCTAGGATACTAGAATCTCTAATAGGGTAGTATACTTCACAGAATGTCTTCTCACTATGAATCACCTCCTCTTCCCCACAATTACTTTTAATAACAAAAAAGGTTTATTATTCATTCATGCTTCTTGTCCACACATACATAGGTGTGCATTTTGGGTTTTTTGAGATATAACTCATAAGGCATAAAATGTTTTAAATTATACTATTCAGTGTTTTCTAGAATATTCACAAGGCTGTGCAACCATCTCTACTATCTAATTTTAAAACATTTTCATCATCTCAAAAAGAAACCCCATACCCATTATCAGTCACTCACTGTTACCCTTTTTTCCCATCCCCTGGCAACCACTAATCTACTTTCTATCTGTATAGATTTGCCTATTCTGGGCATTTCATATAAATGGAATTATACAATATGTAGCCTTTTGTGTCTGCCTTTTATCACTTAGCAGTATGTTTCCAGGTCCAACAACATTGTAACAAGTATCAGGACTTTATTTCTTTTTTATAGCTGAATAGATAGTCCATTGTATACATATGCCATATTTGTTTATCCATTCATGAACTGATGGACATTTGGATTGTTTCTTTCAGGCAGTTTTGAATAATACTTCAGTAAACATTTGTGTTTAAGTTACTTTGTTAACAGGTTTTCAATTCTTTTGGTTATATAACTAGGAGTAGAATTGCTGAGTCAGTTTGGTAACTCTAAGTTTAACTTTTTGAGGAACTGCCAAACTGTTTTCTAAAGCAGCTATATCATTTTACATTCTCACCACCTATAAATGAGGGTTCTAATTTTTCCATATCTTCCACGTGTTTTTGTCACTTCTGCTGCTCTCTTCCTCTCCTGCCAAGACTACCATAAATAAGAAGGAAAGTCAAGAGAATGTGTTTGTATACATGAGTGTGTGTGTGTATGTCCTAACAACACCTGACAACATCTTTTTTTTTTTTTTTTTTTGAGACAGAGTCTTGCTCTATCGCCCAGGCTAGAGTGCAATGGCCCGATCTCGGCTCACTGCAACCTCTGCCTCCCGGGTTCAAGCGATTCTCCTGCCTCAGCCTCCCGAGTAGCTGGGACTACAGGTACCCACCACCACGCCCAGCTAATTTTTGTATTTTTGGTAGAGCTGGGGTTTCACCATGTTGGCCAGGCTGGTCTCGAACTCCTGACCTCAGATGATCCACCCAGCTCAGCCTCCCAAAGTGCTGAAATTACAGGCATGAGCCACTGCACCTAGCCGCTGACAACATCTTGAAGTGACAAAGTCACAAAAAGTTTCTGAGAAACTGCTTTAAAACACTAACTGAATTTATGGTTCCTAAAGATTTAATTGATCCCCATGCTTATTATAAATAACAACAGAAACCATCTATTGAATGTTTACTATGTACCAAGCAGTATGCTAAACTTTTAAAATATATTAACGCATCAACTCTTACAATGACTCTGTGAAGTCAATATTATTATCCCCATTTCAAAGTACAAGAAACTGAGACATATCACTTCTAGTTCACACAGCAGTCAGTCATACAGCTAGAGTGTAGACCTGGGAGTGACTGACTCCAAAGCCTTTGTTGGCTTTTCAGGAGTGGTTCTCAAAAGTATGGTCCCTGGGCCAGCAGCACTGGCATCACCTGGGAATTTGTTAGAAATGCGAATTCTCAAGGCCTACTCCATATTTTCTAAATCAGAGACTCTGGGTGTAGGGGGCCTCACAATCTGTTTTAATAAGCCCTATAGGTGATTCTGATACATGCCAACATTTGAAAACCACTGCCCTAGAACATACTGCCTCCCTTTGCTCTATTATTTACCAACCTCACCTACAATGAGACAGAAAGAGAATGCTCATCTCAAAGGTAAACTTGGATCTTTAAAAAATAGAAAGTGGGAAAAAAGGAGAAATAGAAAGTGGGTTTTACACCAAGCAGTAAGGCAGAACTAAATTTAGATCTATATTCTAGTTACAGCTGCACCACTTACTTGCTATATGATCACAGGTTAGCCAATTAACTTTTCCCACTTCAGTTCCCTCATTTATAAAAATAAAAAAAATTTTAAATAAGAGAATTTAACTTGAACTTAGTATTACTTAAGTACTTAAATTCTATTATCTATTTATTCTTTTTAGTACAGATCTTTCCTGTTACGTAATCAGAAATACTAAACAGAAATAAAATTAAAAAAAAAGAAAAGCTGCTTGTATTCACACCATTCATTTAAAATGATTAAGTTATATGACTTGTAAATGCCTTTAAACTAAATATTGCTTACTCAGCCAGCTTAAAATTATGTTGGTAAAGCAAATAGCAGGCCTGGTTGCTGAGATACAAAGATTAACAACAAGGAAAATGAACTAGCAAAGAAAGTTCATATCTAGACACAATAAAAATGATGTAAAGCCAGGAAAGTTTCACACTTTGGAAACAAAATATGGAACATTATCCTCTCTGATCAAACTGAGAATTTGCTTCTGTGGAAGCAGAAACAAAGCTCCTCCTTGATTTCAGGTTTAGAGATTGTCAGACTTACATTTCATTCAAGCTGGATTTATTTTTAACTTTTGCAAGAAAGAGGACAATGAATTGTGACTGCCATTTCAAAGCCAAAAACTTTCACTTTTTGATAATTTTAAAGGACAAAAGACTGATTTTTTTTTTTTTTTGATGCAGAGTCTTACTCTGCCACCCAGGTTGGAGTGCAGTGGCATGATCTTGGCTCACTGCAACCTCTGCCTCCCGGGTTCAAGTGATTCCCCTGCCTCAGCCTCCAGAGTAGCTGGGATTACAGGTGTAGGCCACCATGCCCAGCTAGTTTTATATTTTTAGTAGAGACAGGATTTTACCATGTTGGCCAGGCTGGTCTTGAACTCCTGACCTCAGGTGATCTGCCCGCCTCAGCCTCCCAAAGTGCTGGGATTACAGGCCTGAGCCACCGTGCCCGGCCAAGACTGATATTTTTAAGGAGAAATCTGTTTAAAAATAAAATACAACAGAACTGATTAATAGTAAATACAGCCAGAAGCAAGAGGACACATATTATACGATTCAATTTATATAAATGTGGAAAATAGGCAAATCCACAGAGAAAGAAAGCAGATTACAGGTTGTTGAGGGCTGCTGGTGGAGGGAGGGGAAATGAGAAATAAGTGCTAAATGGGTACAGGGTTCCTTTTGGGGGTGATGAAAATATTCTAAAATTAGATCGTTGAGATGGTTGCATAACCTTATGAATATACTAAAAGCCAGTGAATTGTATACTATAAAAGAGAGAATTGTATGATATGTAAATCATATTTCAATTTTTTTAAAAGGAGTAAAAATAGAGCAAAAAAATCCAAGTTTATAAAATGTGAAAAATTTTAAAAATACAATTCATGAACCACTATTCACCTTCTACACTAGTCATGCTTATAATTTTTCAAAATTATCCCATTTTCTATGTTCTCAATGATTTTTGTTTGCTTGTTCTACAATCACTAGAAAAGCACATGAAAATCTTATATCATGATTTTGTCTCTTTTTCCTTATAATTCTGTTAATTTTTATTCAAATATTAGGTATATATATATAAACTTAAGATTTTCTAGCTTTACAGTAAATTTAATCTTTTATCTCATGACTGACCTTTATATCCCAACCATATTAGTATTTTTTTTATTGTTTTTTGAGACAGGGTCTCAACATGTTGCCCAGGCCAGTCTCAAACTCTTGGGCTCAAGCAATCCTCTTGCCTCAGCCTCCCAAAGTGCTGGGATTAGAGGCATAAGCTACTATACCCAGCCTCAATTAATGGAATATGAAAATTGTAATTAGCCACATAGCAACAGCAACATAGTCTTTGTTATGTGTACATGCATGAACTTTATTATAGTTATTATTATTGTCATAACTTCAGATTGAGTTTTTGCATTGTTGGTGCTTGTCATTGTAAATATCTTCATAAACATTAAGCTATGATTTGGCATTAAAATGAAAAGTTATTTTGTAAGCACAGAAACAAAGCAGCTGATGTTAGTGAAGCAAATACTTGATATTAGGGGAATAACAGCAATTTTACTCTTTCTTATAAAGGAACAACTAGTGCTTTACCTGACTCTAGACAGGAAGATACCTGCAAGTAGACAAAGCCATGTTACGTTTTGTTAGTAAAACACAACAGGATTACCTATCAGCAGCCAAACAATGCAAATGAAGATAGCAGAAACCAACTATGCCTCCAATAAATAAAAAAACTCAAGGAACATGAGGCTGAATTGATGGACTCATGCAAATGTCAATTTGTCAGGAACTTCCTGAAAATACTGAACAGAAGCTGCACAACTTCCAGCAAAGTATAGTTTAAGGAAAAAATAAAGCTGAGTTTAGTCAACAGGAAATTCTGACAAAATCCTGATGTTCTTTTACATGCCTCAAAATCTACATTAATGCTAAAGGTGGTAAAAAGATTGATACGAGAATGGTCAGAAAATAACAAATCACTGTAACATTGCTGTAAATGCCTACAGCCAAAAGTTGTTGCCATATTAAACATTAAATTATAAAATGATTTCCCCCAAGATGTTATATTAAGCATTTTTAAGAAGTATGGGGTTGATGGATGGTGGCTGAGCTAAAGGAAGAGTAGCTAAATCTGATTTGAATGTTGAAGAGCACTACATAACCTGACAAGTGTGTTTATTAGTTTAGTTCTTGATACATTCTGAGAGCGTGTATCTGAATAAAGAATAGGTTGCCTGAAAAGTAATACAAGTTGGTGTGATTCATGAAGGCCAGCCCTCCAGGTCTTCATCAATGAATCATTTAAGGAGAGTTTGAGGAAAGACTATGAATCTGAAAACTTCCTGTCATCATCTTCTGATAAGATGAAGAAAGCACCAGCACCAAGCTTGTAAAGCTTGTAAAATTAATATAGGGTGCTTGGAAGAAAATCTCTAGCAAAAGGGTATGAAGAGGCTGGGCGTGGTGGCTCACGCCTGTAATGCCAGCACTTTGGGAGGCCAAGGCAGGCAGATTGGTTGAGGTTAGGAGTTCAAGACCAACCTGGCCAACATGATGAAACCCTGTCTCTACTAAAAATACAAAAAATTAGCCGGGCATGGTGGCACACGCCTGTAGTCCTAGCTACTCAGGAGGCTGAGGCAGGAGAATCTCCTGAACCTGGGAGGCAAAGGTTGCAGTGAGCGAGACTGCACCAGTGTATTCCAACCTGGGCAACAGAGCAAAACTCCATCTCAAAAAAAAAAAATATATATATATATGTGTGTGTGTGTGTGTGTGTGTGTGTGTGTGTGTGTGTGTGTGTGTGTGTGTGTGTGTGTGTGTGTGTATATACATGTTATTAAATAGACTTTAAGGGCCAGGCACGGTGGCTCATGCCTGTAATCCCAACACTTTGGGAGGCTGAGGTGGGTGGATCACCATAGGTCAGGGGTTTGCAACCAGCCTGGCCAACATGGCGAAACCCCATCTCTACTAAAAATATGAAAATTAGCCTGGAGAGGTGGCGCATGCCTGTAGTCCCAGCTACCCGGGAGGCTGAGGCAGGAGAATGGCTTGAACCTAGGAGGCAGAGGTTGCAGTTGCAGTGAGCCAAGATTGTGCCACTGCACTCCAGTCTGGGCAACAGAATGAGACTGTCTCAAAAAAAAAAAAAAAAGAAGAAGAAGAAGAAGAAGAAAAAGATAAAATAAAATAAATAGGCTTTAAGATTCCATTGGGCTGGGTGCAGTGGCTTGCACCTGTAATCCCAGCTATTCAGGAAGCTGAGGTAAGAAGACTGCTTGAACCCAGGAGTTCTAGGCTGCAGGGAGCTATGATTGTGCCACCTTACTCCAGCCTGGGTGACAGAGACCTCAGGGTGGGATAAAAGATTCCATCGATATTAAGACACACCATTGTATACTATATAGAAAAAAATGCTGCCAATTAAATTACACCACCGTGCTTTTTCACTTACAATTCTATCTTATGTTTGCTGAAAGTATTTTTAGGCATATCATAGATTTTTCTCACATCATTTTTATGCACACATAAAGAAATTAAACGAAATAAATTGATAAAGGTATTCTAAGGACTTCTTCACCTTTGTAGTCCAAGTATTTTTAAACACTTTCTTGAATTGTTACCTTTTGTGTTTTCCCATACAACACTGTTCTCTCTACCGGGGAGAGGAATGGTGATTTCTTCAAGCCATTTTTGTTTTTTGTTTTTTGAGACAGAGTCTCACTCTACTGCCCGTGCTGGAGTGCAGTGCCGCGATCTCGGATCACTGCAACCTCCACCTCCTGGGTTCAAGCGATTCCTGCCTCAGCCTCCCAAGTAGCTGGGATTACAGGTGGGTACCACCACACCCGGCTAATTTTTGTATTTTTAGTAGAGATTGGGTTTCACCATGTTGGCCAAGGTGGTCTCAAACTCCTGACCTCAAGTGATCCATGCAACTTGGCCTCCCAAAGTGCTGGGATTACAGGAGTGAGCCACCACATCTAGCCCTTAAAGTTGATTTAATAACGTATCTTTTTTTTTTTTTTTTTTTTGAGGTGGAGTTTTGCTCTGTTGCCCAGGCTAGAATGCAGTGGTGCAATCTTGGCTCACTGCAGCCTTCACTTCCCAGGTTCAAGCGATTCTCCTGCCTCAGCCTCCTGAGTAGCTAGGACTACAAGTGTGCGCCACCATGCCCTGCTAATTTTTTGTATTTTTAGTAGAGACAGGGTTTTGTCATGTTGGCCAGGCTGGTCTCAAATTCCTAACCTCAACCAATCTGCCCACCTCAGCCTCCCAAAGTGCCGAGATTACAGGTGTGAGCCACCACGCCCGGCCTTAATACCATATCTTGATTTTTAAATCTACCACCTTCTATAGGGCTTTTTTGTTTTTTGAGACAGGTTCTCATTCTGCCACCCAGGCTGAAGTGCAGTGGTGAGCTCACAGCTCACTGCAAATTTGATTTCCTGGGCTCAAGAGATCCTCTTGCCTCAGCTTCTCAAGTAGCTGGGACCACAAGCAAGCCACCATGCGTGGTGATATATATATATATTTTTTTTTGGTAGAGTTGTGGTTTCATTATGTTGCTCAGGCTGGTAGGGCTTTCTATTTATCCTACCTCTTTAACATTTATTTCCTCTCCTTTCTTGCCTTTTAAATTTATTTTTGATTGATGGAGAATGTTTTCTACTAGTTTCTAATCTGTTAGTGCTTATTCTAGACATAACTAGGACAATTAATTTAAACACTGACTCTAATTCTTAATAAGGCCTCCATAAACATCAACTGTATTTAAAAAAAAAATGGTAAGTATTCCAGCACATTAGGCAGAAAAATAATGACACAAAAGTCTCTTTAAATGCCAAGATGTCAAATGTGTCTGCATTAAAGGAATAACAGCAAATTTACTAGGTTTACAGATTTTCATGAATGAGAAAATATACAAATATCCATATAGAAGAAAGAGATGAGTGATAAGGACAGGCAATAGGAAGAAGGAGAACTAACCTACTTTTCTTCCACTATCAGGTCAGTAAGAATGGCCTTCTCCTTTCCTTTATCACCCTCTTCTTTCATAAGAGAGATACGGACCTAAAGAGGAGACACTGGGCTGAACCAGGCTGAAACAGTAGACTCATCCAAACCAGGACAGGCTGATAATTTACTCTCTAAAGTAGGATGGTGTGAAATTCTAAATTATGTAGTCATCTCAAGACAGAATGGGAGGCACTGACCCCAAAGGCATCAGAGCCTCTGGTAAAATTACAAAGTAAGCAGAGTTCTTAAGCTTCTCTTAGTATTCAGTAGATATAATTTCCTTAAATTTTAAAGTCCTAAAAGAAAGCTAATCTCTCTTCCCCTGTCTCAACCAAGTCAAAATTTCTATTCTGCTGGGCACGGAGGTTCCTGCCTATAATCCCAGCACTTTGTGAGGACAAGGAGGGTGGATTCCTTGAGCCCAGGAGTTCAAGACCAGCCTGAGCAATATGGTGAAACCTCTGTCTCTACAAAAAATACAAAAATTAGTTGGGCATGGTGGCACATGCCTGTAGTCCCAGCTACTTGGTGGGGGATGAGGTGGGAAGATCACCTGAGCCCAGCAGGTTGAGGCTGCAGTGAGCCATGGTCACGCCACAGCACTCTAGCCAGGGTGACAGAGTGAGAACATGTCTCAAAAAATAAAATTTCCATTCATACACAGAGGCAGATTTCTTAGCTACTGATTTATACCCATAGTTATACAGATTAAGTTTGCTTTGTGTGTGTGTGTGTGTGTGTGTGTGTGTGTGTACGCACACGTGCGCGCATGTATGTGTGATGGTTTCCTGTTTTGATTGTTGGGCAAGATATCCTGGAAGTGGTTAAAAAAAATTACCATAGATAACCAGGGTGAAAAGTACAGAAAACTGAAAATTTTCTCTTTCCTTGGAAGTAGTCTCTGTTCCTCCTTTATATATCTTTTTTTTTTTTTTTTTTTTTTTGAGACGGAGTCTCACTCTGTCACCCAGGCTGGAGTGCAGTGGCGCGATCTTGGCTCACTGCAAACTCCGCCTCCCGGGTTCACACCATTCTCCTGCCTCAGCCTCCTGAGTAGCTGGGACTACAGGTGCCCGCCACCACGCCCAGCTAATTTTTTTTTTTTTTTTTTGAGACAGTGTCTCGCTCTGTTGCACAGGCTGGAGTGCAGTAGTGCAATCTCAGCTCACTGCAACCTCCGCCTCCTGGGTTTAAGCAATTCTCCTGCCTCAGCCTCCTAAGTAGCTGGGACTACAGGCGCATGCCACCATGCCTGGCTAATTTTTTGTGTTTTTTTTAGTAAAGACAGGGTTTCACCATGTTGTCCAGGCTGGTCTCGATCTCTTGACCTCGTGATCCGCCCGCCTCGGCCTCCCAAAGTGCTGGGATTATAGGCGTGAGCCACCTCACCCAGCCACGCCCGGCTAATTTTTTTGTATGTTTTTAGTAGAGACGGGGTTTCACCATGTTAGCCAGGATGGTCTTGATCTCCTGACCTTGTGATCTGCCCGCCTTGGCCTCCCAAAGTGCTGGGATTACAGGCATGAGCCACCGCGCCCAGCCTCTTTTATGTATCTTTTTCCATCTTCCTCAACCCTCTTCTTTTGCCCCTCTTCCTTTTCAATTAATGGCTGAATTGAAGCATGTTTCCTTTAACCTATTATAAGTATGTATGTATGTATGTATGTATGTATTGAGACTTTGTTTCTAAAAACAAAACTAAACTAATATTTATGTATTAAGTAATGACTATGGTACCAGATACTATGCTAGAAGACAAAGGTAAGCGAGATCGACATAGTCCTTACCCTCACAGGGCTTCAATCTAGTGAGGAAGGTAAGCTATTAAATACAATTGCAATTTTTAAAATGCTGCTTACAAAACAATGCATAGCATGATACTTTTCTGTTAATTAAAAAAAATTAAAAGTCATGAAAATGGTATTCACCAAACAGACATTCTCAGTCAGGTGATTTATAACGTTAAATGTCTCTTAAAAACTGGGTTGTTTTTATGGTCACAAGTCTCCTGATTATTTTGTTTGAGGTCAACAAGTCTAGATCAGAAAAAAGGAAACTGCAATACTAGCAGCAAAAGAACTACTGTACTTTGTGCCTATCTAATACAACCAAAAAATGTAAAAACTTTCAAAAATACAAATATACTGTGTAGAAATAAAATCTTAACTTACTGTCTCCCTTCTAAAAACTCTAAAAGATTGACTGAATCTTTAGAATCTTTCTCACTCCAATTTCCATTCCCTGAATTTCTTTTTCTCAAAGCTATTTATTTCAGTTTACTTTTGAAATAGAAATAATGACAATTGAACCATTTTGCAGGACAAGTATAGGGTATATTTATATAATATTCACAAAGAAAAGTCTGGAAGGGGCTGGGCACGGTGGCTCACTCCTGTAATCCCATCACTGTAGGGGGCTGAGGCAGGCAGATCACCTGAGGTCAGGAGTTCAAGACCACCCTGGCCAACATGGTGAGACCCCATCTCTACTAAAAATACAAAAATTAGTTGGGTGTGGTGGTGGATGCCTGTAGTCCCAGCTACTGAGGAGGCTGAGGCAGGAGAATCGCTTGAACATAGGAGGCAGAGGTTGCACTAAGCCATTGCACTCCAGCGTGGGTGAAAGAGTGAGACTCCGTCTCAACAAAAAAAATAAAAGTCTGGAAGGAAATAAAATATTGGTGTGGCTAAATAAGTTAAGCAAGAACTAGTAGTAAGAGAAAATTTCAAGACAACTAACAGTTAAGTGGTTAAAAAAAGAAGAAAGGAAAGAAAAAGAACAAACTACTTTTAGCTAGCAAGGAAGGCAAGTGTTCCTCATGTGACCATAGTGAAATGTATCTTGAGATGAATTATATTTACTTTCAATATAAATTTACTTCCTGATGATTAGTTATGTGATACCCTTGGGATAACTTATCTCTGTCATTTTAGTGCCTTGATTATAGCAAGTAGCTCAATAAATGTTAGCTCTTTTTAACACAACCATAAAATGTACAACAAACATCTATTGAGCATTTATGGGTAATTTTAAAAAATAACCAGAACAAATCCACAAATAAGACAGAAAAGCTTCTATAATGAATTAAGGGCTAAAAGTAAAAACAGAAACACAATTTATTACATGAAGATTATTTCCTTCTGTAGTTAATAGTCAGACTTATATCTCTGCCATGGCAAATTATAGAAGCTTCTATGAGTGGTTATCACAGCTTACAGATTTCAGAGCTGAAAGATAAAAAGATTCATATCATGGCAGACACTTCTATTTGCTTGCCAATATCCAAATCTTTCCTTCCTTCTCAGTAACAAAAGCCCAATTTTATAGAGGGCAGACATGCAGTCAGCTACATTTCCCTGCTTTCTTATAGCCTCAGCCTTGGTTCAGGAATTCTCCTTAAAGGAAGAGGATGCATCTTTCTTCGCCTATGCTTTGCTGCCTGGAACATGACAGTGATGGTTAGAGCTCTGGCAGCTATCTTGGACATACAAGAACCAGTACTACAAGAATGTCTTAGGGATCACTGATAAAAGAACTGAAAGAAGCTTAAGTCTCTGATGACTTTATAAAGCCACTATACCCATCCTAGAGTGCTATTTCAATTATTATTTTATATAAAAAATAAATATTGCATGTTTAAGCCATCTGTGAGTTCGTTTTTGGTTTTTCCTTTTTTGTATTTTGGTGGTGGTGGTAGTGATAGTCATGTTTCTTTGCAACCAAATGCAATTATTGAGTACTTACGTTCAGGCAGGTAAATAATTTTTATCTCCTTTTTACAGATGAGACAACTGAGATCCAGAGAGGTAAGATGACTTGCACAATACCAAAATAGTGAAGAGATGGGTCTTGGCTCCTAGCTCAATGTTTTTTCACTAAAAACTGACTCGTAACACGTTCTAAATGTAAAAAAAAATAAAAATAAATAAATAAAAGACACAAAATCACAAAATTTAGACTTTTTACAGTGGTAATGGTACATGATAGTGTATGCATTTGTCACATAATGTGAAAAGTGCCAAATTTTTATGATGTGGAAGGAGACTAAATTATATCATATTCCATTAAGGAGGGGAGAAAGATACATGAAATAAACAGAATCAAAAACCGGAATAAACAAAGATGTTGGCCGGGCACGGTGGCTCCTGCTTGTAATCCCAGCACTTTGGGAGGCCGAGGTGGAGAGATCACCTGAGGTCAGGAGTTCAAGATCAGCCTGCCCAATGTGGTAAAACCCCATCTCTACTAAACAAATACAAAAATTAGCCGGGCATAGTGGCAGGTGCCTGTAGTTCCAGCTATTCAAGAGGCTTAGGCACAAGAATCGCTTAAACCTGGGAAGCAGAGGTTGCAGTGAACCGAAATGATGCCACTGCACTCCAGCCTGGGTGACAGAGCGAGACTCTGTCTTGGGAAAAAAAAAAAAAAATATATATATATATATATATATAGATAGATAGATAGATAGATATAGATATAGATATATAGATATAGATATAGATTTATTATGCCCAAATTTTCCTGTATTCCTCCACTCTTGAATAACTAGGAGGAATTCAGATTAAAAGCTTATTTTTTTCAGCAATGAGACTTCAAGATATAGGGCAACTTTTCCTGTTAAATCCTTAACTGGAATTTTTCTTTACTCTTACCACCAATTTAAAAAAATTAACTTTGTTCCTAGTTTGTCACAGAGATCAGTAATAAGATGAAATATTTCAAATTCTTTTTTGAAACCCCACCAAATAACATGTAAAACATAAATCAGCTCATGTGCAAACTCATTAGTAAACATAAGCAGTTATTTCTAAGTAGTCTGTTAAAAAAAAAAGCAAATAAAATATTTTCAAATTTTAAGGAGACATGTATTTCTTGTTTTACATATGGTATATTTAACATAAAATAATCTATGCAGGAGAGTAATCACATGCATGTTGTATTTTGGAAAGTTATATGACTTTTATTGACACAACATGGTAAAAAATAAACACACAAACAGGAGATTAAATCCTAACTTCCCCCATTTACTCGCAAGCTACTTGCCTCTGAGTCTTGATTTTCCTACCTAGAAAACTGAGCTCATACCTCTTCACAGGTTTGTTGATGCGAGGAAAATAAGAATGAATACAAAGTAACCAGCACAGTGCATGACAATGGTAATTGCTCAATAAATATTAATGCCCTTCTTGTCTTGAAAAGGAAACATAAAGAAATATGAAAATCTGTTCTGTAAACACCCAAAGTGGTAGAACTTAAAAAGCAAGACCAGGTTGGGCATGGTGGCTCACACCTATAATCCCAGCACTTTGAAAGGCTGAGGCGGGTGGATCACTTGAGCCCAGGAGTTCAAAACAAGCCTGGGCAACATGGTGAAACCCCACCTCTACAAAAAAAAATCAAAAAATTAGCTGGGTGTAGTGGTGTGCACCTGTAGTCCCAGCTACTCAGGAAGCTGAGATGGGAGGGTTGCTTGAGCCCAGGAGGTCGAGCCATGCATACCAATGTACTCCAGCCTGGATGACAGAGAAAGACCCTGTCTAAAAAAAATAAATAAAATAAATAAATAAAAATTAACGACACAAAAAGCAAGCAAGACCAGTTTGACATACAACTTTAAAAGTAATTTTTGTTTTCGTTTTTGTTTTTTGAGACAGGGTCTGACTCTACCACCCAGGCTGGAGTACATTGGCGCTATTTCAGCTCATCAAAACCTCCACCTCCCAGGCTCAAGCCATCCTTCCGCCTCAGCCTCCAGAGTAGCTGGAACTACAGGCACGCACCACCACGCCCAGCTAGTTTTTAATATTTTTGGTAGAGATGGGATTTCACCATGTTGCCCAGGCTGGTCTCAAACCTGTGAGCTCAAGTGATCTGCTCACCTTAGCCTCCCAAAGTCCAAGGATTACAGGCCTGAGCCATCATGCCCGGTCTTACAGTCATTTTTGAAAGGCCACATTAGAGCTCTTCTCTGAACATTGCCAGAACCAAAGTCCTGATGCAATCATAGACCAATGAAAGCAATGCATCCAACATAATCTCTTCCTTCCAACCTTAAATCAGAACTGTAGCAAGAGACTCAGGTTTCCTTCTCTAAGACACTGCCTTGAGCTAGGAAACGTGGATTGCTTCTTCTTACTATCAATGTCACAAATCTAATGATGAAACAGGGTAGGGTGAAGAAAAATAAACGGCTTTTGAGTTTCTCCATGGCACCAGTTTCAAAGGCCACAGATAACCTGGTGCTCACCTCCATTTTCCCTTTGAAAATGAAAGTCAACAGGAAAGTGAGGTTCAAATAAAATATCAAGTGTATGACCAGCTGAGTTGGACTCCAGCTTTTCCCTGATCAAGACATTAGTATAGATCTTAGAGCCTCTGTTGTCTACATCTGTAGAAAAGGACACTCATCAATGAAACTATTATATCTCCTTTTTTTCCAGTCTTAACAACGGATTGGAGTATCCTAGATTATAGGCTTATGAAAAACAGATCTGTATCACTCAATAAACATATTATTAAAATTATAATCTCTTTATTATTTACATATACTGTACTTCAGATAATTAAAATACACTGCCAAAAAAAACTCTGCCAAGGCCAGGTGTAGTGGCTCATGCCTGTAATTCCAGCACTTTGGGAGGCCAAGACAGGCAGATCGCTTGAGCCTAGAAGTTTGAGACCAGCCTGGACAACATGGCGAGGCCTCTTCTCTACAAAAAAATACTTAAAAATTAGCAGGGTGTGGTGGCATGCTCCTTTAGTCCTAGCTACTCAGGAGGCTGAGGTAGGAGGATCACTTGAGCCTGGCAGTTCCAGGCTGCAGTGAGCCATGATCACACCACTGTACTCCAGTCAGCCTGGGCAACAGAGTGAGGCCCTGTCTCAAAAAAAAAAAAAAAAAAAAAAAATGCTCTGCCAAAAATAAAATCAAGTAACTACTATCTGAACTTCTATTAGGCTGCTTTAGGATTTTAGAATCAGAGAATTCTAAGATCAGAAATAATCTTGGAGGTACAGTAGTCCTCCCTAATCTGCGATTTCACTTTCTGCAGTTTCAATTACCTGAGGTAAAACAAGATATTTTGAAAGATCACATTCATATAACTTTCATTTCAGTGTATTACTGTTATTCATTTTATTATTATGTATGTATAGCAAAAAACATAGCGTATATAAGGGTTGGTACTACCTGTAGTTTCAGGCATCCATTGGGACCCTTGGAACATATCCCTCTAGGATAAAGGAGGACTACTGTAATCTAATTCAGCCCTACTTTTATAAAAGGTTATAAATACAGAAGGAAGTTAACTGACTTGGCCAAGTTCGTTTGGCAGAGCCCGTACTGGAATCTGGCCATGAAATTCTAACTAAGTATACTTTTCACCACATCATGGTTGTAAAAAAAATTTTTGATTGGAAATAATGAAAGTGATTGAAGTTTTTCCTTGAATAAATTATTTGAAATTGTTAGTAGCCTGTTTTTTGTTTTGTTTTTGAGACGTAGTTTCACTCTAGTTGCCCAGGCTGGAGTGCAATAGCGCGATCTCGGCTCACTGCAACCTCCGCCTCCAGGTTCAAGCGATTCCCCTGCTCCAGCCTCCTGAGTAGTTGAGATTACAGATGCCCGCCACTACGTCTGGCTAATTTTTGTATTTTTAGTAAAGACGGGGTTTCACCATGTTGGCCAGGCTGGTCTTGAACTCCTGGACTCAAGTGATCCACCCGCCTCAGCCTCCCAAAGTGCTGGGATTACAGGCATTAGCCACCATGCCCGGCCTAAAGGATTATTTTCAATACATTTTTAAATCCTGCACTTGCTTCTGCCAGCTACCCAGTACTCAAAAGGGTATTTTGTAGAACCCAGCCTTCAAAAGGGTCCTTAGAAAGTGGAAAGTAATTTACATATTATTCTAAGTAATGCAAAATTAGTTTAGTATGTGTTCAGAGATTAATAACATATCCCAAAACAAAAAAGACATCTGAATTGATGTTATTGATATTAGTGCCCATAATTAGTTGTGTCTTGAAAAGTACCTTAATTGTCTTAATTGTGCATTTTATCTCAACTGTTATTCACAGAGCGCAAACCAACTTGGCAAAAAGCATGCTGAAAGAATATATACAAAATACGTGATATGAACAATATGTACCTTGGGAGAGCAAAGAAAGGTAAACACAACATAGACAGATTCGACTCTTAGAACATGGGTCGTCCAGGCACGGTGGCTCACACCTGTAATCTCAGCACTTTGGGAGGCCAAGGCAAGTGGATCACCTGAGGTCAGGAGTTCGAGACCAGCCTGGCCAACATGGTGAAACTTCGTCTCTAATAAAAATACAAAAAATTAGCTGGCTGTGGTGGTGGGTCCCTGTAATCCCAGCTACTCGATGGGCTGAGGTAGGAGAATCCCTTGAACCCGGGAGGCGGAGGCTGCAGTGAGCTGAGATCGGGCCATTGCACTCCAGCCTGGGTGACAGAGTGAGACTCCATCTCAAAAAAAAAAAAAAAAAAAAAAAGATGGGTAAAATTTGGATAGAGAAGAGCATGAGTAAACACACGGAGACAGAAATAAATTTTTGCCTCCTTTAAGTTTCTAAAATTGTCTAGTTAAAAAAAAAATTTGACCCCCTACTACAAAGGTAGATGAGATCATGGAAAGCTTGAAGACCACGATGAGAAATAGAAGTTTCCATGTTCATCCTAATTAGGAGAGTGACATTATTTGAGATTTCATTTCTAATTCTAAATTTCCAGAATTTTAATTTTTGACCCTATTAGCTGAAGAAGATTTGTTGAAATATTTGTTCAACATTTGTTGAACTTATTCAAGTTTCAAAAAACAAAAACATTCCTTAAAGCATCTATCTCATCAATTCTTTAACTTTCCCATAGGGAAAGTCCACAATCTCCCTCAAACAAAATTCACTATCAGAAATATTTGCATTTAACCTCCCCTATTTTTAAACCAAGGTAATATCTTTTAGTGTTCATATTCGTCCACGGATTTAACAGAGCCTTAGTAGCAGGCTTAAATGGTAGCACTAGCTTATTCAATTGCATAAAATGTACATTATTCAATTTAGAAGTTTAGCAGACATAGAATTTCAAGAGGTTCTGTCTCTCAAAAATCATAATGGTTCCCGTTCATTCTCATTCCCTCATATTCTCTCTCTCTCTCTCCTTCTTTCCCTCCCTCTCCCAGCCATTTGATACTGTAAAATAACTGTCATCTAAGACCGTTGCAAACACCAACCACAATAACCATATTTGCTCACTGAGTTGCCACTTAGCAGGTGCAACAAGGAAATACTGTTTCTCATCTCCTAAAACCAAAAGGGTTCATCTCGTACCTAATTTGTCACTTAAGTGAAAAGCATATCACGACTTACACTAACTTTCTCCTAAGTGTCAGAGGTTGCTGGCTTAACCAGACCGGAGAAGAGCAGGATCCCCGGGCCTAGCTTTGCTGAGCGGCACAGGGGAGCATCGCCTGGAATTGGTGGGTGTCCCTCCTCACTAGTGGGCACCCCCTTGCCCATCGACCTGCCCAAACCCGAAGGGACCCCGCCAGGGTCTCGGTTTGGCACCTACCCTCTCCTGCTCCCCGCCAAGAGCCAGCCACCCTCCTCGACCCCGAAGAAAGCTCGGGTGCCCAGCTGCGAGTGGAGCAGAGGGAACCCAGCGCCTCCGGCTCGCGCTGGGAGCCCCCTCCCCGCCGGTGCCCCGCCCACAGCACGGCCCCCACCATCCTCTCTGCTCTGGCAAGGCAGGCGAAGACCGGAGCCTTATCTCCGGACTCCCCCACCCCTAATCTCCCGCCGCGCTGCTCCGCACCTACCGCGCGGCCACCGGCCTTACCTGGCCGGGTCTCGGCGAGCGAGGCTGCGCCTGGTGCTTGCGTCCAGCGCACAAACCTGTCCTCCAGCCCCCGGCCCACCGCTCCGCTCTGCCCCTCCTCCCGCCGCGCGCGCCCGCCTCCTGGCTGCCATGGCGACAGTTCCCACACTCTGCGGCCGCTGATTGGTCCGGTTCGCGATTGCTGACGACGCCGATTGGCGGGAGCAGGGACAAGGCCGCGCCGGGGAGCCTGGAGGCGGGCGGTGAGGAGGGCCGAAGCTGTGGAGCCTGGTGGGAGGCTGAGCCAGGAGGGACGTGGCGCTCTGAGATGCGGGCTCAGGAGGCCGCGCCTCTTCCTTCCCTAGCTTACCCGGAGAATCCTGTGGAGCAGGACTCGGGCGGGTGAGGTGCCGTCCTGAGACCCGGGCAGAGCCCCAGGGATCGCCTCTCCCTTGGCCTCTGGCCTGCGCCTGCAGCGCCCACGCAGGTCGGAGAATGGCTGTCAGGCCTATTCTCGCCCACAGGCCTCGCTCGGCTCTGACACCCCCGTCCTCCGCCTTGGCGGGAATCTTAACGGCATTTGTAACCGCACCCACCCCCGTTGTGCTGGGCCCTCGGTCACTGTGGTTTAACTGTATTTACCCACCTTCTCTCTTGCCCATTCGCAGACAGCTCTTTCCTCTGCATCCTGCCCCAGAGAACAGACATCTATTCCAAACCCCTCATTTTAAAGATGGGGAAACTGAGGCTCAAAGATGCACATGGGTAGCTTGAGCCTTCCAGAAGCTTTTGGAGCCACAGGCTGTTTACGAAGTTTCATCCTGCCGATTAGTTTTTTTCACCTGAAAAATTGGTATCATATCTACCTTAGGGTTATTCACGAAGATTGAATGAGATAACATTGCCAGGAAAACAGTACAGACTAGGCATGGTGACTCACCCTGTAATGCCAGCACTTTGGGAGGCCAAGGCAGGAGGATGGCTTGAGCTCAAAAATTTGAGACCAATCTGGACAACAGTGAGATCCTATCTCTACAAGAATATTTTTTACTTTTTTATCTTTAACACAATGATGTTTCAGTCTGAAGAAAATACTTAAAAATTTGCCAGGTGCTGTGTCGCACATCTGTAGTCCCAGCTACTCAGGAGGCGGAGGCAGAGGCGGGAGGATCACTTGAGCTCAGAAGGCCGAGGCTGCAGTGAACCATGATCATTGTGCCACAGAGTGAGACCCTGTCTCAAAAAAACAAACAAACAAAAACACACAGTACAGAATCTGCCACATAGTATGTTAGCAATGAAAGCTTCTGTTATCAGGAAGTACTACCAGCCAGATTGCCTCTGTTGCACAACTGGACTCTGTGTGCCCCTAACCGTGTAATTTGCCAGTTATTTAAGTGCTCTCTGCCTCCATGTCCTTGTCTGTAAAATGAACATAATAACAGTACCCTCCTACTTACAGCATAGCAAATTAATTTAAAAAGTGACTGGCACATAGGAAATTTTAAATAAATGTTAACCATTCTCAGATTAGTGGCTGAGCTGGGACTATAACTTAGGTCTCTAGATTTCAACCCAATCGTATTTATTTATTTATTTAGAGATAGAGTCTCCTTCTGTTGCCCAGGCTGAAGTGTAGTGGCGCAATCTCAGCTCACTGCAGCCTCAACCTCGCAGGCTCAGGCAATCCTCCCACCTCAGCCTCCCAAGTAGCTGGGACTACAAGCACACACCACCACGCCTGGCTAATTTTTTGGCATTTTTTTGTAGAGACGGATTTTTGCCATGTTATCCAGGCTGGTCTCGAAGTCCTGGACTCAAGCGCTCTGCCTTCCTCAGCTTCTCAAAGATTAGAAGCGTGAACCACCACACCTGGCCTCAATTATCTTTACTAACACTTCTCATCCACATACATAGATCAGTACCTCAAGGTTAGGCTCCTTTTTGAGGTTCAGGAGAAGAGGACCCTCCAGCCTGGGCGACAAGAGCGAAACTCCGCCTCAAAACGAACAAACAAACAAGGGTGAACTCCTAGGAGCAGGAGACTGATGCAGGACAGGAAAGCGCCAAAATTGAGGATTCTTGGCTTCACCCAGTAAAGAATTCAAGCGTGAGCTGGTGGTGTTAAACAGCAACTTTTATTGAAGCCGCAGTACCCGGCAGCAGCAGAGCTACTGCTCCTTGCAGAGCAGGGCTACCCTGTAGGCAGTGTGCCCAGAGCAGCAACTCAGAGGCAGTTCTGCATTCCTGTTTATACTGATTTTATTTTATTTTTATTTTTATTTATTTATTTTGAGACAGAGTCTCACTTTGTCACCCAGGCTGGAGTGCAGTGGTATAGTCTCAGCTCACTACAGTCTCCACCTCCTGGGTTCAAGTGGTTCTTCTGCTTCAGCCTCCTAAGTAAATGGGATTACAGGCACCCGCCACCACTCCGGCTAATTTTTGTATTTTTAGTAGAGACGGGGTTTCACCATGTTGGTCAGGCTGGTCTCGAACTCCTGACCTCAAGCAGTCCACCCACTTCGGCCTCCTAAAGTGCTGGGATTCTAGGCATGAGCCACTGTGTCTGGCCCTATACCCACTTTTAAGTATATGCAAATTAATGGGCAGTTTATGCAGAAATTTCTAGAATGAGGGTGGCATCCTCCAAGTTGTCAGGTCATTGCCACAGAAAGGGGCCATAACTTCAGGGTGTTGTCATGGCAATGGTAAACTGACATGGCACAGTGGTGGGCGTGTCTTATGGGGAGGTGCTTCTGTTCCAAACCTGTTTCAGCTAGTTCTCAATTTGGTCTGGTGACCAAGCCCTGCCTCCAGAGTTGAGTTCTGCCTCCCGTCTCAGTACCACCAGCTTGCCTAAGGAGGCATGAACTGGTCCAGGTTGGAAACAGAGCAGGTCAAAAACTCCTTTCCTGATCAGTAGTGGGATCACGCCTGTGAAGAGCCACTGTGTTTCAGCCTGGGCAGTATAGCAAGACCCTGTCTTGTCTAAAACAGTTCATTCGTGTGCACAATTGGAAAAAGCTGCTTTTAGAACCAGATAAATTGAATGGGAGACCTTCTTTATGTTTGTCCTGGTTTCAGTCAACTAAAACCCTCTTTTCCCCGCTTTTCTTTTAGAGATAGGGTCTCACTATGTTGCCCAGCTAGTCTTGAACTCCTGGCATCAAGCAATCCTCCCACCTCAGCCTCCCAAAATGCTGGGATTACAGGCATGAGTTACTGCACCTGGCCTACGCCTGTCTCTACAAAAAGAGCTTTTTATAAATTAGCTGGGAAAGAATCCACAGACCCTTTGAAAGATGCAGCAGGCTGCAGCGTACTCTGTGAGACAGGTGAAAAACTGTCAATTCCCAGAGTGTGAGAGGGGGAGAGTCTTCCTCCAAGCACACATTCCTACCAGGGAATCTGAACCTCTAGTCCACAGGAGAAGGCTTTAACCCTCCCCAGAGCCGGAATGGATTTAGGGAGTGGCGTGAAATAAATAAACGTAGAAGCAGTAGTGGGAAGTGCCTCGTAGGCATTCCCAGTCTCTATTGTGAATGGAGGGAAGCCATTCCTGACTGTATCTTACAGGGGCCCTCAGGGAAGCCAGCCAACAAACTGAGGGAGGGGTCCCAAGGTGAAAGAAGCTCCCAACTGAATTTTATGATATAATCTGGAGTGGGGATGAACTCCCTTGAGCAGAAACCAGTGGGCAAGCGAGAAGTGTGCAGGAGACACAAGCATACATGCTGGGTGTTCAGCTTACCAGCAGAAAGGGAAGGGCATGACCTGAAAGCTGTGGTTTCAGGTCACAGTGTGCACAGACTGCCTGGATCTAAACTCAGTGCTGCTAACAGGGCACTGATGGAGCAAGACCAGCCTTGCCAACTGCATGGGAGCTGGGTGAGGCTTGCTGCTGCCTGCTACTCCCCACTCCCTTTGTGAACTCATGTGCAGCAGAGGCAGTTATACTCCCTTCTGGAACAAATGGAAACACATCCCACAACACTGCCAAAAGCAATCTACAGATTCCATACAATTCCCATCAAAATACAATCATCATTCTTCACAGAACTGGAGAAAAAAATCCTAAAATTCATATGGAACAAGAAAAGAGCCGCATAGCCAAAGCAAGACTAAGCAAAAAGAACAAATCTGGAGGCATCACCTTACCCAACTTCAAACTATACTACAAGACTACAGTTGCTGCCGGGCATGGTGGCTCACGCCTGTAATCCCAGCACTTTGGGAGGCCAAGGCGGGTGGATCACCTGAGGTCAGGAGTTCGAGACCAGCCTGGCCAACATGGTGAAACCCCGTCTCTACTAAAAATACAAAAATTAGCCAGGTGTGGTGGCAGGCGCCTGTAATCCCAGCTACTCAGGAGGCTAAGGCAGGAGAATTGCTTGAACCCAGGAGGCGGAGGTTGCAGTGAGTCGAGATCATGCCATTGCACTCTAGCCTGGGGGACAAGAGCGAGACTTCGTTTCAAAAAAAAAAAAAAAGGCTATAGTTACCAAAACATCATGGCACTGACATAAAAACAGGAACACAGACCACTGGAATAGAATAAAGAAAAATGGCCAGCCACGATGGCTCACACCTGTAATCCCAGCACTTTGAAGGCTGAGGCTGGTCATCACTTGAGGCCAGGAGGTCAAGACCAGCCTGGCCAACATGGTGAAACCCTATCTTTACTAAAAGTACAAAAATTAGCCGGGTGTGGTGGTGGATGCCTGTACTCCCAGCTACTGGGGAGGTTGTGGTAGGAGAATTGCTTGAACCCGAGTGGCGGAGGTTGCAGTGAGCTGAGATCACGCCACTGCACTCCAGCCTGGGTGACCGAGTGAGATCCTGCCTCAAAAAAAAAAAAAAAAAAAAGTCAAAAAACAATAGATGTTGGCATGGATGTGGTGAAAAGGGAACACTTTTACACTGCTCTTGGGAATGTAAATTAGTACAACCTCTATGGAAAACAGTATGGAGATTCCTTAAATAACTGAAAGTAGAACTACCATTCAATTCAGCAATCCCTCTATTGGGTATCTACCCAAAGGGAAAGAAGTCATCATATGAAAAAGATACTTGCACATGCATGTTTATAGCAGCACAATTCTCAAGTGCAAAGACATGGAACGAACCTAAGTGCCCAGCAACCAACAAGTACACAAAGAAAATGTGTTATATATACACTATGGAACACTACTGATTCATAAAAAGGAACAAAATAATGTATTTTGCACCAACTTGGATGGAGCTGGAGGCCATTATTCCAAGTAAAGTAACTCAGGAATGGAAAACCAATTATCATATGTTCTCACTTATAAGTGGGAGCTAAGCTGTGAGGACACAAAGGTAGAATTATATAATAGACTTTGGGGACTCAGAAGGTAAGGTTGGGAGAAGGGTGAGGAATAAAAGACTACATATTGGGTACAGTGTATACTGCTGGGGAACCGGGTGCACTAAAATCTCAGAAATGACCACTGAAGAACTTATCCATGTAACCAAAACCTACCTGTACCCCAAAAACTATTGAAATAAAACACTTTCAAAGATAAAAAGTGGCCAGGCACAGTGACTCATGCCTGTAATCCCAGCACTTTGGGAGGCCAAGGCGGGCAGATCACCTGAGGTCAGGAGTTCAAGACCAGCCTGGCCAACATGGTGAAACCCCGTCTCTACTTCAAATACAAAAAAATTAGCTGGGTGTGGTAGTGCACGCCTGTAGTCTCAGCTACTTGGTAGGCTGAGGCAGGAGAATTGTTTGAACCCGGGAGGCTGAGGTTGCAGTGAGCCGAGATCATGCCACTGCACACTCCAGCCTGGGCAACAGAGTGAGACTCTGTCTCAGAAAAAAAAAAAAAAGAAAAAAAAGAAAGAAAGAAAAGAAAAAGAATAAATAAAACCCCAGCATTGAAAGTCTTGCTGCTAGGAACAACGGATGCTTTTGAAGCACCACCCTTTGTGCTTTGTTGGGGGAAACCAGTTATGTGGAAGCACTTGTGGATCCTCAAGAGTGTGCATGGGAAGGAATGAGTGTAACACGGGCAGGGCAGGGACCAGTGGACTTTTTGTAAGCTTTCAGCTCAATAAAATGAACCTATGTGGTGAGATAATAACAGTAAGTAAAACTAAAACTTGAAGGTTTAGCACTGACAGAGAATCTCCTGGTGGGAAAGATGTCTAAAGAACATGGGCCAGGCGCGGTGGCTCACACCTATAATCCCAGCACTTTGGGAGGCCTAGGCAGGTGGATCACTTGAGGTCAGGAGTCTGAAAGCAGCCTGACCAACATGGTGAAACCCCATTCTACTAAAAATACAAAAAAATTAGTGGGACATGGTGGTGCATGTCTGTAACCCCAGCTACTTAGGAGGCTAAGGCAGGAGAATCGCTTGAACCCAGGACACGGAGGTTGCAGTGAGCCAAGATCATGCCATTGCACTCCAGCCTGGACAACAGAGTGAGATTCTGTCTCAAAAAAAAACAAAAAGCAACAACAACAACAACAACAACAGAAACCATAGTCACTACCTTGTGTATTCCAACTGTTCTATAATACTAATTAAGAACATAATCACTACCTTGGACAAGGGAAAATACACAAGCTTTAGCGTCAGAATTGGACCCCAACCCTGGCTCTACTGCTTATTACATGTGCCCAGTTTTGAGTTAGTTCCCTAACTCTAGGCCTGGTGCATTTTCTAGAGAGTAGTTGTTCAAGTCTGGAAAGAGTGAATCTGGGAGGTATAGTGGTTAAGAGCGTGAACAATGAAACCCGTCCACCTGGATTAAAAACCCAGCTCCATCCATATTAGCTAATGTCCTCCAGCAAGTCACTTAACCCCGCTCTTCAAAGCACAGCTTTCCCACTTGTAAAATGCAGGCAACAATAGTTCAAGCTTCCTATAGTTGTGGTAAGGATTAAATGAGTTTATATTTGTAAAGCAGAGGGTGCCCGGTGCAAAGTGCTTTATTAATGTCTAATAATATATTGGTCTCCGTTTCTCCACCTGTAACCTGGGGATAATAATGCCGAACTAACTTTAAGGATTCCAATGATACATGTGAAGTGCTAGAAAGGTGGCCAGATGCGGTGGCTTACGCCTGTAATTCCAGCACTTTGGGAGGCCGAGGCGGGCAGATCACCTGAGGTCAGGAGTTGGAGATCAGCCTGGCCAACATGGTGAAACCCAGTCTCTACTAAAAACACAAAAATTAACCAGGCGTGGTGCTGAGCACCTGTAGTCCCAGCTATTCAGGAGGGTGAGACAGGAGAATCACTTGAACTCTGGGAGGCAGAGGTTGCAGTGAGCTGAGATCACCCTACTACACTCCAGCCTGGGCAACAAGAGCGAGACTCCATCTCAAAAAACAAAACAAAAAAAACACCAAAAATAAAAAATAAAAAACCCAAAATAAATAAATAAATAAATAAATAAATAAATAAAAATAAAGTCCTAGTGAGGAGATGTCCAATAGCTTTTATTTCTGTTCCCCACCTCGCCCCTACTTCTGCCCTGTTACCTTGGAAATCCTGTCTGATTACTGCTACCTCTGCCTTCATGTTGTCTCTTGCTCAGCTTGGTGTAAGTAATTGATTCCTTGATTTCCTTGATTCCAGGAGATTTCTTGATTTCCTTTGGCTCAGCTGAGAAACTCAAAATGTGTTTGCTGGAAGCCAGAAGAAAATAAAAGTGAAACAACCCCAGAGAACCAGCTGACGCGAACCCTGCCCCATATTACATCTCTTGGTACTTCTAGGGGGAAAAAAATGGTTTCAAGGACATTCTGGCTTTCTAAGACTTCAGTTCCCTTCTTATCTCCTCTTTTAGGATCCTGCAGAACAACAACTGGCCAATTAGTTACAAAATCAAATTCTTCATTGTGTTAAGAAAAGGGAAGAAGGGCTGAGTGCAGTGGCTCACGCCTGTAATCCCAGCACTTTGGAAGTCTGAGGCGGGCAGATCAGGAGTTCAAGACCAGCCTGGCCAACATGGTGAAACCGCATCTCTACTAAAAATACAAAAATTAGCCGGACGTGGTGGCATATGCCTGTAATCCCAGCCACTCAGGAGGCTGAGGCAGGAGAATCACTAAAAGGCAGAAGTTGCAGTGAGCTGAAATCGCACCACTGCACTCCAGCTTGGGTGACAGAGTGAGATTTCATCTCAAAAAAAAAAAAAGGGAAGAGGGAGAATACTTACTCCCAAGAGATAGTAAGTAGTCAGAACTAGAAAACTCAGGGTAAACTTTTCTTGGGAGCTAAGACTGTTGTTGTTGTTGTTGTTGTTTTTATCAAGGTCAAGATCAGGGATCAGCAAACAATGGCCCTTGGGTCAAATCAACCCATTACTTGCCATTACTTGTTTTTATTGACAGTCTTATTAGAACACAGCAACTTTCAACATCTGTCCATCTTGTGTATGTGTTATCTATCTTCTCAGGCTGTTTTCGTACTACAATGGCAGAGTTAAATAGTTGTGACAGAAACTGTATGGCTCTTGGCCCCTTACAGAAAAAAAAAAAATTACTAACATCTGGACTAGATAATTCACCCAGGATCATATTTTCAGTATTCTCAGTGCAGAAATTCTTTACCTTCATCAAATCCTGTAATGCATGGCTTCTCAATCTTTAATGTGCATATAAGTCACTTCGGGAACTTATTAAAATATAAATTCTAGTGGCTCACGCCTGTAATCCCAGCACTTTGGGAGGCCGAGGCGGGCGGATCACGACGTCGGGAGATCGAGACTATCCTGGCTAACACGGTGAAACCTCGTCTCTACTAAAAATACAGAAAAATTAGCTGGGCATGGTGGCGGGCATCTGTAGTCTCAGCTACTGGGGAAGCTGAGGCGAGAGAATGGCGTGAACCCGGGAGGCGGAGCTTGCAGTGAGCCAAATCGTGCCACTGCACTCCAGCCTGGATGACGGAGCGAGACTCTGTCTCAAAAAAAAAAAAAAAAAGAAAAGAAATACACCTGTAGGAGGCAGTTTTTGCCCTGTGTTCAGCTGCTAAGTAATATCATCATAGCCTCTCTGCATTCCTCAGCTCTGACTTTTCATCTTCAAGCTTATTGCCTCAGGTTGAAAGACAGCTAGCATACTTCCTGACATCATGAGTCATGACCACATTCAGAAATAGGAAACAGGCTGGGCATGGTGGCTTACACCTGCATTCCTGTGTTTTGAGAGGCCAAGGCAGGAAAATCACTTGAGGCCAAGAGTTCGAAACCAGCCTGAGCAACATAGCAAGTCCCCATCTCTACAAAAAGAAAAAGAAAAAAATTAGCTGGGCATAACAGCATATTGAGACCCCCATCTCTACCAAAAAAATAAATTAAATGCAGAAATTAGCCGGGTGTGGTGGTGTGCACTTGTAGTCCTAGCTACTAAGGAAACTGAGGTGGGAAGATCACTTGAGCCCAGGGGCTCGAGGTTACAGTGAGCTATGATTGGCCACTTCCCTCTGGACTGAGAAAGTGAGACCCCATCTGTATAAGAAAAAAAAAAAAAAAAAGTGGGGCGGGGCCAGGCACGGTGTCTCACACCTGTAATTCCAGCACTTTGGGAGGCCAAACTGGGCAGATCACCTAAGGTCAGGAGTTCGAGACCAGCCTGGCCAACATGGTGAAATGTGTCTCTACTAAAAATACAAAATTAGCTGGTCATGGTGTTGGGCGCCTGTGATCCTAGCTACTCGAGAGGCTGAGGCAGGAGAATCACTTGACTCTGTCTCAAAAAAAAAGAAAAAAAGAAAAGAAATTAAAACACATGGGATAGGGGATTGGGGGATGTGCGGAGGCAGCAAAAGAACCTTTTATGTAAGAAGTTCCCTCTCCTTTTGTTAGCAAAGGAAAAACTGTCACAGAGCCACCCCACACACCACCCCACTCCCACCCACCAGCTCCAGCAAACAAGCCTTAAAGTTCCATTGACTAGAAATAGGTTATATGACCATTCTCCCGGTACAAGGTATGATAGAAAGCGTCTGGCAAAGAAAGAGGAATGCAGTCATCATGACTGTCTTACACCAATTACAACTAATCTCCTAAGTATGGACACACTGCTACCCCCACACCAAATTTTGGGTTCTATTAACGAGGAAGAAGAGGGTCTGGCTGTTAGGCAATAGTGCAGTGTTTGCCATGTCTTCCCGATATCAAATCCACAAACACTCATGATTCTGTACCCATGTCCTCTTTCTTTCCTTCTGTAACAACAAAAGGCAGTCCCTTTACTCTGAATTCCATTCCCCTCACTTCTCAAGGACTTCACTCCTTTATTTGGCTATTGCCTTTCCTTCCTATATGATGAATCTTCCCCTGGCTACAGAATCACATTCTAGGCATACAAACATGCTATAGGACTGTCTTCCATCTTTTAAAAATCCCCTTCCTTATGGATAAAGAAATGTGATAATGCAAGCCGAGTAAAATGTCAAGTAGAAAATTTAGTGATTTTACTGCAAAATTCTTTCAACTTTTCTATATGTAATTACATACTTTATACAATGTAATGTTGGAAATAAAATCTCTTCCTTGACCCCAAATCCCCCTCCAAAGTATTTCCCTGCTTATTGTTCAAATTCATTGAAAAAGTTCCTTCCCCTAGTTGCTCACCTCTCTTTTCTTATTATTTATACTAGTCTGGCTTCCATTTTCTCCAACAGTACACTGAAGTTGCTTTTTTTTTTTTCTGAGATGGTGTCTCGCTCTGTCGCCCAGGCTGGAGTGCAGTGGCACAATCTCGGCTCACTGCAACCTCCACCTCCTGGGTTCAAGCAATTCTCCACCTCAGCCTCCCAAGTAGCTGGGATTACAGCCGCCCGCCACCACTCCTGGCTAATTTTTGTATTTTTAGTAGAGACGGTGTTTCACCATCTTGGCCAGGCTGATCTTGAACTCCTGACTTTGTGATACACCTGCCTCAGCCTCCCAAAGTGCTGGGATTACAGGTGTGAGCCACTGAGCCCGGCCTATTATTTTTATTTATTAAATTTTTTGTTTATTTTGTTTTGTTTGAGACATAGTCTTGCTCTGTCACCCAGGTTGGAGTGCAGTGGCACAATCTCGGCTCCCTGCAACCTCTACCTCCCAGGTTCGAGTGATTCTAGTGCCTCAGTCTCCTAAGTAGTTGGGATTACAGGCATGAGCCACTGTTCCTGGCAGATTTTTTTTTTTCCTCGAGACAGAGTCTTGCTCTGTCATCTGGGCTGGAGTGCAGTGGCTGACTGCAACCTCTACCTCCTGGGTTCAAGCAATTCTCCTGCCTTACCCTCCCAAGTACCTGGGATTACAGGTGCCTGCCACATGCCTGGCTAATGAGATTGCTTTTATTAAGGTCACCTTTCAGTGGACACTTTTCTGTCCTTATCTTACTCAACTGCCCAGCAGCACTGTTTGCTTCTGACTTCCTTCTCGAAACACTTTCCTCTCTTAGCATCTGACACCACTCTCTTCTGGTTTTCTTTCTACCTTTCTAGATAATCCTTTTCAGGCTCCTTTGCCATCTTCTTCTTCATTACCCAACTTCTAAAAGATAGAATGTTCCAGGGTTGGTTCTGGGACCTCTTCTCTGTCCACAGCAAATTTTTTTCACAGAAGCATTATTGGTATTTTATGTGAGACATTTCTTCATTGAGCAGGATTTCCCGTGCATTACACAATGTTTTATATTCCTAGATTCTACTCACTAAGTGCCAGTAGTGTCTCCTTTGTCCCTGCAGTCAATGTGACAACCCAAATTACCTCCAAACAATCTCTAGAGAAGTAACACTTCTCCAAGTGAAGAACAATCTCCTCTTTCATTTGGTGGTGCAAGCCAGTCCATAAAACATATACGTACCATGTACAGTATATGCAAAATTCTCAAATATCTCCAGTCCAAACTTCTTTTAGGAAATTTAGACTATCTTTAACTATCTACATTTTTATTTGGATGGCCTATTGTGGGAGGTCAATACATATTTGATGAATTAATGATCTAATTAACTATCTTAGTCCCTCTTTTTTTGGTGGGGGGAAGGACAGAGTCTCACTCTGTCGCCCAAGCTGGAGTGCAGTGGCACGATCTTGGCTCACTGCAACCTCTGCCTCCCGGGTTCAAGCGATTCTCCTACCTCAGCCTCCCGAGTAGCTGGGATTACAGGCATCCGCCACCACATCCATCTAATTTTTGTATTTTTAGTAGAGACAGGGTTTCACCATGTTGGCCAGGCTGGTCTTGAACTCCTGACCTCAAGTGATCCACCCATCTCGGCCTCCCAAAGCGCTGGGATTACAAGCGTGAGCCACCGCACCCAGCCTGTCCCTCTTTTGTCTAACATTAAATTGCTGATCTTCTCATGCCTGTTGTTCACTGTGGGAGACCGGGAGATGTGCTGCTCAGATCCCCTTTCAAGAAAGGACCTGCTGCCCAGCTGTAGGAGTGTGGTTAGCTGAGAGTCTCTAGCTGTTACTGGCTTTAGGGTCTACCTCAGCTCTAGAGCCAAAGTCACACTCTTTTTGGCATGTAGTTAAGTCATACTCTTCTTGGGCAGGTTTCCAGCCAATGAATGAGCAAGGTGGTAGTTCATGGGTCTAGTCTAACATGGAACCCCTTCAACCGGCATTTTTTGCTCTGGAACCCCTCCATTGAGCTGGCAGAGACTTTGTCAGGTTTACATCATTATCTGCAAACTCCTCCTGCACAATTCTGCTTCTGTCCCTTTTCCTACACAGGTATTATCCCCCTGATAAACCTTTGGCACACCTAACTCTGTCGTAGCATATGCTTCCCAAACAACCTGCTCTGCACTTTCTCTATCCTTCTCATTTTAATAATTGGTATCCATTCAGTTGCTCAAGCTAAACCCCTATGAGTCATCTCTGATTCTTTGTTTTCCTTCATACCTCATATCTGCTTCATCAGCATCAGCAGTTTCTTTTGATTCTACCTCTAAGGAACATAATCAATCTCTCTCTCTCTCCCCCTCCCTCTCCCTCTCTCTAATAACCCAGTCTCAGTTATCATCATATCCCAATGGAATACTGCAAATAGCCTCCAAATTACTGTCCTACTGTCAATTTGGCATCCATTCTTCACACAGCAGTTGGAGGAATGCTTTAAAACATAGCACTACTCGCCGTGCACGGTAGCTCACGACTGTAATCCCAGCACTTTGGGAGGCTGAGGCGGGTGGATCACGAGGTTAGGAGTTCAAGACCAGCCTGGCCAACATGGTAAAACCCTGTCTCTACTAAAAATACAAAAATTAGCCGGGCGTGGTGGCATGTGCCTGTAGTCCCAGCTGCTTGGGAGGCTGAGGCAGAAGAATCGCTTGAACCCGGGAGGTGGAGGTTGCAGTGAGCCAAGATCGCACCACTGCATTCCAGCCTGGGCAACAGAGTGAGACTCTGTCTCAAAAAAAAAAAAAAAAAAAAAAAAAAAGGCACTACTCTACTTGAAAATAATATGTTCTAACCTAAACCTCTTACCATGTCTGTCAAGCCTCTGCATGATGTCTCCTTCATCTTTCTGTCCAGCCTCATTCCTCACTATTCCTCTCTGTCACTATACTTTAACCATGTTGGTTTTTCTGATCTTTGAAACTATTTCCACCTGAGGCCTTTGCCAAGGCTGTGCCCCTTTCAGCAGACCACTGTTCCCCCAGCAGTTTGCATGGCTGGATTCTTTTCATTCATTAGAAGTCAAATGCCACTGCTTCAAAAAAAGCTACTTGGACCATTTAATCTAAAGTAATTTTCCTCTCCTCCCTCCTATTACTCTCTCTAATTGTGTGTGTGTGTGTGTGTGTGTGTGTGTGTGTACTTTTTTCCTTAATTGCTTTTTGTCTGTGTCTTTCACTAGATCATAAAATCGATGAGGGCATAAACCATATTTGATTTGTTTATACCCAGAGCCTAGCACAGTGTCTGATGCATATAGTAGGGCAATCCATACATATTTGTTGATTTGTTGAATGCATGAAAGTCATCTAATTTTTTTTTTTTTTTTGAGATGGAGTTTCACTCTTGTTGCCCAGGCTGGAGTGCAATGGCATGATCTCAGCTCACCGCAACCTCCGCCTCCCAGGTTCAAACGATTCTCCTGCCTCAGACTCCCGAGTAGCTGGGATTATAGGGATGCGCCACCACGCCCAGCTAATTTTTTTGTATTTTAGTAGAGATGGGGTTTCTTTATGTTGGTCAGGCTGGTCTCGAACTTCTGACCTCAGGTGATCTGCCCGCCTTGGCCTCCCAAAGTGCTGGGATTACAGGCGTGAGCCACCGCGCCCGGCGAAAGTCATCTAATTATCTTAGGTACTCATATTGTTGGGTTGTTTTCCTCATAGTGTTTTGACAAAGGGATTTAATTTTTGTTTTTATTTTTTTCCTTTAGAAAGAGAATGGGGCCCAGCGCGGTGGCTGTTGCCTGTAATCCCAGCACTTTGGGAGGCTGAGGCGGGTGGATCATCTGAGGTCAGGAGTTTGAGATCAGCCTGGCTAACATAGTGAAACCCCACCTCTACTAAAAATACTAAAATTAGCCAGCCATGATGGTGTGTGCCTGTAATCCCAGCTACTCAGGAGGCTAAGGCAGGACAATCTCTTGAACCCGAGAGGCAGATGTTGCAGTGAGCCGAGATTGTGCCACTGCACTCCAGCCTGGGCAGCAGAGCAAGACTCCATCTCAAAAAAAAAGAAAGGTTTATAATATTCTAAGGACAATAATCCTACTTCCTTTTAGCAATCTTACCAAACAAATTTAAAAAATAAATAAATAAAAAGAACAATATATTAGAAACATAGTAGGAGGAATCCTGAAGCATATATCCCATGGATTATAAAAATGTAGTGAGAATAAATAAGTTATGGCTGGGCACGGTGGCCCATGCCTGTAATCTCAGCACTTTGGGAGGCCGAGGCAGGTGGATCACCTGAGGTCAGGAGTTCAAGACCAGCCTAGCCAACATGGCGAAACCCTGTCTCTACAAAAATACAAAAATTAGCTGGGCATGATGATGGGTGCCTGTAAACCCAGCTGGTCATGAGCCTGAGGCAGAAGAATCGCTTGAACCTGGGAGGCGGAGGTTGCACAGCCGAGATCACATCATTGTACTACAGCCTTGGCAACAGAGCGAGACTCCGTCTCAAAAAAAAAAAACAAACCAAAAAAAACACAAATAATTTATAAGTTCAGTCATACTGCAATGAGGAACATTATCAAATAAATATTGAGTGCTACGCTTATAATTTTTTTTCATCCAAGAAAAGACCTTAGAGAGACTTTGCAGTGATCAGATCAATTACATAAATCTTGTTTCCTAACCTCTGGATTTTCATTCCATAAACTAAAAAAAAAAAAAAAAAAAAAAACCTCTTACCACCCCCAAGGAATACATACAGTGAGCAGTCTCTTCAGATAATTCCTATAATTATTCACTATGATAAAAGTTGGTCCGGGCGCAGCTGCTCAGGCCTGTAATTCTAACACTTTGGGAGGCCGAGGCAGGAGGATTGCTTGAGCCCAGGAGTTTGAGACCAGCCTGGACAACAAAGTGAGGCCTCGGCTAATCAAAAAATTAGCTGGACGTGGTGGTGTATGCCTATAGTCCCAGCTACCCAGGAGGTTGAAGTGGAAGGATCACTTGAGCCCAGGTTTAGGCTGCAGTGAGCTGTGATTATGCCATTGCACTCCAGCCTGGGGGACAGAGTGAGACCCTGTCTCAAAAAAAAAAAAAATGCCCTGAAATACTTGGAAAACTGAGTTTACATTTTTTATTCACTCTAAAACAATCTAAATCACATATAATCATCAATTTTTGGCTGGGCGCAGTGGCTCACGCCTATAATCCCAGCACTTTGAGAGGCTGAGGCAGGTGAATCACGACCTCAGGAGTTCGAGACCAGCCTGGCCAACATGGCGAAACCCTGTCTCTACTAATAATACAAAAATTAGCCAGGCATGGTGGCGCACACCTGTAGTCCCAGCTACTCAGGAGCCTGAGGCAGAAGAATTGCTTGAACCCGGGAGGCGGAAGTTGCAGTGAGCCAAGATCGCGCCACTGCACGCCAGCCTGGGCAACAGAGTGAGACTCCATCTCAAAAAAAAAAAAAAATCAACTATTATGACTTTTTTTTCTTTTTTTGAGAGAGAGAGTCTCACTATATTGCCCAGGTTGGAATACAATGGCAATTCACAGATGTGATTATTGTGCACTATAGCCTCAAACTTCTAGGATCAAGGGATCCTCCTGCCTCAGCCTTCCAAGTAGCTGGGACTAAGGGCACACACTACCATGCCCAGCTGTGATTCTTTTTGAAAGCTCTACTGATGCAGACATTCTCTTATGACATCATGAACTTACCCAAATAACCTTATCCTTTTTGGTGATGCTGTAAAAATTGTATCTTCCCACTCACTGCAATCTTGGGTTGCAGTCCTGAGATGAGATTAACACATGATGTCATAGGGGGATGATACAAAGAGATGTGCAAAGGCTTGCAATAATATGGAGGAATAAGTTGTTATTCCAAGGTGTTAGAGCAATTCATGATGTCATAGGGGGTGTGGCCAAGCAACCCTCAAAAGTGGAGGGGAAGACTGTTCATATAGTTTATGACATCACAAAGACAGGGCTCAGGACATTACAAAAACTTGACATCTTAAAGGGATGGTCAAACTCTGAAATCACCAGTGGGAGGTGCACAACAGGAAAAGGGTTGGGCCCATATTTGGGAAGTCAGTGATCATGATGTCATAAGGGAATGGAGCAGTCATTCATTCCTTCAAGCATGATAACATAGAAAAGTTTGAAAGTTTTAGGACAAAGATCACAAGACTGCTGCCCAGGGGTGGGATCTGGCCCATAGACATGTTTTGTTGGCCTGCACACAGGATTTTGTGTGTTTCTTCCCCAGTTAGTTGCCAAATTTGGAATTTCTATAATAAAAATCAGGATTTCTGGCTTCTTTTTAAAAATGTTGGAGTTCTGACAACCTTTGGTCTGCATTCCTACCTGGCAACAGCTGGCTGGAGCACACTAACAGCTTTCTTTTTTTGGATGAGACAGGTACTCTTAGTTTACCACAGTCCTCATTTAGTTAGTTTTACTCATATTATCCACCTAGCACTTGTGGGCATTCAAGTTTGTGACACTGGTTTGGGGAATTCCATATAACAAAGAGGTGAGGTAATGTTGGGAAATATGTTGTAGGAGGGGAAGGTAATCTATGACATGAGAAGCTATGTAGACCTTAGGAAATTCATTGTGACAAGGATGGAAGCAGTGGAATATTGATACACTGCTGTTTTAACCCCAAGAATATTCCGATCCTGCCACCCTTGACTTCTGGGAGTATTTTGCCCCCATTGTATTGAAAGCATGAAGAATATGCCACCCCAAAGTATGCTGTTCTGGCATATTGACTATTTTGAATTATATATATATATATATATATATATATATTTTTTTTTTTTTTCTTTTTCTTTTTGAGACAGAATCTCGCACTGTTGCTGGGGCTAGAGTGCAGTGGTGAGATCTCGGCTCACTGCAATCTCCACCTCCCAGGTTCAAACGATTCTCCTGCCTCAGCCTCCCAAGCAGCTGGGATTACAGGCACCCACAACCATCCCCAGCTAACTTTTTGTATTTTTAGTACAGACGGGGTTTCACTATGTTGGCCAGGCTGGTCTCAAACTCCTGACCTCATGATCCATCTGCCTCGGCCTCCGAAAGTGCTGGGATTACGGGCATGAGCCGCCGCACCTGGCCTGAATTAAAGATTAAAAAAAGAAAACAGCAAATACAAGAAGATCACTCTGACCTTCATTTTGTTTCTTAAAAGCAAGAGATGAAGTTCCTATGTGAAAGATGCCCTCCCTATAAACCAACAAACATTCTTATTATCAAGGACAGGAAGAAAATTCTGTACAAACAAACCTTTTAAAACTAACCCTTATCTTCCTAGTCACTTCTCTATCCAATGAGCTACCCTAGTCCAAGCTCTTTTGCCTTATCACATTTTCACAGTTACTACTCTTTGTCCAAAGTCCAATTCAGTATATAAGTGACTCTCACTGCTCCTTTGTATCTTCATTTCTTTGTGAGGACTCTGGTGCCATGTAAAACTTGTATTTCTATGCTTTTCTCCTGTTAATTTGTCTTATGTCAATGTGATTCCCAGGCTCAGCCAGGACCCTAAGAGGACGGAGGTAGAGTTTTGCTGCCCCACAGTGTATTCAAGAGCTTTATAGTGCATGCATTAATCATGGAATTAAACTGAATCAATAAAATTTGACTCATAAAATACTTTCCAAGAAAATTCACTGATATTGACATAATTCTTATTATATGTTTGTTGTTAAATATCCTTGGTGTTGGCTGGACATGGTGAATCACACCTGTAATCCCAACAATTTGAGAGGCCAAAGCAGGAGGATGGCTTGAGGCCAGTAGTTCAAGACCAGCCTTGGCAGCATAGTGAGACCTCAACTCTACAGAAAAAATAAATACGTAAAAAGTACAAAAAACCCACACAAATCCCTGGTGTCAAATATCCTTGGGTCAGGTTTAGAAGAAATCTTATTACTCCCCAAGTGGTATAAACCATATCTTCAAAAGATCCATAACATCATCAACAACTGTCCTTGAAACATCCCACTCTCTTTGCTGCCTGCATACCTCAGCTCAAACTGTTCCTTTTCTTAGAAGGCCCTTCTCTTTCACTGAACTCTGAATTATTCTTCAAATAACAGTGGAGAAATTACTTCCCCAAGCCACACTCTCCTAGCATTAAGAAACAACTCCTGGCCGGGCGCAGTGGCTCATGCCTGTAATCCCAACATTTTGGGAGGCAGAGGCAGGCAGATCATGAAGTCAGGAGTTCGAGACTAGCCTGGCCAACATGGCAAAAGCCCGTCTCTACTAAAAATACAAAAATTAGCTGGGCTTGATGGTGGGTGACTGTAATCCCAGCTACTCAGAAGGCTGAGGCAGGAGAATGGCTTGAACCTGGGAGGCAGAGGTTGCAGTGAGCCAAGATTGCACCATTGCACTCCAGGCTGGTCAACACAGTGAGACTCTGTCTCAAAAAAAAAAAAAAAAGAAAAAAGAAAAAGAAAAAAGAAACAACTCCTCCTCCTACAGAACTTTGAAGACATCTTTATTATAAAATTTATCACAGTGGAGTAGCTTTTTAAACAATTTTATCAATTTCCTTTGGTAGAATTAAAGATTGTGAGTTACTTAAAGGCAGTATTTTCTGGCAATCTAAAGTCATTTAATAAATATTTGTATAGTGAATGGTCATAAGCCAGTATAGAAATCTACTAGGTCAAAAGGTTATGGGGTGGGGCCATGATGAGACATGCTATTATATGACAAAATTTGCCATATGAAAATGAAGCAGAATATGATGTCATGGGGAAAATCTATGCAAGCTTATCTGATGACACTAGTCTGGATGTGCTGACAACAACAGGAAGAGGAGCTGAGCCCTACATTTGATCACTAGGGTGGTACAAGCTTCTAGGAAATCCTCCCATGTCCAGATCATCCTAAGCACTTACCACAGTGCTTGGAACAGAGTAGACCTACAGTAAATACCTACTTGATGATAATGAGTGAGTGAATACGGGAATAAGCTAGCATATTCTGGGCTCTAAGCCATCCTAAATCAGGCTTCCCCCCACCCCCCGACAGTCTCTCTCTCTCTCTGTCACCCAGGCTGGAGTGCAGTAGCACAGTCAAGGCACACTACAGCCTTGACCTCCCAGGCTCAAGCCATCCTCCCATCTTAGCCTTTGGAGTATCCGGGACCGCAGGCGTGCACCACCATGCCTGCCTAATTTTATTTTTTGTACAGATGGGGTCTCTCTGTATTGCCTAGGCTGGTCTTGAACTCCTGGGCTTAAGTGATCCTCCTGCCTCAACCTCCCACGGGCTTTGGTTCTGAATTAGGTTAGTCTGGAGTGGTTTAGTTCTGTTGCAAGCTGTTCTTTGTTGAGCCAATGTCTTAGTTGAGGTCAAGCATAGTTGTCTACGTCAACACAGTAGTCCCCCGCTTATATGCAGTTTCACTTTCCTGGGTTTCAGTTACCAGCAGTCAACTACAGTCCAAAAAGATTAAATGGAAAATTCCAGAAATAATTCATAAGTCTTAAATTGCATGCCATTCTGAGTAGTATATAGTATGATGAAATCTCAGCCATCCTGCTCTGTCCCACTCCAGATGTGAATCATCGCTTTGTTCATTATATCCATGCTATATACACTACCCATTTATTAGTCACTTAGCAGTCATCTCAGTTATCAAATCAACTGTCACAGTATCACAGTGCTTGTGTTCAGTAAGTCTTATTTTTCTTAATAATGACCCCAAAGCCCAAGAGTAGTGATGCTCAAATATTGTTATAATTGTTCTTTTTTTTTTTTGAGATGGAGTTTCACTCTTATTGCCCAGGCTGGAGTGCAGTGGCCTGATTTCGGCTCACTGCAAACTTCGCCTCCTGGGTTCAAGCGATTCTCCTGCCTCAGCCTCCCAAGTAGCTGGGATTACAGGCACACGCCACCACACTCCATGTTTTTGTTTTTGTTTTTGTTTGAGATGGAGTTTTGTTCTTGTTGCCCAGGCCAGAGTGCAGTGGCCTAATCTTGGCTCACTGCAACCTCCGCCTCCCGGGTTCAAGCGATTCTCATGAACATGTACAATGATGGTCCCATGATTTAAAAATGGAGCTGAAAAATTCCTATTGCCTACTATTTACCACACTATACATTTGAATGTGTGTGCGTGTGTCTGTGTGTGTGTTTGTGGGTGTGTGACAGGGTCTCACTTTATTACCTAGGCTGGAGTGCAATGGTGCAATCACAGCTCACTGCAACCTTAATTTCCTGGGTTCAAGTGATCCTCCCACCTCAGCCTCCTAAGTAGCTAGGACCACAAGCTAATTTTTGTACATATATTTTTCTTTTTTAAGACGAAGTCTCGCTCTGTCGCCTAGGATGGAGTGCAGTGGCGCCATCTTGGCTCACTGCAACCTCCACCTCCTGGGTTCGAGTGATTCTCCTGCCTCAGCCTCCAGAGTAGTTGGGACTAGAGGCATGCGCCACCATGTCCAGCTAATTTTTGTATTTTGTTTTTTTTTCCGAGATAGAGTCTCGCTCAGTCACCCAGGCTGGAGTGCAATGGCACGATCTCGGCTCACTGCAACCTCCACCTCCCAAGTTCAAGTGATTCTCCGCCTCAGCCTCCAGAGTAGTTGGGACTACAAGTGTGCGCCACCATGACAGGCTAATTTTTGTATTTTTAGTAGAGACGGAGTTTCACTATGTTGGCCAGGCTGGTCGCAAACTCCTGACCTTGTGATCCACCTGTCTCGGCCTCCCAAAGTGCTGGAATTACAGGCGTGAGCCACAGCACCCAGACTGTACTATATCTTTTATCATTGCTTTAGAGTGTACAAAGTTTGGTGCAAAAGTGACTGCGGTTTTTGCAATTAAAATAATGGCAAAAAATTCAGGCATAGTGGCTCATGCCTGTAATCCCAGCACTTTGGGAGGCCAAGGTGGATGGATCAACTGAGGTCAGGAGTTCAAGACCAGCCTAACCAACACAGTGAAACCCCATCTCTACTAAAAATGCAAAATTAGCTGGGCGTGGTGGCACAAGCCTGTAATCCCAGCTACTTGGGAAGCTAAGGCAGGAGAATGGCTTGAACCTCGGGAGGCAGAGGTTGCAGTGAGCTGAGATCGTGCCATTGCACTCTAGCCTGGGCGGCAAGAGCGAAACTCTGTCTGAAAAAAAAAGGTAATGGCAAAAACCACCATCACTTTTGCACCAACCTAATACTTCTACTTATAAAATAAAAAAGTAAAACAGCCTCAGGCACGCCCTTCAGGAGATAGTCTAGAAGACAGTCTAGAATATGACATCCAGAAGATGATGCTCCGTGCATGTTATTGCCCTTGAAGACTTTCCAGGGCGACAAGATGTAGAGTGATATTGATGATCTTGACCCTACGTAGGCATAGGCTGATGTGTGTGTTTGTGTCTTAATTTTTAAAACAAAAAAGTTTACAAAATGAAAAATTGTTTTAATAGAAAAAAGGATTATAGAATAAGAATATAAATAAAATAATTTTGTTTAGATGTACAATGTGTTTGTGTTTTAAGCTAAGTATTATTACAAAACAGTCAAAAAGTTTTTTGAAAAATTTTAAAGCTGGCCGGGTGTAGTGGCTCACGCCCGTAATCCCAGCACTTTGGGAGGCTGAGGCGGGAGGATCACCTGAGGTCAGGAGTTTGAAACCATCCTGGCCAACATGGTGAAACCCCGTCTCTACTAAAATACAAAAATTAGCCGGAAGTGGTGGCAGGCACCTGTAATCCCAGCTACTCCCAAGGCTGAGGCACGAGAATTGCTTGAACCTGGGAGGCAGAGGTTGTAGTGAGCTGAGATCATGCCACTGTACTCCAGCCTGAGCAACAGAGTGAGACTCTATCTCAATAAAATAAAATAAGATAAAATAAAATTTAAGTTTATAAAGTAAAAAAGTACACTTAGCTAAGGTTAATTTTTTATTGAAGAAAGAAAAATATTTTTTATACATTTAGTGTGATCTGAGTGTACAGTGTTTATAAAGTCTACAGTATTGTACAGTAATGTCCTAGGCCTTCACATTCACTCCCCACTCATTCTAGTCCTGCAAGCTCCATTCATGGTAAGTACCCTATGCAGGTATATCATTTTTTATCCTTCATATTTTTACTGTGCCTTTCTATGTTTAAATGCACAAATACTTATCATTGTGTTACAATTGCTTATAGTATACAGTAACATTCCATACAGGTTTGTAGCCTAGGAGCAATAGGCTATACCACATAGCCTTGGTGTGCAGTAAGCTAACAATCTAGGTTTGTATTTTGCTAAACCACCTTTGCAAAATTATGACTGAGACAGTGAAAGAGATCTAACTTTACCAATTCCATCTTGCTTTGAACCTCCAAGCCATCCTTGTTCATTCCTGGGTGTAGGCTTAAATAACTTTGGCAGAAACTCAGTTTGTAGTTTATAGTTTAAACAAAGACGGTAACAGCCCTTTCCCAAAGCAGACCTCCTTCTTGCCTGGGGACTAGATTGCTTTTGTAGGACTAACAGCCACAGGATTAGAAATTATGGTGTAGGAGTCATGCAGCTGGAGGCTACGGGGTTCTGACCCTCCCTAAACTGCTCCTAAAATCAGTGTTTGAGATATTTTGCAGACCCTGCACTTGATGGATCAGCTGGCCCCACCCAGATCAATAAACTGGCTCAGTTGATATTGTGGCCCCATGACCTAAGAATTGACTCAGCACAAGAAGACAGCTTGGACTCCCAATGATTTCATCCCTGACCAATCAGCAGTTCTGGCTCACTGGCTTCCCCCGCCCTGCCAAGTTATCCTTAAAAACTCTGCTCTTCTGCCCGGCGTGGTGGCTCACGCCTGTAATCCCAGCACTTTGGGAGGCTGAGGCGGGCGGATTGCCTGAGGTCAGGAGTTCGAGACCAGTCTGGCCAACATGGTGAAACCCCGTCTCTACTAAAAATACAAAAAAATTAGCCAGGTGTGGTGGGGATGCCTGTAATCCCAGCTGCTCAGGAGGCTGACGCAGGGGAATTGCTTGATCAGGGAGGTGGAGGTTGTAGTGTGCTGAGATAGTGCCACTGCACTCCAGCCTGGGCAACAGAGTGAGACTCCATCTCAAAAAACAACAACAAAACAAAACAAAACAAAAACAAAACAACAACAGCAACAACAACAATAAAAAAACACGCTGCTCTCCAAATGCTCAGGGAGACTAATTTGAGTAATAATAAAACTCAGGTCTCCCATACAGCCGGCTCTGCATGAATCTTTCTCTATTGCAATTTCTCTGTCTTGATGAATCGGCTCTGTCTAGGCAGCGGGCAAGGTGAACCACTTGGGTGGTTTCAACATGACTGTCTATATAGGGTTTAGTACTAGCCAAAGTTTCATTCATCCACTGGGGGTTTGGGAACTTATCCACCACAGATAACTAGGGACTACCCTAGTTATTTCATCCCTGGAATTAGAAACCCAAAAGAGTTCTATAGTGACTTCAACATACCTATACATCAGAACAAACTCTTTATGACAGCCTTGAAGATTTCTTTTCTTTTTTTTTGAAACAGAGTCTCACTTACTTTGTTGCCCACACTGGAGTGCAGTGGTGCAGTCTCGGCTCACTGCAACCTCTGCCTCCCAGGTTTCAAGCGATTCTCGTACCTCAGCCTTCTGAGTAGCTGGGACTCCAGGTGGGCGCCCACCTGACTTTTTAGTAGAGATGGGGTTTCACCATCTTGGCCAGGATGGTCTCCTCCTGACCTCGTGATCCACCCACCTCGGCCTCCCTAAATGCTGGGGTTATAGGAGTGAGCCACCACGCCCAGCTTCCCTTCCCAATCTCACCAGCTCCACTGTTTTTCTTATTGTCCCCAATACTTTCCATTGCAGTAAAATCTAGTGCTTATATGCCATGTTCTCTCAGTCTTCCTTTTCTTTCCCTAAACTTATCCTTTTGCCTAAGATCCTCTCACTTTTCTCACTCTTCTCTCAATGTATATTCTTTACGTTTGTCAAGGCCGAATTCAAAATTATTCCTCTGTAGGAAGTCTTCCTTGACTGACCTATCCCAAAGCCTTCCTCTGTATAGGAAGGTAATCTTGGTAATTTCTCACTTAATCAAACCCAGCCCTTGTGCAATCCTTATCCTTCTCGGGTCCTTGGCAGCATTTGATGCTGTTGGACAGCCTCTCCTCGGCACTCTCTCCTCCCTTGTCTTCCCTCATAGGGTTTTCTCAATTTTTTTTTTTGAGAGACAGGGTTTCACTATATGTTGGCCAGGCTGGCTTGAACTCCTGACCTCAGGTGATACGCCCGCTTTGGCCCCCCAGAGTGCTGGGATTACAGGTGTGAGCCACAGCGCGTGGCCATTTTTTTTTTTTTTAAAGACAGTCTCACTTTGTCACGAAGGCCGGAGTGCAGTGGCGTGATCTCAGTTCACTGCAAACTCCACCTCTCAGGTTCAAGTGATTCTCATGCCTCAGCCTCCCGAGTAGCCTGGATTACAGGTGCCCGCCACCACGCCAGACTAATTTTTGTATTTTTAGTAGAGATGGGGTTTCACCATGTTGGCCAGGCTGGTCTCGAACTCCTGACCTCAGGTGATCCTCCCACCTTGGCCTCCCAAAGTGCTGGGATTACAGGTGTGAGCCACCGCACCCAGCCTAGGTTGTCTCAACTTCTTCCTTCCTCCCTGACCTGTCTTCTCCTCCACCTCCTGTCACCTAAACATAGGGAATCTTCAATTATCTCTTTGGGTTGAGCAGACTTATTTATCAGCAATGCCTTGTATGTTCCTTACCTCCCCTTCACATTGCAGAGTACTAACCACTATAAGATCACGGCTTTACATCCCCTTTGGTATTTGCACTATTTCTAGTGTTTGCCACACTCATCTGACAAGGAAAGAGGCAAGCTAAGAGCACACATGGACTTCTACAGGGTCCCTGAGGCCCACAGGTATTGAGGTCTGCCCTGGAAGATGCCTAATGAGCCCTGGTGGCCAAAGCCTCAGCATGGAATGCATTGGCCAGTGAGGAGTGTATAGCCTTCAAAGGACCACTTGGAGGCTGCCATAGCTTCCTAGAAGACCAATGACTCAGATCTCCAAAGACTCAGCAGTCACTCAGCCAGAGGGAATGGGCCAAAGCAACTCCTGGCACTCAGACTTGGAAGCTGTTCTGGGAGTCAGGTAAGTTGGAAGGCAGCATGATTGTGTCAGCCCAGAAAACTTAGTTCCTTAAAATTATGAAAGTTCTATAGTAGCTGACTTTGCCTTTTCCCTGTGTTAGTAAGAGAATCCATAGGCTTTTGGTTAATATGAGATACTATGATCAAGAAAGGCAGCAGCTGGAGTACAGGCCTAGACCCTCAGAACATTCCTTTATCTTTGGAGGAAGGACAAGGCTCCATTTGTGAGCCTCCATTTGCAAGAGTGAGTGGACCTTGTTGCTCCTGCCAAGAACTGGGAAAACTCTTAATTGGAAAGACACCAAGCTGTGGCTTTCTATGAGAGCAGATCCTGACTTGGACTTCAAAGGCATGATCCCCAGAAGGGTTAGTTAAATATGTGTGTTGAGGATTTCAAAAAGATATGAATGCTTACTATGTATTAAGCCCTGTGCTAGTCATTCCATGTATGTGTGAGAAAAGTAAATTAGGACAAATTAATTTTTTTCATCCTCCCAGGGATGAGCACACCCATATACTCTACAACCAGTAAAAAGTATAAGATAGCTCTGATATGTAATAATCTTTAATATGTGCCAGCCGTGGTGGTTCACGCCTGTAATCTCAACACTTTGGGAGGCCAAGGTGGGTAAATCGCCTGAGGTCAGGAGTTCAAGACCAGCCTGACCAACATGGAGAAACCCTGTCTCTACTAAAAATACAAAAAATTAGCTGAGTATGGTGGCACATGCCTGTAATCCCAGATACTCGAGAGGCGGAGGCAGGAGAATCACTTGAACCTGGGAGGTGGAGGTTGCAGTGAGCTAAGATCACACCATTGCACTCCAGCCTGGGCAACAAGAGCAAAACCCCGTCTCAAAAAAAAAAAAAATCTTTAATATATATTGTTAAATGAAGAAAGAAAGAAGTAGAAACATTACATATATGTATGTTCCTATTTGTGAATACAAATACACATACACATGGATGATCCATCCAGCACCTTAGTTTCTCAGTTCCTTAATATCTTGAATTATTGCCTTATATGAACATGACGAGAAAAATAGACAATCATGCTAACTGATCTAATTTTAAATGTATGACAAGCTGAGTGCAGTGGCTCATGCCTGTAATTCCAGAACTTTAGACGGTCTAGGCAGGAGGACTGCTTGAGGTCAGGAGTTCAAGACCAGCCTGGTTAACATAGTGAGATCTCATCTCTACAAGAAATTTTTAAAAATTAGCTGGGCATGTTGGTGCACATCTGTAGTCCCAGCTATTCAGGAGGTTGAGGCAGGGAGGATCGCTTGAGCCCAGGGGTTGGAGGTTACAGTGAGCTATGATGTACTCCAGCCTGGGCTATAGTGATACCCTGTCTCAAAAAATAAATTAAAAAAAATGAATAAATGCATGGCCAGAATCCTCAAGTGGACCCTCATTGTTATACAGCCACCCTAATTTCCCTAATCCAATTCACTCTCCCACTCTCCTTAGTACGCCATTTCACTCCTTCTCCTTCTCAACCTCTAATACTCTCCCTCACTGTCAGCTGATAACATTGCTCTTCATATCACTGAGAAAATGTTAGGAATCAAAGAGAATTTCCACATCCTCTCATCAATAAAATCTACTCATTGACCTACATGTCTCTCTACCCGTACACTGTGTCTTCCCATTAACAGTGGATACTTCATTCAAGTGCCCACCTAAGGCCAACTCCCCCATTTGTGTGGTGACTGTAACCACCTCTCCCCTAACTGGTTGGATTTTAGATTCATTAAATGGAATTTGAGATCCCATAAATTCAAGAAACCAAGAATTAAAGGCAAGCATACGCGACAAGTTAAGGAAACTGAGTTGACTCCCAAGTGCAAGGCCGGGGTAGAGGTCCCCAGGATTTTTCACAAGGAGATCAACTGGGCTAAGAATTAGGAGGTCTGTTGGAGGGGTGTTGGAGGTTTTAGTAATGGCTGTGCCACCTGCTGTGTGAACTTGGCCAAGTTACTTAGATCCATGGACTTGGGCAGGTGGTGAGGAGGCCACAGACAAGACCAGCAAAATTAACTTTTGACCCATGGAAGCCCTCTGTAACATAGTCCCTAAATCAGTCAATGTTTTCACAAACAACAGAAATCAACTGAGCTAAGCAGAAAAGAACATGATTAAAAGAATATTGGTGGTTCACAGAATTTCAATAAGGGCAGGAGAATCAGGATCGAAGGTTTTTGCAGCTAGGGACCAAGCTCAAAATCACATCCTAGAGCAATCTGATGAAGACGGTCCAGCTGCTACTGGGCCTACTGGACATCACAGCTTACATTGGGCATCCCCTAAAACTAGACACTGGGTGCCTGCCTCTGAACCTGCTGCCACTGCTACTTCTGAGAATGGATGGAGCTGTGATTCTTGGAGCCACCTCTCTAGAAGAGATTCCACACAGCCCTTGCTAAGCAAGGAATCTCTTGCATCCCCAGCTTCATACCCACTGTCTTTTTCTAAGGAAGCTGCCTCACCCATAGCCCTCTGCTAAGAGAAGGTGTGGGAGCCAAGGATATTGCATAGAGACCGCTACACTTGAGCAAACCATAGGACCCGATTTAAGAACTACAATCCGTCTGGCACAGTGGCTGATGCCTGTAGTCCCAGCACTTTGCGAGGTTGAGGCAGGAGAATTGCTTGAGCCCAGGAGTTCAAGACCAGCCTTGTCAATATAGCAAGATCCCATCTCTATTAAAAAAAAGGAAAGAAAATTTTTTAAAAATTAGGCCAGGCGCAGTGGCTGACGGCTATAATCCCAGCACTTTGGGAGGCCAAGGCGGGTGGATCACTTGAGGTCAGGAGTTTGAGACCAGCCTGGCTAACATGGTGAAACCCTGTCTCTACCAAAACATACAAAAATTTACAGGGCATGGTGGCATGTACCTGTAGTCCTAGCTACTTAGGAGGCTGAGGTGGGAGAATTGCTTGAACCCAGGAAGCGGAGGTTGCAGGAAGCCAAGATCACACCACTGCACTCCAGCCTGGGTGACAGAGTGAGACTCTATCTCAAAAATTTTAAAAAATTAAATTAAATTTAAAAAGAACTACAAACCCATAGACTGGCCTGTGACCTATGAGATGGGCATAATAAAAGTTACATAAGGCAATCTGGCTCTCTGTGTCTCAAATTTGAAATTTGGGAATTTTTTTTTTTTTTTTGAGACGCAGTCTCGCTCTGTCACCTTGGCTCACTGCAATCTCCACCTTCTGGGTTCCAGCCATTCTCCTGCCTCAGACTCCCGAGTAGCTGGGACTACAGGCACGTGCCACCATGCCTAGCTATTTTTTAAAATTATTATTTAGTACAGACGGGGTTTCACCATGTTGGCCAGGCTGGTCTTGAACCCCTGACCTCAGGTGATCCACCCGCCTCAGCCTCCCAAAGTGCTGGGATTACATGTGTGAGCCACCACGCTTGGCCAATTTGGGAAAATGTTAAGAGATTCACCAGTTGGCAGCAGGGGGAAATATAAAAAGACACAGAGAAACAAAGAGAGCTGCAGAAATCTCATGAATGGGGTAATAAGTAAAAATGGATGATAAAATAACCTTGCATTCTGAAGGATGGTTGGTATTAGATTTCTGTGAAACTCTCTCTCCCTTAGTGCTGCATATATCCTCCATTCGAGAACTACAAACAAGGCCGGGCGTGGTGGCTCATGCCTGTAATCCCAGCACTTTGGGAGGCCGAGGCGGGTGGATCACTTGAGGTCAGGAGTTTGAGACCAGCCTAGCCAACATGGCAAAACCCCATCTCTACTAAAAATACAAAAATTAGCTGGGCGTGGTGGCTTGCAACTGTAGTCCTAGCTACTCAGGAGGCTGAGACAGGAGAATCGCTTGAACCTGGGAGGTGGAGGTTGCAGTGAGCAGAGATGGCACCACTGCACTCCAGCCTGGGTGACAAAGCGAGACTCTGTCTCCAAAAAAAAAAAGAACTACAAACAGCTGGGCACAGTGGCTTATGCCTTTAGTCCCAGCCTGCTTGGGTGATGACTACAAAAATTATTAATGTATTAATATTCGAACCTTCACATTAATACATTATATGTTCAAACCTTCTACATTAATACGTTAACTCTCAAACCCTCTAATGAAAGTTCAGTTTTTTCAGGTTGGTTCCTAGACTTTTTTTTTTTTTTTTTTTTTTTTTTTGAGGTGGAGTCTTGCTCTGTCACTCAGGCTGGAGGGCAGTGGCACGATCTTGGCTCACTGCAACATCTGCCTCCTGGGTTCAAGTGATTCTCGTGCTTCAGCCTCCCATGTAGCTGGAATTACAGGCGTGAGTCACCACACCCAGCTAATTTTTGTATTTTTAGTAGAGACAGGGTTTCACTATGTTGGCCAGGCTAGTCTCGAACTCCTGACCTCACGTGACCCACCCGCCTTGGCCTCCCAAAGTGCTGGGATTACAGGTGAGAGCCACCGTGCCCAGATGGTTCCTAGACTTTTATGTTGCAGAATCAAGGAAAAGAGTAAAGAGAATCAGATGGAGAATGAGGAATCTGTTTCTCCAAGTCTGAAATTTTCTCGCTGGAGAAAATGTTGAAAGGAGACTGAAGGAAAGGCTGGGGCAGAAGATTCTTCAGCTACTTAAGCTAGTTGAGTTCAAAGTTGAGCGTGAGAGAAAAATTGAGTGAGAGAACAGTTGCTCCTAAGGGTGAAGAGTACTGAGTGAGGCAGAGGTATGAAGGAAACTTAGATTTTTTTTCTGTATCCTTTCCTTTTTTTTTTTTTTTTTGAGACAGAGTCTTGCTCTGTGGCCCAGGCTGGGGTGCAGTGGTACAATCTCAGCTCACTGAAACCTCTGCCTCCAGGATTCAAGCAATTCTCCCGCCTCAGCCTCCCAAGTAGCTGGGATTACAGGCATGTGCCACCATGCCTGGTTAATTTTTTTGTATTTTTAGTAGAGACGGGTTTTCACTATATTGGCCAGGCTGGTCTCAAACTCCTGACCTTGTGATCCGCCCGCCTCGGCCTCCCAAAGTGCTGGGATTACAGGCGTGAGCCACCGTGCCCGGCCGTGAACATTTTTTAGATGGTTTTTATTAATTAATTGAAATTGTGCCTACTTATACTCCCTCACTTTATGGTGACATGTTCTTGTACAGGTTACCTCCTCTGTGCATCAATTTCCTCCTCTGTAAAATGAGAGTAAGAAAAATACCCATACTATTGCTCAGATTGTTGTGACAATTATCCAGTAGGACAGAGGTAAAATGTGGCACCTGGAAGAGGGTCATCTCTCAACAAAGGTCTGCAATTATCATCTCCTTAAGGACCCTCATTTTACAGATTAGACATTTGAAGCAAAGAGAGGTTAGGCATCCTGCTCAAGGGTCAGAGCCAGGACTTAAAGCCAGGCTTCTGCCTCCAACCCACCCTCTTAACTATTCTCTCTGTGCTGCCTAAACCGGTTCTGGAACCGAGGCCTCTGAAGCTTCCACTGCCTCCACAGAGGATTTTCTGGGCCCTCCTTTTATCATTAGCTTTGGATTTAAGCTGTTTAGTGCATCAGAATGGCTGAGGCTGGCATGTGCTTGGAATATGAGTATCTGCCATTTTCAGCTTGTAGAGTGGGAAGTGACTCTGCCTCTTTCAAGTCTCACCAAGATTCTCCTAACCTAAGAAGTGAGCTTAGAAGCTGAGCAGCCAATGGCCAGGTGTAGTGGCTGACACCTGTAATCCCAACTTTTGGGATGCCAAGGCGGGCGGATCACCTGAGGTCAGGAGTTCGAGACCAGCCTGGACAACATGATGAAACCCGTCTCTACTGAAAAAAAAGAAAAAAAAAAAAAGCCGGATGTGGTGGCCCGCACCTGTAGTCCCAGCTTCTCAGGAGGATGAGGCTGGAGAATCACTTGAACCCAGGAGCCGCAGGTTGCAGTGAGCTGAGATTGTACCACTGCACTCCAGCCTGGGTGACAGAGCGAGACTCCTGTCTCAAAAAAAAAAAAAAAAAAAAAAAAGAAGCTGAGCAGCAAAGGGAGAAATGCCCACTCTTACCACTTCCTTTGTAGTCCTTTCTCAAGGAGAAAGTGAAGCTTGGTGGTTAGGAGCATAGAATCAGGAGCAAACCGCCTAGGCTCTGCTCCTTACTAGCCATATGTCCTCAGGCAATTTACTTATCTCTCTGTGCCTCAGTTTCCTCATTTGTAAAATAGAGATAATAGGTTACTTACCATAGAGTTCTTAAAATGATTAAATGACTTAATATTTATTTGCAAGTACTTATAACAGTGCCTGGCACTACTAAGCGTTATATAAATATTACATAAATATAGAAATCATAGAAATTTTTAAATGAGTCATTTTGTCATGCAGTTTATCCCTTTTCTAGTAATATGTTCAGATACACTAATGTTAAATATATAATAACTTTAAAACTTTCTCAAAGGAAGAAGGGTGGGGAGGGATATAATATATTTAGAAAACACAGATGGGGTTTCTTTTCTCTACAGTTCCCTTCCTCATCCCCGAGTTGTGTGGAACTATGGTTGAGGATACCTGACATTTCTACTCATGTGCCTATGCACAGGACTGATTTATGTTTGGCTACTATTATAAGATCTCCTTCCATACCTGCCTTGTCTTCCGGAGATGCCCCTCCCTAATGCTTGAGCCAACTCCTTTGCCTCAGTCCTGCTCCCAGGCCCTACACTCATGGGATGATCTCCAAGGTGCAGAATACCTGCCTTGCTAACTACACAGATGGGCCAGGCATGGTCTCTGCTCACAGGTCACTCGTATACCAAGAGGATCAGTACTGCTTGGTCTTGAAAACAGGCATTTTTGCTGTGTATGAGAACTTGACCTGCTTTCATGTGGTTCCCTAGAAATAATTACATCCACACTTCTGACCACAATCAGTTACTTATGACTTATATTAAGCCACCCAGGGAAATAATCATTTCCTTAGAAGAAGTTATGTTATGACCAGCCTGGCCAACATGGTGAAACCCTGTCTCTACTAAAAGTACAAAAATTAGCTGGGCATGGTGGTGCATGCCTGTAATCCCAGCTACTCGGGAGGCTGAGGCAGGAGAATCATTTGAACCCAGGAGGCAGATGTTGCAGTGAGCTGAGATCGTGCCACTGCACTCCAGCCTGGGTGACAGAATGAGAACCTGTCTCAAAAAAAAAAAAAAAAAAAAAAAGAAAGAAGAAGTTATGTTAGCTTAATGTTTTATGTAGTTTATGTTTATTTTGGTTACAATTTCATACATATAGCAGGAAAGCTCATCTCTGGAAAGAATTTCAAGCCGCATGACATTATGGAAAATGCTCCTGTCCTGGAAGTCAGACACCTTGGAGTTTAATCCTAGCTCTGCTTCTGTGTAACCAGGGGAGAGTTGCTTCACCTCTTGGGTCCGCTCTTATTTTTCGATGCTCTTTTTGATGGTAAATAGTTTTTGATGCTCTCAAAATCAAAAGCAGGCTTTTACTGAATCAATGAAATGTGGGGACTAGGTACCAGCTAGTCCAATCCCTCATTTTTTTTTAACTCAATGTTTTGTTTTGTTTGTTTGTTTTTATTATTATTATACTTTAAGTTTTAGGGTACATATGCACAACGTGCAGGTTTGTTACATATGTATACATGTGCCATGTTGGTGTGCTGCACCCATTAACTCGTCATTTAACATTAGGTATATCTCCTAACACTATCCCTCCCCGCTCCCTCCACCCCACAACCGTCCCCAGTGTGCGATGTTCCCCTTCCTGTGTCCATGTGTTCTCATTGTTCAATTCCCACCTATGAGTGAGAACATGCGGTGTTTGGTTTTTTGTCCTTGCGGTAGTTTGCTGAGAATGATGGTTTCCAGCTTCATCCATGTCCCTACAAAGGACATGAATTCATCCTTTTTTATGGCTGCATAGTATTCCATGGTGTCTATGTGCCACATTTTCTTAATCCAGTCTATCATTGTGGCACTATTCACAATAGCAAAGACTTGGAACCAATCCCTCATTTTACAGGGAAGAAAAGGGAGGCTAATGTTGATAAACTGGTTCACCATGGTCAGACATCTAGCTGAAATCAAAGTGAAGACTATGTGATGAAGAATTATTCTTTGTTGCTTGCTAGGCCCCAAGCCATTGTGTGCCTGTTGGTTATTATGAAGCAGCCAACAATATTATGCTTAGCTTATTACACAGTTTTCCCCCTTTATTTAGACAGTTCCCTTTGAAGAAAAGAAAGCCCTTGGATTTGTTGTGATTTGCTTTGAGGGATTACAAGCTTTTATCTTAAGTGTTTTGTAATAATTAAAACTTTGAACAGCTTTAAGCATTATTTGGGGGATACAAAAAATTGAGTAAAACTTTCTGAGATGAAAATTTTCTGTTTTATAATTCAATAAGACATTTAGCTTGCAGGAAAAGGGAATATTAAAATGCCTTCATTTGGATTTAAGAATTATAACAGGATTTCCTTTGTGAGAGGAAAAACCACAGTGGCAAGTTTGAGGACTTGAAGGATTTTATTTTTGTAATTAAGTGATAGTTTATTAGCACAGTGGTAATTGTTTCTTCTGACACATTGTACTTTATTCTCATATAACACCATTCATCTAAAGATTACAGATGAATTTTAATCTTGTCTATAACTAAGTTTCACATAATCCATTCATTTTCTTTCTTTTTTAAATTATTTTTTATTTTTTAGACACTGTCGCTCTGTTGCCCCAGGCTGGAGTGCAGTGGCATGATCTCAGCCCACTGCAACCTCTCCCTCCAGGTTCAAGCAATTCTCCTGCCTCAGCCTCCCAAGTAGCTGGGATTAAAAGCATTTGCCGTGACGCCTGGCTAATTTTTGAATTTTTAGTAGAGACAGGGTTTCACTATGTCGGCCAGGCTGGTCTCAAACTCCTAACCTCAAGTGATCTGCCCGCCTCGGCCTCCCAAAGTGCTGGGATTACAGGCATGAGAAACCGCACCTGGCCAATCCATTCATTTTCATTTATCTCTCTCATTTTTTCAGATGAGCAAATATAAATTTTGAAAAATAAGATACTCTCAAATGCCCTGAATTGCCTGTCTCTTATTTCAGCAAATTCAAGTCTGAATATAGCTTGTAAATGTTATCTATTCAAATTCAGCCTCGCCTGTAACAGCAGTGATGATACCATTATGCTAGCTGCCAGTTCAGGGTCTATCAGACTCTGCCTCTCTAAACCAAATAGTTTGAAGCTACCTGGTGCTAAAGCAATCATTCACCCTCCTCTCAGGCTATTTTCTCACTTATCCAGCTCCTGCCCAGTAAGTTCACCAAGCAATTTCTTTCTTTCTTTTTTTTTTTTTTTTTAAGAGTTGGAGTCTCACTCTGTCTCCCAGACTGGAGTGCAGTGGCTCAATCACAGCTCACTGCAGCCTCAAACTCCTGGGCTCAAGAGGTCCTCTGGCCTCAGCCTCCCAAGTAGCTGGGAATAGAGGTGCATGCCACCATGCCCAGCTACACTGACCAGATTCGATTCAGCTGTCTCTGCTTCTGCCTTTGAGCCTCCCCGAGGTTCTCTCTCAGCTTCAGTCTACCTCAGGCAAGACACCTGGCTTAAGCAGCCATTTAGCTAGTGCTGGTCCTGCCCTGGCCCAAAGAGAGGGAGATTTGGACACCTATTACTGCCCTATCCTGACCCATGTCTAGGTATAAAGGGACAAAGACGAACAAAACAAGTCAAAGGCTTGCTCTAAGTCTCTAGATATAGAGGGCCTAAACAGCAAGCATTAGGTTCTGAATTGGACATTTATGACCTTCAAAATAGAAGGGATGATAAATATTATGGATGAATCCTTGTTGAAAACAGAAGTATGGCCAGGCGCAATGGCTCATGCCTGTAATCCTCGCACTTCGGGAGGCCAAGGCCAGAGGATTGCTTTAGCCCAAGAGTTCAAGATTGTGGTAAACTATGATTGGGCCATAATGTTTTCCATCCTGGGTGACAGGAAGGAAGGAAGGAAGTGAGGGAGTGAAGGAGGGAGGGGAGGGGAGTGAAGAGGGGAGAGAGGGAGGAAAGGAAGGAAGGGGAGGAAGAGAGAGAGAAAGGAAGAAAGGAAGGAAAGGAAGGAGGGAAGGAAGGAGAAAGAGGAAGGAAGGAAGAGGAGGGAAGGAGGGAAAGGAAGGGAAGGAAGGAAGGAAAGAAAGAAAGTAGAAGTGTAACTGGAAGTGTTGATGGTTGTTTGCAGCTTTGCTGCTCAAAGTGTGACCCAGCAGCATCAGTATCAATTGAGAGCTTGTTAGAAATTTGGCATCTCAGGCTGGGAGCAGTGGCTCTTGCCTGTAGTCCCAGCACTTTGGGAGGCTGAGGCGGGTGGATCACTTGAGGTCAAGAGTTCAAGACCAGCCTGGGCAACATAGTGAAACCCTGTCTCTACCAAAAATACAAAAATTAGCTGGCTGTGGTAGTCCATGCCTGTAATCCCAGCTACTCGGGAGGCTGAGGCAGGAGAATCGCTTGAACCTGGGAGGCAGAGGTTGCAGTGAGCCACGATCTCACCACTGCACTCCAGCCTGGGCAACAGAGAAAGACTCTTTCTCAAAAAAAAAAAAAAAAGGCATCTCATGCTCCCTCCTAGACCTAATGAATCCAAATCTACATTGTAATAAGACCCTTCAGGTGATTTTTCTTGGCACTGTCTATATTAGTCTGGTGGGGCTGCCATAACAAAATTTCACAACTTGAGTGGCTTAAACAACAGAAATTTATTTTCCTGAAGTTCTGGAGACTGGAAGTCAAGATCAAGTTGTCAGCAGGTTTGGTTTCTTCTGAGGCCCCTCTCCTTGCTTTGTAGATGGCTGCTTTCTTTCTTTTTCTTTTTTTTTTTTTTTTTTTTTTTTTTGAGACAAAGTCTCACTTCCACGCCCAGGCTGGAGTGCAGTGGCATAATCTCAGCTCACTGCAGCCTCGACTTCCTGGGCTCAAGTGATCCTCCCACCTCTGCTTCTGGGGTAGCTGGGACCACAGACATGCACCACCATGCCCAACTAATTTTTTGTACTTTTTGTAGAGACAGGGTTTCACCATGTTGCCCAGGCTGGTCTTGAACTCCTGGGCTCAAGTGATCGACCCGCCTCAGCCTCCCAAAGTGCTGAGATTCCAGGTGTAAGCTTTCACGCCTTGCTAAGATGACTGCTTTCTTACTGTTTCCTCATATGGCCCTTTCTCTGTGTGTGCATCCCTAGTGTCTCTCTGTGTGTCCTAATCTCCTCTTCTTATGAGGACATCAGTCGGATTGAATTAGGGCCCCCTAACCATCTCATTTAACTTAGTCATCTCTTTAAAGGTCCTATCTCCAAATACAGTCACTTTCTGAGGTACTGAGGGTTAGGACTTCAAAATATGATATGTCAGTGGGGATATAATTCTGCCCATAACAGTGTGTAAAGCAAGTCTGGCTTGATCTGTCCTTTCCTTTGAAAGTCCCCAGCATGACCAGAGCCTCAGAGATGATAGACTTGGGCTGCCCAAAGTACACAAGAGCCAAATGCCAAATGCTAATCCAGTCATCAACAGAGAGACATCACTGTCATAGGATTGACATATTTGAAAGATACATGCCCTCATTTCTCTCTGTTGACTTACCTAGGAGGCTAGATCCTCCTCAGGTCACCAAGTAAACCTGGCATGTTTACCCCTTCTCAATGACACTGTATTTCTCTAGATACCTTAATGCAATCCATAGTGTCAGCATATTACCAACCTGGGAAACCTTTAGTCTCCTTCATCCACTTCTTAAAAGCAATCCTATGTCTCTCATTTTCTCAGGTTGGGGTGCATATCCTGGTAACCCCCAAACAATGTGATATAACCATACACCACTCACCTGATCTTATTTTTATTTATTTATTTTTTGTGTGTGTGAGGTGGAGTCTCGCTCTGTTGCCCAAGCTGGAGTGCATTGGCGCAATCTCAGCTCACTGCAACCTCCACCTCCCAGGTTCAAGTGATTCTCCTGCCTCAGCCTCCCTAGTAGCTGGGATTACATGCACATGCCACCATGCCAGGCTAATTTTTGTATTTTTGTTAGAGATGGGGTTTCGTCACGTTGGCCAGGCTGGTCTTGAACTCCTGACCTCAAGCGATCTGCCCACCTCTGCCTCCCAAAGTGCTGGGATTACAGGCGTGAGCCACCTCGCCTGGTCTCCATAATCTTATTTAATCTTATTTATGTTGTGAGACAACAACACTATGCAATAGATACTATTATCCCCATTTTACAAGTGAGGAAAGTGAGGCTCAGGGATATTAAGGAACTTATTTAATGTTACACATTTGGTAGTAGGAGGTCAGAATTTAAGCCAGCTCCAAAGCCTGTGGTTTTAGGTCCTGCACTATACACACCACCTCTTTGGCCTTTTCCTCAGGCAAGCTCCAAACCTGCTTTGCAAGCTATTATGTACAGACTTGTGACTGACTTGTTTTCCTGCTCCTGCACGTGGTTCATATGTCATGTGTCAACCTCATCATTATGATCACTATCATCTTCGTCATTATTAACATTTGCTGAAAGCTGTCACGTTGCTAGGCAATTTAAGTTTAATTCCTCATGTGCAGCTTCTATCTGCATGCTTTTCCTTTAAATAATCACACTGCTAGGAATACAGTACTTCTTTTTGAAAGTATGACACCACAAGCAACTGTTAAGGTATTTGTTTTAGTGCTGGAAGCTGGAGAGAACAACCATTTTGCTCAGTTATTCACCATGCACAATTGGTCCTCTGGTTTCACCCTTCATGCTTGATGCCTTCAAAGATCAAGATAAATCCTTTTAGCCAAAATAAAAATAAATCCAAAGGAACTTAATCTGTGGGCCTATTACTGCTCAGTGTTGAATGACTGTGCTTTTATTCTAGTCAGATTTCTTTTTAAATTTTAAAATGTGGCTGGGCGCAATGGCTCACTCTTGTAGTCCCAGCACTTTGGGAGGCTGAGACGGGCAGATCACCTGAGGTCAGGAGTTTGAGACCAGCCTGGCCAACATAGTGAAACCCTGTCTCTACTAAAAATACAAAAATTAGCCATGCGTGGTGGTGCATGCCTGTAATCCCAGCTACTCAGGAGGCCGAGGCCAAAGAACTGCTTGAACCCAGGAGGCGGAGGTTGCAGTGAGCCAAGATCGTGCCACTGCACTCCAGCCTGGGCGACAAAGCAAGACTCTATCTCAAAAAAAATAAATAAATAAATAAATAAAATAAATTAATTAATTAAATTAAATTTTAGAATGCTAAGATTTGTTATTGGAATTTACAGTTTTGCTGCCTAATCTTCAGATCATGGATTTTTATATCAGTCAGTAAATGAATGTAAAGGAAGACAGATTGTTTTGTATTTGAAGTTTGGTTAATATACTTACCAGTTTTGGTCACTTTGGGAATGTTACTTAACTTCAGAGTCTCAGTTAATCTCCCTATTACAATGGGTTACTCAACTTTTTGTTTGTTTGTTTTTTGGGGTTTTTTTTTTTTTTTTTTTTTTTTTTGAGATGGAGTCTTACTCTGTCGCCCAGGCTGGAGTGCAGTGGTGAGATCTCAGCTCAGTGAAACCTCTGCCCCCCAGGTTCAAGTGATTCTCCTGCCTTAGCCTCCTGAGTAGCTGGGATTACAGGTGGGCACCATCACAGCTGGCTAATTTTTGTATTTTTAGTAGAGACAGGGCTTCACCATGTTGGCTGGGCTGGTCTCAAACTCTTGACTTCAGGTTATCCACCCACCTTGGCCTCCCAAAGTGTTGGGATTACAGGCGTGAGCCACTGCGCCTGGCCAATGGGTTAATCAACTCTTAAAAGACTTTTTATTTTTTAGAGATAAATACTGAATAAAATGATATGATGGCCAGGAGTTGCTTCAAGTCATCCAAGTATAGGGGAAAGTGGGTGGGTATACAGTTGAAACAAGACAATATACTGATCATGATCATAGCTCAAGTTGGGTGAGGGGTACACAGAGATTCTTATACTATTCTCCCTATTTTTCTATATGTTTGAAATTTTTCTATTTTTTCTTTTCTGTAAGAGATGGAGTCTTGCTCTGTGTCCCAGGCTGGAGTACAATGGCGCGATCTCAGCTCACTGTAACCTCCGCCTCTGGCGTTCAAGCGATTATCCTGCCTCAGCCTCCTAAGTAGCTGAGACTACAGGCATGTGCCACCACGCCTGGCTAATTTTTTGTATTTTTAGTAGAGACGGGGTTTCACCGTGTTAGCCAGGATGGTCTCAATCTCCTGACCTTGTGATCTGCCCGCCTCGGCCTCCCAAAGTGCTGAGATTACAGGTGTGAGCCACTGCGCCCGGCTGCGCTTTCTCTAAATTAGCAGAGACAAATTTGGAGTCAGGCTGACTGAAGCTCTTACTTTTCAACTGAGTAACTTGTTTGGTCTGCTCTATAACTAATGTGTCAACAATGCATGGAGTACTAGTTCAGGATTAAGAACTGACTCTCTTGGAGGAGGAGGGAGGAAAGTTCTGATTTGTAACATTTGCAGGGGTAAATACTTCCACCATTGCCAATCTTGCCATGTCACTGAGTACAGAATTGGGAGATGTACAGTTACTGCATACCATTACCTAGGATTTCTACTATACAGATGCAGTAGATATAAGTAACCTCAAAACATAGATCACAGTGAAATGTAGCAAAAATAATTAAGAAGTGACGAGTTTTGATAATGTTTTTGCCTTTGTTCTTAAATTTTTTTTTTTTTAAGACAAGGTCTGGCTCTGTCTCCCAGGCTGGAGTGCAGTGGCACGATCTCAGCTCACTGTAACCTCTGGGGCCCAGGCTCAAGCAATCCTCCTACCTCAGCCTCCTCAGTAGCTGGGACTACAGGCATGCACCACTATGCCTGACTACTTTTTGTATTTTTTGTACAGATGGGGTTTTGCCATGTTGCCCAGGCTAGCCTTGAACTCCTGGGCTGAAGCAATCTGCCTGCCTCAGCCTCCCAAAGTTCCAGGATAGCAGGCGTGAGCCACTGTGCCTGGCCACATAAGTTAATTCTTTTTTTAATTTTAATTTTAATTTATTTATTTTTGAGATAGGGTCTTGCCCGGTTGCCCAGACTGGAAAGGAGTGGTGCCATCATAGCTCACTGAAGCCTTGAACTCCTGGGTTCAAGAAATCCTCTTGTCTCAGCTTCCCGAGTAGCTGGGACTACAGGTGCACACCACCTTGCCCAGCTAATTTTATTTTAATTTATTTTTATAGTAGAGACAGGGTCTTGCTATGTTGCCCAGGTTGGTGTTGAACTCCTGGGCTCAAGTAACCCTCCTGGCTCGGCCTCCCAAAATGCTGGGAATCTAGCCATGAGCCACCATACTCAGCCGAGAAGCTTACTGTTAAAGAGATCCACTGTTCACTTTGTTGAGGGCAACCAAGAGGGAAAGTTTTTTACACAAGGAGGATTCCAGCCCTTTGTTAGAGCCAGCAATACAGCCTGAGAGGTGAAGGGTTTAATATCCAAGGAAATGACTGAATCAGGATTCGATCAAGAACATCTTAGCACATCCTCAAGGTTCTATAGGTATTGAAAGTTCCACAATGTGCTGTGTGATAATGTGCTATTGAGAGAGAGAATAAAGACATGCCCAGAGCATAGGCTGTTTTCTTTGTGGTATGTCAGAGGACAGAGCACTTCTTACATAAGAGGGCTAATAAGCATATTTTGGATCCTACTTATAGCATTTCTGAGCCATTCTGTCCTGGGCATCTTCTAAGATTTTACAGCTTGGAGAAACAGAGACAGTTCACTTAAGAGGTTTATCTTTCTGTCATGAACTATACATATTAAATCTGGATGGGTAGCAATTTAATCATTTCCCGTCAAAGATGGCTGCATTCAAATGAAGCCTCTAAAGAGTATAAAATATATCATGATCATTTAAGAGTTTAAGAGTTTCAGTCTCTGAGTATGCATCCTTGAAGTAGCATTATATTTCAGCCTTAAAAATGTTCATATCCTTTGACTTTGTAAAATTCTATATAAAGGAAAGAATCCCAAATATGTAAAAAGTTTTATGACGGCCAGATGCAGTGGCTCATGCCTGTAATCCCAGCACTTTGGGAGGCCAAGGTGGGTGGATAATTTAAGGTCAGGAGTTCAAGACCAGCCTGGTCAACATGATGAAACCCCATCTCTACTAAAGATACAAAAATTAGCTGGGCATGGTGGCAGGTGCCTGCAATCCCAGCTACTCGGGAGGTTGAGGCACAAGAATCGCTTGAACCTGGGAGGCAGAGGTTGCAGTGAGCCAAGATCAAGCCACTGCACTCCAGCCTGAGCGACAGAGTGAGACTACTCTGTCTCAAAAAAAAAAAAAAAAAAAAAAGAGTTGGCCGGGCGCAGTGGCTCACGCCTGTAATCCCAGCACCTTGGGAGGCCGAGGTGGGCAGATCACAAGGTCAGGAGTTCGAGAACAGCCTGGCCAACACAGTGAAACCCAGTCTGTACTAAAAATACAAAAAATTAGTTGGGCGTGGTGGCAGGGCGTGGAGGCAGGGGAATCTCTTGAACCTGGGAGGCGGAGGTTGCAGCGAGCTGAGATTGCACCAGTGCACACCAGCTGGGGTGACAGTGCGAGACTCCGTCTCAAAAAAAATAAAAAATAAAAATTAAAAACAATGTTTTATGACAAAGTATTTACCAAAACATTATTTGTAACAGTGTAAAAGTGGTAAAAACCTAAAGGTACAATAATAGAAGATATATTAATTATGGTATTTCAACCAGATGGGCCATTATGCAGGCATTTAAAAGGATGTTTCTGAATAATTTATAAACCCCCAGAAAAACACTTAATAATATAACATTGTTATTAAAAATTGAGACATAGGCTGGGTGCAGTGGCTCACATCTGTAATCCTAGCACTTTGGGAGGCTGAGGTGGGCAGATCACGTGAAGCCAAGGGTTTGAAACCAGCCTGATCAACATAGCAAGACCCTATCTCTATAAAAAATAAAAAATAAAATTAGCCAGGTGCAGTGGCACATGCCTATAATCTCAGCTACTTGGGAGGCTGAGGCAGGAGGCTCACTTGAGTCAAGGAAGTCGAAGCTGCAGTGAGCTATGATGACACCATGGCACTCCAGCCTGGGCAACAGAGCAAGACATTGTTTCCTAAAACAAAACAAGGCTGAGTGTGGTGGCTCACACCTGTAATCCCAACATTTTGGGAGCCAAGGCGGGTGGATCATCTGAGGTCAGGAGTTCCAGACCAGTCTGGCCAACATGGTGAAACTTCGTCTCTACTAAAAATACAAAAATTAGCCAGGTGTGGTGGTGGGTGCCTGTAATCCCAGCTACTCGGGAGGCTGAGGCAGGAGACTCCCTCAAAACGGGGAGGTGGAGGTTGCACTCCACTCCAGCCTAGGTGACAGAGCGAGACTCTGTCTCAAACAAAACAAAACAAAAAAACCTACAAAACATAAAATTGGATATACAATATGATTACAACACACACACACACACACACATACACCTAGGCTTAATTTTTTAAAAGCCAGGGGGAGGAAATAAACAAAAATGTTAATAGAGGTTACCTTTGGTTATGAGAATATAAGAGGATTGGAATTATTTTCCCTCATCCTTTCCATATGTATTTTTCCAACTTTTTTGTAAAGAACCTACTGTGTATTTTCCTGTTGTTTCTTCATCTGTTCTTTGCCCTATGTAACTCTTAGAGTCCCAGGCAGCAGTGGCACAGCAGCTGTGCTGTGGAAGGATTAGTATAATACCAAAGGAATGGAGGCTGGAACTCACCATCTTAAGAACCAAAAGAGGACTCATCCAAAGCTAATGTCAGACAATGTTTCTCATGTGAACTTTTAATTTGCTTAGAATTTGTCAAAGTTACAGAAGTCCCTAAATGACAACTAAGTAGCAGGCTTAGAAAACAACCTATCCACATTAAAGGAGCCTAAGGACAGAGCTCCAAGATCAGAGCATCTCCAGGAAAACATAAACGGTCTGATATGTTTGACTCCAAAAGCCTGCAATGAGAAGCTGTTGGAGTTTATGGGAAGAATTAACAACAGATATATAGAAAATTAAGCCAGGCGTGGTGGCTCACGCCTGTAATCCCAACACTTTGGGAGACTGAGGCGGGTGGATTTCCTGAGGTCAGGAGTTCAAGACCAGCCTGGCCAACATAGTGAAACCCTGTCTCTACTAAAAATACAAAAAATTAGCTGAGCGTGGTTGCGGGTGCCTGTAATCCCAGCTACTCGGGAGGCTGAGACAGGAGAATCGCTTGAACCCAAGGGGCAGAGGTTGCAGTGAGCCAAGACTGCGGCACTGCACTCTAGCCTGGGTGACAAGAGCAAAACTCAATCTCCAAAAAAAAAGAAAAAGAAAAGAAAAGAAAATTAAGCAAATTTTAAAATGAGGCAATTATTAAATCTGGAGAAAAACAAATGTTAAGGAAACATAATTTATGTACACTACATGGCTCAGTAGTAAATGATACTTAGTCATATTGAATTAAGTAAACAAGTTTACATAACTATATTGGAAAAAAGGGAGGAGTGGAACAGAGTGATTGAAGGATGCTAAATCTTTTCCTGCCATAATTACAAAGTAATGATAATTTTAGAAGACAAATTAAGAAATAACATTACTAGGCCGGGCACAGTGGCTCATACCTGTAATCCCAGCACTTTGGGAGGTCGTGGCAGGTGGAAACCCTGTCTCTACTAAAAATGCAAAAAGTAGCTGGGTGTAGTGGTGCATGCCTGTAGTCCCAGCTACTTGGGAGGCTGAAGCATGAGTATCACTTGAACCCTGAAGGCGAAGGTTGCAATGAGCCAAGATCACACCTCTGCACACCGGCCTAGGTGACAGAGTGAGACCTTGTCTCAATAAATAAAAAATAAAATAGGCTGGGCACAGTGGCTCATGCCTGTAATCCCAAAAGTTTGGGAGGCCAAGGCTGGTGGATCACTTGAGGCCAGGAGTTCCAGACCAGCCTGGCCAACATGGTGAAACTCTGTCTCTACTAAAAACACAAAAATTAGTTAGGCATGGTGGCGCATGCTTGTGATCCCAGCTTCTTGGGAGGCTGAGGCAGGAGAATTGCTTGAACCTGGGGAGTGGAGGTGGCAGTGAGCCGAGATCATACCACTGCACTCTAGCCTGGGCGACAGAGCGGGACTCTGTCTCAAAACATATATATATAAAATAAAATAACACGATTAGCATATTACTTAAGAATGTGGGTTCATGGACCAGAAGAACTAAAAGTGTTGAAAATGGCTGTCTGTAGGGAGCAGGATTGGGGGACAAAGAGGATAGGATAGGGCTTTGGACATTACAAACCTTGTAGAAATGCATTATTTGACTTTTTAACCTTATGTAGATTTCATGTTGATTAAAAAAGAAACCACAAAACCACAATGAGATACCACCTGACACCCATTAGTATGGCTACTATAAAAAGGAAGAAAATAGAAAATAGTAAGTTTCGATTAGGATGTGGAAAAATTGGAACCCTTATTTTTGGCTGGTGGAAATGTAAAATGGTGCAGCCACTATGGAAAACAGTGTAGTGGTTCCTCAAAACATTAAAAATAGAATTACTATACAATCTAGCAATTCCACTTCTGGGTATATACCCAAAAGAACTGAAAACAAGGTCTCAAAAAAAAAAAAGTTTTTATATATCCATGTTCATAGCAGCATTATTCATAATAGCCAAAAGGTGGAACACAACCAAGTGTCCACCAATAGGTAAATGGATAAACAAAGTGTGATATACATATGCAATGGAATATTATTTAGCCTTAAAAAAGAAAGAAATTCTGACACATGCTACAACATGGATGAACCTTGAGGACATAATGCTAAGTGAAATAAGCCAGTCACAAAAAGGCAAATACTGTATGATTCCACTTATGTGAAGTACCTGGAGTAGTCAAATCAATAGAGACAGAAAGTAGAATTGTGGTTGCCAGGGACTAGGTGGGAGGGGGAAGTGGGAGTTGTTTAATGGGTACAGACTTTCAGTTTCACAAGATGAAAAGAGTTCTGGAGATGGATGGTGGTGATGGTTGTGCAATGACATGAATGTCCTTAATATCACTGAACCGTATACTTAAAAACGATTAAGATGGTAATTTTTATGTTATGTTTTATCACCTTTTTTTTTTTTGTTTTTTGAGACAGTCTCATTCTGTTGCCTAGGCTGGAGTGGAGTGGCATGATCTCTGCTCACTGCAACCTCCTCCTCCCAGGTTTAAGTGATTCTCCTGCCTCAGCCTCCTGAGTAGCTGGGATTACAGGCACGTGCCGCCATGCCCAGCTAATTTTTGTATTTTTAGTAGAGATGGGGTTTCGCCATGTTGGCCAGGCTGGTCTCGAACTCCTGACCTCAGGTGATCTGCCCACCTCAACCTCCCAAAGTGCTGAGATTAACAAGCATGAGCCACCACACCTGGCCCATAAATGGGAAATTTAAGCTGAGTCTTCAGCGTCAAATAATGTTTACACAAACTGACATTCTGTACCTTGAAAAGGACTCAAAAAAGTGAAAGTTTTCTATTGTGACCTGTCTCAACTTCAGATTTATGCCCTAAAGTCTCAGAGAGGAAAGAGCTGCTCAGGGATTTCAAAGGAAGGCGGAAATACAATACTTCGGAAATTAGACGGCATTTTCTTTGAAAAAGGAATCTCTTTGCCTGAACCTCCCATTTTTGTTTGTTAGTTTTCTTTCTTTTGTTTTGTTTTGGATTTTTTGTTTTGCCTTTAATCAACATGGACCTGGCTCCCTCTGCTGGAGCTAAAGTAAAATGCTGCTTTAAAAATCAATTTGGGGCCAGATGCCTTGGCTTAGGCTTGTAGTCCCAGCAATTTGGGAGGCCTAGGGGGGCGGATCACTTGAGCCCTGGAGTTCCAGACCAACGTGGGCAACATGGCAAAACCCTGTCTTTACAAAATATGAAAATTCACCAGATGTGGTGGTGTGCGTCTGTAGTCTCGGCTACTCGGGAGGCTAAGGCAGGAGGATTTCCTGAACCGGGGAGGCAGAGGTTGCAGTGAGCAGAGATGGCATCACTGCACTCCAGCCTGGGAGACAGGAGTGAAACCCTGCCTCAAAGAAAAAAAAAATTAGCTGTACACATGAGTCCTAGCTACTTGGGAGGCTGTGGTAGGAGGATTGCTTGAGCCCAGGAGTTTGAGACCAGCCTGGGCAAGATGAAGAGACCCCCATCTCTACAAAAAAAGTTTTTAAAAAATAGCTGTGTGTGGTGGCAACTGCCTATGGTCCCAGCTACTCAGGAAGCTGAGGCAAGAAGATCCCTTGAGCCCAGGAGTTAAGGCTGCAGTGAGCTATGATCTGGTCACTGCACTCCAGCCTGGGCAAGAGAGTGAGACACCGTCTTGCTCTGGTGATTCATTACCATTGAATCTCTTGAATTATATCAATAATCACTTGGGTACTGAATGTCTCCTGTGTGTATAGCAATACTCAGGGCCCCGGAGGAGGCCAAGAACTGCCATGTTTCCCCCCTCAGGATCTGTGGGTTTTTTGTTTTGTGTTGTTTTTGAGACAGAGTCTTGCTCTGTCACCCAGGCTGGAGTGCAGCGGCACGATCTTGGCTCACTGCAACCTCCACCTCCCAGGTTCAAGCGATCTTCCCGCCTCAGCCTCCCAAGTAGCTGGGATTACAAGCATGCACCACCACGCCTGGCTAATTTTTGTATTTTTTTAGTAGAGACTGGGTTTCACCATGTTGGCCAGGCCGGTCTCAAACTCCTGACCTCAGGTGATCCACCTGCCTCGGCCTCCCAAAGTGCTGGGATTACAGGTGTGAGCCACCATGCCCAGCCATGGATCTGGGTGTAATTTTTTTTTTCACGCTTAATTCACTTTATTTTTCTTGTATAAAAACCCTATGTTGTAGCCACAGCTAGAGCCTGGGTCCACTGCACGGAGACTCTGGTGTGGGTCTTGACGAGGTGGTCAGTGAATTCCTGATAGGTAGACTTGGTAAATACAGTCTCCTTCCAGAGGTCAGGGGTCAGGTAGCTGTAGGTCTTAGAAATTGCATCAAAGGTGGCCTTGGTGAAGTTGCCCAGGGTGGCAGTGCAGCCCCGGTCTGAGGTGTAGCAGTCATCGATACCAGCCATCATGAGCAGCTCCTTGGGCACAGGTGCGGAGACGATGCCAGTGCCCCTGGGTGCAGGGATGAGGCGCACCAGCACAGAGCCGCAGCGGCCTGTCACCTTGCAAGGGACGGTGTGGGGCTTGCTGATCTTGTTCCCCCAGTAGCCTCTGCGCACGGGGACAATAGAGAGCTTGGCCAGGATGATGGCCCCACGGATGGCGGTGGCCACCACTTTGGAGCACTTAACACCCAGACCGACGTGGCCATTGTAGTCCCCGACAGCAACAAACGCCTTGAACCTGGTGCGCTGGCCGGCACGGGTCTGCTTCTGCACTGGCATAATCTTCAAAATCTCATCCTTGAGAGAAGCCGCCAGGAAAAAGTCAATGATCTCTGATTCCTTAATGGGCAGGGAGAAGAGATAGATCTCCTCCAGGGACTTGATCTTCACGTCTTTGACAAAGCGGCCCAGCTTGGTGACGGGCATCCACTCCTTATCCTCGGCCTTGCCTCCGCGAGCTCTGCGGCCCTGGCCCAGGCCCAGTCCACGGCCGCTACCCTGGCCCCGGATGCCACTGCCGAAACCTCCGCGGAAGCCACCGCGGTTCCCCATCCCAGGGCCACCAGGGCCTCCGGGCCCCCCAACTGCACCGGCGTCACGCCATTTGGTGTTTTCTCAGAGAAGAGGCGGATCTGGGGTTTTTAAGGGAACATGGATGCTGTATACAGTGATTAGCATGGTGTCTAACATATAGTAAGTCCTCTGTAAATGTTCACTTACTCTACTGAGTGCGGCTTCTGTTCAGGGCTAGAATCTCTGATCCAGGCCTGACGGAACTTTTTTTTCAGATGGATTCCTCCTGGCCTCTGCTAAATTGTCAATACCATGAGAACAGGAACAAAGTCTTATTCATGCTCCATCCCTAGTTCTTAGGATACCTGGCACATGAAACACACTCAAAACATTTTGTTGAGTTAATGATGTCTCAAGGAAACTCACTCTACCCTTTGCTTGCTCCCATTGTTTAAAAAAGGGAGGTGACTGGCCGGGTGCAGTGGCTCACGCCCGTAATCCCAGAACTCTGGGAGGCCGGGGCGGGCAGATCACCTGAGGTCAGGAGTTCGAGACCAGCCTGACCAACATGGAGAAACCCCGTCTGTACTAAAAACATAAAAAATTAACCAGGTGTGGTGGCCAGCGCCTGTAGTCCCAGCTACTTGGGAGGCTGAGCCAGGAGAATGGCGTGAACCCAGGAGGCGGAGCTTGCAGTGAGCTGAGATTGTGTCACTGCACTCCAGCCTGGGTGACAGAGCAAGACTCCATCTGAAAAAAAAAAAAAAAAAAGGGAGGGGATGCCAGGTATAGTGGCTCATGCCTGTAATTCTAGCACTTTGGGAGACTGAGCTGTGATCGTGCCGCTATACTCCAGCCTGGGTGACAGAGTGAGACCCTATCTCAACAACAACAACAACAAAAAGAAAAAAAAAAGGAGGTGAAATATATCTTCCTATGACGTGTTTTGCCTAATCTAAGTGGTTCTCAAAAAATGTAAGTTCCCTTTCTACCTCCCCTTCTTGTCCTTCTATCATTGCCCTTTTCTTCTACCCTTTTCTTCTTCTTCATTTTTTTTTAAGACAGAGTCTTGCTCTGTCGCCCAGGCTGGAGTGCAGTGGTGCGATCTAGGCTTACTGCAACCTCTGCTTCCCGGGTGCCAGTGATTCTCCTGCCTCAGCCTCCTGAGTAGCTGGGACTCCAGGCATGCACCACCACGCTCAGCTAATTTTTGTATTTTTAGTAGAGATGAGGTTTCGCCATGTTGCCCAGGCTGGTCTTGAACTCCTGGCCTGAAGTGATCAGCCCACTTTGGCCTCCCAAAGTGCTGGAATTACAGGCATGAGCCACCGCAGCTGGCCTCTTCTACCCTCCTCTATTCAATTACTGGAGGCCTGCAAATTAAACTGACAAAAGACAAATTAATAAGAGTTCACGCATGCAATGCACATATGTGTGGGAACGCTCAGTGATGAGTAACTCAAAAAGGTGGCTAGAATTTGTGGCTTATGGCTGGGCACAGTGGCACATGCCTGTAATCCCAGAACTTTGGGAGGCCGAAATGAGTGGATCACTTGAGGTCAGGAGTTCGAGAGCAGTCTGGCCAACGTGGTGAAACCCCTCTACTAAAAATACAAAAATTTGTCAGGCGTGGTGGTGCACGCCTATAGTCCCAGCTACTCGGGAGGCTGAGGTGGGAGAATTGCTTCAACCCAGGAGGTGGAAGTTGAAGTGAGCCGAGATCACACCACTGCATTCCAGCCTGGGTGACAGAGCAAGACTCCGTCTCAAAAAGAAAAAAAAAAAAGAATTTGTGGCTATATCTAACAGTAGGGGAAGGAGGAGGAAGAAAAGAGTCCCATGGGAAGGACAAATAGGTTTTTAAAGGAAATACAAGTGGGGTTTTTTTTGAGACAGAGTCTTGCTCTGTCGCCCAGGCTGGAGTACAGTGGTGCGATCTCAACTCACTGCAAGCTCCGCCTCCCGGGTTTAAGCGATTCTCCTGCCTCAGCCTCCTGAGTAGCTGGGATTACAGGCACATGCCACCATGCCTGGCTAATTTTTGTATTTTTAGTAGATACTGGGTTTCACCATGTTGGTCAGGCTGGTCTCGAACTCCTGAACTTGTGATCCGCCCGCCCCGGGTTCCCAAAGTGCTGGGATTACAGGTGTGAGCCACCACACCCAGCCACAAGTGAGTTTTTAAGAGAACAAATGAGAGCCAAAGTTTGTGATAATATTTGGCCACATAACTATGAGTGGTCTTTCTGCCTTCTTCAAGGCCGTAAAACTTCCCTGGAGGGAGAATTCATGATACCTCATTTCTCAGAAGTTGCTGCTTTTAGTCACATAAGGGAAGCTCCGAGAAGGATTCTTTATGATTCTATTGAATCTCAAATGTGTTCTGCTTACAATAATCTTTATACTAACTCTGGAGTTCTGAGTTAGCATAAAGGTTCGCGCACCCTCATGAATATGAGACTATTTAAATCCCCTGCTGATATCCAGATTCCACTGCCTGTACCTTCAGTGTTCCTCTAATAATCTATTAGCCAAATAATTTAAAACTTACAAAGTAATTGGGGAAATCCATCCTGAAACACGAAACAAAGAGGTATTGAGGGCTTTAAACGTGCCGAGTGACTAGGTTCGGACAAGATAGGAGTAAATTCAGGAGTTTTGAAAAGGGAATATTCCTGAGAGTACAGAAGAGTTAGAAGAGGTTTTCTGCAGTTCATAGGCTCAACAATTTATTCATGCATCTGAAGACCTGGATTGCTGGGAACAGTGGCTCATGCCTTAATCCCAGCTACTCAAGAGGCTAAGGCAAGAGGATGGTTGAGGCCGGAGATAAAGACCAGCCTGAGGCTGGGCATGGTGGGTCACACCTGTAATCCCAGCACTTTGGGAGGCTGAGGCAGGTGGATCACGAGGTCAGGAGTTTGAGACGAGCCTGGCCAACATGGTGAAACTCCTTCTCTACTAAAAATATAAAAATTAGCTGGGCATGGTGGCAGGTGCCTGTAGTCCAGCTACTCATGAGGCTGAAGCAGGAGAATCACTTGAACCTGGGAGGTGGAGCGTGCAGTGAGCTGAGGTCATGCCACTGCACTCCAGCCTGGGCAACAGAGCAAGACTCCGTCTTGGGAAAAAAAAAAAAAAAAAAGACCAGCCTGAGCCGCACAGTGAGACCCTGTCTCTTAACAACAACAAAAAAGCAAACAACATGGTACTTACCCTCACGGAGTTCACCCTCTAGTTGAGTAGACATATAACCACCAAGGGAATTAATAAGAAAATGATGACAGAATATAGCGAAGAAAGTAAGCAAGGTGCTGTTTATATATGAGGTAGGGCGAGCAGGGGACAAGAGTCAGCTTTAGAGAGGATGAGGGTCAGGAAGTCTCTCTGTGTAGTTGGCAAGGAACTGATAAGAAGTCTGTCAGGAAAGAACATTCCATTCTGACAGAGCAGCTAGGGCTGAGGCCCTTGGAGGAAGATTTGGCAATGAGGAGAGGAAGGAACAGGGAATAGCTTAAGAAAAAGCAAGGGTGGGAGCAGTCTGCAGCATGGGTTGGAGGAGAGAAGCAGTGGAGTATAAAGAAAGAAACAAGGCTGGGTGCAGTGGCTCATGCCTGTAATCCCAGCACTTTGGGAGGCCGAGGCGGGCAAATCACCTGAGGTCGGGAGTTCGGGACCAGCCTAACCAACATGGAGAAACCCCATCTCTAATAAAAATACAAAATTAGCCAGGCATGGTGGCGCGTGCCTGTAATCCCAGCTACTCGGGAGGTTGAGGCAGGAGAATCACTTGAACCCGGGAGGTGGAGGTTGCAGTGAGCCGAGATTACACCATTGCACTCCAGCCTGGGCAACAAGAGCAAAACTCCGTCTCCCAAAAAAAAAAAAAAGCCAGGCACGGTGGCTCACACCTGTAATCCCTGTAATCCCAACACTTTGGGAGGCTGAGGTGGGTGGATCATGAGGTCAGGAATTGGAGAGCAGCCTGACCAACATGGCAAAACCCCGTCTCTACCAAAAATACAAAAATTAGCCAGGCATGGTAGTGCACACCTGTAATCTCAGCTACTCAGGAGGCTGAGGCAGGAGAATTGCTTGAACCTGGGAGGCAGAGGTTGCAGTGAGCCGAGATTGTGCCACTGCACTCCAGCCTGGGCAACAGAGTGAGACTCCATTTCAAAAAAAAAAAAAAAAATTAGCTGAAAAAAAATTAGCTGGGTGTGGTGGCACACACCTGTAGTCCCAGCTACTTGGGAGACTGAGGCAGGAGAATCGCTTGAACCTGGGAGGTGGAGGTTGCAGTGAGCCGAGATTGTGCCACTGCACTCGAGCCTGGCAACAGAGCAAGGCTCTGTCTCAAAAAGAAAAAAAAAAAAAGAAAAGAAACATGAATTCCAATGCAAAACTTTTAATGAAAAATATGCAATAATAGTGTTTAAGGGAACATGTATTTCAACATCTTTTGTTATTCGAAATATTTGAGCATTACTTTAAGCATATACATGTAAGTACATGCTCAAACATATAATTCCTATGTTTCTAAAGTCTTTGAAGCAATTTATAGAAATGTAACATGAAATAATGGGTTAAGTAATTGGTGTGGAGGAAAGAAGTAAAGGCAAGCAGGAGAAGGAAAATAAGCTAAAACCAACTGTTATGATGACACACAAAAGTGCATATTATATAGTTCTAGACAATAGCTAGACCTGGGCCGTAAATTTGATTCTGAGCTTCCAGGGACAAAGCCATAGGGAAATCTGAACAATGATGAAATTTACTTTCCCTTTGATAAAAATAAAAGAGCTCATTTTTTTTTTTTTTTTTGAGACAGAGTCTTGCTCTGTCGCCCAGGCTGGAGTGCAGTGGCACGATCTCGGCTCACTGCAAGCTCTGCCTCCCGTGTTCACGCCATTCTCCTGCCTCAGCCTCCCGAGTAGCTGGGACTACAGGTGCCCGCCACCACGCCCGGCTAATTTTTTGTATTTTTAGTAGAGACGGGGTTTTACCGTGTTAGCCAGGATGGTCTCGATCTCCTGACCTCATGCTCTGTCCGCCTTGGCCTCCCAAAGTGCTGGGATTATAGGCGTGAGCCACTGTGCCCAGCCAAAATGAAGTAGCTCTTAAGAGAAACATAGCTTCCTGGTAATAAGATCCGAGAGAAATTTTCCCTAATTATGAGTCACTCTATAACATAGTGGTCAAAGTCCTCAACAACATCCTTACAATAACTACAACAGCAAGATTCCTAGGGCCATCTCTTACAACCAGCTTTGGTGTGTAAAACCAAAATGCAATTCAGCACAAGCAATTCTACAAGAGACAGGGGCAATCCAGCTACATAGCTTATTCTAATAGTCATAAATAAGGGATAACATTTAGATTGTTTAGAGAAGTGGATAGATTACTTATCCTTCAAGTAATCCCCAATGAGTATTATTTTTTTTCACTTGAGCTTTTGATAAATAAAGTGCAGAGAAAGTTTGAAGTTATTTTTCTGGTAAGAAACTAGAATGGAAATGATTTTGCTGCTGAGTAATAGTTGATTTAGCACTCAATGGGGCTGAAGGTAGGACTGACATTCTTTCAGAGCAATGAGGCATCTAACAGTGCGATAGCCCAAAAAGAAGGCCATCCCACTGCCATTTGGAAATAGGCCTAAGAAGGTACATGTGCAAAGACAAGACTTTCTTCAGAAATAGATCTGGACTCACTTAAACACATGGACAAGTGATGTCTCAGGCCCCAAAGTTCTTCCACATAAATGTAGTCAAGATCATTCTAGCTCCCAGAAGTCAAGAGAATATCTTAATAAATTAGCTAAGAAATTTACTTACCAGATAAGTGCATTATTTGTATGCTATATAAATTTTTTGACAGTAAATCAAAATACTGGAGAACAGTTACCAAAAACAGTATTTGAATATAAAAAGAGTTGTTCTCAAGCCATGCTTTCTGACAATAATTATACAGAAGGACTGGGTGGTAATAATATCATATCTACAACATAAAAATAAAGGACTTCTTCTTAACAAAAGACCATGAACTAAGCTCATTTAAAAGTTGTTTCAGTTTGTTAAGGAGCACCTTTTGAAAAAAAAAAGGGAAGCTCTCTGCTTGAACCAATAAAGTTGTCTGATCTGCTGGCATGACAAATACTGGCTAGCTGGTTACCAAACCATTTTTTTCCCCTGTTGGACCACAGTTCAGCTACATTTCCCAGCTTCCCTTTTAGTTAGTCATGGGCAAGTAGTTCTGACCAGTGGAATTTGATGCATTTCACCTTCAAATGAAGGTGCAAGAAACCTCAGAGTGATGCTGATATAGTGAAGACAGCAGACTTTCATCATTCTGAGTTTCTCAACACCCAACCTCATATTGGGCTTATGCGGAGAGAAATACACTCCGATTGTGTTAAGCCATTGAGGTTTCAAAGCTTATTTTTACAGCAGCTAGCATAAAGTCAATATAGCATTTAACTAATACAGTCAAGAATTATACTTCTAGGACAGGTGCAGTGGCTCATGCCTGTAATCCCAGTACTTAGGGAGGCTGAGGTAGGTGGATCACCTGAGGTCAGGAGTTCGAGACCAGCCTGGCCAACATGGCAAAACCTTGCCTCTACTAAAAAATAAAAAAATTGGCCGGGCGTGCTGGTGGGCACCTGTAATCCCAGCTACTGGGGAGGCTGAGGCAGGGAGAATTGCTTGAACCCGGGAGGCAGAGGTTGCAGTGAGTTGAGATTGCACCACTGTACTCCAGCTTAGGTGACAGACTGAGACTCTGTCTCAAAAAACAAAACAAAAGAATATACTTCTTACATTTCAACTGCTCTGTACAAAAAAAGTATTTTAAAAAAGAAAAAAAGAATATACTTCTACTCTGTTTTAGAATAAATGTCTTTTTTTTTTCCCCTGGCTGCTGGGTGACATGTAGGCCCAAATAAGTGTCATTTTTAAAAAAATAATTTACTTCTACCTCTCTGCACTTCGGTTTCCTTGCTTGTAAAATGAAGATATTAACAGCACTTACTTCGTAAGTTTGCTCTAGGAATTAAATATGTTAATGCATGTAAAGTACTGTACTTCTAACAGTGCCTGACAAATAGTAACCATTCCATTCACGTTAACTATCATTGTTATTATTACAAATCTTCCTAGTGGTATTAAGATTTAGCTTCCACGTAAGAATATCCTAATTTTTTTCTAACTCATTCAGACTGCAATTACAAATGATGTCACATTTATGTTTCTATCTGCATAGTGCTGATCCATGCCTCCATCACTGTAGAGCTTCAGTACATTTTTCAGCACCTTGGGTTGTCTCAGACATGCTCTGAAATTGTTCTTCTTCTCCGACCTCCATATTGTTGTCAGCCCACCATGTTTGAAGCTGTGGGGGCAGAACTGGGGGCAGAATGAGGAGCGCTTGCTACCATGAGTGTGCTGATCCTGCCCAGGGATCCTGCCTCTCATTTGTCCCAAAGCTGCAGACACTCAGAATGCCAAAATAGACTTCTGTCCACTTGTAACTGTTTTTTTTTTTTCCAAATTTGCTTTAACTTCGTAATTTTGTGTAATAATTTACTTCATTTGGGGAAATGTTAGAAACACATCTAAAAGATTATCTCAGATATCACAGAAACAAATTTTACTTCATTTATTTTCTCATTGTCCTTTTTTTTTTTTTTTTTTGAGACAGAGTTTCTCTCTTGTTGGCCAGGCTGGAGTGCGGGGGCGCGATCTCAGCTCACTGCAACCTCTGCCTTCTTTTTGGGCTATCACACTGCATTCTCCTGCCTCAGACTCCTAAGTAGCTGGATTACAGGCATGTGCCACCAAGCCAGGCTAATTTTGTATTTTTAGTAGAGGCAGGGTTTTACCATGTTAGTCAGGCTGGTCTCAAACTCCTGACCTCAGGTGATCCACCCGCCTTGGCCTCCCAAAGTGCTGGGATTACAGGCGTGAGCCACCACGCCTGGTCACTCATTGTCCTTTTTCAATCATCAGGCTTATGGGAAGGGGTGACCAGTTCACACCACTGAATCCCTCTTCCCAGTAATTCCTGGTCAATTCCCTGCATCTACTTCTTGTCCATACACCGGGTCACTACCGTATATCCAGAAACTGCTCCCAGGCTCGGTGGCAGGGAATAATAACCTGGGGGTATATAGATCTGTCTCCACCAAAACTCCCTTCCCCAAAGAAATCCATGGATGGAATTCAAGAGGCCTATGAACTTGAATGGGAAGGAAAAAATATCATGTCTTTATTTTCACTAATCTCAAATAGAAACTTAGCAATTCCTTCCCTTACTAATGTAGGCCACAAGTCATAGCAGTACTAGCTGTATCTGTGACTTTGTCACTAACAGATATCCCAGATATTTTTCTTTTTTTTAAATGGAGTCTCGCTCTGTGGCCCAGGCTGGAGTGCAGTGGTATGATCTCAGCTCACTGCAACCTCCCCGTCCTGGGTTCAAGCGATTCTCCTGCCTCAGCCTCCCAAGTAGCTGGGATTACAGGCATGCACCACCACACCTGGCTAATTTTTTATATTTTTGGTAGAGACAGGGTTTCACCATGTTGGCTAGGCTGGTCTCGAACTCATGACCTCAAGTGATCTGCCTGCCTCGGTCTCCCAAAGTGCTGGGATTACAGGTGTGAGCCACTGTGCCCGACCACATCCCAGATATTTCTATGTCACATTATTGCAGTTAAAACTATCTTGAAATATCATTTGTGTTCATACTGCTATGAAATTATGGTAGTCATTAGACTGCCATTAGATCTTTTTAATATATCAACAAAAAGCATGTATATTATATCCCACATGGTGATTTAATATTTTGAGAACTGTATTTCACTATAATAGGTTTCCAATTCTATTTTAGCTTTGTATGTAAAAACATTATTCTGAGTAGGGGGTCTATAGACTCCCTGACTACCAAAACGGTCCATGGCATAAAAAAGGAAAACCTCTGGAATTTGGACTTGATTGGATTTGACACTTAGCTCCAAACCCCCATGTATTTTTCCTTATTTACTCTCCTTTGTAGTCCCAAAGGACTAAAGTGGCGACAAACATTCAGACCCACTGACATGCATTCCCCAAGGCAGCATGGTAAGATGATTAAAAGCTCAGACATTGGAGTCAGCCTGCCCAGCTCTACCACTCATTAACCATGTGACCCAGGCAAGTTACTTAACCTCTCTGTACCTCATATCTGTTAAGTGGGAATTAGAATTGTCTCTCATAAGGTTGTTCTGAAGGTTAAATGAGTTAATTTATTAAATGTTGGTTGGGCACAGTGGCTCATGCCTATAATCCCAGCACTTTGGGAGGCTGAGGTGGGCGGATCACTTGAGCCCAGGAGTTCAGGACCAGCCTGGGCAACATGGCAAAACTCTGTCTCTACAAAAAATACAAATATTAGCTGGGTGTGCTGGTGCATACCTGTAGTCACAGATACTTGGGAGGCTGAGGTGGGAGGATCACTTGAGCCTGGGGAGGTCAAGCCTGCAGTGAGCTGTGATCATGCCACTGCACTTTAGCCTGGGGAACAGAGTGAGACCTTGTCTCAAAATAAAATAAAAATAAAATAAAGTAACATAACATAAAATATAAAATAAAATAAAATATCTAGCACATAGCAAGCTCTCAGCAAATGTTAGCTACTCTTCCAAGTACCTATCACCTGTTTCTTTATGATATTCTGGGGAGGGGAAGAGGAGGAGAGAAAAGAGTAGGTTGGCTATTCCTCTTGTGAGTCACAGCCTACACATCATACTTTAATGATGCACAAAATGGCCATCCTTTTTAAAGGCATATCAAAGAAACAGTTGATAGTTCTTTGAAATTTTTCTAACTTAATTTTAGGTTTTATATAGTAACTCACAACTGAATTTAAAAAATTATTCAGTGCAATACAAATGCTCCTCACCACTGGTTTACAAGGCAGGGCTTCCACTGAAATAATATTAGTCTTTCATAATTCATGCTCAGGCCAGGTGCAGTGGCTCATGCCTCCAATCCCAACACTTTGGGAGGCCAAGCGGGGAGGATTGCTTGAGCCCAGAGGTTCGAGACCAACCTGGGCAATATGGTGAGACCTTGTCTCTAAAAAAATTATTTTAATTAGCCCAGTGTGGTGGAGTGCACCCGTAGTCCCAGCTACTCAAGAGGCTGAGATGGGAGGATTGCTTGAGCCCAGGAAGTTGAGGCTGCAGTGAGATGTGATCATATCACTACACTCCAGCCTAGGTGACAGAGTGAGATTCTGTCTCAAAAAAAAAAAAAAAATCATGTGAATTTCTATACAAGAGGAAAGTCTTGGCTATGTTGTTTTAACTGAAGGGGAAAAGGTATTAAATATAAATGGAAGTAATTTCATTCATTCACTTAACAATTATTAGGCTCTCTGAGCCAAGCACTGCTCTAGATGCAAAGGAATTAATGGTGAACAAGACAAAGTCCCTGCTGTCATTGAGCTTACATTCTAGTGTGGGAAAATAAATACCTAAAATAAATAAATAAGAAAAGTATCAGGAGGTAGTCAGTGCTTCACAGAGCATTAAAATAAAGTCACGCTATATATATAGGGACGAGGTGAGTATTTTAGACTGGGTGGTCAGTGAAATTCTCAGGAGGTAACATTTAACCAGAGATATGAAGGACAAAAAGGAGCCAGTCACACTCAAAGGGACAGCATTTCAGGCAAGGGAATAGCTAGTGCAAAGTCATTAGAGCAGGAGTGAGCTTGCATATTCTTGGCTGTTTAGGAATGAAAGAAGGCTGCTGTTGCTGGAACAGTGGTCAAGGGGCAGAGCGATACAGGAGAGGTAAACTGGATCAGGTTTGTAAGGCTTTGGAAGCAAAGGGAAGGTTTATTCTAAGTGCAATGGAAAGCTACTAGTGAGTTCAACCAGTTGGTGAGGTGATCTGATTTACCTTTTATTATTATTCTTTTTTTTAAGAGACATGGTTTCCCTTTGTTGCCCAGGCTGGAGTGCAGTGGTCCAATCATAGCTCACTGCAGCCTCAAACACATGAGTGCAATGAATCCTCCTTCCTCAGCCTTCTGTGTAGCTGGGAATATGGGAGCGCATCACCATGCCCAGCTATTTAAAAAAATTTTTTTTTAGAGATGAGAGTCACTATGTTGCCCAGGCTAGTCTCAAACTTGGGCTCAGGTAATCCTCCCATCTCAGCCTTCTTGGCAGCTGTGATTTACAGCTGATTTATCATTTCATTTTATTTATTACATTAGAGACAGAGTCTCCTTCTTGTCGCCCAGCTGGAGTGCAGTGGTGCGATCATCGCTCACTGCCGGTTCGAACTCCTGGGCTCAAGTGATCCTTCTGCCTCACCCTTCTGAGTAGCTGGGACTACAGGCATGCACCACCACACCTGGATAATTATTTTATTTTTTGTAGAGATGGGGTCTTGTTATGTTGCCGAAGCTGGTTTCAAACTCCTGGCCTCAAGTGATCATCCTGCCTCTGCCTCCCAAAGTGTTGGAGTTGCAGGCATGAGCCACCCACTCAGTGATTTACCATTTCAAATCATGCCAAGAATTGCATGGGGTACAAACTTAAGGGGTTAAGACTGGATGCAGGAAGACCAGTTAGATGGTGGCTTAGACTAGGATTACAGGAGTGAGATGGCAAGAAGGGTCAGGTTTGGCTTTAGGATGTATTTTGGAGATAGAGCCAGTAGGAACTATTGACTGGGATATGGGAGAATGAGAGGAATCAAGGATGACTCCTGACCTGGCCTATGTAACTGGGCTGATGGTGCCAATTATTTAGGCGGGTAAATATTGGGGATGATGAGGGGATGGGAAAGTGGGGAACAGATATAGGGTGATAAATTGAGAGTTCTCAATTTGTGCTCATTTTGAGTTGCTTATCAAACATCCAAATGAGGTAGACAGTTACACAAATCTAGAGTTCTACAGAGGACTAGTCAGGGGCTGGAGATATAAATTTCAGAATGATTGACCTAGGAATGGTACTTAAAACCATGGATCTTGAACTCACCTAGTTGAACCATAAAATCAAAGAAAAAAAAAGAGGCTGGGTGCAGTGGCTCATGCCTCTAATCCTAGCACTTTGGGAGGCCAAGGCGGGTGGATCACCTGAGGTCAGGAGATCAAAACCACCCTGGCCAACACGGCGAAACTCTGTCTCTACTAAAAATACAAAAATTAGCCAGGTGTAGCGGCGCACACCTGTAATCCCAGCTGCTCGGGAGGCTGAGGAAGGAGAATCGCTTGAACCCAGGAGGTGGAGGTTGCAGTGAGCCGAGATCACGCCACTGCACTCCAGCCTGCGCGATGGGAGCGAGGCTCCATCTCAAAAAAAAAAAAAAGCTGAAGATGAAGTCTTAGAGCTCTCCTACCTTTAGAGGTCTGATAGAAGGGAAGGAACTGATAAGAGACTAAGTGGTACGCAGGGAGGTAGAAGGAAAACTAGGGGGATCTGATGTCATAAAAGCCTACAGAACAAAGTGCTTCCAGGAAGGAATGGTCACTACAGTGAAACACTGCTGAGTGGTCTGGAAAGATGGGGACAGAGACTTGACCGGACTTGGGCAAAATGTGGGTCATTAGCAACTTGATGAAACATTTCAGTATACAGAGGATATAAAATCCCAAAAGAGTAAGAAGGTAGGGTCAGCAAGTACAGGTAGTTCTTCTGAGTTTCATTATAATAGGAAGCAGGGAAGAAGGCAGAAGCTGGAGAAGGTGTAAGATTAAGGGAGAGAGGGAAGTTATGTGTGTAAGGGTCAAAGGGAGAGAGACTGGGTGGGGAAGCTTCGAGAAGAGAAAACATAGACATCAACTTTTTTTTTAAGATTTATTTTAAGTGATATTTTCACTGTGTACAGAATTTCAAGGTTGGCATTTGTTTACTTTTAGTACACTTCATCCTTGAACAATGAGGGCATTAGGAGAACTGACCCCTACACAGTTGAAAAATCTGTATGTACCTTTTGGCTCCCTTAAAAAAAAAAATTTTTTTTTTTTTTTTTGAGACGTAGTCTCCTCTGTCACCCAGGCTGGAATGCAATGGTGCGATCTCGGCTCACTGCAACCTCCACCTCCCGGGTTCAAGCGATTCTCCTGCCTCAGCCTCCTGAGTAGCTGGGACTACAGGCGTGCACCACCACACCCAGCTAATTTTTGTATTTTTAGTAGAGACGGGGTTTCACCATGTTGGTCAGGCTGATCTCGAACTCCTGACCTTGTGATCCGCCTCGGCCCCCCAAAGTGCTGTGATTACAGGCGTGAGCCACTGGCGCCCAGCCAACATCAACTTTAAAAACATAGACATAAACTTCAGTTTTGTTCAGACTAAATATACTTCATACCAAAATTACCAAGCTCCCTTATGCTTCTTTTTTTATTTTACTTTAAGTTCTGGGATACATATGCAGAACGTGCAGGTTTGTTACACAGGTATACATTTGCCATGGTGGTTTGCTGCACCTACTTCTTTCTTTTTTAATTTGAAAGTAATACATGCCCATGGTAACAAAGTCAACCTGTACAACAGGAGTATATAGTAAAAAGGCTCCCTCCTATTGCTGACCCTCAGGCTCCCAGTTCCTCTTTACGTATGTAGCCACTATTACCAGTTTCTTGTGTATATTTGTGTATATTTCCAGAGATATCCTATGCTATTACAACACATTCCATTTTTTAACATAAATACTGGCATGCCATAGATTACTTGGCAACTTGCCCTTTTCCCTTAATAAAATATATTGGAGATTATTCCACAATGGAAAATATTCTTATCAGTACATCTTTTTAACAGCTGCATAGTATTCCATTTTATGATATACCATAACCTATTTACCCATTCCCTATTGATGAGCATTTAGTTGTTTTCACTCTTTTCCCATCACATGATTTTTATGGTGTGGGGACAAGAGTGACTGTATTTTAGATGCTAATCTGCCATGTGACTCCTGACTAACCCCCAGTCCAGGAATACCTCCAAGATGTCTAGTTATTACTCTTTATGTAGAAACACCTATTCACTGTAAGTTTTGTCTTTCCTTCAAAACCACCCCTGATGTCATTGCATAAATCACAGGCTGTGAGGTCCATAACCATCTACACATTTCTCCCAGAGCATGTATGATTCAAAATATAAGCCCTGGATCAGGGGGTTTGTGGTGTGAAGAACTACCTGTCTTGTGGCCACCGAAGACCATACTTTTGTCCGTAAGCTCCCTAATAAAATACTCTATACCAACAAACCAGATTTGTCTTCCTTATTCTTTGGTTTCTTGGTTCCTTTTGTGTCTGCAGGTTGCTTTGCATATATAGCCCTTTCATGGAACATATGGGTGGAATTGTGTACCCTCCCCCCAAACTCATATGATTAATTTCTAACCCTTAATATCTCAGAATGTGACCTCATTTAGAGGCAGGGTCTTTACAAAGTAATTAAGATAAAATGACATCATTAGTGGGGGCCCTAATCCAATATGACTGGTCTCCTTAAAGAAGCAGAAATTTGGATAGAGACATTTAAGGAGGGAAGACAATATGAAGACAGGAGACAATGACCATCTACATGTCAAGGAGAGAGACCTGGAACAAATTATTTCCCTGGCAACCCTCAGAAGTTGGGTGCTCCGAAAGAACCAATCTTAGGCCAGGCGCAGTGGCTCACACAGGTAATCCCAGCACTTTGGGAGGCCAAGGTGGGCGGATCATTTAAGGTCAGGAATTTGAGACCAGCCTAGCCAACATGGTTAGACCTCAACTCTACTAAAAATATAAAAATTAGCTGGGCATGGTGGCGCGCATGTAGTCCCAGCTACTCGGGAGGCTGAGGTAGGAGAATCGCTTGAACCCAGGAGACGGAGGTTGCAGGGAGCCGAGATCGTGCCACTGCACTCCAGCCTGGGTGGCAGAGTGAGACCCTGTGTGAAAAATAAAAAAAGAAAGAACCAATCCTGCTGGCATTTTGATCTCAGACTTCTAGCCTCCAGCATTCTGAGACAATAAATTTGTTGTTTAAGCCACCCAGTTTGTGGTCCTCTGTTATGGCAGCCCTAGCAAACTAATATAAAGATGATGCTTTAATGAATATATTCGTATGTATATATTTTTCACAAAGATGCAGGTATGCTGGTAGAATTCAAAGAAGTAAATGTATCATCTTTCAACCAATGATACTTTACCTCCTCTTCAAATTTGCTCAGCTGAATCAATTATACTCCCCAAGCCCCTCTCGCCTGGTCACAGAATGGCCAACAGCGTATCCTGAACACATGAAGTTCTTCCATGCCTCTGTATCTTTGCACACGTCCTTTGCTTTGCCTGGAAAGCCCTTCCTCCTGAAATGCTCCTGAAAAACTTTAATACAACTACTCATGTACTGCCTCCTCTGTGGAACCTACTGTGGTAGGCAGCCACTAAAATGAACCCCAATGATCCCCACCTCCTGCTATTCACACCTTTGTGTATTCATCACCTTTGTGTATTTCCCTTTTCTTGAATGTGGACTGAATTTATTGACTCACTTCTAATAAATAGAGTATGGCAGAAGTGATAAGACCATTTCTGAGATTAGGTTACAAAAAGACTGTGGCTTCTTTCCATGGGTGCTTTCTCTCACATACTCTTGGTTCTCTTGCTCTCTTTCTTGGTCACTCACGTTGCGGAACGTCAGTGGCCATGTTGTGAGGAAGCCCTGGGGAGAGGGCTGCCTATGTAGGGAGAGATCAAGGCCTTCTAACAACCACATGAGTGAACTTGGAAGTGGATCTCCCCCCATTCAAGCCCTCAGATGGGATTGGCAGCTGACAGCTTGACTGCAATCTTGTGGGAGATCTTAAATCAGAAACACTCACCTATGCCATGCCAACATGCCTGTCCCACAGAAACTGTGATCTAGTAAATGTTTATCATTTTTACTTTAAGCTGCTAAATGCTGGGGTAATTTGATATGCAGCAATAGATAACTAATACATTTTCCATCTTCCCTCTATCTTTTCTCCGAGCTTCCAGAGTTATTTGGGTTTACCTCTAGTAGTGCTCATAGCACAATATACTATTTTTATTTCTAAGTTGCTCTCCCCTACTGGACTGTCTCCAAGGCCAGGAACCCTAGCTCAGTCAACTTCACATTTATTGTGTCTTTTTTTTTTTTAGATGGAGTTTCGCTCTTTTTGCCTAGGCTGGAGTGCAATGGCACGATCTTGGCTCACTGCAACTTCCACCTCCTGGGTTCAAGTGATTCTCCTGCCTCAGTCTCCTAAGTTGCTGGGATTACAGGCACGCACCACCATGACTGGCTAATTTTGTATTTTTAGTAGAGATGGGGTTTCACCATGTTGGCCAGGCTGGTCTTGAACTCCTGACCTCAGGTGATCCACCCGCTTCGGCCTCCCAAAGTGTTAGGATTACAGGCGTGAGCCACACACTTATTGTGTCTTATCCAAGGTTCAAGCCACCATCATCACTTCCCTACACAGTTGCAATAAACTCCAGACTGGGCTACCCAAATCCCCTAGACCCTTCTAATTCTTTCTCCTCCTAGCTTTATGAAATCTTTCAAAAATGCAACTCTGATCACTTGAAGGCTTAAAATCTTTCTCTTCATTCTTAAGATAAAGACCTAAATTCTTAATACAGCCTCCCAGGCCTGGCATTATCTTCCTGTCTCACTATAGTACCTAACATGCTTCTGGCCAGGCACAGTGGCTTACACCTATAATCCTAGCACTTTGGGAGGCTAGGTGGGAGGATTGCTTGAGGCCAGGAGTTTGGGACTAGCCTGGGCTACATAGTGACACCCCGTGTCTAGAAAAAAATTTTTTTTTGAATAAAGATACTTCCTTCTTCTTCTCAGTATAACAACAACACTGGCCTCTCAGTTCCTCAGCTGAGCCATGCTCCTTTCTCAGAGCCTTTGCACACACTGTTCCCTCTGCTGGGTATGCTTTCCCCCATCCTCAATTTCTATTTATCCTTTGGATCTCAGCTCAGTGTCACTTTTTCAGGGAAGGCCTTCCTGCCTTCTATTCTAAATCAAAGAACACTGTAGTTTTCCTTCAAACTGCTTACATAATCAGGATTAAATAATTGGGCCCGGTGGCTCATGCCTGTAATCCCAGCACTTTGGGAAGTTGAGATGGGAGGATCGCTTGAGGCCAAGAGTTCCAGACCAGCCTGGTCAATATGGTGAAACTCTGTCTCTACTAAAAGTGCAAAAAATTAGCCAGGTGTGGTGGTGTGCACCTGTAATCCCAGCTACTCTGGAGGTTTGAACCCAGGAGATGGAGGTTGTAGTGAGCAGAGATTGCGCCACTGCACTCTAGCCTAGGCAACAGAGTGAGAGTCTGTCTCAAAAAAACATAAATAAATAAATAAATAGGTAGGTAGTTTGGTATAGTACCCAGCAGAGTCCTTCTACTCAGGTGGGGATATAACATTGAGAAAGGAAATAAAAACCTAACTATTATACTTCTTAACAGCATTTCGTAGATGTTAAAATCTTGGCCCGCTGGCGGAACTGTGAGGTTAAAAAAGCATGGGTTGTGCAGTCAGACCCAGTTTTGGATCCCAGCTCTGCTCTTTAGTAGCTGTGTGACATTGGGCAAGTTACTCTCCTCTCTGTTCCTCAAATTTCTCAGCTATAAAATTAGGATATAATAATTATATCTTTCAGGAAGGTTGTTGGAGGAAGTCAATGAGATAATACTCATAAAACACTAAGAACAGGGCTTGGCCTTAGCAAATGCTAATCATTGTTATCCACTATATTTTATCTGTGGTTAAAAAAAAAAGATTGCCCATTTCTCATGTGGTACTGGAAGAAGCTGGGGAATATTTGTGGTACTGGGAAGTTGTCTGTGGGAAGTTAGGATTGAAACAGTGAAAAATGTAAGGCCTCTGCCTGTAATCCCAGCACTTTGGGAGGCCTAGGCAGGCAGATCACTTGAGGTCGGGAGTTCGAGACCAGCCTGACCAACACGGAGAAACTCTGTCTCTACTAAAAATACAAAAATTAGCTGGGTGTGGTGGCACATGACTGTAATCCCAGCTACTCAGGAGGCTGAGGCAGAAGAATCCCTTGAACCAAGAGAGGCGGAGGTTGTGGTGAGCCGAGAGCACACCATTGCACTCCAGCCTGGGCAACAAGTATGAGACTCTGTCTCAAAAAAAAAAAAAAAAAAAGTGAAGCCAGTGGAAGAAAGGAAACAGGAGAAATGGTTGCCAGCTATGTTCTAGTTGGTTCCAAATGACAGCAGCACCAGTTTGTACTGTCTCCCAGAAGTCTGTGTTCCTACTGTTTACACATGCATCTTCACAAGCCATTGCTGACAGATGAGATATGCTGAGAGAGGGTTACCTGTTCAGATTCTTGACACCTGGCAACTTGTGAAAGCTAATTTTTTTGGAATCTGGAAAACTATCAAACTCCTTTTCTTTCTCTTCACCTTATTGGGAACCTTTTGGTTGATCAGAGCCTACCATGTATCAGTCATTCAAAAGCTATAATAAAATAATGAATTCAGAACTGCAACAAGGAAGTGACTCAAGGACCAGGGCCCTCTGCTGCTGAGACTCAGGGGAAATACGTTTCATTAAAAAAAAAAATTAGAAGAAAAAATCCAGTCTGTCTCGCTGGATCAAAAAAAAAGAAAGGAAGAAAGAGAGAGAGGGAGAGAGGAATAAAGAAAGAGAAAGAAAAAGAAAGAAAGAAAAAGAAAGAAAGAAAGAAAGAAAGAAAGAAAGAAAGAAAACAAAAGAAAAAAAAAAGACAGACAAATAGTTACTCTTTCCTGAAGACTCAGTGTTCTCCCAAGGCCTCTTCCTTCTTTCCTGAAGGCACACTCAGATCTGGAGCAGAAGCTAGGAAGCTACCCTGAGATAAATCACTTTCCCCACCCTTTTTAATCTTGTGAAAGAGCTGCTGCCAATTTTAGAAATTCCTCCTTTGATCAGAAGATAAAGCAGAACAATGCTGCGGAACTAAGTTGATTTCTAAGGGACATTCTTCTAGAGTGTGTAGCCTGCCTGGAAGTGTGTGTGCATAGAGGAGGGGCGGGGTTGGGGGAAAGATAGGAGTTGGAAGGGGGGGGGGTGTACAACAGCCAGTAGCTACAGCCGTAAGAAATAATCACATTTGTTTCTAGAATTCCCCATAGAATAGAAACTCCATCCAATTTTACCATCCCTGCGGAGGTGCAGGCATGTTTATTACAGCGCTATGAGGGATTCATCCACTCCACATTCCCCATTGCCCTAGCCCCCTTTCGCCAACCCCCGTCCCTGCCAAATCAGGCCAATTTCTTTCTTTCCAGTTATTTGCTGAAAGTTCAACTTCTCTTAGAGCCTTCTAATTATGCGTATATCATATAGGCTGATAATTTTTAGTTTAGGCTGAGAAATGCAGCCTAAATCAGTCTGCCACATCAGATTGTGAACGTCTGGATGGTGTGGACCCCCTTCTCCTACTGCTTAAAAGACAATCTTGTTGTAAAACGCTATGGAATCGTTCCTCTCCCCTTAACATCTTTGTGCCCCAGAAGCCCCATCTGTAAATGGGGATAATTTTCCTATATCTTCCCATGGTTACGTAATTTTTAGATCTAACACGTGAGGACCAAACGCTTTACAAGCATAATCTCATTAAATTCTCAATAAGAATATATTATTATGGAGGTTGCATGTGAAAATACTTTGTAATGTAGAAAGAGCCGTCTGGCTGTGAGTTATTATCAGGGGGTTATCTTCCTTACCTGGCTGTTGTGAGGATGAAACGAGACGCCGACCTGAAAGCGTTTTACGTGCTATCAAGCATTTTACAGAAACCACGTGATAGGCTACTAATTACCCACCGTATACCACCTGACCCACCGTGAGGCCTCGGTAAATACTGGTTGGAGTGGACGAGTTTAAGTCTTGCCTGTTCCTTTCAGTCTTCCAATCACAAAGTAATCTCGGCGCCGCCAGGGGCCAAGACACAAATCTGGGAACCTCAGCCTAGATGGAGGAGGGTGCGGGGTCCCGGGAGAGGGGATGAGAACAATAGGGTACTTCAGTGCCCGGGCCCTGTTTAGCGGGTCTTCGGACTCAGGGCCCGAGGGGCGGCCAGCTGGGGTGTCCGGAGAGCTCCCCTCCCCAGGTCTGGGGTGTGCACGGAGAGGCGTCCAGAGCCTGCTCAGCATTCCTCGGGAGAGAGCCAGACCCTGGTCCCCCGGGCCCGTGCGCCCCAGCGCCCCAGCTCCCTTGCTCACGCCACCCCGGCAGCGTCCAAGCCCCGCCCGCCAGCTCAGGTAGGCCGTCCGCGCCAGCCAATTCGCAACAAGTCCGGGCGGGGAAGGCGGTGCTTCCCTGTCCGGAAGTGACGTGCTGCGCTTGGCTGGCTGTGGAGTCGGCCGAAGCTTTCGGCGGCGGCTGAGCCAGCTGAGGGGAAAAATGGCTCGGACTGTGGCGGCTTCGGCGGCTCAGGTTGTGGTAGAGGCGGAGGCTCAGGCAGCTTGAGGTGAGGAGCGGTCGGTGCGGCTGGGGACGATATTCGGGGTCCTGCTCTGCAAGGGTGGAGAGGGGCCCCGGGGTTCCCGGGCTGGAAGGGTCTCTTGTCGCGGCCCCCAGTGCCTTGGGTGCCCGCGTCTGACCCTCCATCCCGTGCTCTTGGCGTTGCCCAGCCCGACTCCCCCCTCCCTCCGGGCCTTGCTTCCACCCAGGCCGTGAGCAAGTGCTGCGCTGGAGGTGCGAGGAGCCCGCGTCCCCACCAGGCCCCTCTTCTCGGGAGCGGAGGTGCGCCAGGGAGTTAGTTTTGTCCCACAGAAGGAGGGCAGGCCCCCCGGCCGCCGGCCCCCCTCCCCCGCCTTGTCCCGCGGGACCGGGCTGGAGCCGCAGTGGCCGGTCCTATTTTCTTGGCAGATTGTTAGTTCTGGCGAGTGTGTGTGTTGTACTTCTCAGTGACGGCCCCTTCTTTCACCTCCTGTCCCATCTCTGGCTCTGGGGGCCAAGGATACTTTTTCTTCTTCCCGGACCCCCCACTCCCACCGCGTTGCCTTTAGCCGCGAATCCACTTGCTTTGGGAACACTATTCTTTCAGTGTGTATTTAGCGCATCATCCTTCTGAGAGAGCGGTCAGATTAAAAAATACTAGCTTAACTCTTCCTGAGTGACGGAGGAATCATAAATAATTGAAGAAAAAGGCACATACTTATTTTCCTCACTGAATTTCTGGCTTTAAAAACGACATTCTCTAGCTGTGGAATTATTTTTTGGGGGAGGAGGGATTGAGGAGGGAAATGAGGAAGGAGAAACTAAGGAAAAAAGTCTGGACATAACGTGGAAGAGAGAGCCTGTTGTAGTTCTTTTCCTATACTGGCCCGATAGAAATTGAGGTTATAATTATATTCTTATTTTGAACAGTGGGGGTTTGAATTAAGTGAAACGAAGGAGGCCTGCCTCTTTGAACAAGATTAGTTATTAAAGAATGTCCTGAAATCTTTCCTGGTGGGTTTCAGGCAGAAAAGCTCTGTTGGGAAAATTTTTAAATCTATTGTAGCATCAAAGGCCACAGCATATAAGAGATGCAAGAAGAAGAAAGCTGTTTGTAGGGGAACGGTGAAGACATAGTAGAAAGAGGGAAGGCTGCACAGAAGTCCAGGAACTAATTCCAGGAGAGACTTTGTACCTTTGCCTCCTTGGCTTGTGGTTCAAGTCTCCACAAGAGACTCCTTTAGCAGCTCTGCCATAGTTGGGGTTGGTGCTCTTTTTTTTTTTTTTAATTGACATGGGGTCTCACTGTGTCGCCCAGGCTGGTCTACCATGCCCAGCAGAATGGTGCTTTTTTTTTTTTTAAATTTGATCTAACCTTATCTGGACAGGATGGTGCTCTTATTCACAGCAGCAAATTAGACGAAAGGACCCTAGTTGAAGTATACAGATTTTATTTTTATATAAGATATTTGTTTAGTATCAAGACAGTGGTTACATACTGAAAAACAATGTAACTGGGAATAGAGAGATTTTATTTGTTAACTCAGATTTAGTTCAAAAGTGATTTTACGTAGGTAGAAAGCACATATGGAGTTTCTTCCATAAATTCCGTAATTTTGGCTGAATTAATACATTCTAAAGTAGGTTTTTTCTTATCAAAGTGTCTTGCTATTTGTGTTTTATATGCGTGTTTCCTGCAGTTTTCTTTGCAAATAACATGTTTTAATGTTTTCATCACAGGTTTTACAATTTTTTTCTGTTTGAATCTCGCTCTGTCGCCTAGGCTGGAGTGCAGTGGCACGAGAGCTCACTGCAACCTCCACCTCCAGGGTTCAAGTGATTCTCCTGCCTCAGCCTCCTGAGTAGCTGGAATTACAGGCACGCGCCACCACACATGGCTCATTTTTGTGTTTTTTCAATAGAGACTGGTTTACACTATGTTGACCAGGCTAGTCTCGAACTCCTGACCTCAAGTGATCTGCCCGTCTTGGCCTCCCAAAGTGCTGGGATTAAAGACTTGAGCCACTGCACCTGGCAGTTTTTTCTGTTTTATAGAATACAAAAGCTGGCATGTTTGCATTGAGGAATTTTAGAAACTAACTTTTTGTAATGAATAACTGTATACTAAGTTTGTTTCTTCTGCAATTAATAGTTCTAAAATTTTCAATTAATTGAAGATTGCTTGCATTAATTCCCATGTCCAGGACTCTTTCTGTAGCACAAAGTTTTGCATTTAAGTAAGCACATTCAATAAGTGAACTTATACCTAAAGAGTGTTGAATTTCCTGAGAACTCAGAGTTCTTATAGAGCATCAGAGCAGCAGTAGTGCAAAGCATTTTTTGTAACTTGTTTTTCTTTGATAACATGAATTATTCTTTTTTTTTTTTTTTTTTTTTTTTTTGAGATGGAGTCTCACTCTGTTGACGAGGCTGGAGTGCAGTGGCACGATCTTGGCTCACTGCAACCTCCACCTGCCGGGTTCAAGTGACTCTCCTGCCTCAGCCTCCCGAGGAGCTGGGACTACAGGCGTGTGCCGCTATGCCCAGCTAATTTTTGTATTTTTAGTAGAGACGGGGTTTCACCATGTTGGTTGGCCAGGATGGTCTTGAGCTCTTGGCCTTGTGATCTGCCCACCTCGGCCTCCCAAAGTGCTGGGATTACAGGCTTGAGCTACCCTGCCCGGCTCTTTTTTTCTTTTTTGAGACAGTCTCACTCCGTCACCCAGGCTGGAGTGCAGTGGCGTGATCTCAGCTCACTGAAACTTTTGCCTTCTGGGTTCAAGCAATCCTCCTGCCTCAGCCTCCCAAGTAGCTGGGATTACAGGTGCACACCACCACACCCACCTAAGTTTTGTATTTTGGTAGAGACGGGGTTTCACCATGTTGGTCAAGCTGGTCTTGAACTCCTGACCTCAAGTGATCCGCCCGCCTCGCCCTCCCAAAGTACTGGGATTACAGGTGTGAGCCACTGCGCCTGGCCTATGCATTGTATTAATTTAGCATATTCCAAAAATAATTTAAGACAGGCAAATGATAAATGTGGATGTTTCTGGTGGTGCATCACATTGTAGGTGATTTCATTTTAGTAGTTGTACCTGCATAGGGCTAAAAATTAACCCTCTCAAAGCTCTGAGAGTGCCGGAGGGCCTGAAAGAGTGCCTGGTACTTCAAAGGTTCCCAGGGATAAGAAAAATGAATGAGACAGTGCTTGCTCTCAAGAATTTCTCATCCATTTGGAAGACAACGTACATTTTATAACAGTATAATTATAAGGGCAGGCTAAATAGGATATGGTCACCTGGGCTGGGAGATGGAAAAGGAATGAGGGGGTTTGAGGAGGAAGAGGATGCTCAAGTTGAGTCTTAAATGATTAATTCCTTCTATTCATAAGGGCAGGATGGATAAACGTGATCAGGTTCTAGGCCCTGCTCTGCTTCTATCAAGCGGTGAGATATTGAGCAAACTGCTTAATACTTCTGGTATCCATTTTCCTTATTCAGGATTCGACTACATATATAAAGCAGTGCTGTACATGAGAAATATGTGAGCCAAAAATGGGAGTCACATAGGTAGGAGATTTTACATTATTTTTTTCCCCTAAATCTTTTAAATCTGGTGTATGTTACACTTGGTACATCTCAATTTGGAACAGCCACATTTCAGGCACTTAATAGCTCCATGTAACTAGTAACTGCCATATTGGACAGTATAGATCTAGAGGCTGGGTGCATTAATGCATGCCCATAGTCCAGTGCTTTGGAGGATCGAGGCAGGAGGATCTCTCTTTTTTTTTTTTTTCTTTGAGACGGAGTCTCGCTCTGTCGCCAAGGCTGGAGTGCAGTGGCGTGATCTCCGCTCACTGCAAGCTCCGCCTCCCAGGTTCACACCAGTCTCCTGCCTCAGCCTCCCGAGTAGCTGGGACTACAGGCGCCCGCCACCACGCCCAGCTAATTTTTTATATTATTTTAGTAGAGACAGGGTTTCACGGTGTTAGCCAGGATGGTCTCAATCTCCTGACCTTGTGATCTGCCCGCCTCGGCCTCCCAAAGTGCTGGGATTACAGGCGTGAGCCACTGTACCCTGCCAGCAGGAGGATCTCTTGAGCCTAGGAGTTTGAGGCTGCAGTGAGCTATGATCACCACTGCACTCCAGCTTGGGTAACAGAGTGAGACACTGTCTCAAAAAACAACCACCACCACAAAAAAGATCTAGAGGCTATTCTGTCTTGGTTCTCTGCTTGAAAAAGGAAAAGGGACTCCAATGAGAAAATTATCACTGGTAATTTATAATTTGTAATCATTTTGATGGTACTCATATATGATGTTCTTTTGATGAGAATTATGGTCATACTTGCAAATATTGCTGTAAGTATCTTTCAGGTTGTTCATAGGATTATGGTTGGGATGAGAAGAAATGTCTTTGTTTTCTCTGCATCTGTAGTGGAGTCATATTTTTGTTATCTTTATTTTGTTCATTTATGTATACTTTGTATCCTTTTTTTCTACAGTATGTTATTTCTTTTTTTCTTTCTTCTTTTTTTTTTCTAATAGAGATGGTGTCTCACTATGTTGACCAGGCTGGTCTTGAACTCCTGGCCTCAAGCGATCCTCCCATCTTGGCCTCCCAAACTGCTGGGATTACAGGCATGAGCCACTGCACTCGGCCTGCAGTCTGTTTTTCTAATGTAATGGATTTAAAACACAATGAGAGTGCATATGGACATTTTAGAAAGTTAAAAGGAGAATTTATACAATTTTAAACTAATTCTTGGATTTCTTAAAATTTTAAACTTAGCTATTTGGGTACAAAAACAAATGGGATTTATAAATCCTCTTTTAATAGATTTGAAGGCAGTTATTGTTGGCTTAGCAACAAGTATTTATCTTTTAACCTTGAGACTGCATTAAGATAGTGTATAATTAACATGCTTACTGTTAAACATAAGGCTTTCTGTTAGTATTACAGTATAACAGTTACATTATTGATATGACTGATGTGCAATGTTGGTGCACTTAATTTGCTGTGCACTGAGCTTGGTTAAAAAACACTAGTGGCTAATTTTAGACAAGATAGCTATGACTGACAATAATACATCTTTACACTTGGATTGACTGATGGTTATAGCTTAGCTAACACTGTTTTCCCTCCAAGACCTTATTACCTGTGAGGTAAATACAGCAAGTATTCTGATTTTGCTGAGGCCCAAAGATGTTGTGACTTACTTAGCATAATAAATTAGAAGCATTGCTTGAATTCAGGTCTTAACAATGCTAGGCCCAGTGTTCTGTTCTTTTTTTTTTTTGAGGGAGGTTCTCTCTGTGTCGCTCAGGCTGGAGTGCAGTGGCTCCATCTCAGCCTACTGCAACCTCTGCCTCCCACACTTGGGTGATTCTCCCACCTTAGCCACCCAAGTAGCTGGGACTACAAGCACGTGCCATCACGCCTGGCTAATTTTTGTGTTTTTTGTAGAGGAGGGGTTTTGCCACATTGTCCAGGCTGGTCTTGAACCCCTGGGCCCACCTTGGCCTCCTAAAGCGCTGAGATTACAGGCATAAGCCACCACGTCCACCCCAGTATTCTTTTCTTTTCTTCCTTCTTTCTTTTTTTTTTTTTTTTCTGGAGATGAAGTCTCACTCTTGTCGCCCAGGCTGGAGTACAATGGCGCAATCTCAGCTCACTGCAACCTCCGCCTCCTGGGTTCAAGTGATTCTCTTGCCTCAGCCTCCCGAGTAGCTGGGATTACAGGTGCATGCCACCATGCCCGGATAATTTTTGTATTTTTGGTAGAGATGGGGTTTCACCATTTTGGCCAGGCTGGTCTTGAACTCCTGACCTAAGGCGATCTGCCCGCCTCTGCCTCCCAAAGTGCTGGGATTACAGGTGTGGGCCACCGCCCCGGGCCCCAGTATTCTTTTCATTGAATCTCTTCATATGGCATTTGAGTGTTTAGATACATAGTACAAACCAGATTTTTGGAGTGTATAAAGAAATAGTTACTTCCTGCCTTTGGGAAGTTTATATTCCAACTAGGAGAGACCAACTAACTACAATCCATGTAGCAAAAAGTACTTCAGTTATTTAAAAAAATTTGTTACGGGAAAGAAAAGATGTAAGGGATAATATAGTCAAATGGAAAATAGATAAGAGTTAATTAGACAAGATTTTTGAGTAAAGAGTTTAGATTGTAAATCCTTACTATAGGAAGAAGAAGATGATGAGGTGTTAAGGATAGTGTTATTTCAATGCACAGAGAACAACTTAAGGGAAAACTTAGCTAAGGGAACATAAAACGTAGGTTTAGGGAAAGCTTTTCTTTTTTTTTTTCTTTTTTCTTTTTTTTTTTTTTTTTTGAGACGGAGTCACGTTCTTTCACCAGGCTGTAGTGCAGTGGTGCGATCTTGGCTCACTGCAACCTCTGCCTCCCAGGCTCAAGTGATTCTCCTGCCTCAGCTTCTCAAGTAGCTGGGATTACAGGCACACGTCACCACGCCCGGCTAATTTTTGTATTTTTAGTAGAGATGGGGTTTCACCATGTTGGCCAGGATGGTCTCAATCTTTTGACCTCATGATCTGCCTGCCTCGGCCTCCTGAAGTGCTGGGATGACAGGCATGAGCCACCACACCAGGCCTAGGGAGGGGTTTTCAAGGCTTATTTTTTATTTTTATTTTTTAGATAGAATATCGCTCTGTAACCCAGGCTGGAGTGCAGTGGCACGATCTTGGCTCACTGCAACCTCCGCCTCACAGGTTCAAGCGATTTTCCTGTCTCAGCTTCCTGAGTAGCTGGGATTACAGGCGTCTGCCACCACATCTGGCTAATTTTTGGGTTTTTAGTAGAGACGGGATTTCACCATGTTGGCCAGGCTGGTCTTGAACTCCTGACCTGAAGTGATCCGCCCACATCTGCCTCCTAAAGTGCTGGGATTACAGGCATGAGCCACCGTGCCCGGCTTGAATCGCCTAGTTTCATCTGACTAGATCTCATAATGACATTTATCAGGCTAGAATTCTGTGTGTATTGAAATGTATGACATGATACTACCATTGTTAAGGATTCTTTTTGAAAAGTCATACTTATTAAGGTATAATTTACACTTAGTAAAATTCATCTGTTTTAGGTGTAAAGTTCTGTATAGTTCTGCTAAAACAGATGAATTACAAAAAACAGTGACAGTTGTGTAACTGCCACCACCACAATTAAGATACAAGATATAGAATATTTCCATCACTCCAAAAATTTCCATAATTATGCCCTTTTGAAGTAAATCCCTTCAGCCCACCCCTCACTCCCTGGCAACAGCTCATTTGTTTTTTATCCCTATAGTTTGGCCTTTCCCAAAATGCCATATAAATTGGCATCACACAGTGTATATAGCCTTTTGAGACTGGCTTCTTTCATTTAGCATAACACTTTTGAGATTCAATAACATGTCTCTTTTTTATTAATAAACTTTTTTAGAAAGTTTATAGAAAAATCATGAAGTTACCAATTTACAGAAAATTTGTAATTGTAGTACAGAGAAATCCCTTAAACCCTGCACCTAGTTTCCCCTATGTTTAAATTTATGTAAACTACTAATTTTTGCTAATGGTCAAACCTGCAAGGTTCTAGAATTAAGTTTGTTGAAAATGGGAAACAATATGAAGATTTCGATCAAGACGATGACTTTCTAATGCCTTTTTTTTTTTTGAAATGCAGTCTCGCTCTGTCGCCCAGGCTGGAGTGCAGTGGCGCGATCTCAGCTCACTGCAACTTCCTCCTCCTGGGTTCAAGCGATTCTCGTGCCTCATCCTCCTGAGTAGCTGGGATTACAGGCACGCACCACTATGCCCAGCTAATTTTTGTATTTTTGTATTTTTTGTATTTTTTACCATCCCAAACAAACTCTGTAGCTGTTAAGCAGTGACTGTTCATTCTCTTCTCAACCCAGCCCCTGGTAACCACTAATCTACTTTTTTTTTTTTTTTTTTTGAGATGGAGGCTGGAATGTAGTGGCACGATCTCAGCTCACTGCAACCTCTGCCTCCCAGGTTCAAGCAATTCTGCCTCAGCCTCCCGAGTAGCTGGGACTACAGGCATGTACCACCACGCCCAGCTAATTTTTGTATTTTTAATAGAGACAGGGTTTCACCATGTTGGCCAGGATGGTCTTGATCCACCTGCCTTGGCCTCCCAAAGTGTTGGGATTACAGGCGTGAGCCCCTGTGCCCAGCCTCTACTTTTTGTCTCTGTGAATTTACCTATTCTAGATCTTTCGTGTGATTGGAATCGTGTAATATTTAGCCTTTTGTGTCTGACTTATGTCACTTAGCGTAATGTTTTCAAGGTTCATACATGTTGTAGAATGTATCATTTTTATGGCTGAATCATATTTAATGTACCACATTTTGTATATTAATTCATTGATGGATACTGCATTTGTTTTCACCTTTTGGCTATTATAAACAATGCTGCTATGAGTATTAGTGTACTCCTATTTTCAGTTCTTTTGGGTATATATCTAGGAGTGGAATTGCTGGGTTGTTGTAATTCCATATTTAATTTTTTGAAGAAACACTAAAGTGTTTTCCAAAGTGGCTGTACCATTTTACATTCCCTTAGCAGCAAAGTATCAGGGTTCCACTTTTTCTACACCCTTGCCACCACTTGTTGTTTTCCTTTTTTCCAGTTATAGCCATTCTAGTAGGTTGACTAGTGATATTGAGTATCTTTTCATGTCCTTATTGATAATAAGTTGGCTTTTTTTTTTTTTTCTTGAGACGGTGTCTCACTCTGTTGCCCAGGCTGGAGTGCAATGGCATGATCTCAGCTCACTGCAACCTCTGCCTCCCAGGTTCAAGTGATTCTCTTGTCTCATCCTCCCAAGTAGCTGGGATTACAGGTGCCTGTCAGCACGCGTGGCTAATTTTTGTATTTTTGGTAGAGACAGTGTTTCACCACGTTGGCCAGGCTGGTCTCGAATTGCTGACCTCAAGTGATCCACCCACCTCGGCCTCCCAAAGTGCTGGGATTATAGATGTAAGCCACTGCGCCCAGACTAAGGTGGCTTTTTTTTTTTGTTTTGTTTTGTTTTTTATGAGGTCTTGCTGTGTTGTCCAGGCTGGGATACAATGGCTATTCGCAGAGACAATCGTAATGCAGTATAGCCTTGACCTGATAGGCTCAAAGGATCCTTCTGCCTCAGCCTCCAGAGTAGGTGGGAGTACAGATGCATGCCACTGTGCACAGTTAATGGTAGCAACATACTGATGCTTGTTTCAACAATGGTCAAGGCAGGGTGATGTTAACATTTTTTAAAAGGAAAAATAATTGGATGGAAACGTATTTTAAAATCGCTATTATATGCTAAGCATTTTATTATATAATTTTATTTAACTCTGAAAACACAGTATTATCTGTGTTTTACAGATGAGAAAACTAAAGACAAAGGGAGATCAAGTAACTTACTTTAAAAATCACACAGTTGGCCTGGCAGTGTGGCTGATGCCTGTAATCCCAGCACTTTGGGAGGCTGAGGTGGGTGGATCACCTGAGGTCAGGAGTTCGAGACCAGCCTGGCCAACATGGTGAAACCCTGTCTCTACTAAAAATACAAAAATCAGCCGGGTGTGGTGGCGGGCACCTGTAATCCTGGCTACTTGGGAGGCTGAGTTAGGAGAATCGGCTTGAACCTGGGAGGTGGAGGTTGCAATGAGCGGAGACTGTGCCACTGTACTCCAGCCTGGGAGACAGAGCAAGACTCCATCTCAAAAAAAAAAAAAATCACACAGTTTATAAGAGGGAAGTCTGATATTTGCTTGCTGCTACATGGTTCTTTCTCCTGCTATCACTGTTATATAAAACTATGAATTTAATCCACATGTTGATGTCATGTGAAAGTAAGACTTTTTTAGTCATAGAAATTGATGGAGTTTGGGGGAAAATTCCAGAAGTAGTCATGTCAGTTTTTCGTTATTTTTTATTATTCACTATTCAGGGTTTCTCAGTTGCAACTCAGTTTTATCTTTTTTCTACCTTAAGCCATGTTAAATGCAGGTATATACCATAACATTTAACACAGAAGCTTTACTGTTATCTGTCATGTTGGAATTGGGGTGATGTCAAAGTTTATTTAATGATTCATGTCAAGTGAATGAACAATGAAGTAGATCAAAGTTCAGTAATTATCTCCACAAAGCAGTACTACTGTTGGGATTCTGAGTTAGATTGAAAACTTCTTGGTCAGCAAAATGTCTTTCAATAGGGATCTCTTGCTGTGACTATATCCCCTTTCCTTGTCCCCCTCCCACATACATACAGTGATACACATATGCAGACATAGAAAATTATCATGGTTAGATACCCTGGTTGTGAATCACTTATGTGTAGAATGTTGCTCCTAAGGGCTGAAGACTACTAGTCTTCAGGAATAATGACTACTAGTGGATATTAAGCTATGGTGCAACCATTGCCTTTTGTCAAAATAGAATTAAGGCCTTTATTAATGTGCTTATAGTAGTTGTGCAGTGGATAATCGTTTTAATAGAGTAATATGGAGGCTAAAGAATGGAGTGGGGGCCAGGTGCGGTGGCTCATGCCTGTAGTCCCAGCACTTTGGGAAGCTGAGGTGGGTGGATCTCTTGTGCCCAGAAGTTCAAGACCAGCATGGGCAACATGGTGAAACCGCATCTCTACTAAAAATAAAAAATTAGCCAGGCATGGTGGTGCTCGCCTATAATCCCAGCTACTCAGGAGGCTGAGGCGGGAGGATCGCTTGAGCTGGAAGGTGGAGGTTGCAGTGAGCCTCCTGACCTTGTGATCCTCCCACCTCAGCCTCCCAAAGTGCGGGGATTATAGGTGTGAGGCCCCGTGCCTGGCCAGGCTCACCTATTTTTAAACTTGTGACGAAGCTTGGGAAGACTCTCCTCTTCACTTTTCCCATGGCTCACTCTTTTTTATGTCCAGGTTGTGGCTCCAATTTTTTTTTCCCTGACTACCCTATTGAAAATTGTATCCTTGCCGGGCACGGTGGCTCACGCCTCTCACGCCTGTAATCCCAGCACTTTGGGAGGCCAAGGTGGGCGGATCACGAGGTCAGGAGATCGAGACCATCCTGGCTAACACGGTGAAACCCCATCTCTACTAAAAATACAGAAAAATTAGTCAAGCGTGGTGGCCGGTACCTGTAGTCCCAGCTACTCGGGAGGCTGAGGCAGGAGAATGGCGTGAACCCGGGAGGCGGAGCTTGCAGTGAGCGGAGATCGAGCCACTGCACTCCAGGCTGGGTGACAGAGCAAGACTCCGTCTCAAAAAAAAATAATAATAATAGTATCCTCCCCAACTAAATCATTCTCTCTCACATTACTGTTCTTTTCTCCTATTTCATTTACTGTCTGTATGTACCATTTTGTTTACTTGTTTGAATCAAACCACTTCTTAACATTTCCATTGCTGTTATCCTAGTCCAAGTCATTATTCTAGACTTTTTCAGCTACCTGTTAATTGGTCTCCCAGTTTCCATTTTTGTTTGTTATGCCTATTTTCCACAGAACAATAGGGATCTTGAGCAATGTAAATCAGATCACATGACTGTGTCTGCCTGAAATTCACCCTGGGCTTCCTATTATACCTAAAATTCAGTATAGTATCCCCCATCTTGGAGGTATATCAAATTTAATAATTAAAAAAGTTTTTATTGATAGATGGAGATTTTAAGATTTTTTTGGAGAGATTTCTGATTTTTGATAGTTGAGCTTAGTGATTTAACTTGTTTCTGATTTTTTTTTGTTTCTTTTCTTAATCCACAATGTGATAGTATGTTTCTTTTCTTTTTTCTTTTCTTTTCTTTTTTTCTTTCGAGATGAAGTCTCGCTCTGTTGCCCAGGCTGGAGTGCAGTGGCACTATCTCGGCTCACTGCAAGCTCTGCCTCCCTGGTTCATGCCATTCTCCTGCCTCAGCCTCCCAAGTAGCTGGGACTGCAGGCGCCTGCCACCATGCCTGGCTAATTTTTTGTATTTTTATTCAAGATGGGGTTTCACCATGTTAGCCAGGATGGTCTCAAACCCCTGACCTCGTGATCCACCTGCCTTGGCCTCCCAAAGTGCTGGGATTACAGGCGTGAGCCAGCGCGCGGGGCTCCTTTTTTTTTTTTTGCAATAGAGTCTTGCTCTGTCTCCCAGGCTGGAGTGCAGTGGCATGATATTGGCTCACTGCAACCTCCGCCTCCTGGGTTCAAGCAATCCTCCTGCCTCAGTCTCCTAAGTAGCTGGGACGACGACAGCAACAACGACTGCTATGTGGTGCACTCCACCATGCCTGGTCAATTTTTGTATTTTTTGGTAGAGATGGAGTTTCACCATGTTGGCCAGACTGGTTTTGAACTCTTGACCTCAAGTGATCTGCCTGCCCTGGCCTCCCAAAGTGCTGGGTTTGCTGGCATGAGCCACTGCACCTGGCCATGTTTCTAATTTTTTTTTTTTCTTTGAGACAGAATCTTCCTCTTTCACCAGGTTGGAATGCAGTGGCGCCATCTCGGCTCACTGCAACCTCTGCCTCCCGGATTCCAGCGATTCTCCTGCCTCAGCCTCCTGAGTAGCTGGGATTACAGGCGCCTGCCACCATGCCCAGCTAATTTTTGTATTTTTAGTAGAGACAGGGTTTCACCAAGTTGGCCGGGATGGTTTTGATCTCTTAACCTCGTGATCCACCTGCCTCGGCCTCCCAAAGTGCTGGGATTATGAGTATGAGCCACCACACCCGGCCCCCTATATTTCTAATTTTTATAAAAAAATACATCACAAGAAATCCACAGGGTAAAATTAAGTTAGATTCGAATGAGGAAGTTTCATTGTGTCATACCCTCAACTTGGAAATGTGACTGCATACTTAACGTAACAAAATTTGGAGAAAAGAATTAAACTTTACAAGTTAAATTTAATATTATAGAAATCTAAGAGTTAGAATTAATCTTTTTTTTTTTTTCTTCGAGATGGAGTTTCGTTCTTGTTGCCCAGGCTGGAGTGCAATGTCGCAGTCTCGGCTCACTGCATCCTCTGCCTCCTGGGTTCAAGCAATCCTCCTGCCTCAGACTCCCGAGTAGCTGGGATAACAGGCATGTGCCACCATGCCCAGCTAATTTTGTATTTTTAGTAGAGGTGGAGTTTCACCATGTTGGTGAGGCTGGTCTTGAACTTCTGACCTCAGGTGATCCACCTGCTTTGGCCTCTCAAAGTGCTGGGATTACAGGCATGAGCCACTGCGCCAGGCTAGAATGAATCTTATCATCCAATGTCTAACAACTTTATGTACTTGAGAAATTGAAGCTCAGAGAGGTGAAGTGCTTTATTCAAGTTGAAATAGCTAATTAATAATAATAGGGATGGGGCAGAAACTCAGTTTTTCTTTTCTTCTAATTCAAAGTCCTCATTTGTTAGTTTGTGATGCCTGTATTTAGCAATTTCTTTTTTCTTTCCTGCCTCAGGTTTATTTGTACAAATAGCACAGGAGGTGAGGACCCCAGCCCCATGCAGACGGCAGCCTGGGCAGGTTGCACCAGTCCTTGTGTCCTCACGTTGGCAGGCAGATACCTACTCTGAAGCCTTTGTAGGAGCCTGAGCACCTTTGCGAACCTGAGCTGGAACTGAAGCTGGAGTTGCAGCCTGGGCCTTGGTTTGATCCTTGTCCTTGTCGTTTGGCCGGCACAACCCAAGCCCCTTGGCAATGCGGGCACAAGCACGCTTCCCAAGCTTGGGGTGGGCAATGTAGGCAAGTCGATGGAGCTTGCTGCTGACACCCTTTGGGATCTTGGGCTTAACCTCCTTTACAAGGGCCTTCATAGCCTCACCACGTGGACTGATGGCCTGCCAAAGCCTGCATCTTCTTTAGGCCCTTCTTGTTTTGCTTCTTGGCAATGCACATGTTCCTCAGGAATTTGGGGTCCACCCCCTTGAGAGAGTCATATCTTTGTGATCGGGGTTTCTTTTCTTTTCTTTTCTTTTCTTTTCTTTTCTTTTCTTTTCTTTTCTTTTCTTTTCTTTTCTTTTCTTTTTTTGAGACAGAGTCTCGCTCTGTTGCCAGGCTGGAGCGCAGTGGTGCGATCTCGGCTCACTGCAGCCTCCGCCTTCTGATTTCAAGCAATTCTCCTGCCGCAGCCTCCCGAGTAGCTGGGACTACAGACGCGCGCCATCATGCCCCGCTAATTTTTATATTTTTAGTAGAGATGGGGTTTCACCATGTTGGCCAGGTTGGTCTCGATCTCTTGACCTCGTGATCCACCCGCCTTGGCCTCCCAAAGTGCTGGGATTACGGGCGTAAGCCACCACACCTGGCTTGATCGCAGTTTCTTAATACCATTTCTGTGCCATTTTCGGGAATGTTGTGTGTGGTGTGGTTCTTGGACTTGGCCATGTCTGCACCCTAAGCCATGGCTCCTGAAGCACCTAGAACCGGAAGCTATATTCAGCAATTTTTAAGTTGAATTTCTGTTAATACCTTTAGATTTAAGAATATTTTTTAAATATAAAACTTAGTGGGATAACAAAGCCGATTTCTAAGGAAATATTCTTCAGGGAATTTCAGTTTCTAACTGCGGCGGAAAAATCTCTTATTTCAGGATAGTTTTTATTGGAAGAATGTCTTAGTTCATTTTCTGCTGCTGTAACAATACCACAGATTGATACTTTATAAAGAAAATAAATTTATTTGGCTTACAGTTCTGGAGGCTGGGAAGTCCAAGGGCATGGTAGTACTAACATCCGCTTGGCATCTGGTGAGGGCGTTCTTGCTGTGTCCTAACAGAGTGCAGGCGACCACATATGACAGAGAGGAAATCTGGCTGAACTCATCTTTTAATCAGGAGCCCATTCCTACAGTTATGGTATTAATCCCACAATTATGACATTGTGTGAGTGTACTCCCACAGTCGTAGTCATGAGGACTATGCCCTCCTGGCCTAATCATCTCTTAAAGGTCCCACCTCTTAATACTATCACAATGGCAATTAAATTTCAACATGAGTTTTGGAGGGGACATTAAAACCATAGTTGTTTTCATAGTTACCACATAATAATTGGCTGAATGTTTAAAGTCAAATACTGTATTTGCTATAAAAGGTTGACTAGTGATGAGGTTTCCATAACAGTTGTTTTGTGGCCAGGCACGGTGGCTTACGTCTGTAATCCCAGCACTCTGGGAGGCTGAGGAGGGCAGATCACTTGAGATCAGGAGTTTGAGACTATCCTGGCTAACATGGTGAAACCCCATCTCTACCAAAAATAAAACATTTAGCTGGTTGTGGTAGCACACACCTGTAATCCCAGTTACTCAGGAGGCTGAGGCATGAGAATCACTTGAACCTGGAGATGGAGGTTGTAGTGAGCTGAGATTGCGCCACTGTACTCCAGCCTGGGTGACAGAGCAAGATTGTCTCAAAAATACAAAAAATACAGTTCTTTTGTGGGGATTATTTGTAGTTGTTGGACCAGAAGCAATTATTTTTTTCATATGTTAAAAGAGTTGTATAAAATATGAGATGGAGATGTACAGTATAGTAATGTAGCTTATTCAGCTTGTTAAATTAAGTCTCCTGTTCTGATTTAGATTGACCCACAATGTTGGATTTAGCTTGGAGAATATAACTTTACTGTATCAGCAATATTCCCCAAAGAGCATCTTCAAACACATGTTTAAACAAATAATAAGAGGATCCATATGTTTCTATTACACCTGCATTATTAATTTATTTATTTATTGAGACAGGGGTCTCGCTCTGTTACCCTGGCTGGAGTGCAGTGGTGCGATCTCCGCTTGCTGCAACCTCTGCTTCCTGGGCTCAAGCTTTCCTGCCACCTCAGCCTCCTGACTAGCTGGGACTACAATCATGCACCACCACGCTGGCTAATTTTTCTATTTTTTTTTTTTTTTTTTAGTAGAAGCAGGGTTTCCTTATGTTTCTTAGGCTAGTCTCAAACTCCTGGACTCAAGCAGTCTGCCCACCTTGACGTCCCAAAGTGTTCGTAGTACAGGCATGAGCCACCACACCTGGCCAAGCCTGAACTTTTAACTAGCTTTCATCATTAAATGAACCTAAAACTTTTATGAAGATCCTCTCCGAGTTAGCTAAACTGTAAAGTTTGAGGACACAGTCTTCCATAAGACCACTTTCACTTCTGACACCAACTGCAAGTCTGGGGGCTGGGGAGGTTCCCAAAGTTTCGATAACTTGCTAAAAAGATGCCAGGAGAACTCACTGCTAAGAGCTATTATGTTCATGGTTACAGTTTATTTCAAGGAAAGGATACAGATTAAAATCAAGGCAAGGAGCCCATAGAACCAAGTTCAAGAGGGTCTCAAATGTTGGAGCATCTGGTATTCGCTCCCCATTAAGTCAGGAGGTGTTACTCTCAGTATCAGTATGTGACAGTATGCATGGACTGTTGCCATCCGGGGAAGCTCACTTGTGCTTCAGCATCCAGATTTTCAAATTAGGACTTCATTAAATAGGCATGTTTGATTGATGGATTGCCCACATAGTTGAGCTCAGTCTCTAGATTGGATTCAGACTGATACTGGGTGACCCAAAGTCCCCATCCTAAATCACATGGTTGGCCTTTCTGGTTGGCCAACCCTGGCCAGAAGGACACTCCTGTCAAGTATGACATAGATTACCTCTCAGGAGCAGAGGGCACCTGTCTTTGGGCAAGGCTAAATTCTTTAATAGGTAGGATGTAAAATTAAAACTTACCTCCATGGTTTCTTTAGGAACAGACTCTGTAGACAATAGATGGATTTGATCCTAACTCCATGTATTAATAAGAACCGACATAATTTCTTTCAAGTAGTCATTTAAACTACATTATAACCTCATTGGGTGAATCCTCTAGTATATTTTTATCCTGCTTGGGCTTCACTGAACTTCTTGGTTTTGTTTGGTTGATGTCTTTCTTTGTGGAAAGTTCTGGCCATTTCCTTTTAAAATATTTCTTCTGTTTCATTCTCTCTACTCTCCTTCTTGGACTCCAATTACACATTATATTAGACCATTTGAAATTGTCCCACAGAACTTAGACATGCTGTTGTATACCCTTCCCCCTCTTTTTCTCTGTTTCATTTTGGATATTTTCTATTGATCTGTCCTCGGGTTTATCAATCCTTCTGCTTAGTCCATCTAATTAATTATTGATTTTGAATATATTTTTCCTTTCCAGTATTTCTTTTCTGTAGTTCCTGTTACTATGCTGAAATGTCCCATCACTTCATACATATTGTCTATCTTTTCTACTAGATCATTTAATATTTTTATCATAATTTTTTTTTTTTTTTTGAGACAGAGTCTTGCTCTGTCGCCCAGGCTGGATGGAGTGCAGTGGCGCAATCTCGGCTCACTGCAACCTCTGCCTCCTGGGTTCAAGTGATTCTCCTGTCTCAGCCTCCTGAGTAGCTAGGATTACAGGTGCGCACCACCACGCCTGGCTAATTTTTGTATTTTAATAGAGATGGTGTTGCACCATGTTGGCCAGGCTGGTCTCAAACTCCTTACCTCAGGTGATCCATTGGCCTCCCAGAGTTCTGGGATTACAGGTGTGAGCCACCGCACCCAGCCTATCATAATTATTTTAAAGTTACTATTTTTTTTGAGATGGAGTCTCACTCTGTTGCCCAGGCTGGAGTACAGTGGCATGATCTCGGCTCACTGCAACCTCTGCCTCCCAGGTTCAAGCAATTCTCCTGCCTCAGCCTCCAGAGTAACTGGGATTACAGGCACGCGTCACTATGCCCAGCTAATTTTTGTATTTTTAGTAGAGATGGGGTTTCGCCATGTTGCAGGCTGATCTTGAACTGCTGACCTCAAGTGATCCACCCACCTTGGCCTCCCAAAGTGCTGGGATTACAGGCCTGAGCCACCACGCCCAGCCTAAACTTACTATTTAATAATAATTCCAACATTTGGGGCATCTTTGAGTTTGCTTATTTTGACTATTTCCTTTACTTTTACTTACCATTGGTCACATTTTCTTGCTTCTTTTTATGTCTCATAATCTTTTATTTTATACCAGACATCTTTTTTTTTTTTTTTTTTTTTTTTGAGACAGAGCCTCACTCTGTGACCCAGGCTGGAGTGCAGTGGCTCAATTTCAGCTCACTTTTTAGTTTTTCATACTTCTCCAAAACTGTCTTCTTTTAAAATCACTAATATTAGGGAGGGGAAATGTGACTGCTAATGAGTGCAGGGTTTCTTTATGGGGCGATGAAAGTATTCTGAAACTTGGTAGTAGTGATGGTCACACGCCTGTGAATATACTAAAAATATACTAAAAACAACTGAATATACTAAAAACAACCACAATCTCTGCCTCCCAAGTTCAAGCAATTCTCCAGCCTCAGTCTCCTGAGTATCTGGGATTACAGGCCTGTGCTACCATGCCCAGCTAATTTTTGTATTTTTAGTAGAGATGGGGTTTCACCATCTTGGCCACGCTGGTCTTGAACTCCTGACCTCAGGTGATCCACCCGCCTCGGCCTGCCATAGTGCTGGGATTACAGGCGTGAGCTGCCGTACCTGGCATGTATACCAGACAGCTTCTATAAAACAAAGGAGAACCTGAAGTTTACTTATTTTTTACTTAATATTTACCTCCAAAATTCCATTTATTCTGTCTGGCCACTAAATTGAGTAAGTCTAATTTATAAGTAAGATGAGTCTGTGCTTTGTTGCAGCTGTAGTTTGATTCAGTTTACCACTGGGTCCAAATACTTTGGGGCAGAATTATGACTTTCTCCTCAGCAGGATTTGGGATCTAAGCACTGACATGATTTCAGAGATCTGTTTTGCCAGCTGAGCTGCCAGCTTTTTAGGTCGCTGGGAGGTTCTCTTTGTTCTTTAATTGTGCTTCTTGCCTTTCTGTGTCTCAGGAGATCTCTGCAGCAAAGGAGATCTCTGCCTTGCTGCTCTTACCCTTGCCTCAGGAGGGCAGCTGTTTTACATTCTGTGAAGGCCTGGAATGCCGTGGAGAGCTTTTTCTCAGCTCTTGCCTCCACAGCCTTTGGTAGCCAAAAGCTTGGATTACCTCAGATGGATTTCTGTCTGCCACTTGCCAATCCTCCTTTGGAAGATAACTGCCTTGTACTTCAGGGAGGCCTACATACTTCAGATGGGATCTCTTTCAGTTCTTCTGATCTGTCTTCAGCTTTCAGTGTGCTACCTGTGTATTTAGTGAAGACCTGTAGGAGAGTTGGTAGATGGGTACAGATGGGTTCCATGTCTGGGGCTCCTTGTAATTCTTTTTCCAGCACATTAGACTACTCAGCTTTACCTCCACCACGCCTTAGAATTTTAATCTGTCATGCTAGCCTACATTTGGCATTAAAAATTTCTTAAAAGTCTGGTTTGTTTCTTCTTATCCCCATCTACAGTACGTTTTCTCCTGATGCTGCTGCACCAGGGAAGAGAGTAGTGTTGGGCCTCTCTCTCTATTAAAGGGCTATCACTTTCTGAAATTTAATTCATTAGGTGTTTGTGTGTTCTCTGTTCTGTGACATTTCTTTTTCTTTTTTTTTGAGACAGGGTCTCACTCTGTCACCCAGGTTGGAGTGTAGTGGTGCATGATCTCAGCTCACTGCAATCTCCACCTCCTGGGCTCAAGTGATTCTCCTGCCTCAGACTCCTGAGTAGCTGCAGATTACAGGCATGCACCACCATGCCCAGCTAATTTTTGTATTTTTAGTAGAGATGGGGTTTCGCCATGTTGGCCAGGCTGGTCTCGAACTCCTGACCTCAAGTGATCCACCCACCTCGGCCTCCCAAAGTGCTAGGATTACAGGCGTGAGCCACCATGCCTGGCCCAAAATCCCCGTATTTATCATCTTTATTTTGAGATATTAAAACATGCAAATGATGAAAAATTTAAAACTACCAAAATTTAGCAAAAAGTAAATCTGCTTCCTACCATTGGCTCCCAGCTGTCCCTCATTTTTAGTTATTGACTTAGTAGTTTCTTACTTTTGTCATGATAGTCCCCTAAGGTGTCTCTTCCTTTCCAAGTCAAACCCCTCCATCTGTGTTTCTGATTGTATCCTGTTCAACTGTATCCAGTTTGTGAGCGAGTATATATCTTCTGTCTCTGTGCCTCTCAGTCTTTTTCCCCGAATCCTTCCCTTCAGTCTATGGCCTTTCCCATTTTAAACAGCCATTCTGATACCACCTCTTCCTATTTACCTCTCTCTCCTAGTTCCCTTTGAAAGCATAATATACCCTTGTTACTTATAATTCCTTACTTTTCTTTTAGTTTTTCATACTTCTCCAAAACTGTCTTTTTAAAAAATCACTAATATTAGGGGAAATGTGAAACCCTGCCAATGAGAAACTCTGCTAATGGGTGCAGGGTTTCTTTATGGGGTGATGAAAGTGTTCTGAAACTTGGTGGTAGTGATGGTCACACACCTCTGAATATACTAAAAACAACTGAATAGTATACTTTAAAAGGGTAAATTTCATATTAAGTGAGTTATATCTCAATAAAGCTATTATTTTAAACATCACTGAGTTCTTAGATTTAGTGTTTTATTCCAGTCCTTATCCTGTGTCATCTCTCTGTAGTTTCTGACAATATTAACCATTTCCTCCTTAGGATACTCTGTTCCTTGTATTTATTTGATACCAGTCTTCATGTGCTAATCGCTCTCATGATTTTTTTCTTGTTTCTTTTTTATCTTCACTCTACACATTCTCCCAGGGCAATCTCAACTACTTCCATGACTTTAGGTCTTCAGCTGTACACTTAGATAACGCCTAAAGATTTATCTCTAGCCAAATTGCTCTGTTGAGCCCAAAGCCAGTATTTCTTTTTTTTGAGACAGGATCTGCTCTATCACCCAGGCACTAGGGAGCCTTGACCTGGCTCAAGCAATCTTCCCACCTCAGCCTCCTGAGTAGCTGGAACTACAGGCCCGAACCACCACACCCAGCTAATTTTTGTATTTTTAATAGAGATGGGGTTTTAGTGTGTTGTCCAGGCTGGTCTTGAACTCCTGGGCTTCAATTCCTGACCATTCGCCTTGGCCTCCCAAAGTGCTGGGATTATAGGCATCAAGCCACCGTGCCCGGCCAAGGCCAGTATTTCTATCCCCAAGCAGACATGAACTGTATTTCTCACAATTACTTCAAAATAGGAATGTGTTTTGGTCTGACTAAAAAGGGCCATGTGGCTCTGAAGAAGAATTCCGAGATATACATATGGATTTTTTTCCCTTAGAGGAAGAAATTGACGGCATATTATTTGGCACATTTAAGATGGCTTCTAAATACTTTAAAAATGAATGCAACAAGAGGGGGTTAAAAATCTATTGTATCTCTTTATTATATCTCTTAGGTTAAAATACTCATTTTGAATGTGATATTTTTGTTCCATATTAATTTCACCTATTTGTTTAACAACTACTTGAATGAAAGCTTTGTTATTCCAGGACTAGAGTGCTGGGAATATAGCAGTAAACCAGACAAATAAATCCCAGCTTCATGGAATTTATAGCCTAGAGGGGGAAATGCAGGCAATAAACAAAATAAATAAGTAAATATATAGTATACTAGATGGTAGTAAATGCTAAGGAGAAAATTAAGGTAAGGTGATAGGCAGTGGAGTTGGAGAAAATTGCAGTTTTAACTTGGTTATCAGGGAGGACTTTACACAAGTGTCACCTTTTCAATGAAGACTTGAAGGAAGCGAGGGATTAAGCCATTCAGTGATTCAGCGGAACAGTCTAGTCAGAGGTAACAGAAGAGCAGAGGCCCTGAGTTGGGAGCATAAGGTGTTGAGGAACAACAAGGGGGCCAGTGTGATGGAAGCAGTGCACAGTTACAGGAGGGAGATAATGGGGGGCCAAATATTAGTGTGCCTGGTGGGCCATTGTAAAGATTGTACCTTTTCTCTGAATGAGTTAGGAGCTATTGAAAATTCTGTGCAGAGGAGTGACAAGTTCTAGGTTTTTCAAGATCACTCCAGCTACTGTGTTGAGGATAGTCTGAAGGTGGGGAAAGGAGGGGTTATAAATGTAGCAGGGAAACAGTTTGGGGAAGGCTATTTCAATAATCCAGGAAAGAACAAGAGATGATGATTAATTGGTCTAGGATGGTATTGAGAACGTAATGAAGAAATGTTTAGGTTCAGAAATATTTTGAAGATAGAGCCTGTAAGTATCTGATATAGTGACCACTAAATGTTGTTGCCTTCCTGATAAGCTATAACTGAATTAGAATTTTCTAATATAATAGAAATAAGTAAATTTACTACCTATGCATACAATGATGAGAGTGTATAATCATTTCTCTCACTGATTGTAATATCTTACTATAGTAGTTTCCCCACCTTTTCCTTAGTAGGATATGTTCCAAGATCCCCAGTGGATGCCTAAAACTTCGGATAGTACCAAACCCTATGTGTACAGTCATGTGTTGCTTAATGGCTGGGATATGTTCTAAGAAATGCATCAGTAGGCAATTTTGTCATTGTGTGAATGTCATAGCAAGAACTTAAATCTTGATGGTGTAATCTACTACACACCTAGGGTATGTAGTATATAGCCTTTTGCTCTTAGGCTACAAACTTTATGACATATTGCTGTACATATATTAAATGCTGTACATACTATAGCATGTTATTTTACTAAATACTGTAGGCAATTGCAACAATTGTTAAGTATTTGCGTATCTAAACATAGAAAAGGCACAGTAAAAATATGGTATAAAAGATTTAAAAATGTACCTGTGTAGGGCACTTAAGTATGAGTGAAGCTTGCAGGACTGGAAATTGCTCTGGGTGAGTCAATGAGTGAATAGTGAGTGAATGCAAAGGCCTAGGACATTACTGTATACTACTGTAGATTTTATAAACACTGTACATGTACTATGCTAAATTTGTAAAAATATATATTTTTTTCTTTTTAATTAAAAAAAAAAATCTTTTTTAGACAGTCTCACTCTGTTGATCAGGCTAGTGCAATGGTGTGATCACAGCTTACTGTGGCCTGGAAGTCCTAGGCTCAAATGATCCTCCCACCTCAGCCTCCTGAGTAGCTAGGAATATAGGTGTGTGCCACCACACTCGGCTAATTATTTTTTAAACTTTTTGTAGTTGAGAAAGGTGATCTCGCTACATTGCCCAGGCTGGTCTCAAGCTCCTGGGCTTAAGGATCCTCTCCTCTTGGCCACCCAAAGTGCTGGGATTATAAGCATGAGACACCATCCCCAGCCATTTTTCTTTCCTTAGTAATAAATTAACCTTAGCTTACTGTAACCTTTTTACTTTATAAACTTTTTAATTTTTTTTAACTTCTGACGCTTTTGTAATAACATATAAGAACATAGTACAGCTATACAAAAATACTTTATATCCTTATTCTACAAGCGGCTATTTTCTATTTTTTAAATTTTAAATTTTTTTTTACTTTGTAAACTTTTTTGTTAAAAACTAAGACACAAACACACATGGCAGCCTAGGCCTACACAAGGTCAGGATAATCAATACAGCTGTTTTCCATCTCCACATCTTGTTTCACTGGAAGTCCTCAGGGGCCATAATATGCATGGAGCTGTCATCTCCTAGGATAACAATGCCGTCTTCTGAAATACCTCCTGAAGGACCTACTTGAGGCTGTTTTACAGTTAACTTTTTTTTTTTTTTAAAGTAGAAGGAGTGTACTATAAAGTAACAATGAAAAATATAGGAAATATTACTAGGAGTTTTTCATCTCTGTTATAACATTATAATCTTTTTTCTTTTTAGAGACAGGATCTTACTCTGTGCTCAGGCAAGAGGTACAGTGGCATGATCATATAACTCACTGTAACTTCAAACTCCTGGTCTCAAGTGAGTGTCCTACTTCAGCCTCCCAAAGAGCTGAAATTGAGTGGCTAGAATTGCAGGCATGTGCCACCATGCCTGGCTAATTTTTTTTTTTTTTTTTTAAAGAGGGTTCTCACTATGTTGCTCAGGTTGGTCTCAAACTGCTGGGTTTAAGCATACCCCACTCCTCGACCTCCCAAAGGGAGGGTGCTGGGACTACAGGTGTGAGCCACTGCACCTGGCCCATTATAATCCTGAGGGCCCACTGTCATATATATGGTCTGCTGTTGGCTGGAGTGTCATGTGGTACATGACTATACTGTGTTTTTTCCTATATGTACATAACTTACGATAAAGTGGTTTTCTTTTTTTTTGTTGTTTTTTTACAGTTTCTTTCTGTTGCCCAGGCTGGAGTGCAGTGGCACGATCTCAGCTCACTGCAACCTCTGCCTCCCAGGTTCAAGGGATTCTCCTGCCTCAGCCTCCCAAGAAGTTGGGATCACAGACGTGTGCCACCACACCACGCCCGGCTAATTTTTGTATTTTTAGTAGAGACGGGGTTTCACCATGTTGGCCAGGCTGGTCTCAAACTCCTGACCTCAGGTGATCCACCCACCTTGGCCTCCCAAAGTTCTGGGATTACAGATGTGAGCCACTGTGCCTGGCCAGTAAAGTTTAATTTATAAGTTAGGCACAGTAAGAGAATAACAATAAGTAATAATAGAATAATTATAACAGTATACTTTCATAAAAGTTGTTTAAGACTTATGAATTGTTGATATCTGGAATTTTCTATTTAATATTTTTGGACCACCTTTGACTGTGGGTGACTGAAACCTTGGAAAGAGAAACTGTGGATAAGGGGGAACTACTGCATTCATTTTTTAATGTTTTACTTGTATTTTAAAATGCAGTGAGGCAGAGCGTGGTGACTCATGTCTGTAATCCCAGCACTTTGGGAAGCCAAGGCAGGTGGATTGCTTGAACTTAGGAGTTTGAGACCAGCCTGGGCAACATGCATGGCAAAACCTCATCTCTACAAAAAATACAAAACTTAGCCAGGTATAGTGATGCATACCTGTAGTTCCAGCTACTCTGGAGACTGAGGTGGGAGGATTACCTGAGCCTGGGAGGTCGAGGCTGCAGTGAACTGTGATCATGCTGCTTCACTTCGGCCTGGCGACAGAGTGAGAACCTGTCTCAAAAATACATAAATAAATAAATAAAAATGCAGTGAATGTTTTACATAAATTGATCATGTTATGTGCAGTGCTCATTAATTCACAGATGATGAACATTTGAGAAACTCTATTTTATAAAGTTTGTTATAGTCTTATCCTTTCCCCATGTCTCTTAATGAGTGACAGCAGTCTCCTTAATTTAGCCTCTAGATTGGCAAATGAAAGGGGGACAGTATAGCTTTTATTTGTATTTTTTAATGTTATCACTAAAAGATAAACTTTCCAAGTCGAACTTTTTTTTTTTTTTTTTTTGAGACAGGGTCTTGTTCTGTCGTCCAGGCTGAAGTACAGTGAATGATCTTGACTCACTGCAGCCTCAACTTGCTGGGCTCAAGTGATGCTCCTACCTGTCAGCCTCCAGAGTAGCTGGGACTACAGGCATGCGCCACCATGCCTAGCTAATTTTTAAAATTTGTGTAGAGATGGGGTTTTGCCATGTTGCTTAGGCTGGTCTCAAACTCCTGGGCTCCTCTTGTCTCAGCCTCCCAATGTGTTTTGTGAGTCACTGCACCCAGCCAAGAGTAGATTATTCTTTATGGTTAAGTAACGCACAGAAAAGTGCACAAATCATATATGATTATTTAACAAATAATTATAAATACATACTTGGGTAACCAGTCACTAGGTTAGGAAGCAGAACATTGCTAGTACCCCAAAGTCCCCACTATATTTCTTTCTGATTATAACTTTGTGAGTAACTACTATTCTAACTTTTTTTTTTTTTTTTGAGACAGAGTTTCACTCTTGTTGCCCAGCCTGGAGTACAATGGCACGGTCTTGGCTAACCGCAACCTCCATTTCCCAGGTTCAAGCGATTCTCTTTCTCAGCCTCCCAAGTAGCTGGGATTACAAGCATGTGCCACCACGCCTGGCTGATTTTTTATATTTTTAGTAGAGATGGGGTTTCTCCATGTTGGTCAGGCTGGTCTCGAACTCCTGACCTCAAGTGATCCACCCGCCTTGGCCTCCCAAAGTGCTGGGATTACAGGTGTGAGCCACTGTGCCCGGCTATTCTAACTTTTGATAATCATTTCCTTCACAGTTTTGCCATAATGTAAGCATTCTTAAATAAAATAGTTTTTCATGTTTTTGAACTTTATATGAATCAAATCGTGTGTGTGTGTTTGTGTGTGTGTGTGTGTGTGTGTGTGTGTGTGTGTATATATATATATATATATATATATATATATATATATATATATATATATATATATATTTAAAAATGGGATCTCACCATGTTGCCCAGGTTGGTGTTGAACTCCTGGGCTCAAGGGATCTTCCTACCACAGCTTCCCAAGTAGCTGGGACTACGGGCATGCCACACCCAGCGCCTTACGTGTGTGTATATGTGTGTGTTTTCTGTCTTTCAGTTGCTCAACCTGTTTCTAAGTTTTATTGTACAACTCTAGTGGATCCATTTGCATTGCTATATAGAATTCCATTGAGTGAACTGTGTTATAATAAAAAAAAAAATCAGATGATTGGTGACTGGGGGCTCTTAGATAACTTCAGGATGGGTGTTGGTTGCCTGAAAGACCAAAACATGATTAGAGGGTTAGGGAGGGGAGAAGTGCTAGAGACCAATTACCAATGGCCAGAGACTTAATCAACCATGTCTATATAATGAAGCCTCCATTAAAACCCTTAAATGACAGGGTTTGGAGAGCTTCTGGGTTGGTGAACACATAGAGGTGCCGGGAGATAGTGTCCAGAAAGGGTATGGAAGTTCTGTCCCGCCACCTCTAATACCTTGCCCTATGCATCTCTTCCCTTTGGCTGTTCCTGAGTTGTATCCTTTATAATAAGTCAGTAATAAGTAAACTCTTCCATTTGGCTGTTCCTGAGTTGTATCCTTTATAATAAGTCAGTAATAAGTAAACTCCACCTGAGTTTTGTGAACCATTCTAGCAAATTATAAAACCTGAGTTGGGTTCATGGGAACCCTTGATTTGAAGGCAAGTCCAAAACAGTACAAGTAATATAGGAACCCACTACTTGTGACCGTAGTCTGAAATGAGGGTATCCGCTGGAATGCAGTGGCACAATTTTGGCTCACTGCAACCTCTGCCTCCCGGGTTCAAGTGATTCTCCTGCCTCAGCCTCCTGAGTAGCTGGGATCACAGGTGTGCGCCACCACATCTGGCTAATTTCTGTATTTTTAGTACAGATGGGGTTTCTCCATGTCGGTCAGGCTGGTCTCGAACTCCTGACCTCAGGTGATCCACCTGTCTCAGTCTCCCAAAATGCTGGGATTACAGGTGTGAGCCACTGCGCCTAGCCTTTTTTTTTTTGTTTTTTGTTGTTGTTGTTGTTGTTGTTTTGTTTTCTAGTAGTTCTTTTTAATGTATTAGAAAGATTAGCTCTTTGTGATAGGAATAGCAAAAATTTTTTCTTGGTTTATTGCTTTTCACTGACATTTTTATGGTTCTATTGTTTTTATTTATTTATTTTTGACAGAGAGTCTGGCTCTGTGGCCCAGGGTGGAATACAGTGGCACGATCTTAGCTCACTGCAGCCTTGACCCCCTGGGCTCAAGCAGTCTTCCCATCTCAGACTCCCGAGTAACATGTGCCACCACGCCCTGCTGATTTTTATATATATATTGTTTTCATAGAGTTAAGGATTCACCACATTGCCCAGGCTTGGTTCAGTTATTTTTATTTTAGCTTTTCATTGCCTGCAGCAGTGCTTGATGCATAGTATACACCCAATAAATATTTACTGAGGAAATGAATACATTCATTGGTGCTTTTTTGCCAAACAAAAGTTATTTTAAAAGATGTTTATGTGCTTGAATCTTTTACATATGGCTTCTAGATTTTGAGTCATATTAGGAGGCCTTTATGCTGAGGTTACAAAGCAATTCTATGTTGTCTTGTTTTCATGATAGAATTTCTTTACACTGATATAGAGCCAGGACAATGGTTCACACTGTAATCCCAGTGATTTGGGAGGCTGAGGTGAGATCACGTAGGGCTAGGAGTTCGAGATCAGCCTGGGCAATATAACCAGACCCTGTCTCTACAAAAAATGAAAACATTAGCCAGGCCTGGTTATACTGGTAATCTCAGCTACTCGGGAGGCTGAGGCAGGAGGATCCCTTGAGCCTCTAGGAGTTTGAGATTACAGTGAGCTATGATGATGTCACTGCCCTTCAGCTTCAGTGATAGAGTGAGACCTTGTCTCTATTTTTAAAAATTTAATCTTTTTGTAACTTATCCTATGTGGTTGATTGTGAACACATTTCTCTCTAAAATGTTAAGTTTTCTAAATCTAGAATATTAAGGTAATTAGAAAGTATGTACTTTAAAAATTAAAAAGTTATAAAGGATAAGACCTCATTTAAAGGCTGTAGGTTGGCCAGGTACAATGGTTTCTGCCAGTAATCCCAGTGCTTTGGGAGGCTCAGGTGAGAGGATTGCTTTGAGCCAGGAGTTTGAGACCAGCCTGGGCAACACGGTGAGACCCTGTCTCTATAAAAAATTTAAAAATTAGTTGGATGTAGTAGTACATGCCTGTAGTCCCAGCTGCTCAAGAGTTTAAGGCAAAAGGATTGCTTGAGCCCAGGAGTTCTAGGTTACGGTGAGCTATGATCGAGCCGCTGCACTTCAGCCTGCGCAACAGAGCTAGACCCTGTCTTCAAAATAAATAAATAGGCCAGGTGCGGTGGCTCACACCTGTAATCCCAGCATTTTGGGAGGCTGAGATGGGCGGATTACCTGAGGTCAGGAGTTTGAGACCAGCCTGACCAACGTGGTGAAACCCCATCTCTACTAAAAATACAAAAATCAGCGGGGGCGCGGTGGCTCACGCCTGTAATCCCAGCACTTTGGGAGGCCGAGGCGGGTGGATCATGAGGTCAGGAGATGGAGACCATCCTGGCTAACAAGGTGAAACCCCGTCTCTACTAAAAATACAAAAAATTAGCCGGGCGCGGTGGCGGGCGCCTGTAGTCCCAGCTACTCGGGAGGCTGAGGCAGGAGAATGGCGTGAACCCGGGAAGCGGAGCTTGCAGTGAGCTGAGATTGCGCCACTGCAGTCCGCAGTCCGGCCTGGGCGACAGAGCGAGACTCCGTCTCAAAAAAAAAAAAAAAAAAAAAAAAAAATTCAAAAATCAACCAGGTGTGGTGGCTAGCGCCTGTAATCCCAGCTACTCTGGAGGCTGGGAAGTGGAGGTTGCAGTGAACTGAGACTGCGCCACTGCACTCCAGCCTGGGCGACAGAGCAAGACTCTGTCTCAAAAAAAAGTAGATAATAAATAAGACAGTAAGTTATCTGTGGGACTTAAAAAAATAAAAATAAAATTTTGTTCTCCCCCAGAATAACAGGAATTTGAGGTATTTTATTGGCGTATGGAAAGAGATGACTGTGGGGAAGATAAATTTTTCCTTACCACCCAGAAAGCAATGATACTTGTTCACCATGTTTTTTGTTCCTGTTTCTCTCTTCATAAACTCTAACCTTGCACTGTTCACTAGATACCTTTGTCTGCTGAGCACTTGAAATGTAACTAGTCCAAATTGAGATGTGCTAATGCATAATATGCACAGATTTCAAGGACATTGTGTTTTTTAAAATCATAAAATATTTCATATTTTTATATTACCTGTTAAAATGACAATATTTTTGATAGATTAAATATGTCTTTTTTCATTAATGTAGCTGTAGAAAATTTTAAATTATATGTGACATGCAATTTTTTTTTTCTTTTTTTTTTTTTTTTTTTTGAGATGGAGTCTCACTCTGTTGCCCAGGCTGGAGTGTGGTGGCATGATCTCGGCTCACTGCAACATACACCTCCAGGGTTCAAGCAGTTCTTCTTCCTCAGCCTTGGGAGTAGCTGAGATTACAGACACCCACCACTATGCCTAGCTAATTTTTGTATTTTCAGTAGAGACAAGGTTTCACCATACTGGCCAGGCTGGTCTCAAACTCCTGTCCTCAGGTGATCCACCTGCCTTGGCCTCCCAAAGTGCTGGGATTACAGGCATGAGCCATCGCTACTGGCCTCATTCTGTTTCTTTTGGACAGCGTCGCTGTAACCGAATCACATCAAATACCTGGACATTCTTTTATTTTTGTCTTTGTGACAAATTTTTATAGTTCCTAACACCAGAGTACTTGGTTTCTTTCATCAGATGACATTTTTTCCTTCCATGAATCAGTAGAGATATGAGAATATTATCTTGTCATGTACTGGGGTTTTTCCTTTTAACAGAGATGGAACAACTTTTACTTTTAGTTTTCTATTACCATCTCCCTCCTAGTTTTTAAGATAATCTGCTCCCCCACCCCACTTGTTTATTCTAAACTCAACCATGTTATTTTTTAGTAAAGTTTGAATTATTAATGAGTCATTTTAGCCTGTTTTTTCTGTTTCAGAATTTGAGCTTCTCTTTGATAAAAGGAATGGTGTCTTATGTTCTCTAGTCATTGATCCATTCATTCAACTGCATTAGAAGTTTGAGAGTAGAAGATGAGAAAAAGTTCTTGCCCTCAGTGAAATTACAAATTTGCTAGTCATCTGGTGATGATAAATTAACTGATAAATTGGTACATGTTATAACTAAATAGTAGTATTAATTACCTCATGATATAATTAAAAGAAACAAATTTATTAAAATAAAATAACCTTATGATTGAAGATGAAAGTTGATATTTATAGTGGGTAAATTATACTAATTTAGACACTTACCCAGATAACTTTAAAGTGCATTGTGGAGAATTAGTACTGCCTGAAATTGAGTCCTGATTTCACCACTTGCTAGCTGCTGTGAGACTGAGCAGATTACATAACTTGTATGCTTAAATTTCTTCATTTGTATACTAGGGATACTAATAGCTACTTTATAAAATTTGTGAGGATTAAATTAGTTAATACATTGCTTAAAGCAATGTTTGGCATATAGTATCTATATATCTCTATACATAGATAGAGATATGCAGATATTTGCTGCAGTTTTATCAGATACTTTCCATGGTTGACTGCAGTCATAATTATTTTATTTTTGTTTGGTTTTTGTTTTATTTTTTAGAGACAGAAACTCATTCTGTCCCCCAGGCTGGAGTGCAGTGACACAATCATAGCTCACTCTAACCTTGAACACCTGGGCTCAAGTGTTCCTCCCACCTCAGTCTCCTGAGTAGCTGAGACTACAGGCATGCTCCAACACATCCAAATAACTCTTTTTTGGTAGAGATAGGGGTCTGGCTATGTTGCCCACGCTGGTCTCGAACTCTTGACCTGAAGTGATGCTCCTGCCTTGGCCTCTCAAAGCCTCAAAGTGCTGGGATCATAGGCCTGAGCTGCCATACTCAGCCCATAATCTTTTTTTTTTAATTTTTAAAATTTATATATTTATTTATTTACAGAGATAGGGTCTGGCCATGTTGCCCAGGCTGGTCTGGTACTCCTGGGCTCAAGCAGTCTTCCCACTTCAGCCTCCCAAAGTTTAAGAATCACCTCGCCCAGCCCATGATTTTATTTTTAATGGTGGTATAATATTCAGTTCCAGCTGGGCTCAGTGGCTCACACCTGTAATCCCAGCACTTTGGGAAGCTGAGGCGGGTGGATCACCTGAGGTCAGGGGTTTGAGACCAGCCTGGCCAACATGGTGAAACCCCATCTCTACTAAAAAAAAAACAAAAATGAGCCGGGCATGGTGGTGGGCACCTGTAATCCTAGCTACTCAGGAGGCTGAGGCAGGAGAATTCCCTGAATCCGGGAGGCAGAGGTTGTGGTGAACCGAGATCGCACCATTGCACTCTAGCCTGGGCGACAGAGTGAGACTCTGTCCCCCACAAAAAAAAAAAAAATCAGTTCCATGGAAGTACCCTAATTTATTTTCCTTTAAGGTTTATATTCATTTGGGGGGACAAATATCTGTATTGTTCAACTCAAATAATTCTTTTTTAGTTTTCTTAGTTGTCTTGAAATTTTAAGATCAGGAAAACATTTAGATGGGTAGCAGCACCAACTTGCTTTTTTCTGTTTTCTGGGGTTTAAATTTAAATTGTAAATGACTGTCTAACACAGAAGAAGCCAAGAACTTTTAAATTAATTCTTCTGTTTTGGGATATGCAAATGGTGTCTAAACGTTTAACTAAATAGTTTAATTACCCACTTTTGAAGAATTTTAAAGTAGCTACAGCCTTGTGATCTTCACTGGGTTACTTTATGTTGAGAAAATTTTGGCAGATGATGTGCAGGCCTCATTCAAATACTAGTTATATTGTCTTTCTCAGCTTGAATTAGGGGAACATTAGCATTGAAGTTTTCATTTTGAATTAGGATGTAGGAAATTATTTCCTGCTAAATGTTTGTCATCAAATGAAGTTTTATTTTAAAAAATTAATGGAGCATGTCAATGCAGCAGCCCCAGAAAAACAGCTGAAGCACAGGGTTACTTTTGGACAATCTGTTAAGTCCTTTTATTGCCATTTTAGTATACATGCATGATAACCTCTTGGAAAACTTAAATATGGTAACTTAGCTGGTAGCAATCAGCTCACTTTTACTACTTAGAGTTGAATTTACTTTAGCATATACTACTTTGGGTGTTGGTACTAGAAATAGAGCAAGCAAATACATTGGTGATGTGAGAAAAACCCATACTCACTATTAAAATATATTTCAGATGATTAATTTTATATCTTTATCAGTAAATGAGAGTTAACATTCATTTGAAATACTTAGAACAAGTGTATTCTCCTGTGAATAAATTATTGTAAACTAATTTTAAAAAATCTAGATCCTTCTTTCAGAATAGTGTTACATTGTTCATTACCAGATGTGGCAACAAGGAGAATACTTAAATAACAAATTGGCATTATGCTTGTGGAAGATGAATTATATCTACGTAGCCTTTCTCTTTGTAAAATGCTATTTTTTTATTTTTTATTTTATTTTATTTTTTTTTGAGACAGAGTTTCACTCTTGTTGCCAAGGCTGGAGTGCAATGGTGACCTTGGCTCACTGCCATCTCTGCCTCCAGGGTTCAAGGGATTCTTCTGCCTCAGCCTTCTGAGTAGCTGGGATTACAGGCCTGGCGTGCCACCACACCCAGCTAAATTCTGTATTTTTAGTAGAGATGGGGTTTCACCATGTTGGCCAGGCTGGTCTTGAACTCCTGACCTCAGGTGATCCACTTGCCTCAGCCTCCCAAAGTGCTGGGATTACAGGTGTGAGCCACTGCGTGGCTGCTGTTTTGTTTTTTTTTTTTTTTTGAGACGGAGTCTCGCTCTGTCGCCCAGGCTGGAGTGCAGTGGCGGGATCTCGGCTCACTGCAAGCTCCGCCTCCCGGGTTCACGCCATTCTCCTGCCTCAGCCTCCCAAGTAGCTGGGACTACAGGCGCCCGCCACTACGCCCGGCTAATTTTTTTGTATTTTTTTTTTTAGTAGAGACGGGGTTTCACCGTTTTAGCCAGGATGGTCTCGATCTCCTGACCTCGTGATCCGCCCGCCTCGGCCTCCCAAAGTGCTGGGATTACAGGCGTGAGCCACCGCGCCCGGCCGCTGTTTTGTTTTAATACATCTAATTTTGTGAAAAATAGGCAGTATACTTTGGTGTTCCACAATAGGTGATTACACTTGATTTATTTTTCCTACCATATATCCATACTCTTGTGCCATTAGAAATGCCTTCTTTAAGACTGTCCAATAGCCCTCACTCCCTCTTGTTAAAACACATGTTCAGCCAGGTGAGGTGGTTCACGCCTGTAATCCCAGCACTTTGGGAGGCCGAGGCAGGTGGATCACTTGAGGTCAGGAGTTCAAGACCAGCCTGGCCAACATGGCAAAACGCTATTAGTCTCTACTAAACTTTTTGGTCTCTACTAAAAATACAAAAATTAGCCGGGTGTGGTGGCGAGCGCCTGTAATCCCAGCTACTCGGGAGGCTGAGGCAGGAGAATCGCTTGAACCCAGGAGGCAGAGGTTGCAGTGAGCCGAGACTGTGCCACTGCACTCCAGTCTGAGCAACAGAATGAGACTCTGTCTAAACAAACAAACAAACAAACAAACCCCACGTGTTCAGTAAATTAAGTTTCTTATTCATTAAGCAAGGTACTTTTAAATGTTGTGGGGAACTCCAAAAATAAACAAGTAGGCCTTTGCACTTAAGCTTATTTTAGTCTGTTGGGTAGACACATAGGTTCACAGATTCTGTGTTAATCAGGACATTTTTTGTTATGGCAGAAACTCATTTTAAACTGGCTTAAGCAAAAAGGGAGACTTACTGGCCTGCATAAATGAAAGGTTGGCTTTGGGCTTAGTTGGATCCAGATGCCAGTGTAATATTAGCCAGAATCTGTCTTTCTTCGTTTTATCTTAGCTCTGCTTTCTTCTGGATTGGATTCATTTTTAGGCATTATCTCCTCAAGTGGTGACAAAGACGGCCACAGCAGGGCCAGGCTTATATCTGAGTTTAGTAAGCTCAAAGAAAAGCTTTCTTTCCAAATAGTTTCAGCAGAAGTCCAGGAGTTAACTCTGATGGGCCATATTTGGATCCTCTGGAGTGGATGGGAATGGGGGACAAGGGTAGAAATGGCCAGTTCTATTTTAATTAACTATGTGGGATAAAGGGAGATCAGTCTCCAAAATGGAAGCCGTAGGTTCTGCAACCAGAAGCAAAGATGTTGATAGGCAAAAACAGCAAAAGGTCTACAGAAGTGAAGAAGAGAAAGCTGTGATAAAAATGTTTTGGTTGATCTAAAAAGATGAATTCTGATAAGAGCTGCTTAGGGAAGGCTAAAGAGAGGAGACAGTATTTGAATTGGGCCCTGAAGGACAAGTAGAGTTTTTCCAAGGCAGAATGTGTAAAGAAAAGATTCTGTAGGTCCCTCATTGGAGAAGTTTGACAGTGAAAAAAGAAAATTAAAATGGAAGCTACTGGAATCTAAACGGGAATGTTAAGATTTCCCCCCCTTCAATATGGAGAAGACTTAAGCTTTTTTGTGGCACAGGACCCTAAGCAAGTAAATAAGTTAACAATGCAAAGGAGGTAATCACCGATGATGAAGTGGAGGGTAATCATTGATGATGAAGTGGAGGGGAAAATACATTTATGTTTAGAAATCTAAGGTTAAGGATACACATGGAGGAAGTCGCCTTAGAAAGGAAAAGAAAACCGTTTGTTCCCTGAGGATAAGTGAAGGAAGGTGGTGGTGGAAGTTAAAACAGAAGTTTGTTGCTAAATAGTAAAAATGGCTTGCGCTTTGTTTTCTAAAACTAATAAGAAAAAGTTTATCAGTTATCTATTGCTATGTAACAGAATCATTCCAAAATGATTCTGTGGGTTATCAATTTGGCTTTAGCTCAGCTTGGTGATTTCTTCTGCTGGTCTCACCTTCAGTCACTCATGGAGTTGTGGTCATCTGGAGTGTGGATGGATGGTCTAAGATGGTGGCTTCACTCACATGTTTGGTGGTTGGTGCTGGCTGTTAGCTGGCCCCTCTCATCCTCAGTGAGCATTCACATAGCAGTGGCTGCATTTCAAGAGACAAAGAACTGAGGTAGTAAAGCCTCTTAGGACCTAGATTTGGAACTCCTATTCCCACAGTGTCACTTCCATTTCATTGGTAAAAGCCAAGTCATAAGGCCCGCTTAGCTCAAGAGAGTAAAGAAATAGATCCCTCCTCTTTATGAGAGGAACAAGAAAATCACATCCCAAGTAGTGGGAGTATGTGTTGAAATGGGAGGAATTTGTGCTCCTCCTATTCCCTACTATCCAGCCTTTTATTTTGAAAATTTTCAGTCTTGGCAACCAAGTTAAAAGAATTTCAAAGTGAATACTCATATTTGTATCACCTAGATTCTACTATTAACATTTTTCTATACCTGTCTAATCACATATTTATCCATCTATCCTGCTATCCATTAGTTTACCTTTTAAAAAAAATGCATTTCAAAGTAAATTGTAAGAGCCAGGCACAGTGGATCATGCCTGTAATCCCAGCTGAGGCAGGAGGCTTGCTTGAGGCCAGGAGTTCAAGACCAGCCTGGGTAACATAATGAGACCTCCCCCATCTCTAAACGACAAGAACAACAAAGTAAATTGTAGACATTAGTACTTTCCTCTAAGTGCTTTGTGCATATGTAGCAAGAGTTCCATATTTACAGCTTTTTCTTTTGATATAAAGTTTACATACAGTAAAGTGTGTATATTTTAAATATACATTGTGCCCATGCTTTGTAGTCTACCACAGAAGGGAAAATAGTTGTATGAAGGAATTGCAAAATAATACACTAAGAACATTCCAAGGACATTCTTTGAATTCCTCTTTCTTCATGACCTCCTTAGTAAAAATTTTTTTTTTTGTTTAGTATTACCTCAACACTTAGGATTTTCATTTGTATTATACTAATTTGAATTTATTTTGGGTTTTTCCCTACCTCCTTGTCTCACGTATATATTGAGCATATACGGTAGACAAGCATTGTGTTTGCTAGAAAGAAAGACCATAGAATGTAAACAGGAGCTCTCTTGCTTTCTAGGTATTTAAACTGGATGTATCACAAACCAGATTAGATTAATAATACGTACCATTTATTTAATGCTTATGCCCAAGGCCAATGAGAGGCACTTTTATGTGTATTATTTCATTTAGTTTGTGTACTAATTTAGATTGATACTTTTTTATTTTAAAAATTAGGAAACTAAGACATACAGAAAAGTTTTCATTTGCCCAAGGTCATATACCTTCTTTTTATTTTTTTTGAGACGGAGTCTCTCTCTGTCGCCCAGGCTGGAATGCAGTGACGTGATCTCGGCTCACTGCAAGCTCCGCCTCCCGGGTTCATGCCATTCTCCTGCCTCAGCCTCCTGAGTAGCTGGGACTACAGGTGCCCGCCACCATGCCCGGCTAATTTTTTGTATATTTAGTAGAGACGGGGTTTCACTGTGTTAGCCAGGATGGTCTCGATCTCCTGACCTTGTGATCTGCCCACCTCGGCCTCCCAAAGTGCTGAGATTACAGGTGTGAGCCACCGAGCCCGGCCAGTCATATACCTTCTTAAACTAAGGTGATGTGACTCCAGAATCCATATTTAACCCTTTTATCATATTGATTAGAAGCAGGAAATGTGCTCGGTGTTACAGAGTAGCTAAGCAACCTTTCAGTTGGTCGTATTGCTTCACAGGGTAATCTTGGTCTGAATTAAGTGTTTGTCTTAAATAGAGGAGTATAAATTTTTATAAGCTAAACTATGACAAAGTTTAAAAATTATCTTCTCATCTTTTCGTGAAGAATAAAAATATTTAAGGATTTTGAAAAGGAGAAATTTTGGTATTATAACTATTGATTTAACTGCAGAGAATCAGAATAGAAATGTAATTAAAACTATATGGCCAATTCAGCTATAATTTAATCTTTGAGTGAAATATTGCCTCAGAACTTCTAATAAGCCTTAACACTTTGTCTTATTATTCAAATCCATGTTACATTATACATTTTTAATATTTCTGGAAGATTATTAAACCTTTATCAGTTTTGCACATAGTATTTTGATAAAATAATAGTTTCCTGTTTTATTGACTAGGTATTGGATGTTTTTATTGCTAATTGGCTTTTGAGCAATTTAACAAATAGCAAAAGATCAAAAACCATTTTGACTTGCTATTTCTGCATATTGGTAAACCCTGTCTGAACTGTTGAAAATATGTGACTAGCACTTAAGTCATTTCATGCTAAGAATTCTGCCAGAAGTACCACTGGTTAATGGCAGCCATTTTGACTGCTAAAATGAAAGCGTCTAAAGTTCATTTACTGTGCCAGCTTTCCAGTTGTGTCAGGAAATGGGGTTAAAGTAATGTGTATCTGAACATCTTCTGTAACCCAACAGTGTATAAGGTGTTAAGTGTTCCTTCACCCAGATTTTATCTGTTTTATTTTGTTTATTTTGTAGTATATTTTTCTAAGTGGCTTAAAGTCCAAAGTCATATGGGGTAGGTTGCAAACAAAATATATTTATGTTTAGAAATCTAATTGAGTGTTATGTTTATTTTTATGTATAGGCCTTGCTATTTTGGAAGCTACAAGAAAAAAATAGAGGAAGGAAGGTTTGGTCTTTTTAGTGGACATGGCTCAGATATCTAGCAACAGCGGATTTAAAGAATGTCCATCTTCACATCCGGAACCAACAAGAGCAAAAGATGTGGACAAAGAAGAAGCATTACAGATGGAAGCAGAGGCTTTAGCAAAACTGCAAAAGGATAGACAAGTGACTGACAATCAGAGAGGCTTTGAGTTGTCAAGCAGCACCAGAAAAAAAGCACAGGTTTATAACAAGCAGGATTATGATCTCATGGTGTTTCCTGAATCAGATTCCCAAAAAAGAGCATTAGATATTGATGTAGAAAAGCTCACCCAAGCTGAACTTGAGAAACTATTGCTGGATGACAGTTTCGAGACTAAAAAAACACCTGTATTACCAGTTACTCCTATTCTGAGCCCTTCCTTTTCAGCACAGCTCTATTTTAGACCTACTATTCAGAGAGGACAGTGGCCACCTGGATTACCTGGGCCTTCCACTTATGCTTTACCTTCTATTTATCCTTCTACTTACAGTAAACAGGCTGCATTCCAAAATGGCTTCAATCCAAGAATGCCCACTTTTCCATCTACAGAACCTATATATTTAAGTCTTCCGGGACAATCTCCATATTTCTCATATCCTTTGACACCTGCCACACCCTTTCATCCACAAGGAAGCTTACCTATCTATCGTCCAGTAGTCAGTACTGACATGGCAAAACTATTTGACAAAATAGCTAGTACATCAGAATTTTTAAAAAATGGGAAAGCAAGGACTGATTTGGAGATAACAGATTCAAAAGTCAGCAATCTACAGGTATCTCCAAAGTCTGAGGATATCAGTAAATTTGACTGGTTAGACTTGGATCCTCTAAGTAAGCCTAAGGTGGATAATGTGGAGGTATTAGACCATGAGGAAGAGAAAAATGTTTCAAGTTTGCTAGCAAAGGATCCTTGGGATGCTGTTCTTCTTGAAGAGAGATCGACAGCAAATTGTCATCTTGAAAGAAAGGTGAATGGAAAATCCCTTTCTGTGGCAACTGTTACAAGAAGCCAGTCTTTAAATATTCGAACAACTCAGCTTGCAAAAGCCCAGGGCCATATATCTCAGGTATAGTCTTTTCTTACTAACTTCTCAAACTTAGTATAACACAGAGTTCATATTTGTGTACATAATTTGTGTTTTTTTGTTTTTGTTTTTGTTTTTAAGAAGGAGTCTCGCTCTGTCGCCCAGGCTGGAGTGCAGTGGCGTGATTTCGGCTCACTGCAAGCTCCGCCTCCCAGGTTCACACCCTTCTCCTGCCTCAGCCTCCCGAGTGGCTGGGACTACAGGCACCCGCCACCACACCCGGCTAATTTTGTGTATTTTTAATAGAGACGGGGTTTCACTGTGTTAGCAAGAATGGTCTCGATCTCCTGACCTCGTGATCCACCCGTCTCAGCCTCCCAAAGTGCTGAGATTACAGGCGTGAGCCACTGCGCCCAGCCCATAATTTGTTAAGAAAAAAAAATATTTTTCACTTTGAATTTTGTTTTTCTTTGCTCTCAAGTGTGCTTTGATTCTTTGCTTGTGTGGCAAAGGATGAAATGTGATTAGGCCAATTGAAAAATTGCTTGCTATTAATATTTTTCTAGGATTGTAAATAAAAAGCCTCTAATGAAGGAACTGGCTGTCACTGAGAGGCATTTAAGATATTTTAAATTTGTCTGTCCATGTCTCCTCATTACATATGCTCCCTTCTTTCTCTTCCTTATTCCTGTTTTTTTTTAAATGCAAATAAGAAATTTTGGTTTTTAGCCCCATTATAGAAATTCTCACGCATTTTGTTTTGTTGTTTTTAACCATGAATCAATGAATAAATAACCCCAGAGAGAAGAGCAATTTAAAGGACTCTCCCTTTAAACACTTTTGTCGATAAAAGTGAAGAATGAAATATTACCATTGCAGATTTGTGTTTTGCTTTTATATCTGTGTATCCTGGGAATGTTTAAGCCTCATTCTCACTTTAACGTGAATTAATATTCAGCTAATTAGATCAGCACTTACCTACTATTTTATCATTGGGAGTTAACTAGCATTTAGATGGGGAAGGGAGGGATGGATTTTGCATGATTTGGATCGGTTTATGTTGAATTGTTGACTTTATTTATTACTATTATTATTTTGAGATGAAGTTTTGCTCTTGTTGCCCAGGGTGGAGTGCAGTGGTGCAGTCTTGGCTCACTGCAACCTCCACCTCCCAGGTTCAAGCGATTCTCCTGCCTCAGCTTCCTAAGTAGCTGGGATTACAGGCATGTGCCACTACACTGGCTGGTTTTGTATTTTTAGTAGAAACCGGGTTTCTCCATGTTAGTCAGGCTGGTCTCGAACTCCCGACCTCAGGTGATCAGCCCACCTTGGCCTCCCAGTATGCTGGGATTACAGGCGTGAGCCACCATGCCCGGCCAAATTGTTGACTTAAAAAAAAAACATTTTGGATGTCTGGAAGGAAGAGAAATCGGTGTTAAGAAGGTTTAGACAGCATGATGGCTCATGTTTATAATCCCAGCACTTTGGAAGACTACGGTGGGAGAATCACTTGAGCCCAGGAGTTTGAGACCAGCCTGGGCAACATAATGAGAACCTGTCTCTAACACAATTACAAAAAAATTAGCTGGGCGTGATGGCATACTCCTGTGGTCCCAGCTACTTGGGAGGCTGAGGTGGGAGGATCGTGTGAGACCAGGAGGTTGAGACTGCTGTGACCCATGATTGTACCACTGTACTCCAGCCTGGGCGACAGAGCAAGACTCTATCTCAAAAAAAAAGGGGCAGTTGGGGGGAAGGCACTGGTCCCCCTAATTTTCCCATCCTGCAGGGCCCAGGTCACTGCTGGATTCATATTCGGGTCAATTTCTAATAGGCAGATGACTCCCCAGCTGTGGGTCTCTATTTTATAGGTTTCTCATGAGAGAAATGAATTCTGTGTTTAGTGCCTGGAGTCAGGATTTGAGATGTAGTCTGGATTTAAGATGTCAGCTGTTTATAGTTGTTTGGGAAGGGCAACTGCCTTGAACCTGGAGACAGACATTGGGGCTCTGATAAGTTAGTCTTGCTATCAAAGAAAAGGAAGCCCCTTGTCTTGTAGGGAGCTGCGCTTAGGCTCAAGCCTTGCACTGGTAGAAGGCAGAGCCCCACAATGAATGCATTGTAGCTACAATAGATTGTCTTGAAGTTAATACAGATGTTTATAAATTACCTTGATTAATTTAATTATATCTTAAATTCTGAACTTCCCATTATTGAAAAGTCATTTACCTACTGAGAGAAATAGATTATCCCAGCTAAGCTGATATTACCATTCCAGATGCAATGTAGTCATCATCTTAAGCAAGTTGAGGTTTCTGGGTAGGTGGGTTATTTACTGTCCAAAGCTCCAAGACTGGGATTCGGAACCCAAGAACTTACATGCTTTTTATCTATGTTGTACATACTCAAACCGAACTCTTTATTTATTATTATTTTTACCAATATGTTGCCAAAGCCAAAGGACTCTTCTGCATTTTTTTTTTAATCACTGAGACAGAAAGCTCACAAGAATCCTATGAGGCCAGAGTATGACCCATCCCTATTTTACAGTTGAGGAAACTGAGATGTAAAGAAGTTAAAAGGAATTACTGTTAATATTTTGGTGTAATAATGGTATTGCAATTAATTAAATGAATCTTATATTTAGAGATGTATACTGTAGAATTTAAAATGTAGTAAAATCAAGTGAGGTATTGGGGTTTGGAGGGCTTATAGATGAAACAAGATTGGCTATATGTTGATAATTGTTGAAGCCGATGATGGATACCTGGGTGTTTATTCTATTATTTACTTTGTGTATATTTGAAAATTTTCATGATAACAAGTTGGAGGTCAAGGAGAGGGCTGCAGAACTCTTTGCAAGCAGCAAAGTTCTGACATTCAAACCCATCTGACTCTAAAAGCCCTCCCTTTTTTTTTTTTTTTTTTTTTTTTTTCACTTTTTTGAGACAGTTTCTCTCTTGTTGCCCAGGCTGGAGTGCAATTGCGTGATCTCAGCTCACCGCAACCTCTGCCTGCTGGGTTCAAGCGATTCTATTGCCTCAGCCTCCCGAGTAGCTGGGATTACAGTCATGCACCACCACGACCGGCTAATTTTGTATTTTTAGTAGAGACGCGGTTTCTCCATGTTGGTCAGATTGGTCTCAAACTCCCGACCTCAGGTGATCTGCCTGCCTCAGCCTTCCAACGTGCTGGGATTACAGGCGTGAGCCACCAAGGTCTGCCAGCCCTCCCTTTTTCAAACTCCAGTGATACAACATGCTATTTTGGAAGGAGTAAGTTCCCTGTCATAGGAGATATTCAAATATGGTTCAAATGGCTTCCCAAATTTAGTTATATGTCACAGTATCCTAGAGAGTTTAGGCCTACTCAGTCCTGATTTGGAGGAAGGGGTGTCAAAGGACAGTATGGAATTTCAGGGGGAAGATAACCAGTTTTTTCAAAACTTTCCCCCTTGGACCTCCATTTGGGACCTCTTGACTAGGTTATTTTAAAGTTTATTCATACTCAGGAGCCTATAAAGTTGGGAAAATGACAAGACAAATAGCAAATGTGAAAATAGAGTACCCTGGGAACAGTTTCTTTTCAGCTCAAAACCCAAAGCACAGGTTGTTAATGCTTTCATTGCGAAACTCAACTTCCTGCCCCTGCTTGACCTTTTTAGTTTAGATTGGTCACTCCTAGTTCAACACATGTGTTCTCCACCCTTTCCTTTGGTGGGGCAGGGGTGTGACACCCATGTAAGTCTCCCTACATTTATTTTTTCTTATGTATTTAAAATATTTGTCACAGTACCATCTTGATATTTTCCTTATTTGGGGTGCTTTCAGAAAGTATCTTGGAGGAATAATGAGGATGGGTGGTTTCCTAAAGATAGGAAGAAGTTTGCCTAGCAAGATCTGGGTAATCAAGTCACATAGGTGTTACAGAGAGCTGCTAGTTGCTCAAACTCTAGGAATTAATTAACTAGGCTGCCAAACAGGATTAGTTTTAGCAGAAACAAGTTCCTAGATCTTAGTTAAAAAATATAGGGGAAGGATTAAAGTAGTAAGCAAATGGATTATGAGAGATATGAGTCAGAAACTGGGTAAGCAATAATATGACTTGATCAGGGGATCAATCAGAGAGTGGAGCTAGATTACTACAGTGTAGCATATCAACAGCTTTACTGATAGCATGCTATCTGAACTGACATGGCTTAGGCTACTTGCCAGTCTTAAGGCAGTCTAACTGCAGCATGGCTGAGGAAGTGTTCATCATTCCATTATACTCTAATCAAACCCCATCTAATAATTTTGTTTGAGTATATCCTAAGAGGGGCCACCAGTAAGGAAACTGAAGTTTGTCTTTTTTTTTTTTTTTTTTAAGACAGGGTCTCACACTGTTTTACCTAGGGTGGAGTGCAGCAGTGCGATCACGGCTCACTGTAGCCTCTACCTCCCATACTCAAGTGATTCTTCTAATGCAGCCTCCTGAGTGGCTGGGACTATAGGTACACGCCACCACACCCAGCTAATTTTTTTGGGTTTTGTGAAGATGAGGTCTCCCTGTGGTGTAAGCCATTGTGCCCAGCCTAGAGTATGTCTTGAAAAGAGAAGACTGTAGTTTTCAGGATCTAGAACGTATGCCATTTGAGGAACTGTTGGAGGCATTTTGTCTGAAGAAGAGAATATTAATTGGAGTTAAATCACTGAATCTGAGTTTCTTTATCTATGAAATAAAGTTGGCTAGACTAGATCCTTTCATAAATAATAGTTAAAATTTGGGAAGTTGCCATGTGGAAGAGGAAGTGGACTTTTTTTTTTTTTTTAAGGTTTTGTATTTTGGACATACATTTTCAAACCAATTCAGGAAGTAGAATACCTGAAAGTCATGGTGCTCTTATAAAACAGGATGAAATGTTGATATACTAATTTTTTCAGTACGTTAAATATATTAAGTATACTACTTTGTGTTACATTAGATGACAATCTGTGCTAGATTATAATAGAAACAACTGGTAGAATGGTGGGTTTGGTGGCTCATGCCTGTAAACCCAGTGCTTTGGGAGGCCGAGGTGGGAGGATTGCTTGAGGCCAAGAATTCGAGACCAATCTGGGGAATGTAGGGAGACCCGTGTCTATAGAAAAAAAAAATAGCTGTGTGTGGTGATGCACGCTGGGACTACAGCTATTCTGTAGTCCCAGCTACTCAAGAAGCTGCAGTAGGAGGATCTCAAGCCCAGGAGTTTGAGGCTGCAATGAGCTATGATGATAAGGCCCTTGTACTCCAGCCAAGGCTACAGAATGAGACCCTGTGTCTAAAAAACAAAGGAATAACTGATAGTAAGGGCTGAAAGTTAAAATACATTGCATAGAAAAACTTAAAATTAAACAAGTCCTATTTGTTTGTTTGTTTTTGTTTGTTTTTTTGAAACAGGGTCTCGCTCTGTCACCCAGGCTCTGGAGTGCAGTGGCGTGATCTCGGCACACTGCAACCTCCACCTCCCAGGTTCAAGTGATTCTCCTGGCTCAGCTTCCCGAGTAGCTGGGACTACAGGTGCATGCCACCATGCCCTGCTAATTTTTGTATTTTTAGTAGAGTTGGGGTTACACCATGTTGACTAGGCTGGTCTCGAGCTCCTGACCTCAAGTGATCCACCCGCCTCAGTCCCCCCAAGTGCTGGGATTATAGGCGTGGCCACCGTGCCTGGCCAAACAAGTCCTATTTGTTTATATATTTTTTTCTGTGAATTGAGAATTCAGTTTAGTAGCTTAATTTTAAAATCTGTTGTCCTAAAAAGTAGAACAAGAACCAATGGGGAAGAAAGTCAGGGAGACAGGTTTCATGGTTAAATATCTATAAAGGAACTTAGAAAGAGACATTTCATGATGGTTGCTCTCAGGTTGTGTTAAGAGAAAAACTTTAGACATATTTAACATAGTTTAATTCAGCAAAGAAGAGATCACAAATCAGGCAGCCCCTGAAGCAGAATGGGTTCAGGGAGACTCCAGTGCAGCCATGTGGTGGAAGATTTATGGTCAGAAAAGGAAAGTGATGTACAGAAAATGGAAACGAGGTACAGAAGCAGCTGAATTGGTTATGGCTTGATGTTTGCCTTATTTGAACAGGTTTTGAACAGTTGGCCACCCTTGATTGGCCGAAACTTGGTGATTGGCACAAGAGTAGGTTACAGTTTGTTGTACACATCCAGTTAGGTTACAGTTCACTATGCATGGAGAAATTGTTAGGCTGAACTTAAAATGTGTTAGGAGGCAGGTTTAGGCTAAATTTAACAGTTGTAAACACAATTATTTGAGACATTGACTTAGAGGCTTGGCATGCACCTGTTATAAATGCTATAGATAGGATTTTGTTTTTGTTTTTGTTTTTTTTTTTTAGATGGAGTCTCACTCTGTCGCCCAGGCTGGAGTGCAGTGATGCAATCTTGGCTCACTGCAACCTCCACGTCTCGGGTTCAAGCAATTCTCCTCTCTCAGCCTCCCTCCTGAGTAGCTGGGATTACAGGCACCTGCCACCACACCCGGCAAATTTTTCTATTTTTAGTAGAGATGGGGTTTCACCATTATTGGTCAGGCTGGTCTTGAACTCGTGACCTCAGGTGATCCACCCACCTCAGCCTCCCAAAGTGCTGGGATGACAGATGTGAGCCACTGCGCCCGGCCCAGAATGGATTTTTGTATGAAAAAGTTCTAAGCCTTCTTGTTAGTGCTAAGATTTCATTTTGTTTGTGTACAGGAAGATAAAGTTTGGTTTTATGTAGACCAAAATAGGGAGATAAACTGAACACTGGTAATAGGCTGACTTTGGAAATCCATGGCACAATTCATTGGCACGGAGCTTTTAATTTTTCACACACCATTCATCTCTACTTACAAACTTTTCCCTGATATTTTTTATTGGAAAATAATATTGCAATGCCTATTCTTTATAATTACTTCACATGCTTAAGTGTTCATTTCCTGTAAGAATTTTGTGCTTTGTGGTAAAAACTCAACACAGAGGGTATTTTTCTTCTCACTCAGCAAGCTTACTTCCTGTTTCCATCTAGTGTCCTTTGTTTTATTAATAATAACCTAAATACATTAGTTCCAATTTTTTGTGACCAAAACCAGTAAAAGACATAATACTTAAAACTGTCTTCTGGAAATTTAAGTTTAAATCAGGCTTTTAGTTAATAGCTGTGAATTTAACTACTTTGAGCAGATTTCAAAGAATTTTATAATAGATCAAATTATTGTCATAGAGGTGGCTTTGCAAAGTTCTTTGGTTGTAAACTCTTTCTAAAAGTTAATTGTATTAACATTTTAAACATATCCCCATTGGCAAAATGTCTATTATTAATTTTAAAGAAGAGCAAAAGTTAAACAAAATGTGATTTTCATAGTCTGACTGAGTATATTTGAACAGTAAATATAAGTTTCTTTGGGAAAAAGTCCAATTAAGGATGTAACCAACTTTCTTCTGAAAAGTAATATGTATTTAATGTTTAAAGTGCATTTATTGAAAACTTGGTGTTGTGTTCCATATAATTTCTGGGTAATGTGGCATGAACCTTGAACTTGTATAGGTATAAATCTTCCCCATATTCTTGTAACTACTTTACAGAGTATTAATGATAAATTTTTGTGAATTATTTTAAACCTTCACCACTTTCCTTAAACCTCCAAACTCACCTCTGCCAACTCTCTACCATTTTTTTTCTTTTAAATTGAGGTCAAGGCCATCCATGTGTGAACTGCTCACCTCACATTTCCCTCATCTTTCTGGTTTGAAAGGAAGAGATGTTCCTTCCCTTTTCCAAAACTTAACTGTTTTTTTTGTTCCTGTTTGTTCCTGTCTTCCCCAAAGTTATTACTGTTTGTTTGTTTGTTTTGTTTTGGTTTGGTTTTGTTAAGGCAGGGTCTTGCTCTGTCATCCAGGCTAGAGTGTAATGGTGCAACCTCGGCTAACTGCAACCTCTGTCTCCTGGGTTCGAGCCATCCTCCTGCCTCAACCTCCTGAGTAGCTGGGACTACAGGGGCATGCCATCATACCTAGCTAAGTTTTGTATATTGTGTAGAGATGGGGTTTCACTATGTTGCCTAGGCTGGTCTCCATCTCCTGGACTAGAGCTATCCACCTGCCTCCCAAAGTGCTAGGATTACAGATATGAGCTACCACACCTGTCCTTAAAGTTATTACTCTTTAAAAAGGAATTTGTACTCACTGCCTTTCCAGTCTCTTGCTCTCCTTCTGTTATTCCCATTATGTTATAGAATTGCCAATCCCTCGACCATATTCACCATTTAGCCCTTTTGCTTATTTTTTAAAAATTGACTACATCCTTTTCTTGAAACTTCTGTTGCCCTGGGTAAATCTACTTCCTATTTTTCTTCCTGTGATTTTTGACTCCTTTTTCTTTGTCTAGCCTTTAAACATAGGCATTCCTCCAAAGGTTTTGTTCTTGGTTGTTTTTAATAATGCTTTACTTGTTTTCCCTTGGCCAGTGCTTTATTCTTGAGGCTCCAATTTACTTAAATTGAAAGCTACTGATCTAGACCCTTGTAGTAATGTGACTCCTTGGCTGTCTATGCTCGAGATGCTGTGATGGTTAATTTTATGTTTCAGCTTGACTAGGCCATGAGGTGTCCAGATATCTGATCAGACATTATTCTGGGTATTTCTATGAGCGTGTTTTTGGGTCAGATTAATGTTTGAATTGGTCAGCTGGATAAAGCAAATTCCCTGCTTAATGTGAGTGAGCCTCATCCAATTAGTTGAAGGCCTGCAGAATGACCCTCCCAAAAGTAAGGGGGAAACTCCTCCTGCTTGACTGCTTTGAAGCTGGAACATCAATTTTTTTCCTACCTTTGGACTAAAACAGAAGCATTGGCCCTTCCTGCGTTCTGCAACTGCACCATTGCTCTCCTTTGTCTCCAGCTTGCCAGCTGCAGATCTGGAGACTTGTCAGCTCATAATTGCATAAGCCATTCCATATATACGAAAATAAAGAGATGTCCCAGTTCTGTGCCTCACAGATACAGGCCCTTATGTCTCCTTTAGCTTCCCAAAGAGACTGTTTCCTCTTAATGGAGCTTGACCCAAAGACTACTGACTGAGAATTTGCTGTCTCAGTGATCCTGATGGATGCTGACAGCAGTTAACAGAGAGAGTGAGTTCCCTGTAAAAAATTACAGAAATTGGATGATCACTAAATCTTTGTTTCTAGCTCTGGAATAGAATATTTCTGGAGTAGAACATTTCTAGACGATGACCTAAACATCTACATGGATTTTCAAACACAACATATTTACTAGAGAACTTTGTATCTTCCCCTGCAAACTTCTTTCTTTGTTCCAGGTATTGGCTAATGCATTGGCAGTGTTTTCTTATTGATTATCATATATCTCTTTCATTTGTTAAAAAATGTGTGTGGTTATACAGTGTGAGGATTGCACATACTAATCATTTGTGGACTTCACCATTAAAGAACTTGGGCTAGAAAGGGGAGACAAGATGTGAATGTGTATAAATGCAGTACAAAATAGAAAGTCTTGAGTGCCACAGAAGAAAAGTCTGTGCAAGATCCATGGAGAAAAGAGATGATTTGATGCTTTGGTTTGTTTGTGTGGAGTTTGGAAGTGGGGTGGGAGTATGGGTGAAGGGAATAGGTGTAAAATATATGTATTTTTTATTCCAGAAAGAGCAGAGGGAAAAACCCAAAACTGTTAATGTTTGAGGTGAAATATTGGCAGCCTAGCTATTTTTTACCCTTTACAGACTTTAACATTTGAGTTAACTTTCCAGATTCTATTATTACCTTGATGTGTGACTAGATAATTATTATATTCAGTTTTTGTTAATTCAAACTCGTAACTTGAATAAAAGGAAAGACCTAATTCACGAGAGACACAGCAAAAAATACAACTATTATTATTTTTTTTAAATCCTAAAATGCCACCTAAGGAGATTCAGAATCTGTTTTTAAAATAAGTAAAACATGAAGAACAGTTCTTCAGGGAAAGATGATTCTTGGGTCAAGCAAAGCTTTAGGTTTTCCCAGCACTGCTCCCACAAAGGTCACAACGTTGTTTTTCACATTGTGTTTTTAAGGATTTTTAAGGATATTCTTTTGAGAGACAGATTAGCATGGTGATTAAGCATGTGACATTGAAGCCAGACTGCCTGGGTTGAAATTCACACTCTGCCTATATTAGCTGTATGACCTTGTGAGTTAATTAACTCATCTGTGCCTCATTTTTTCCATAAAATGGGAGTAATAATAGTTCCCACCTATTAGAGCTTTTTTGATAAATAAGTATATAAATGAATGCCTGTAGATATATAATTATATATATATATATTTATTATTATTATTATTTTTTTTTGAGACGGAGTTTTGCTCTTATTGCCCAGGCTGGAGTACAATGGCACGATCTCGGCTCACTGCAACCTCCGCCTCCCGGGTTCAAGTGATTCTCCTGCCTCAGCCTCCCGAGTAGCTGGGATTACAGGCATGCACCACCACGCCCGGCTAATTTTGTATTTTTAGTAGAGATGGGGTTTCTCCAGTTGGTCAGGCTGGTCTTGAACTCCCGACCTCAGGTGATTTGCCTGCCTCGGCGTCCCAAAGTGCTGGGATTACAGGCATGAGCCACCGTGCCCAGCCAAAAATTAATAGATTTTTGACACATGTGGTGAAGGAAGTTTAAGAGGAAGGTGAAGGGAAAAGTCCAGAGGCAGGATAGCTTGATTTGTGTTTTATAGGAACAGGATATGATTCAAGCTAACTGGAACATAGAAATCTTTAGGGAGATTCTGGGAAATAAGATTGGATTAGATTGTGGCAGATTTGGAGTGTGAAACCAGAGGATTTGCTAGGAAATATAAAATCCCATTCTTTAGAGTAATATAGTCTATTTGTCATAGTGGTTGCTTCTGTAATACAAATTGATTGATATGTGATTGGTAACTATGAGACTGAGGTCAATACAATGGGGAAGTAGCATTAGTTCAGACGTAATCTTTCCCGGCATATTAACTTTTTGAAATAATCAGAAACAAACTTCTCACAACCTAAGGGAAAGCTTTAGCACTATATGAAGATATTAGGAAAACACTGAGAATCCTGCAGAAGTGTCCTCTTATTAATGAAAATGAGTGGCTTCAAGAACAGTTTCACATTCCACAGTATTAATCTGTCAGCTATAACGATGTTTGCAGACCAAGAGGCTGCAAAAACATTTCTCTTTGAATTTTTTTTTTTTTTTTTTTTTTGAGACAGAGTCTCACTTTGTTGCCCAGGCTGGAGTGCAGTGGCACGATCTCAGCTCACTGCAACCTCTGCCTCCCAGGTTCAAGCAATTTTCCCGCCTCAGCCTCCTGAGTAGCTTGAATTACAAGCACTTGCCACCACGCCTGGCTAATTTTTGTATTTTTAGTAGAGACAAGGTTTCACCATGTTGGCCAGGCTGGTCTTGAACTCCTGACCTCAGGTGATCCGCCTGCCTTGGCCTCCCACAGTGGTACTGTACTTTTAACTTCATTGCAATTGGTGTTGACTAGAAGCATATGTCCTGAAGAATTCATATCTCAAATGAGGAAACAAGAGCCCCAGGGTTTTAGGCTTCAAAGGATGAAATGCTAGGTGCAAATGGGAGCAGACATTTAACTGTGCTAGTATTTTTATAAGGTCCTATTATCGTTTTAGTTAGGGCTTTGATTACAGAGTTATATTGATATAAAAAATTATTTTTATTTTTAGAGATGGGGCTTCACTGTGTTGCTTGGGCTGGCCTCGAACTTCTGGGCTCAAGTGACCCTCTTAATTTAGCCTCCTGGGTACCTGGGACTACAAGTGTGCAATGCCACACCTGGCTACATTGATATTCAGTAGTCTACCTTAACTCTCTTTTCCCCAGGAGACTTGTTACTTTTAATTGTGGTTTTGTAGCACTCGAAGTATTTATTTTTTTCTCCAAATGTGTATATCACATTCTAGCAGAAAGGGCTCTGACATGTTTTAAAGGAAGGAAACTCATAAAGGAATTGTTGACCTAAATTTTCAGTTTAATTTTCTCACACAGAATCATCTTGTGTGCTGAGGCAGGCAGATTGCTTGAGCCCAGGAGATTGAGATCATCCTGGGCAACATGGTAAAACCCCGACTCTACAAAAAATACAAAAATTAGCCAGGTGGGGTGGCCCATGCCTGTAGTCCCAGCTACTTGGGAGGCTGAGGTGGATCACCTGACCTCAGGAGGTCAAAGCTGCAGTGAGCCATTGTTGAGTGACTGTGCTCTAACCTAGGTGACAGAATGAGTCCTTGTCTCAAAAAACAAAGAAAAAAAAGTCTTTTTGTGTGCCATAGTCATTGAAATCTGTTATAGCTCTTGAAATATACGCACTTTGTTCTCACTGAATTTTGAATTGAGAATGTTCCAATTCTAATTTTAAAGGGAATTTATATTTGAAATTTGCACCAAATCAAGTTATTTTTATGTAGTGTCAAAACACTCTCAATGGACTCTGCTGTTTGGCTATGCTTGGGTGGTGAATTGATCTCCCTGAAAGCTGTAAACAGTTTTTGACCAGACGTAAACTTAGCTTTTTAGGGATTGTGAGGATGTTAGTATAAGTTTATTAACCTAGAAAATGCCCATTCTCTTACATAAAAAACCATCTTTCTTGGGATTTGGGTCCTAGTTGAATATATAGAATTTCTGGCTGATTAGAAGAGTCCCAAATGGGCTTGATCTCTTCATATTCTTAAAACAGAGAGTCCTTTAATTTCATTTAGTTGTAAAATTTCTAAAGTGTCTATTTTAGGAATATTTTGAATGGAAAGGTCTTTAGCATTCCATTCTTACTGACCGGTATAGCCTGTTTCTACTATTGAGCAAGTAAAACCAAGGAACGAAAATAAGGCTTAGTTGACATTACTTTTACAAAGATAGAAATATATAATTTAAAAATTTGTTATTGATATGATTTATTTTACCTCCATTGCTTTGTACATATTTTCATAAAAATGTGTTTGTGCTGTGCTGCTATGTAGCATTTTGTGGATCTTCCACTTTTAAAATAAAAACACTTTTTTAATTACAGAAAGACCCAAATGGGACCAGTAGTTTGCCAACTGGAAGTTCTCTTCTTCAAGAAGTTGAAGTACAGAATGAGGAGATGGCAGCTTTTTGTCGATCCATTACAAAGTAAGGAATTTTTCTTTATAAATGTTCATTTGAAAAATTCACTTGAAAACCAGTTTAGTGCTAATAATTCTAAAATTTTAAAAATTTTAATTATTTTCTTCTTGTGGCTAACATTTCAAGTCAAAGAGTTAATTGGCACGTTATCACAAACCACAGTTGAACTTGTATCTTCACCTGTTAGATTTCTTAATATTTGGAAGAAAAAATTGAGGTCAGACAGTAGACTTCTGATACTGTAATAACCAGTGAAAAATATGACTTACCTGTAAGCTTCAGTACACTTAAAAAATACCTACTTTTGTTTTAGAGAGACTTAATTTTGCTGTAAACTTTCTAGCATTCAAAATACTGTTCAACATATTTAAGAGATGATATTATAATAGGCAAGTTTAGAAGAGCAAATATATTTTCTGAAGTTTAGAAAAACACATTTATAGAATGTTCTCTCAATCTTAAATGTGTCTAACATTCATTATAGGTGAGGAAACTGAGACTCAGAGAAGTAACCTAACAAACTTTACTTGGCTAGTCAGTAATATCAGTAGTAGAACCAACTCTCTTTTGCTTCTGGTTAAGCATGTTTTCTTCCCATTATATCACTATATTAGTTGTGACTTCTGTTACGAGTGCTAGAAACCCATCTTGAACTTAAAAAGGGTCATGTATTGGTTCACAACCCAAATAGCAGATAGAGGAAGGATGGGATAGAGTTCATTAACAGCAAGATTCAGGAATTCATTACTATAAATCATCCCCCCTTCCTTCAATTCTCCTTGTCCACTCCATTTCCTTTCCTTCACCTTCCTCACTTTTCTTCCTCTGCCTTTCCTCCATGCAATTTAATGGTCTCAGTAGCAGAGAAGAAAAAGGAGTCCCCTTAGCTAGCCAGATAGGAAACACCCATAGGAGGAAAGAGTGGAACAACAGTCCTTGTGGCCAAGAGGATGAGAGATCTGTTATCTAAAAAAGGGAAGTAGATCACCACTGGGAGATTTTTTTCTGAATCCAGCATTGTCTTCAGTGTGGTCTGCTTTAAGCATAGCAGGATTTGGGGTTCCCAGAACATTTTTGAGTATGTACATTATTTTAATGTTAAAGAACTTAATATTTAATGAGATTTTCTGGACCATTGGTGATATTTTATTAAAACTCTGTCTTCCTTTATGTTACCTTTTAACCAGCATTTCTTTTCTTCAGAATACCTTAGGAAAAAAATATTATCAGTAGAGTCACTTTTTCTTGGCAAAGGTTACTCTCCCCAGACAGGCCTTGTATTTTCCTGTTAGGCCATGTTAAGTAACTACTACATTTAAGCTTTGCAAGTTGAGAAGTTAGGCTCTCTGAGACCTACCTTTTTTCTCCCATTTGAATCTTAGAGCTATTTATACAAACTCTGCCACTAATTGAAAATGATTGTTTTTGTTTACACACACACACACACGCACACACTTAAATGTGATACGAAACTGCAAATGGACTAAAGAGAGAATGAGTTCTCTTTGTAATTTTATTTTCATTAGTAGACTATGACTGCAACAAATACTAGAGCAGTAAGAAGTACTGGTGTTTTTGAAGGCATGTTCTAGGAACTTCCCCTGTGGTGACCATGGAGATTGAGATGAGGAGATGTACTTTGAAATTAGTGGCTCTGTTTTTTCCATTGTGCTCATTTTGCAGTGGATTTTTAAAACAAGTATGTAGGCTTTTAATTAGAGAGCCAGTTCTTTGCTTTTTGAGATCTCCTAAAATTATTCATTTATTCATTTAAATTCAGCTGTGAAATTAGTGTCAGGCTGTCAGAATGATATTTGTTTATAGTTAAGATAAAATACAAAACAGACTTGGAATTTATTACCAGTTCTAGGTATTGGTTTTTGTTGTTGTTTCTCATCTGTGAAATTAAAGAGTTGGACTAGTGATTTCAAAGATCTCTTTCAGTTTAAGATTCTGTAATACATTGATTCAGGACTACTTTTCATTATTACTGAGTTTTTTGTCCTATTTCTTTCCTTTTACACCTATCATAATTGACAAAGCTTGCTATATCTACTAGTTACAGGTGCTGAAAAGGTTCTTTTTTTTTTTTTTTGAAATGGAGTTTTCACTCTTGTTGCCCAGGGTGGAATGCAGTGGTGCGATCTCAGTTCACTGCAACCTTTGCCTTCCAGGTTCAAGCGATTCTCCTGCCTCAGCCTCCTTAGTAGCTAGGACTGTAGGCATGTGCCACCATGCTCAGCTAATTTTTTTTGTATTTTTAGTAGAAACGAGGTTTCACTACATTGGCCAAGCTGGTCTTGAACTCCTGACCTCAGGTGATCTGCCCACCTCGGCCTCCCAAAGTGCTGGCATTACAGGTGTGAGCCACCACACCCGGTCGAGAAAGTTCATCTAATAGTGTTAAATACCAGTAGAAGTTATTGCCACTTTATTTGTGGTCCTTTAGGATAAGATGAGAAACCACATTCTACACCTGTCTTTCTGAATAGCTTTATGGTCATATAGTATTCATATATTCATATATATACTATTTATATCCTATACTAGTATCTTGACCCCAAAAACTTCCTGTATGTTTTCAAGGACTTCAACTCTGCATTTGGTTAATTTTATTCTAAACAGTGCTGACTGTACTTTCCTATAGAATAATATTAATTTATTTGAAATTTTTCAAAACCCTCATTTTTATCTCTTTTCTTCTTTTTATGTTCTGATTTTGCATGATTTGGTTATCTGTGCAGAATTTTAGTCTGATTGAGCACACAAAAGTAGAAAAATAAACCATAAAGGATTTTCATTTCTGCATAGAGATACTGAATTTCCTGAACTGTAGAGCCACACTAAATAGACAAAGCCTTTTATTTGGGTGATAGGGAAGTAGAAATTTTAGAGAAAATAAAAAATTAGAGTTAAATACTCTTTATAGATAGTTACTTAAGAACATCAAACTGTAATGTGTGGCTTAGAGTATCCATAAAAATACCTTATCTGGTCTATATTGAAAGTGAATAATTTACTCAGTCAGCAGTTATTCATTTAATAATTTAATTTGATTTTGTATGTTTAAATGCTTAAAGATTTCGCTACAAAAAAACCCCACAAAAAAACCTCAATTGTAAGGAATCTTAAATCTTAGGTGTTTTATGGTTTTTGGCAATTTTTATAAAGCAAACAAACCATGGATTAGAAGAAATCAATTTTACAGAAAAAGGTAATTAGTGTATTTTCTGGATCTGGTATCTTCCATGGTACCAAGTAAATACAAAAAAGACTCATTATAAAAACATTTCTTAAATTGTGATAAAATATACGTAACAAAAATTACCATTTTAACTGTTTATAAGTGTACGGTTCAGTGACATAATTACATTCACATTGTTGTGTAAAAGAAAGGACTTATTTTAAGAAAGGGAAATGCAGGTTTCCTCCTCTCAAACCAAGCTAAGTTTTATCACTGGAATTTTTGTCTAATAAATTCTTGTCTTAGCTATCAAGAATTTCTGCTTTTACTTTTGTCATCCTTAACGGTTTCTGAAAATTGAAAGCTTGCTTAGATGTAGAAAAAATTCTCTAACATTTTATACATTAATTTCGTGATTTGATGTGAGCCTCTGTCTTAGTGTTTGTATTACTATAAAGGAATGCTTGAGACTGAGTAATTTATAAAGAAAAGGTGTATTATATTTTTAATATTGTTGCTTAGGATTTCAGTGCAAAAACCAGATTTATTCCTTCACTAACTCAGTTATTTGACAAGAAGGTTAAAGCACTTACTGTGTACTAGGCACTGTTCTAAACGCTTTATAAACTAAATTCACATAATTCTCACAACAACCCTATCAGGTAAGTAGTAGTATTACCCCCAGTTTATAGAAGAAAAAACAGAAGCAACAAGGAAATTTAATAACTTGAATAAGTTCACACAGCTAATAAGTAGTATAATCAGGATTCAATCTAAGGTAACCTGGCTCTAGAGGCTATGCACTAATGGTTACATGTGCTACCTCTCCAGAACCTTTTTCTGTCATCTCAAGCTGTTTTATTCTACTTATGTGACCTGATTATTTTAATCTCTACAGAAGCAAGTATACAATACTTCTAGCATTCATTCCATTCATAGCCCTATGAAAAGCAGGAAGGAGGACTGGTACCTGTCTTCTAAAAAGTCAGTTTAAAAGAGCTCACAAGTGTAAAGAAGTTATCAAATCTTTGTCTTACGATAACAGCAGTGCTGGCTGGAGATGAGCCATACACCACATTCATGTATTTAATTTTGAACTGTGTTGCTCCTATGAATACCTTCACAGGCAGTTCTTTCAATTCCCTAAGTTTTAGAAATCACTTTGAGGGAAGAAAGGCCTTGTAGCACTGTAAAAAACCATTGTCTATATTTTGTTCATTATCTAGCAGCCAAAAACAATGTTTGTACGAAAAAGGTCCTTAGAAGAAAAATATTTTTTAAGACAACCAACTTGTTATCCTTTTGGCCATTATAGTTTTAGGACTACATTGCCTATAGAATAATTTAAAAGGTACCATTTTGTGTAATTGTACTGTGTGGCAAAAGATTTTTAAGCAGAGGACCTCATTTAAAATGCCATTTATCCAAGCATGTGCTTGGGTAGTGTTGATAATGTTACCAAAGATATCCTGGCAGTAGTTCATCTCTTCCTTTTCCTTGGGTTTCTTTTATTTAAAAGGAAAATGCTGGTATTTGGAGTTTCAACAGGAGCTCATTCATTGCAGTTTCATGAGCTGCTTGAGTTGGACAAAGACACAGAACTGAGTGGCTGTAAACATGTAAAGCCTTGTTCAGAGCCCTCAAATGAAGTTTTTTTAAAAAAGAATTTAATTTCTTCTTTCTTGTGAACAGATTGAAGACCAAATTTCCATATACCAATCACCGCACAAACCCAGGCTATTTGTTAAGTCCAGTCACAGCACAAAGAAACATATGCGGAGAAAATGCTAGTGTGAAGGTCTCCATTGACATTGAAGGATTTCAGCTACCAGTTACTTTTACGTGTGATGGTAGGTTTATGGTTCCTCAAGCCTCTCGTTTTGCTCTGTTAGGGGGAAATGTTTAAAATATCAATATTATCATTCTTTTAATAAACCAATTTTGTTATGTGTCTTTTTGGCATTCATATGGATAGTTTTCTCGTTAGAACTAGTGGGGAATCAGGTTACCTTTATAAATAGATAATTATCTGAAAAGTGCTAAGTAACTTTTGTTAATCAGTGGCTCTTGGCCAAGGCTGAAAAGCATTAGATAGAAAAGCTAATTATAATTTAATTCTTTATTTTTCTCCTTCATTTTATGACAGGAAGCATGCTTGCTTATAAAGAGCTGTCAGTGAAATTGAAATTCCAGATATCTTGCTAAGTTCTTCTGTGGAGAAGATAATTCTCTTTTATTTTAATCCTTTCTTCCAAACTTGGTATGGGTGTCCTCTCTAGAGATGTATTCCCAAAGTCTGTAGGAAATTTTTTTTATAGTTTTAAAAACTAATTTTATTTCCTTGCAGAGTTTATTGCATTTCATAATATATATTATCTTAACGGGATTCCAACCAAGGAATGAGATCCTGTATTTCTACAGTACTTTGGCCTAAGAATTATGCTGTTTTTATTCTTTAATGGTTATGACTAGGAATGTGTCTAATATTCAGATACATTCTTTCTAGCTTTGTACTTTTGAAGGCCCTTTGAAAAAATATAAATCTGAAACAGAAAACCATTAGCTACTGTAACAATTATTCTTTTAGTTGTTAAAGGAAAAGTTTTGTGTTTTTTTGTTGTTGTTGTTGTTTTTTGAGAGAGAGTCTCACTCTGCCACCCAGGCAGGAGTGCAGTGGCATGATCTTGGCTCACTGCAGTGAGGGTGACAGAGTTAGACCCCATCTCAAAAATACAGCCTACCTGCTGTATTTTTATTTTTCATTGGAAAATATACCAGGCAAATGTCAAACATTTAAAATGGTGAATCTTTTTCTTATAATTCATTTTAAATCATTGTTTGCTAGATACTGCTAAATATCATCTGTGGGGGATTGTTTCCAGGACCCCCTTCAGATACCAAAATCCCAGGATGCTCAAATCCCTGATATAAAAGACATAGTATTATCATACAACTGATGCACATCCTCCTGTATACCTTATTTATTTTTAGTTTAATTTTTAAATTTTTAACTTGTATGGGTACATAGTAGGTATATATATATTTATGGGGTACATGTGATTTTTTTTAAAGTATCAAAGGGAAAGGGTAACGTGATGTTTTGATACAGGCATACAATGTGTAATACTCCTGTATATTTTAAATCATCTCTAGATTAGTTATAATACCTAATACAATGTAAATGCTATGTAAATATATGCTGTACTGTATTGTTTAAGGAATAATGACAAGAAAAAAAGTGTGTACATATTCAGTACAGATGCAGTTTTTTTCTTTTCAAGTATTTTTGTTCCAAGATTGGTGAATCCACAGATGCAGAACCAACATATATAGAGGGCCAACTGTATTAGGTTAAATAAAACATATTATTAAAATTAGCTTCACCTCTTTCCATTTACTTTTTTCAATGTGGCAACTAGAAAATTTAAAATTATATATGTGGCCTACATTTGTGGACTACATTATATTTCTATTGTATACTGCTGTCTTAAATTATAAGTAATACAGTCTTGAATAAATATAAATGAGCAAAGTGAAAATAATGACTAACTCTTTTACAGTGAGTTCTACTGTAGAAATCATTATAATGCAAGCCCTTTGCTGGGTACATGATGACTTGAATCAAGTAGATGTTGGCAGCTATGTTCTAAAAGTTTGTGGTCAAGAGGAAGTGCTGCAGAAGTAAGTTTATTTAACTACTGAGCAACATCCTTGGAAATTTCATTTTTAATGGTTTAATCTAGAAAAATTTCAAGTTAAATTTATAATGCAGAAATACATTGGATCCTATTGAATTGATTTATTGAATCAATAAACTTTTATTGAAATATATAATGTCTAAGATGTCATGTCTAAGACAGTGGTGGGGTTTCAGAGATAAGTGAGACATTGTATTCCCTTAAGGAGCTTGTAGTCTTTACAGGAAGAGTTTCAGGCAGTTGGTTAATAAGTGATATAATGGGTCTTTCTTACTGTAAAGAGTCAATAGTCACATCATTATAGACTATATTCCTCTTGCAACATGCACTGTTACTTTATGCACAGTAGTCAGCTGTGATTTCCTTTTAGTTGCCTGAAATAATCATTATATGAATCTTTTTCTTACCCAGGTATTTATTATATCTTTTTTTTTTTTTTTTTGAGACGGAGTTTCACTCGTTACCCAGGCTGGAGTGCAGTGGCACAGTCTTGGCTCACCACAACCTCCACCTCCCGGGTTCAAGCGATTCTCCTGCCTCAGCCTCCTGAGTAGCTGGGATTACAGGCATGCACCACCACGCCTGGCTAATTTTGTATTTTTACACAATACAGCCTGTTGGTCAGGCTGGTCTCGAACTCTCGACCTCAGGTGATCCACCCGCCTCGGCCTCCCAAAGTGCTGGGATTACAGGTGTCAGCCACTGTGCCCAGCCTTGTAATTCATTATATCTAGCATTTAGTCCAGTTGTTTTACAGATTTTATTCTCCTAGGCTGCTAGAAATGCCCTGTCCCGATTTTTCTTATTTCCTTCTTCATCTTTGTCTTCATCTTCTTTCTTTTTTACATTGACTCTTCTCGTACAGAATAATTTCTCTGTTTAAATGCTCAGACTTGATTTTAAAACTGTCTCTGTTTCACCATTCTCTTCAATTTCTGATGCAGGTGCAATTTAAATTTTACCCTCACCTTTATAATTTCTAATTTGAATAGAATAGTGAATAATTAATATATCTTAACAGTAATCATTGCCTTGGAAGTCATGAGCATATTCAAAACTGTCGAAAATGGGACACAGAAATTAGACTACAACTCTTGACCTTCAGTGCAATGTGTCAAAATCTGGCCCGAACAGTAAGTGTGTACCTCATAACTGAATTCCATTTGTTTGAATCTGAATAATTCTGCTAATTTGCCAATTTTCAACTTGTACATTTTTCATGATTTCATAGTTAGAATGGGGTGATGAACTCATCCTCAACAGGAATCTTCTTAGCAAATGAGGGGAGATGTTCAATCATGGAGGTTTAGGTAACATAGTCCTTAGAGGTAGAGGCATATTTGAAAATCAAAGTGGAGAAATTAAAATTTGGTTGGTAATAGCTTTATACAAGAGTGAAAACATCAGGGTGAGTCAGGGAAAAATGGGGAAGAAGGAAAAATTTTGAATACTAAATATGGGTTGGGGATGAAAAGAAAATCCACACTGACCTTTGTACCAAACTGAGAAAAATAAATTATTCATCACAAAATGAAAACTAATTCCCTGTTTTAAAAGTTCACTACTTTCAGTAGGTGGATGCTGTTTAAAAAAAAAAGTGCTTTCAATGCTTTCTTTTGAGGTTAAAGCAAAATAGAATGCAGCAAATTTAGCCATTTTGTTTTACTGCGTGAACCCTTGATGAACTTAAAATCGAATTTTTAATCTCTAAAGAGAATTATTCTTTATTTGTTAGAATTTTGGATGGAAAAATATCAGTGATGTCTGCTTTCTTTTTTTCTTGGTTTTCTTGAGTTTTGCTTTTATGTTAGGTAGAATTCATTTCAATTGGGTAAAGACTATTTCATAAAATTTGGTACATTTTAGCAGTCATTGGTAACTTTTCTTCTTAGTTTCTTAAGGAATGATGTTCTTTTTTTTTTTCTTTTGGAGACAGAGTTTCCCTCTGTCATCCAGGCTGGAGTGCAATGATGTGATCTTAGCTCACTGCAACCTCTGCCACCCACCCTCAAGCGATTCTCATGCCTCAGCCTCTGGAATAGCTGGAACTGCGGGCATGCACCAACCCACCCAGCTAATTTTTTTTTTTTTGTATTTTTAGTAGAGACGGGTTTTTGGTGTGTTGGCCAGGCTGGTCTCGAACTCCTGGCCTCAAATGATTCACCTACCTTGGTCTCCCAAAGTGCTGGGATTACAGGCGTGAGCCACCGCGCCCTGTCAGGAATGATGTTCTTGACTACATTTGCGTAATGTAGACTTAGGGTAGAAGAGCGAGTACCTTGTTCATGATGGGGAGTGGGAGGAAAATTGATTATCATTAGAAAAAATAATGCAGAAATTTAAATGACCTCCATCTGTTTTCTACCCCATATGCATTTGGCTATCAGCCATCTTTAGTGTTTTTAGCTCTCTATTCTCTATATATAGAACAGAAGTAGTTTTTGTTCCAAAAGCTATTTATATATCTGAAAGTAGGCTTGAAAGCATTTATGTTTTCCATTTAACAAACAAGTTTTTTTTCAGGATGTTGACTCACTTTTTTTCTGAGTCAGTTACAAATAATATTTAATTCTGATAGAATTTTATTTTCAGTTCTCAGAAAAACACTTTAGTTGCAAGATTTTATCATACACTTAACTATATTTAATTTGACAATAGAAAGACCAAAGAGTGGATGTGATTTTTTTGTGTATATGTGTTTGTTTAGGCAGAAGATGATGAAACACCCGTGGATTTAAACAAACACCTGTATCAAATAGAAAAACCTTGCAAAGAAGCCATGACGAGGTATATCATCTAAAGCATTAATTGCAGGTTTTCAGACTTTGTTTTTGGATGCAAATACACTTATTTTGGTGATGAAAACAATCATTTTGTGTGTAGCATCCTTCAGCCACAATAACTGTTGTTTCTTTCAGACACCCTGTTGAAGAACTCTTAGATTCTTATCACAACCAAGTAGAACTGGCTCTTCAAATTGAAGTAAGTCTTAATTCACATTTTGGCATAATGACTTAAAGATTCTTGCTGCTTCTTTCTCTTAAATGGTAGTGTTGGCATTGGATTAAATATTTTAGGACTTTTAAGACTATATTCTTCTTTTTAATTTATAAAGAAAATAGGTTTAATTGACTTACAGTTCAACATGACTGGGGAGGCCTCAGGAAACTTAAATCATGGAAGAAGGCACCTCTTCATAGGGCAGCAAGAGAGAATGAGTGTCAAGTGAACGGGACCCATTATAAAATCGTCAGATCTCATGAAAACTCACTCACTATCATGAGAACAGCATGGGGGAAACCACCCCCATGATTCAGTTTATTGCCATCTGGTCCCACCCTTGACACGTGGGGATTATTACATTTCAAGGTGAGATTTGGGGGGGACATAGAGCCAAACCACATCATTGTGCCCCTGGCCCCTCCTAAATGTCATGTCCTCACATTTCAAAACACAATCATGCCCTTCAAATAGTCTCCCAAGGTCTTAACTCATTCCAGCATTAACCCAAAAGTTCAAGTCCAAAGTCTCATCTGAGACAAGGCAAATCCCTTCCACCTATGAGCCTGTAAAATCAAAAGCAAGTTAGTTACTTCCTGGATACAATGGAGGTACAGGCGTGGGGTAAATACAGCCGTTCCAAATGGGAGAGATTGGCCAAAACAAAGGGGCTACAGGCCCCATGCAAGTCCAAAATCCAATAGGGCAGTCATTAAAGCTTAAAGACTTTTTTTTTTTTTTTTTTTTTTTTTTTTGAGGCTGAGTCTCCATGTGTTGCTCAGGCTGGAGTGCAGTGGCACGATCTCGGCTCTCTGCAACCTCTGCCTCCTGGTTCAAATGATTCTCCTGCCTCAGCCTCCTGAGTAGCTGGGATTAGAGGCATGCATCACCATGTCTGGTTAATTTTTATATTTTTTAGTAGAGATGGGGTTTCACCATGTTGGCCAGGCTGGTCTCGAATTCCTGACCTCAAGTGATCCTCCCACCTTGGCCATCTAAAGTGCTAGGGTTACAGGCATGAGACACCGTGCCCAGCCAAGACTATATTCTTGACATTAATGTTTCATGTCTTGTTTTCGGACCTAACTTACCCCCAAAATTTTCAGTAATGCTTAAATTAACATGTTTATTCTCACTTCAGCTCTGTTGCCAAGAAGAACCTTCAGTTCATCTCTAAAAGCATTTATTGGATGCTTACTATATGCTGAATGCTAGAGTTATGAAAATGAATGACCTAGTCCCCACCTATCAGGAACTTAAAAACTAGTGGTGAGGGATTTAAACAAAACTTCAATATAGTATAGTAAAATGTATTATAGAGGTATGCCTTGCAGTTATGGAAATCAAGGAAGAGCACCTTACCTAAGTTGAGGGTTCAAAGAAGGCCTCTTAGAAGGGATGTTCCCTGAACCAAGTCTTACACAGTTAGCAAGAAAAAATTGGGAAGGGTATATAAACAAAAGCAGATAGGTGTGATATTTACATGGAAGTATAAGCAATTCTGTGATAGAGTACAAAGTATAAAATGAAGATTGGCAGATGACATTGGAGATAGCTATGTGATTATTATCCTTATAATCCATGTTAAGGAATTTTACTTTATCTTCTAGGTCAGGAGACCATATCCAGTCTACTTTCTAATTTGTAAATTAAAAAAAAAAATTAACAAAACCACACCCCTGGATTTTTTGTTGTTGTTGTTTTTTGTTTTTTGAGACAGAGTCTTACCTTGTCACCCAGGCTGGAATTCAGTGATGTGATCTTGGTTCACTGTAATCTCTGCCTCCTGGGTTCAGGTGATTCTCCCACCTCAGCCTCCCTAGTAGCTGGGATTACAGGTGTGTGCCACCACGCCTGGCTAATTTTTGTATTTTTGGTAGAGACAGGGTTTCACCATGTTGGTCAGGCTGGTTTCGAACTCCTGACCTCAAGTGATCCACTCGCCTTGGCCTCCCATAGTGCTGGAATTGGGCGTGAGCCACTGCGCCTGGCCCCATACCCTTTTTTTTTTGTTTTTTTTTTTTTTAACATATTCTTTCTTGTCATTTACATTTGTGCTCCAACACTAGAGTTGAGTAGTTGGAACAGAGATTGTGTATCCTGAAAACCTAAGCTGTTACTGTTTGGCCCTGTACAGAAAAAGTTGGCCGACTCCTGCTCTAGCCACTTAAGGTGTTTTTAGCCTAGGGTGGGTTGGGTGAATTGTTTAGTCCTGTGATCTGAAATCACTCTGGCTGTATTGTGGAAGTTAGATTTCAGGTTGGGATTGGTTTCAGAGCGAATATTTAGAAAGGTTTTTATAGCAGTCCAGGTGAAAGATAAAGAGCATGGAGAAGTTAAAAAGGAGAGAACTGATTAACAATATTTAGGAGATAAAATTGAAAAGATTTTAATAGGTGATGAGATGTGAGTGAAGGGGAAAGAGTATGAGTGTAGGATGGCTTCCATATTTTTATCTACAAGTACATTCTTATCAACATATAAATATATTTATTCAAAAATATTCACTGAATATCTCTGGTAAGCTGGAGTTTACTAGAATCTGGAGTTTCGTATGGAGTGTCCAGGCTAGAGATAATAAACTTGGAAATCATCAGAATATAAATTGTATTTTGCAGCCATAGGCAGGATGAGGTCACCAGGAAAATCATTGTAGATGAAGAGTTGCCCATCTTAAAAAAAAAAAAATCCCCACCCCGCCCCCTGCCGCAGGAGCCACACCATTTCTCTATTCTCCTTGCCACAAAACTTCTGAAAGTTAAGTGGTTTTACAGCTTCCAATTCCTTTCTTCCCATTCTCTTATATGCCCACTCCAATCAGTTTAGTACTTCCCTGAAACTGTACTTATTAAGGTCATCAAGGACTTCCATGATCCTGAATTCAGTAGTCAGTTCCTAATCTGTTGATGGATGGATCGATGGATGGATGGATGACAGGGTGTCACTCTGTCACCCAAGCTGGAGTGCAGTGGTGTGATCACAGATCACTGCAGCTGCAACCCCCTGCAGATTTCTCTGTGTTGTCTGGGCTGGTCTTGAACTCCTGGGCTCAAACAATCATCTTGCTTCGGCCTCCCAAAGTGTTAAGATTACAGGTGTGAGCCACTGTGCCCACCAAGTCTTTATTTTTCTCAACCTGTCTGTATTTTTTGATACAGTTGATCATGTCTTTCTTTTTGAAATACTTAGTTGGCATCTGGGATACCACCTTCTGCTTTCCTTATTTCCATTAGCTGCTCTGTCTCACTCTTACTTGTGGCTTCTTCCTTATCTTCCTGACTACCAAACATTAGCATATCCCCAGGGCTCAGTTCTAGGACCTCTTCTCTCTGTATTCACATCCTAGGTGATCTTGGTATATCCCTATACTGATTGACTCTGAAATTTATATGTCTAACCTTAACCTTTTCCACATCTCCAGACTCAAATATCTATTACTTGACATCTTTATGTGAATATCTAATTAATTGACATCTCAAATTTAAGATGTACAAAACTGAATTTTTTATAGTACCCATCATATCTATTCATCCATCGACCTTTCCTTTCTCTTTTTAAGAGTTTATTTTTTGAGAGCAATGTTAGGTTCAGAGCAAACTGAGAGGAAGGTACAGAGATACCTCATATACCCCCTTCCCTACACATGCATAACTTGACCTCATTATTTCCCTTTTTAATAAATGGCAACTTTGTCTTCCATTTGCTCAGACCAAAACCCTGGAGTCATCCTTGATGTCTCAAGAAAAAGATCTTATACATTTCACATTCAGTCTAATTCTGGTCAGCTCCACCTTGAAAATACATTTAGAATGTGAGCACTTTCATCATTACCAAAGCTATACTCTAGTCAACTGCAGTAGTTTCTTACTAATTTCCCAGTGTCTACCCCTGCCCTCTACAGTATGTCTTCCACAGGCAACCAAAATGATCTTTTGAAAATAAGTCACTAAATGTAATGTGATATCCTGGATTATATTCTGGAAGATAAAAAGCTCATTAGTGGAAAAGTTGGTGAAATCTGAATAAAGTTTGAAATTTACTTAATAGCAATATACCAGTGTTAATGTCTAGCTTAGACAAATGTAACGTGGTTTATGTAAGATTTACTTAGTCTAGTTTTCCAACATTATATGGGAACTTTGTATTTTTTTATAACTGTCTATAAATTTAAAATTATTAAAAGGTAAAGATTTTAAAAATGAAAATAGGAAAATTAGCCGGGTATGGTGGCGTGTACCTGTAATCTCAGCTACTCGGGGCTGAGGTAGGAGAATTGGTTGAAACCGGGAGGCAGAGGTTGCAGTGAGCTGAGATCACACTGCTGCAGTCCAGTCTGGGTGAATGAGACCTGTCTTAAAAAAAAAAAAAAAAAGGAAAAGAAAAGAAGAGCAGAAAGCAAAATAAGAGAAAATCAAAGGCAGAAGGTGGGGCTTTGAAAAGATAACGTTTGTAAATCCTTTAAAAAGTGTTAGATCATGTCACTCCTTCACTGAGAATCCTGTTTACTCTCTTACTTAGTAAAATTCAAAGCCCTAATTGTAGCTTCAAGGTTCCGCACAGTATGGACTCACTACCTCTCTGATCTGGCTTCTTATCACTTCCCTTTGTTTTTTTTCTGGTTGATTATCTGCCAGTTATGTTCCCCACTGGGGACCCCTGTGCATGTTGTTCCCCTCTAAATGCTTTTCCCTGTGACATTTGCATGGCTCACCCTTACACTTTTTTAAGGTCAGTGCCCAAATATCACCAGAGATTTCTTTACTCACCATCTTATCTAAAATAGTAACTCTATATTATACTTATCCCCCTCCTTTATTTTTATAGCTTTATTGAGGTATAATTTATATATCATAAAATGTACCCATTATATGCACACAATTCAGTGATTCTTAGCCAATGCATAGAGTTGTATAATTATCACCACAATCCAGTTTTAGAACATTCTCATCACTCCCAAAAAAGTTTCCTTGTACTGATTTGCAGTCAATCCTCACTCCCAGCCTCAGCCCCAGACAACTACTAATCTGGTTCCTATTTCTATAGCTTTGCCTTTTCTGGACATTTCATGTACATGGAATCATGTACTATGTAGTTTTTTACATCTGGTTTCTTTCACACACCATACTGTTTTTGAGGTTCATCCATGTTGTAGTAGGCATCTATAGTTCACTTTTTTCTTGCTGAAAAATATTCCAGGCTACCCCACATTTTGTTTATTTGCCAAATGATTAGCATTTGGACTTAAACTTTATAATTTTTGGTTATCATGAATAATGCTGTTATAAACATTTATGTATGAGCCCATGGATATATGTTTTAATTTCTTTTGGATGGATTTTAGGGGGAGATCAAGAAGTTGCTGAAGTTTTTTTTATTGTTGTTTATTTTATCTTTTTTAAAGAAATGGAGGTCTCACTGTCTTACCCAGGCTGGCTTCAAACTCCTGGGCTCAAGAGATCCTCCCACCTCAGCTTCTCAGGTAGCTAGGATTACAGCCACACACCACTGTGCCCAGCTAGGAAGTTGCAGAGGTTTTGATTACTCCTGGCCTTTAGTTTTCTGAAGATAGGATGTTAATTCAATTTGCTAAAATGAAGTCAGGATGGCAGTAGGGGTTTTGAGGCAAGGAATAATGGTTTGGTTTAATATCCTATAGGGAATGGGAAGGAGAGCTGACCAAGGGCAGATTAAAGGAATTTTAGGTGCCGTGGAAGTTTGTGCTGAAATTGAGGACTGTTGAATCTATAAGATTTTCCTAAAAGTGCTCAGCTGCCTGGTAGAAGAAGCAGAGAAGAGTTTAGTCAGAATGAGGGAGTGAGGACAGAAGAGAGTTTGGTCAGAATCAGAGTGTGAGGACTGGAAGCAAAGGGGTTGTAACCAGATATGATATTGTGGTTAAGGTTTCAATAGGATACCATTTGGGGGTTGAATATATTGTGAATTTTCCACATGGACGTTTATGTAACGGAGGCTTGTATTACAGGATGTAGGGTAGAAAGTTAGATAAATATCCAATGCAAAAATATGGCATGCCGTTGGGGAAATGACCATGTCGGTAGTAAGATGTATCAGCGTGGGCCAGCCAGGAGACGGAAATTGTACTAGTTACTTGAAAAGGGAAATTTAGACAGGGCATGGTGGCTCATGCCTGTAATCCTAGCACTTTAGGAGGTGGAGGTGGGCAGATCACCTGAGGTCAGGGGTTGGAGACCAGCCCAATATGGCGAAAGCCGGTCTCTACTAAAATTACAAAAATTAGCCGGGCATGGTGGCACATGCTTGTAATCCCACCTTCTCGGGAGGCTGAGGCAGGAGAATCATTTGAACCCAGGAGGCGAAGGTTGCAGTGAGCTGAGATCATGCCACTGCACTCCAGCCTGGGTGACAGAGTGAGATTCCACCTCAAAAAAAAAAAAGGGAAATTTAAAGAATCATTAGGCCGGGCGTGGTGGCTCATGCCTGTAATCCCAGCACTTGGGGAGGCCGAGGCAGGTGGATCACCTGAGGTCAGGAGTTTGAGACCAGCCTGGCCAACGTGGTGAAACCTCGTCTCTACTTTAAAAAAAATACAAAAATTAGCTGGGCGTGGTGGCAGGCACCTGTAATCCCAGCTACTTAGGAGGCTGCGGCAGGAGAAACGCTTGAACCTGGGAGGCGGAGGTTGCAGTGAGCCAAGATCGCGCCATCGCACTCCAGCCTGGGGGACAAAAGCGAGATTTCGTCTCAAAAAAAAAAAATCATTAATTAGTAAAAGATGATTAATTGCTTTAAGGGGTGAAAGAGGACTCTAAGGCAGGAATTGGCATACTATGGCTCACACACCAAATCTGGCCTGCTCTCTGTTTTTGTAAATAAAGTTTTATTGGACCTATAGTGACAGTCATTTGGTCATTTGTTTATGTATTGTTTGTGTCTGTGTTCACGTTTTAATGGCAGAGCTGAATTGGTGCCAGAGACTGTATGGCCCACAAAGCCTAAAATATTTACTAACTGGCCTTTTAAAGGAAAAGTTTGCCAACCCTACTCTAAGGGGTCCAGCGATAGGAGGTGCATAAAAGCAGCTGTCACCTCTAGGCTGAGGAAAAAAGGACAGTAAAACACTCTGAGGACTGTGATAAAGTCTCTCCCCGAACCTTAGACTGAAATTTAGTCTCTTTGAAGAGAGTATGGCTCTCACAGGAATACATAGTTGCCTATGGCAAAGAAACCTGCTAGATAAATTTAGCCAAAGGTGTCAGGTAGGAGAACATAGCATGAGGGTGCAGCTAGAGGTAGTCTTTGAGGACTACTCAGCTCTCACACTGAATTAAAAAAAAAAAAAAAAGGAAGCTGGCTGTTTTTCGTCTTCCGGGGCATTTGGCATATCCTCATAGGCTTTCCTAGCCTGTCCTGAACCCCTGGTAATAGAATTGTTTACCTTTGTACCAAGAAGGTTGGGAAAGCACCAAAATCTGCATGTGGTGTGTACCCAGGTAGACTTTGAGGGGTTCGTGCTGTGAGACCTAAAGCCCTTATGAGATTGTCCAAAACAAAAAACATGTCAGCAGGGCCTATGGTGATTCCATGTGTGCTAAATGTGTTAGTGACAGGATCAAGCATGCTTTCCTTATCAAGGAGCAGAAAATCATTGTGAAAGTGTTGAAAGCACAAGCAGGGAGTCAGAAAGCTAAATAAAAGATGAAGCTTTTTTGAGTAATAAAAATTAAAAGACTTTTTAAAAAAATTAGAAGGCAGGAACCCAGATGGGAAGTGTCTTCCTAATGCTCTTGGCCTTGGAGGGTCCTTTCTGTGTGTTCAATTGACAAAATCTAAAAATGCGCTAGCTTGGCAAAGAGAAATGTTTATAGGGTCTAGCTCTAGTATCAGAAAGGAAAGCAGAGGAAGGGTGGATTTGGAACTGATAGACAATAAATTGATAATTGGCACTTAAAGAGTAGTGTAGGCCAGGCGCAGTGGCTCACGCCTGTCATCCCAGCACTTTGGGAGGCTGAGGCGGGCGGATCATCTGAGGTCAGGAGTTTGAGACCAGCCTGACCAACATGGTGAAACCCCATCTCTACTAAAAATACAAAAATTAGCCAGGCATGGTGGCAGACACCTGTAATCCCAGCTACTCGGGAGGCTGAGGCAGGAGAATCACTTGAACCCAGGAGGTTGCAGTGAGCCAAGATCCCACCACTGCACTCCAGCCTGGGCAGCAGAATGAGAGTCCGTCTCAAAAAAAAAGGCAAAGTAATATGAAGTAATATAGGAGAATGGCATGACCTTCAAAACTGGAAAGATTTTTGCATGAATGTGAAGTAAAAGGAAGCAGGAAGTATAAGTCAAATAAGCAAAAATGAGGAGCTAGAAAACAGGCTCCGAGGACTACAGGGTAATTGGGTATTTGAGAAAATTAGGTGGTTTCATTTAAGCTTGAAGGTGAAGGTTTATAGTAGCCAAGCCTCAAGGGTGGAAAAATTTAAATTTTTAAGGGGTGGTATAGTACTGAGTTTCAGCCCATTCTAACAGTACTTGGCATAAAAGTTTGGCATAAATGTTTTATGAATTAATACATTATATAAGAATGTTTCTTAATATGTACTTCTCCGGTAAATGTTGCCCAGTGTTATTAATATGTGACCGACCTCTGAAGAACTTGGTTTTTGATACCATATTTTTGCAGGAGGAAGAGAAGGGTTATTTTCAATGTGGAAATTATTTCCAAATGAGAATAAGAAAAAAATAGCTCTAGTTTTAGTGATTTGCTACTAATTTATGCTTCTACTTCTGATTCTAATGTAAAATTAATAGCAATTTGCATATGAATAATTGTGTCAGACGAAGTGAAAATTAACCCGGCCTTGCCTTTTCCTACTTTGAAATAAACTATACAATTGAAAAGCTATGTTTTTTCTTTGTCATCACAAAAGAGTAGAGGATATCTGTTAGGGATATCTAAGATATCTAGTTTCTGACTTCGTCTCTGGAATTGGTCCTTTAAATTTCACCTACCTATTTTTATTTTATTTTTTATTTTTAAAGAACCAACACCGAGCAGTAGATCAAGTAATTAAAGCTGTAAGAAAAATCTGTAGTGCTTTAGATGGTGTCGAGACTCTTGCCATTACAGAATCAGTAAAGAAGCTAAAGAGAGCAGTTAATCTTCCAAGGAGTAAAACTGCTGATGTGAGTATTTTTGGTAACTAGGATTTTATTACATGCAAATATGTACTTAAACAGGAGATTTTTGCCTTATCCTAGACAAAATATTGTCATTTTAACTTTGGCTTTTACTTTTGGGTTGAATCACTTACTTGGTTAGGTGGGGATTCCTTGGTAAGAAGTTGGGCTGCCTTGGAAGAGCTTTATGAGAGTTGACATTCAACAGGTGGATGTCAAACTGTGAACCCTTTGTGTATAGAGGAGGACCTCTGGCATAAATGAGTTGGTTTGGGGTTTAAGGATAGATATTGAGCTTAGAAGACCTGGAGGACAGTAACTATCACTTCTCCCTTGGGGTGGAAGCATCCTGATTATCAGTGAGGGAAGTTCTAATCACTGATAATCAGTGGGGGAAGTGGCTAATACTTCCTGTAGAAAAGACCAAGGGCCTCAGCTGTAATGCCTCAGAAGCAGCCAAGTTAGGGGCCTTCCCTTTAGATTATACTGTTGCTTTTAATAAAAGCTGTCCGTCATGACATTTCCAGGGGATTTAATTAACTTGCTTCATAGAGACATTTATATCTTTAATTGCAAGGATAAAAGAAGGGGTGCATCTCAAAGGCCATGATAAATATAAAGGATAGAAAAGTTACGTTGATGGTGTGCCCCTCGATATCTAGAAGATAACATAGTCCATGCATTCTCAGAAAGATCCTATCCATGTGGTATGTAGAGATGTGGGTTTCTTTTTTTCTACTTTTTTATGTGCTTCTTTTTAGAAACTTATACACACACACACACACACACACACACACACACACACACACATATATGAAATTACTTGAAGGTGATCAACTACCATGGACCTAATTTTGTCTGAGGCTTCTATTTATTTTACCCATTTGATGGATAAAGGAGCAGACAATAGATGGGAGAGGAGTCAGTTTAGATAATTATAAGCACTTTTTTGAGTCACCAACCAAGTGGTAATAAATACAGTTCTAGATTTTTTTCTTTAAGGATATTCTTATGTTGTTTTAGAGCAACTAATGGAAAAATACTGTACTTGTCACTTCTAGATTTCAAATTAGTATTAACCAAGCAGATTTTGTTGTGTTTCTGTGATATTTCACAGTAGTTTTTAGTTATTCTGATTTTCTTAATACTAAAAATAATCTTGGTTTGTGGTTTTCCCTTTCTTTTTGCATTATTTATTTATCGTTTTATTAATTCTGTAGATACTTGGGAGGTTTCCCCTGGAAAGAGTTTCTTGGACATAGTATTTGACATTTTATATTATGTCATAGGCAGTTTTCTGACTATTGTGTGTGTGTGTGCATGTGTAGGTGACTTCTTTGTTTGGAGGAGAAGACACTAGCAGGAGTTCAACTAGGGGTATGTGTTTAAATCTTTAAATTTTAGCAATAATCATCGCCTTTTCAGAGAATCTATTAACTTTTTTTTTCTTTAATCTAGGCTCACTTAATCCTGAAAATCCTGTTCAAGTAAGCATAAACCAATTAACTGCAGCAATTTATGATCTTCTCAGACTCCATGCAAATTCTGGTAGGAGTCCTACAGACTGTGCCCAAAGTAGCAAGAGTGTCAAGGAAGCATGGACTACAACAGAGCAGCTCCAGTTTACTATTTTTGCTGCTCATGGAATTTCAAGTAATTGGGTATCAAAGTAAGTAACTGTTTAAGCAGCCAGGCATGGTGGCTTGCACCTGTAATCCCAAGGCTTTGTGAGGCCACAGTGGGAGGATTGCTTGACCCCAGGAGTTGGAGACCAGCCTTGGCAATGAGACCTCATCTCTACTAAAAAGAATTTTAAAAAAATTAGCCAGTCAGGCACGGTGGCTCATGCCTGTAATCCCAGCACTTTGGGAGGCTGAAGCGGGTGGATCACCTGAGGTCAGGAGTTCGAGACCAGCCTGACAAACATGGAGAGAACCTGTCTCTACTAAAAATACAAAATTAGCTGGGTGTGGTGGCACATGCCTGTAATCCCAGCTATTTGGGAGGCTGAGGCAGGAGAATCACTTGGACCCAGGAGGTGGAGGTTGCGGTGAGCCAAGATTGCACCATTGCACTCCAGCCTTGTCAACAAGAGCTAAACTCCATTAAAAAAAAAAAAATAGCCAGTGGTGGTGTGCACCTGTAGTCCCAGCTACTCAGAAGGCTGAGGCAGGAGTATTGCTCGAGCCAGGAAATGAAGACTGCAGTGAGCTATATCATGCCACTGCACTCCAGCCTGGGTGACAGAGCAAGACTCTGTCTCAAAAAAATAAAAAGAAAATATGTGCAGCTTTATCTAGCAACTATTCTGATCTTGTAAAATGTCAGCAACCAGTTATCTTGGTGTTTAAATGACTAACCAGCAGATACCTTTGTTATTTTCTTAAAAATTACAGAGGTATTTGAAGCACTTCCAGTAAAAAAAATGTAACTCTTTACATGCCAAAAGCAGGAAAATATAGCAGGAAAACAGAGCAAATATAGCAGGAAAACAGAGCAAATGTCAGTTAATTAGGCAATTTAAGACTGGTGTTCGTTCATTATTATTATTTTTTTTTTTGAGATGGAGTCTTGCATTGTTGCCCATGGTAGAGTGCAGTGGCGTGATCTCGGCTCACTGCAACCTCTGATTCCAGGGTTCAAGCAATTCTTGTGCCTCAGCCTCCCCAGTAGCTAGGATTACAGGTGTGCACCACCATGCCTAGCTAATTTTTGTATTTTTAGTAGAGACGAGATTTCACCTTGTTGGCCAGGCTGGTCTCAAACTCCTGACCTCAAGTGATCTGCCCACCTCGGTCTCCCAAAGTTCTGGGATTACAGGCATGAGTCACCACACCCAGCCGCCAGTTTTACTTTATTTGAAAATCAATGTATGAACTGAAAAGTCAGAAATATTTTTAGTGAAATAGTTTTATAGTAGCTTAATGCTATAAAAAAGTCTACTGAAGAAATATCAAACCTAAGTTTTGCTTAAATTGGGCTTTAGATTAAAATATAATAATTTAGTGACTTAAAAGTGATGTTTTAATTTATTCAATAAATATTTATTGAGCACCATCTGTGGGCAGTATTCTTAGTACCGGGGATTCAGTAGTACAAGGCGGCAAAAAACCTGTACTCTTCTGGAACTTGGATTTAAATGGATATTGATGGTATCTGAAGGTATTTCATTACAGGGATAATAATCTTCACATTCTCCATAGGCACACACACACACACACACGTTTGTACATAGACACACACAAATATACATAGGGACACTAATGAGGTGAACAAATACCCAGTAGAAGACAATACAGAAAACGGTGATAAAAATAGAAAGTAAGTGAATAAAATGCTGACATAAATAGGAGTAAATGGAATAAAGTTGAGAAAAATAACCAAATAGTTTGCTTAGGGGTATTGTGTGAACCAACGAAATTTGATTTGAATTAAATTTAGAATGATAAATAAATTGTATATATGAACAGAGTGGTTAACATGTAAGGCTAGCAGTAAGTTAGATTAAGTAGAATACAATTTTATTGAATCTAAGACTCCTGCTTTACAAGATTACCTGACTGTATCCAACCAGCTGTGTACTTGGCAATTAGTGGCTGAGTCACTGCAATCTAATGAGAGAATTCAATAGCATCTGTCCCCATAAATGGAAGACTCCCAATAGACTAGGAAGATTGGCTTGATGCAAGTCAGGCACATGCTTAGCTGACTCTATTTCAGTAGCTTAGCAAAGGAAAATGCACCTAGGGAAGGTAATGTTTGTACTCTTTCTACCTAGAAATGAATAAATACATTATTCAGTGTTGTTCAACTAAAATCTGAAGCTAATAACTAACTGAGCACAAAATTAAAGTAAATTGGCCGGGCGCGGTGGCTCACGCCTGTAATCCCAGCACTTTGGGAGGCCGAGGCGGGTGGATCATGAGGTCAGGAGATCAAGACCATCCTGGCTAACAAGGTGAAACCCCGTCTCTACTAAAAATACAAAAAATTAGCCGGGCGCGGTGGCGGGCGCCTGTAGTCCCAGCTACTCGGGAGGCTGAGGCAGGAGAATGGCGTGAACCCGGGAAGCAGAGCTTGCAGTGAGCCGAGATTGCGCCACTGCAGTCCGCAGTCCGTCCTGGGCGACAGAGCGAGACTCCGTCTCAAAAAAAAAAAAAAAAAAAAAAAAATTAAAGTTAATTATTCAGCTGGTGTTATTATGACCATGCTTTAAACTGGGACCTAGGAACTTACATTCCCCTTTTTATCCCCTTTACCAAACCTCTTTTCTATTTTCATAGAATTTGCAGTGGTTAAATTTCAGATGGACTTCTAAAAACTCAAATGAAAGGTGACCAGATTATTTCAGATATTAGTCTCTTTGGAGGAAGAACTGCTAATGTATTTGTATTAGTTAACTAATTTGTATTATCATGATAGAAATCAAGTTAAACTTTCTTTTCTCAGTTATGAAAAATACTACTTGATATGTTCACTGTCTCACAATGGAAAGGATCTTTTTAAACCTATTCAATCAAAGAAGGTTGGCACTTACAAGAATTTCTTCTATCTTATTAAATGGGATGAACTGTAAGTGAAATTTCTGGCTTTTTATTCTTTCAGTGTGTCCTGTTGTTTACTTTTTCCAATGTATGCATCCTAGCTTTAATTTTTATTGCAATTTTCATTGAAATTCATTAACTTCTGACTTATGTCTTAAGATCTCTCTTCTAGATATGATTTTATAGAACAGACTGAAATTCTCATTAAAAAATATTAAATACCGACCGGGCGCAGTGGCTCACACCTGTAATCCCAGCACTTTGGGAGGCCAAGGCGGGCGGATCATGAGGTCAGGAGATCGAGACCATCCTGGTTAACACGGTGAAACCCCGTCTCTACTAAAAATACAAAAAATTAGCCGGGCGTGGTGGCGGGCGCCTGTGGTCCCAGCTACTCGGGAGGCTGAGGCAGGAGAATGTCATGAATCCGGGAGGCAGAGCTTTCAGTGAGCTGAGATTGAGCCACCGCACTCCAGCCTAGGCAACAGAGCAAGACTCCATCTCAAAAAAAAAAAAAAAAAAAATGAAATACCCTTTTAAGCCTTTATATTATGAAATTACAAAAACATACCATTCTTTTTAGACTTTGTCAAGTTAAAGATATAAATTTATAGTTATAGAAAGGAATGAAAGTTATAGAAAGACGGTATTTTATAGCATTGCTTGCTTCAGTATTTATTCTGTAACACTATATAACAATTCTGGCTCTTAGATTAATCAACACTTAACGAAAAAAGTTATCTTTTTACTTTTTTGAGGCGGAGTTTTGCCCTTGTTGCCCAGGCTAGAGTGCAGTGGCATGATCTCAGCTCACTGCAAGCTCCACCTCTCGAGTTCAAGCAATTCTCCTGTCTCAGCCTCCTGAGTAACTGGGATTACAGGCATGCGCCACCACGCCTGGCTAATTTTTTGTATGTTTAGTAGAGTTGGGGTTTCACCATGTTGGCCAGGCTGGTCTTGAACTCCTGACCTCAGGTGATCCGCCCACCTCGGCCTCCCAAAGTGCTGGGATTACAGGCGTGAGCCACCGCGTCTAGCCGAAAAAAACATTATCTTAAATCCATGTACAAGATGATATTTTGTACTATTCATATTTTTTAAATAGTGTTTTTTCTTTTTTCTTTTTTTTTTTTTTTTGAGATGGAGTCTCACTCTGTCACCCAGGCTGGAGTGCAGTGGTGCAATCTTGGCCCACTGTAACCTCAGCTTCCCGGGTTCAAGTGATTCTCCTGCCTCAGCCTCCTGAGTAGCTGAGATTACAGGTGTGTGCCACCATGCCTGGCTAATTTTTTTGTATTTTTAGTAGAAAAGGGGTTTTGCCATGTTGGCCAGGCTAGTCTTGAATTCCTGACCTCAGGTGATCCGCCCACCTTGGCCTCCCAAAGTGCTGGGATTACAGGTGTGAGCCACTGTGCCCGGCCTAAAATAGTGTTTTTAAACTAAGGGAACTCTCATTATTTAGGCAGATAGACAGTTGCAGAACTTTTTACTATTCGTTCCACATTTATTAAATGTTTTCCTATTGTCTTATTTTCTTTTATATTATAAAATAATACATGTCTGTGAAAGCAATCAAGTAACACAAAAATGCATATAAGTAGAAAGTGTCACTATTTTCAACATTTGCTATCAGAGTGCCTACTGTTGACTTCAAGTGTTCTTTCAGACTTAAAAAAATAATGCATTGGTAAACATATGTCTGTTGGTGTATATACTTTTCTTTTTTTCATGGGAGGGAAGAGAGGGAGGAAAGGAAGGAGGAAGGAAGGCTGTTTGTGTATATACTTATTATATATGTTTGTGTGAATTCTTACATCCCAAAACAGAAATTCTCATAAACATTCATCTAGTTTTTCCAAAAGGAAATAAAAATGACTAATATTATTTTGCCTGGAAATTGACACTAGAAATCTCAAAGGCATTTGTAAGTCTTTAAAGAAAGAAATGTTATATTTTGAAATTTTATACTGTTAATAAAATTTATTTAAAATTGTTAATAGGACAAGTTAGCCAGACTTCTATTTAGCTAAAGGTTACTCAGTATTAAAGATTATTTGAGGCTGGCGTGGTGGCTCACGCCTGTAATCCTAGCACTTTGGGAGGCTGAGTGGATCACCTGAGGTCAGGGGTTTGAGACCAGCCTGGCCAACATGGTGAAACCCCGTCTCTACTAAAAATACGAAAATTAGCTGGGCGTGGTGGTGGGTGCCTATAATCCCAGCTACTTGAGAGTCGGAGGCAGGAGAATCACTTGAACCCAGGAGGCGGAGGTTGCAGTGAGCCAAGATCGTGCCATTGCACTCCAGCCTAGGCAACAGAGCAAAAACGCCTTCTCAATAAAATAAAATAAAAATACCAAAATAAAGATTATTTGAAAGGTTAAATACAATACCTAAAATTGTCAGTCTCATTAAAGTGTTAAATTTCAAAATCATTCAATCTAATTTGTTCTATTAATACATTTTTCCCCCCATAGAATCATTTTTCCTATCCAGATATCACAATTGCCATTAGAATCAGTTCTTCACCTTACTCTTTTTGGAATTTTAAATCAGAGCAGTGGAAGTTCCCCTGATTCTAATAAGCAGAGAAAGGGACCAGAAGCTTTGGGCAAAGTTTCTTTACCTCTTTTTGACTTTAAACGGTAAGTATTACCGAATTGTAATGGTGAGTCACTGTGGACACATCTGCACATCAGAATTGGCTAGATGACAAGGAGGTGAGGGGAGGAACATAGATGAGTGAATGAGCCTCTTCAGTTTTTCTAATGTGATAAAAGGAGGTCAGTTCAGAGACACAGATTAGAGGAAATCAAAGTTAGTCTGCTATATTCTAAACATATCTGAATAGGTATGCACAGCTTTGTTTGCCACTCACTGTTCCATGGAGAAAAGCAGCAGCCAATGACTGTCGTTTATATAAAGTACTACATTGTTGACATAATACCACAGTCTTGTAAGTTCCCTTGATGTTAACCAAAGAACTTCGTTTTTCCTTTTCCCATTTCTTTCCTACTCTTCTCCAGTTTTAGAGAATCTATAGGTGCACATTATTCCCTTCCTTAATTCTCTTTACTAATCTATCCCTTACTGCCAAATGCCCCTAGTCTTTAATTGCCATACATCCCACAAGTATGCAAAACCCTATTAGGGATTCTTTCCCTTATCCTTAGGGGTAAAGGAACTTCTTTTGAGCTTGGTGTCTGTTAATAGCCACTGGGATAGTATAATCTATATGGCCTTTCAGCTGAATATTTTAATTATGTTTTAAGGAATAATGTTTCATGAGATGATCAAGAGTTTTCCAAAGGAAAAATAATTGGGTAAGTTCGGGATATGTTACATTCAGCACATGGGTGCATTCTGGAGAATAGATGATGCACATTGGCATATTAAAGCATCTCTAGGCAGGGCTCTGTGGCTCATGCTTGTAACCCCAGCAATTTGGTAGTCCAAGGTAGGCAGATCACTTGAGGTCAGCAGTTTGAGAACAGCCTGGCCAACATGGTGAAATCCCACCTCTGCCAAAAATATAAACATTAGCTAGCTGGGCATAGAGGCACACCCCTGTAATCCCACCTACTCTGTAGGCTGAGGCATGAGAATCACTTGAACCTGGAGGCAGAGGTTTCAGTGAGCCCCTCCCCACCCCCCGCCAAAAAAAAAAAAAAGCATCTCTAAAGTTCTAAAAGAAAAATTAAAAAAAAAAAGGAGAAAAAAGCATCCCTAAAGCTTTGTAGTCAAGAAGCCTATTTAACTGGGTCTTATGGCAATATATTTACTATAATAACAAACACTTATGTAGCACTTACTATGTGCTAGGTATTCATCTGAGTGCTACATAGGTATCCTTATATTTCTCACAACTGCTCTATGAAATAAGTGGTGATTTTATCCCTTTTTACGGAGTGGGGGGAATCAAAGTACAGAGATTAAGTGACTTTCCCCAGGGCACTTAGCTAGTATGTGGTAGAATTGGGATTTGAACCAGGCAGTTTGGCTACAGGGTCTACATTCTGAACTATTACCCTATATTAACATACTGAAACTTAGTTGATACCATGACACTTTTTTGTTGTTCTAGAATATATCTTTTGAAACCTTGTGTCCCTTGGGACAGTTTGGGAAATGCTTTAATAATAGATCTATTTAACTTAAAACAAATACCGAGAATGAAAATTTCTGCTAATCTAATACTTTTTCTTCTTAAATGGCAAATACACCATTTGATTTGCCAGTAATCATCTGTTGACAATAATAGGATGTTCAAAACACTGACTTGACAAATTTGTTCTTGAAATATTCTTTTCCCATGTGCTTAAAAATAACATTTATTGGCTGGGCACAGTGGCTCACACCTGTAATCCCATCATTTTGGGAGGCTGAGGTGGGTGGATCACTTGAGGTCAGGAGTTCGAGACCAGTCTGGCCAACATGGTGAAACCCCATCTCTACTAAAAATACAAAAATTAGCCAGGTGTGGTGGCGCACATCTGTAATCCCAGCTACTTGGGATGCTGAGGCAAGAGAATTGCTTGAGGCTGGGAGGCAGAGGTTGCTGTGAGTCAAGACTGCGCCACTGGACTCCAGCCTGGGTGACAGAGCGAGACTCTGTCTCCAAAAGAAAAAAAAAACACATATTTATTTTAAAAATATTTTTCTTTATTTTAGTCGCTTCCCCCCTATTTGAGGAGGCAGTATAAGATTTTTTGTTCTCTACATTTTGGTGGATTCAGATTTTAATACCTGACATAATTTTGAACTACCAAAGGCTAAAGAAAGGCAGTTGAAGGGATTACTGTTAATGGTGTGTATTAGGAACCTTTTGCTAAATATAATACATTACTACTCTAAAACAGAATATGCTTATATACTGTGAAGAATTGTATTCACCACTGTCTTTGATAAATTAGTGTCAGAGAGCAGTTATATGAAAGTTAAATACAATTTCATCATTATCATTAATTTTTATAAATAAATTCTGAAAACCTTCTTGCTCTTGAAAGCACCAGGAGTCTTTGCATAATTAGAGAACTATCACATTTTGCCACTTTTATTGTCTAGTAATAAATGGTTTTGTTAGATAAATGATATAATATTCTTTCATAATTCAAGAGACTATCAAGTGAAGGGCAGTTGACTTCTGCTAGACATTTAAATAGTTTGCATCCAACACTCTGCTGTTAAAATAGTGAATAGATTGTATTAAGCTTGAGACTGCCAAGTAGTGCAGGCGATCTTGGTAATGTTAGGACTTCACGTTCAAGGAATACTCAGAAATTAAGAGGGAAGATGATTAAGAGAGATGATTATTATTATTACACTTTGTTTCTCTACATTAGTACATGTAGAGAAACAGTATATAATATAGTTGAGTTAACCACTGTGTTATAATGATTAGTAATCCTAGTCTTGAAATTCTTTATGAAATAATTTCTGTTGAAGATGCAATCTTATATGACCTAATGGTCACTATTATTGAAGCCAAATGACTCAAAGGCATTTCATTCAGCCTTAATAACAAATGAGTTCTTTTTTAAAAAACTTTTTTTTTGTAGAGATGGAGTCTCACTGTTGCCCAGGCTGGTCTCAAACTCCTGGCCTCAAGTGATCCATCTTCCCGCCATCCGATCCCATCCGGTAGCTCAGATTATAGGCGTGAGCTACCATGTCCAGCACAAATGAGTTCTTAACTAATTTTTCTGAAAACTGGCATATAAACAGAATTAAGCAGTTAACCTGTCTTTCCTTTACAGTTATTTCTGAGGGTTACTAAATAATTGAGGTGGCAAAGTTTTTTTTGTTTTTGTTTTTGTTTTTTGAGACAGAGTCTCACTCTGTCACTCAGGTTGGAGTGCAATGGCATGATCTTGGCTCACTGCAACCTCTGCCTCCTAGGTTCAAGTGATTCTCATGCCTCAGCCTCCAGAGTAGCTGAGATTACAGGTGTGTGCTACCATGCCTGGCTAATTTTTGTGTTTTGGGTAGAGACAGGGTTTTGCAATGTTGGCCAGGTTGGTCTCGAACTCCTGGCCTCGAGTGATCCACCTGCCTTAGCCTCCCAAGTGCTGGGATTACAGGTGTGAGCCACCATGCCTAGCAGTAATTGATATGACAAAGTTTTTTTTATAGAAAATCTTTAGCTAGCCCGTTATGGTGGCTCATGCCTGTAATCCCAGCACTTTGGGAAGCCAAGGCGGGAGTTTGAGACAACTCTGGCCAATATGGCGAAACCCTGTCTCTACTAAAAATACAAAAAAGTTATAGCCAGGTATGGTGGCTCGTGCCTATAGTCCCAGCTACTTGGGAGGCTGAGACGGGAGAATTGCTTGAACCCGGGAGGTGGAGTTTTGCAGTGAGGCGAAATTGCACCACTACACTCCAGCCTGGGCGACAGAACGAGACTCCATCTCAAAAAAAAACAGTGAAAATCTTTAGATAATAGATGCAGAAGGAATGATAGAATTAGAATATTATAATTTTGCAACCCATGCTGAAATAATAGATTTCGGCCAGGGTTTCTCAATCTTGGCAGTATTGACATTTCAGACCAAATAATTTTTTGTTGTGGAAGACTGTTCTGTGCATTGTAGGATGTTTAGCGGCATCCCTAGATTCTACCCATTAGATGCCAGTTGTCCCCCTCAGTTTACAACCAAAATTATTTCCAAATTACCAAATGTCTGCTGGAAGGAAAATCACTCCCAGTTGAGAACCATTGATGTAAGCAGTGATCATCAGTGCCGCCTTTTTTGTTTTTTGTTTTAAAACCTTAAAATCTGTGAAAATGCCTTCCTAAAACCATTAAATAGTTTTTCTGCAACTTCATAATTGATGGCTTAAACTGATGGCACTAGAACTAAACTGATCAATAGTAACATCACAGAGAGATAACCCAAAGAGTGTGTACCTTTTAATTTGATAGAATTAGAAGTAGTATACAATACCAACTGCAAAATAGTAAGTATTCTTGCCAAAGAACTAAATCTGAATCAAATCAGGCCTCTAGGTCTAACTTCTTCTCTATGGAAAATACAGGAGGACATGTGAAATGACACCAGAGGAGTATAACCAGCAAAATTCAGGATATGGAAAATTCTACAGAACAAAAGGCCTGGTATCATCAACAAATAAATAGAAAAAAAGAGAAGGAGACCAAACAAGAGTTAACAAACTTTTTCTGTAAAGGGTGCCAGATAAAAGTAGTTTAGGCTTTGCAGACCATATAGACTCTGTCACAAATGCAAAAGCAGTCGTAGACAGTACATTAACAAATGAGCATGGCTATGTCTGGTAAAAGTTTATTTACAAAGCCAGGTGTGAAGGCCAGTTTGTTTACATGTGGCTATAAATAAACTCTGTAAAGGCAGGTTGGAGTTTGCTGACCCTGAATTAAAAGATGCTTAAAAAGACATCCAAATGTATTGTGCCACTGCACTTCAGCCTGGGCGACAGAACAAGACTCCGTCTCAAAAAAAAAAAAAAAAGACATCCAAATGCAAGTGTTAGGCCTTGCTTGGATCTTGTTTTAAGCAAACCAACTGTTTTTAAAAAACATCATTTATGGGACAATCAGAGAAATTTGAATAGTGACTAGATATTTTATGGTCTTAAGTAATTATTGTTAATTATTTTAGGAGGGATAATGGTATTGTACTTATTACAGGAAACTTTATTTTTTAGAGATATATAACAGTATTTGTAGATGAAATAATATGATCAGGATTTGCCTTAAGTCTAGTTGGAAGTAAGGGTGGTTCTTAGACATAACAGACTATAGCCCGGTGTGGTGGCTCACACCTGTAATTCCAGCAGCTCAGGAGTTCAAGGCTTCAGTGAGCTATGATCACACCGCGCATTCCAACCAGGGCGACAGAGTGAGGCCCATCCCCATATATATATATATATGATGGATTATAAGGTATCAAAGATTCAAAGCCTGTTTGTCAAGAGAAAATTTTAAAACTGGAGTCTAGTTTTGGTAAAGATATTTGCTGTTTGAATAAAATGAACAAAGATTTGACAAACTATAGTTTTCTGCTTTTGTATATCTTACGTTGTTTTCAGAAATTTCTTCTGTGTAAAGATATGTCAATATCTTTGAAAGAATGTTTTGATTGAGTAGGCCATAAATTAGTAGTCTAGGGCAAGGGTCAGCATACTTGGCCCATTGCTTCTTTTTATAAATACAAATACAGTTTGTTAGAGCATAGCATGCATATACATTTATATGTTGTTCATGGCAAATTTGAACTACAACAGGAAAATTTAGTCTTGCAGCAGAGACTTTATGGTCCACAAAGCCTAAAATATTTACTCTCTGGCTCTTTATAGAAAAAGTTGGCAGACCCCTAGTCTAGGAAACAGATAAAACTTCTCATATCTGGCCAGGTGCGGTGGCTCATGCCTGTAATCCCGGCACTTTGGGAGGCTGAGACAGGCAGATCATATGAGCCTCAGGAGTTCAAGACGAGCTTGGGCAACATGGCGAAACCCCTTCTCTACAAAAAAAAAAAAAAAAAACAAGAATTAGCTGAGCATGGTGCCACGTGCCTATAGTCCTAGCTACTTGGGAGGCTGCAATGGAACAATCATCTGAGCCCAGGGAGGTCAAGGCTGCACTTAGCCATAGTTGTGCTACTACACTCCAGTCTGGGTGACAGCAAGACCCTGTCTCAAAACAAAACAAAACAAAAAAACGTGTTTTGTTTTCTTTGGCTTGTATTTTTGATCTAATGATTAAAGTCAGGAAGCAGTTCTGTAATCCAAACCACCACCTTGAGATATATTTCTTTGTAGAAAATCTTCAAAGACTATTCTTAAACTTCCTATTTCTAGAAGTTGTTTTCTGAGTCCTTACCTTTTTTGTGTTCTGTCCTCAACACCATTTTCCCCAAGATAATGTCCTTTAATTCTCCCTCTCTTTGTTCCCACCCTACATTTCAATACATTTACCCTACACCTGAAAAGTTTCAGTACAATGTGGAGAGTGAATCCTTCTGATATGTTCTTAAAGATATCCTTTTTATTTAGTTGATCTCATACTAACTTTTCAAATTCATTACATGTGTTGTAAATTTTGAATTGATTTTTAAAATGAAAATCACATTATTATTTTTACATCCGTGAAGGTTTTTAACATGTGGAACTAAACTTCTATATCTTTGGACTTCATCACATACAAATTCTGTTCCTGGAACAGTTACCAAAAAAGGATATGTCATGGAAAGAATAGTGCTACAGGTAATGGTACTTCTTGACATGTAGAGAGGTGTACATTTAAATTTCTTCATAAAATGTGTGTGTGTATACCATGATTTGGGTTGTTAAAGAAACCTAACTGATCTTGTTTTAGTCTCAGGATCTATCTTCTATTTTAATATCAATATTTCTGAGAAGCAGTAAAACATGCACTGTACTTATCCCAAGAAATATGTATGTGCTGTTGAGAATTACCAACAATGGTAATCAATTGCAACAAGAAGCATTAATTTAATATTCAATGTAAATATGCCCCGATTGCTAAGAAAAATCTGTTTTCTTAAAGACAAAGAGGTTAATGTGGCAAATACGTAGACTGTAATTTGATCAATTTCTGTTAAATTTTAAAGGTTGATTTTCCTTCTCCTGCATTTGATATTATTTATACAACTCCTCAAGTTGACAGAAGCATTATACAGCAACATAACTTAGAAACACTAGAGAATGATATAAAAGGGAAACTTCTTGATATTCTTCATAAAGACTCATCACTTGGGTATGTTCTGTTTATTCTGTTTTGGGCTAAGTATCTCCTGTAATGTAAAAGTCAAGTTAGGACTTACATTAAATAACCTGATTCTGTTCATGATTTATCAGCTTTCTTGGTGTGGAAAGTTTTCTATTTAACTTACTTTTTTTCCTTTTTTTTTTTTTTAATAATCTACAAAACTTTTGTCTCGAGGGCCAGCTAGTATTTAAGTTATTTTTAAAATTATATAAAAAGACTACATAACTGCATAAAATTTTAGAAATTTGTCAAGTCAAACCTTTTTACTTAAAAGGCAAACAATAGACTGGAAACTATATTTACAATACATATCAAGAGATTTTTTTAACCGTAAGGAACTTTTTCTTATTAATAAGATTAAGACCAAGAACTCAGTAGTCAAGGAGACTAAGTAGGAACAAGCAATTTTTTTAGAAAAATACAATACTTTTAAACAATCTGAAAAGATGTTCAATTTCTCAGTAATCAGGGAAATATAAATTAATTCAAGATACCATCTAACACATCAGAGTGGCAAAAATTAAAATACCTTGTGAAAAGTGTTGATAAGGATACATAAAATGGGAATTATACTATTTGCAGAAGTATAAAAAGCTATGTCTCCTTTGGAGAGCAATTTGGCAAAATCTACAAGGTTATAATGTGTATATTCTGTCCCAGCAGTGCCATTTGCAGTTATATAAAACTCTTTTATATTTGCTTATGGAGTCAAGAATATTCATTGCAGTACTTATTTGGATTATTGAAAAACTGTTCGGAGACTGGGCGTGGTGGCTCATGCCTGTACTCTTGACACTTTGGAAGGCTGAGGTGGGAGGATTGCTTGAGCCCAGGAGTTGGAGACCAACACTGACAATATAGTGAGACCCTGTCTCTACAAAAAAATTAAAAGTAGCCAGGCACAGTGTTGTGCATCTGTAGTCCTAGCGACTCAGGAGGCTGAGGTGGGAGAATTGCTTGAGCCCAGGAGGTCAAGGCTGCAGTGATCTATGATCTCATCACTGCACTGCAGCCTGGGCAACAGAGCAATACCCTGTCTCAAAAAAGAAAAGAAAAGAAAAGAAAAGAAAAATTGATTGGAAATGTCCATCAATAGGGATTAAATTAAGGTACATTTATCTGGTAGAGAACCATGTAACTATTAAAAATGAGATTGTAGGCTGAACGTGGTGGCTCACACCTGTAATCTCAGCACTTTGGGAGGCTGAGATGGTGGCACATGCCTGTAATCCCAGCTACTTGGGAGGCTGAGGCAGGAGAATCGCTTGAACCTGGGAGGCGGAGGTTGCAGTGAGCCAAGATCGTGCCACTGCATTCCAGCCTGGGTGACAGAGCGAGACTCCATCTCAAACAAAAATAAAATAAATAAAAATGAGATTATAGCTGTATGTACTAATTTTTAAAATAGGTTAGCTGAAGAAAACCAGGAGTAGAATAGTGTATATAGTGTATTACCACGAAAATAAAGGAAAAAAGAGGATCTACATATATCCGTGTGTGTGCCTCTGTATGAATAAACTCTCTAGAAGAGCATACAAGCTTAGGTGGTTGCCTCTTAGAAGGGGAATTAGAAGGAGAGAGATTTCACTGTATACCTTTTGCAGTGTTTGAATTTTTTCATTACTCCACATGAAATGAATAAATTTCAGTGCATGTATATGTATATATATATTTATATATATATGGATGGATAGTAAAATGGTGAAATATTTCATTCACGTAAACATTTGTGATTAAGCTTAAAACAATTAGGATCTTCAAAACAAGTCCTTTTCATTTGAACTGTATAAATATGTTCCAAAATTTTATAGTAGTATTTTTTTTTTCATAGCATTTGATTTTATTTGTACGAAATGGATGAAATCCTTGCTATCTCTTAGGGTGGGATCTGCTTTTTCAACTCTGATTTCTAGTGCCTGGCATCTAGTTAGAGCTCAATAAATTTTTATTATACTGAATTATCCTTCATTTTCCTAACTAAGCATCTTTTATCAAGACATAATCATTCCTTTCAGTTCCCGGATTAGCATTAATTACTGGCATTTGCCATACATTGCATTTTTCTATTCCAAATTAGTATTAATGATTTTATGAAGAAGTAGCTGTCCCAAATAAATAAATTTCTTCTTTGTATTTTTAATCATTGAGATTATATCATTATGTTATCACTGAGAAGTAATTTAATTCTATTATATATGCAGACTTTCTAAAGAAGATAAAGCTTTTTTATGGGAGAAACGTTATTATTGCTTCAAACACCCAAATTGTCTTCCTAAAATATTAGCAAGCGCCCCAAACTGGAAATGGGTTAATCTTGCCAAAACTTACTCATTGCTTCACCAGTGGCCTGCATTGTACCCACTAATTGCATTGGAACTTCTTGATTCAAAGTAAGTCAAATACATTTATTTGCTCTTGTTTTATTGTCAGTTTTTCCAGTAAGGTATGTTGCCAGAAGTATTTCCTTTCCTTTTAACATGAAAGCAATTCAATATAATCCAAATGTGTAAATGTATATTTATACAAACATATCTTCTGCATTGAAGTTGTCAATAAAGCATTGCATGTCCTTTAAAACTAGCCTAAAGGAAGGGTTAGGTTGTAAATTTTGAATAATTTATATTTTTATGATGTGGGCCAGAATTAATTTTCATAAACTTAAGATTCCTAAATAATCCCTAAATTGAATCTGTATAGCACAATAAGATTGTCTTCTTACAAAAAGAAGAAATACATTGCTTTTGAATAAAAGAGATATCTTAGTGTTCTTTGTCAGGACCAGATTGAGATTGTGTTTTCAAAAAATACAGCTTCACTGGAAAGAAATCACTGTCCAATCTTGGTTTTATGGTAATCTTCTAGATTTGCTGATCAGGAAGTAAGATCCCTAGCTGTGACCTGGATTGAGGCCATTAGTGATGATGAGCTAACAGATCTTCTTCCACAGTTTGTACAAGTGAGTTTTTTACTAGATTACCTCCCTTTATACTTTCACTCTAGTTTTTTATGGGAACTTGCTAAGGGATCCCCATTCTGTTTAGATTAAAAGTCGTTTTTTAGTGTGGGAACATTGAGGGGCATTGCATTTGGATTTAGTGTGAATTTTTTCCCCACTATTGTCATCTGCCCCATTTGAATATTGTATATAGGCACCTGTATTTTTAGTTTTCAGACTTTTTAGAACAAACCAGACTTGAGCTTTTCCTTGATTTTTCTTTACTGGTGAGTTCAACATAGCTAATGAATGTTACTCTATACTTTTGTGTTTGATTTAAATTAGTTTGGCATAGGTTAATTCATCTATTTAATTTTTATAAGTATCATCTTTCATCAGTAAGAGTAATACTTGCTTTATATAGTTTCTCTTTTGATAGTTTTATTGGAACAATTTAGTATGGGTTAGACCACTAATAATTCTTATTTTCTTTTACTGTAGGCTTTGAAATATGAAATTTACTTGAATAGTTCATTAGTGCAATTCCTTTTGTCCAGGGCATTGGGAAATATCCAGATAGCACACAATTTATATTGGTAAGATTTAAATTTTATTGATTACCGTATTTCCATTCCTAGAATTTATAGAAATGGCATACCCTGTAAGTCTAAATGGTATGCCACACTACTTATTGTGGATACAAGATATTTTATTGAAGGTATTATTTTAAAGGAGCTAAATTTACCCTCTAATGCAAAAATTTGAAAACCCTCATTGCAAAAATTTGGTGTCTTATAGCTCTGTAATAATGAATGGGTTTCGACTTGCTTATATAGCTTAAAATACATTTCTGGTTATCAAAAATTGAGGCCAAGCGTGGTGGCTCATGCTTGTAATCCCAGCACTTTGGGAGGCTGAAGCTAGTGGATCGCTTGATCTCAGGAGTTTAAGACCAGCCTAACAATCATGGTGAAACCTCATCTCTACCAAAAATATAAAAAATTAGCCGAACATGGTGGCATGTGCCTGTGGTCCCAGCTAGTTGGGATGCTGAGGTGGGAGGATTGCTCGAGCCTGGGAGGTGGAGGTTGCAGTGAGGCAAGGTCATGCCACTGGACTCCAGCCTGGGCAACAGAGCCAGACCTGGTCTCAAAAAAAAAAAAAGAAAAAAAAATTGAACTTGTTATTTTTCAGAGAGGTTCACCTAGTTCTTAGAAGTGACTAACATGGCCGGGCATGGTGGCTCACGCCTGTAATCCCAGCACTTTGGGAGGCCGAAGTGGGCGGATCACAAGGTCAGGAGATCGAGACCATCCTGGCTAACACAGTGAAACCCCATCTCTACTAAAAATACAAAAAATTAGCCGGGTGTGGTGGCGGGCGCCTATAGTCCCAGCTATTCGGGAGGCTGAGGCAGGAGAATGGCGTGAACCCGGGAGGCAGAGCTTGCAGTGAGCCGAGATGGCGCCACTGCACTCCAGCCTGGGTGACGAGTGAGGCTCCGTCTCAAAAAAAAAAAAAAAAAAAAAAAACCAAGACGTGACTAACATAAATATTTTGCTGTATTAGGCTTCTCAAAGATGCCCTGCATGATGTACAGTTTAGTACCCGATACGAACATGTTTTGGGTGCTCTCCTGTCAGTAGGAGGAAAACGACTTAGAGAAGAACTTCTAAAACAGACGAAACTTGTACAGCTTTTAGGAGGAGTAGCAGAAAAAGTAAGGCAGGCTAGTGGATCAGCCAGACAGGTATGTACCCATAAAAGGTAATATAAATGTGTTAATGTTAAAGGAAGGATCTTTATGGTGCTGACTAATTAAGTTGCTATTCTTTATTGGTAGACTCCCAGTAGAACTCTAACTATACCCATGCTATTTGGGGCAGATAAATTCAAAGATTGTTTAAAATATATAGGAACATATTTCACAACCTATTAAAATCAGTGATTTTCCCATGCTTATTTATTTCCATGCTTATTTATTCCTTTCTGATGAAAATTGTTTTCTTGAATTCCTTTACCTCCACTATCAAAGTCCACAGTATTTTCATCACACCAAAAAGAAAGCATGTCCCCATTTTCCCCTCCCAGCCACTAAACTGTTTTCTGTCAATATGGATACGTCTATACTTCTATATGGATATTCTGGACACTTCATGGACTTTTCTGTCTAGTTTCTTTCACTTAGCATAAAGTTTTCAGAGTTCATCTGTGTTCTAGCATGTGTACTACATGCCATTTTTGGTTGAATAATATTCCATTGTGTGGATATACCACATTTGGTTTAAACATTCATCAGTTGGTGGACATTTGGGTTGTTTCCACTTTTTGACTATTAATAATAATACTGCTGGCCAGGCGTGGTGGCTCATGCCTGTAATCCCAGCACTTTGGGAGGCCCAGGCGGGCAGATCACGAGGTCAGGAGATCGAGACCATCCTGGTTAACATGGTGAAACCCCGTCTCTACTAAAAATACAAAAAATTAGCCAGGCATGGTGGCGGGCGCCTGCAGTCCCAGCTGCTCGGGAGGCTGAGGCAGGAGAATGGCGTGAACCCGGGAGGCGGAGCTTGCAGTGAACCGAGATCGAGCCACTATACTCCAGCCTGGGCGACAGAGCAAGACTCTGTCTCAAAAAAAAAAAAAGAATACTGCTATGAATATTCATGTATAAATTTGTGTTTAAACAACTGTTTCCACTTAGGAATGGCAGAGCTAGGTCATATGGTAGTTCTGTGCTTAACTTTTTGGGGAATCATAGAATTATTGTCTGTAGCAGCTATATCACTTTACATTCCCACCAGCAATATAGAAGGGTTCCAGTTTCACCACATCCTCACCAACATTGTTTTTTTTCCTGTTTTTTGATTATGGCCATTCTAGTGGGTGTGAAGCAGTATCTCGTTGTGGTTTTGAGTTGAATTTCCCTAGTGACTAATGATATTGAGCACATTCTCATATGTTTATTGGCCATTTGTATTCTTTGGAGAAATATCTATTCAAAGTCCTTTGTCCATTTTAAATTGGAATGTCTTTTTTGTTGTTGAGTTGTAAGAGTTATTTATATATTTTGGATACTAGACCTTTATCACATACACTATTTGCAAATATTTTTTTCATTCTGCAGTTGTCTTTTTAATTCCTTAATAGTGTCCTTTAATATATTAATACAAAAATGTTTAAGTTTGATGAAGTCCAGTTTATCTATTTTTTTCTTTTGTGGCTCATGCTTTTAGTGTCATATCTAAGAATCCATCATTAAATCTAATGCCATAAAGATGTACACCTGTGTTTTCTTCTAAGCTTTTCTAGTTTTAGCTCTTATGTTTAGGTCTTTGATCCGTTGTGGTATGAAGTAGAGGCCCAACTTTATTCTTTTGAATGAGGTTATCCAGTTGTCTTAGCACCATTTGTTAAAGAGACCCCCTCCTTCCTCTTGAATGGTTTTGGCGTACTTGTCAAAAATCAGTTGACCCTGTGCTTGCTTCGGTAACACATATACTAAAATTGGAATGATACAGAGAAGATTAGCATGCCCCCTACACTACGATGACATGCAAATTCGTGAAGTGTTCTGTTAAAAATTTTTAAATAAAAAAGTTGACCACATATATGGGTTTTTTTCTAGACTCTCAATTCTATATCATATATGTCTATCCATATGCTATATTTGTTTTTTTTTTTTTTTTCCTTTTTTTCCTTGAGATGAGGTCTCTCTGTTGCCCAGGCTGGAGTGCAGTGGTGTGATCACAATTCACCACAGCCTCAGCCTCCTGGGCTCAAGTGATCTTCTCGCTTCAGCCTCCCAAGTAGCTGGGACCACAGGTGTTTGCCACCATGCCTGTCTTTTTTTTTTTTTTTTTTTTTTCTTGTAGGGACAGGGTTTTGCCATGTTTCCCAGGCTGGTCTTGAACTCCTGGGCTCAAGCAGTCCTCCCATTTTGGCCTCCCAAAGTCCTAGGATTATAGATATGAGCCATCCACCCAGCCTATACTTTTTTTAATTACCATAGTTTTATAGTAAGTTTTGAAATTGGACAATGTAAGTCCTCCTACTTTGTTCTTTTTCATTATTATTTTTGGCTATTCAGGGGACACTTGCAATTTCATATGAATTTTAGGAACCGTGTATCCATTGCTGCAAAAAGGCAGTTGGAATTTTGATAAGAATTATAGATTAATTTGGGGAAATATTACATACAATCTTAATTATAAACTATTACCTCTATATACATTGTTTACCTGTTTTCTCTTTACTAAACAATACTGCAATGAACTTTGGTTGGTGTGTACATTTTTATTTCTTTGCTAGTATTTCTTTCAGAAAATTCCTACAGGTGAAATAGCTGAGTCAAGAGCGACATGTATTTTTAGTTATAATAGTTGTTACATTGCTCTACAAAAGAAGCTACACCTGTGTACACCTCTCTCCCTACCAATAAGTTATGAAATCGTTTCCTAACACAGGATGTTGTTTTAAATTTTCATCTGATAGGTGAAAAACTGCATTCATTTTTGTTTGGCTTCTATTTCTTTGACTATTAGTGAGCTTTAACATTTTCGTATACATTGGTTGGCCAAATGTACCTTTGCCCACTATATTTATAGCCTTTGGCCATTCTAGTTTTATAGTAAAAATTAACTCTCTTTAGTAACAACCTTTTTTTCACCGTTTGACAACTGGGCATTTTATAAATTGTATCCACAGCATAACTTGTCTGAAAAATAGATCTTCATTTTCATTATGTACTTACAGTATCACATCTCTTTCTATAGGTTGTTCTCCAAAGAAGTATGGAACGAGTACAGTCCTTTTTTCAGAAAAATAAATGCCGTCTCCCTCTCAAGCCAAGTCTAGTGGCAAAAGAATTAAATATTAAGGTGACACATAAAATACTTATAAGTTCATATTACATTTGAAAATAATAGGAAGAAGGCAAATGGGCAGGTATGCTTAAGGCAAATGAAGGTAAAACCTGCACAGGTTGGTTATAAGCATGGATGGTTGTGATTAGGATCCATATTTATCTTAGCATATTTTTTTACCTAACCACCATTCCTGGGAAAAAAAAAGTATAAAATTATTTACTGCCTTGGGCTTCATTTTTTTAAATTGGTCTCACCTTTTTATTTATTTATTTATTTATTTATTTATTTATTTTTTGAGACAAAGTCTCACTCTTGCCCAAGCTGGAGTGCAGTGGTGCGATCTTGGCTCACTGCAACCTCCACCTCCCAAGTTCAAGCGATTCTCCTGCCTCATCCTCCTGAGTAGCTGGGACTACAGGCACACGCCACCATGCCCAGCTAATTTTTGTATTTTTAGTAGAGATGGGGTTTCACTTTGTTGACCAGGCTGGTCTTGAACTCCTGACCTCGTGATTCGCCCACCTCGGCCTCCCAAAATGCTGAGATTACAGGCATGAGCCACCATGCCTGGCCTTTTTTTTTTTTTTTTTTGAGATGGAGTCTTGCTCTGTCACTCAGGCTGGAATGCAATGGTGCAATCTCGGCTCATTGCGACCTCCGCCTCCCAGGTTCAAGTGATTCTCCTGCCTCAGCCTCCCAAGTAGCCGGGATTACAGGTGCCTGCCACCACGCCTGGCTAATATTTGTATGTTTAGTAGAGACGGGGTTTCGCCGTGTTGGCCAGGCTGGTCTCGAACTCCTGACCTCAGGTGAGCCACCATGCCCAGCTGGTCTCACTGTCTTAAATTAGCTTTTTAGTCGGTTTCATTTTAAAAGTAAGATTTGATCATTGCTAATAAAATTTTTAGTTTTTGTGAATACTTCCATGGCTAATTAATTACAATAGTACCATAAACAGAAGAATGGAGGTCTCACATCACAGTGATTTAGAAGAAGGAAAAGGATATCACAAGACGTTGTGTTCTGTTGATGGATTAAGACATTTACAAAGCTCAAACTTTAAAGTTTGTGTCTCAAGTTTTTGCTTCTCTGCCTAGCGAGATGATATTTTAGTCATATATGCTATGTTTAAGTTTCAAAAAGTATTTTTGCGTATCTGTTATCTTCCAGAGAGTCTAGAAAAGCAATTCTAAATTAGCCGGGTGTGGTGGCGGGTGCCTGTAATCCCAGCTACTCGGGAGGCTGAGGCAGGAGAATTGCTTGAACCCAGGAGGCAGAGATTGCAGTGAGCTGAGATTGCACCATTGCAGTCCAGCCTGGGCAACAAGAGCAAAACTCTATCTCAAAAAAATAAATAAATAAAATGAAAAAGCAATTCTCATGTGTTATTTCATTTGCTGTAATTCAAAGGAACAGGTGTTTAGCTGGGCATGTTGGTGCATGCCTGTAGTCCCAGCTACTCAGGAGGCTGAGGCAGGAGGATCACTTGAGCCCAGGAGTTAGAGGTTGTGGGAAGCTATGGTTGCATCACTGCATTCCAGCCTGGGTAACAAAGCAAGACGCTGTCTCTAACAGAAATAAAAATAAAAAATAAATCTAAAAACAAGACACAAAGGAAGAAGTGAAAGGGGAAATGCGTAGGACAAAAAAAAATTCTAAATCCATTTTCATTTATCTTTCTAATGCTTAACATGTTGTATTTGCAGTCGTGTTCCTTCTTCAGTTCTAATGCTGTCCCCCTAAAAGTCACAATGGTGAATGCTGACCCTATGGGAGAAGAAATTAATGTCATGTTTAAGGTGAGTAAATAATGTTACTGTTTTTTAATGGCAATTTAGAAATTTTTTTATCAAATTACTTTCCCAAAATTGCAAAGGTGATTTTGTTTAATATTTTTTTTATTATTTATTTATTTATTTTTACACAGGGTCTTGTTCTGACGCTCAGGCTGGAGTGCAGTGGCACCATCTCGGCTTACTGCAACCTCCACATCCTGGGTTCAAGTGATTCTCCTGCCTCAGCCTCCCAAGTAGCTGAGATTACAGGCACCTGCCACCATGCCCGGCTAATTTTTGTATTTTTTAGTAGAGACGGGGTTTCGCCATGTTGGCCAGGCTGGTCTTGAACTCCTGACCTCAGGTGATCCACCCACCTCGGCCTCCCAGAGTGCTGGGATTACAGGTGTGAGCCATCGCGCCCAGCCAAAAATTTTACGTGTTTTGATCATGATTTGTACATTTTGAAGACAGGATGAAGAATTTTAGTTTAATTCAATGAGTTGGACACGTGGAGGTTCATAAAGATTGCTTCTACTTGAACCACTTTTGATATATATATAATAAATTCCTTTGTACTCACATCTGGTTTTGAACTCTATATTTGGTTTTATTGATGTAGGTGCCTTTTTCTAAACCAGTAATATCTGTTTTGAATACAAGAATTTTATGTGTTAAGTTTTTTTTTTTTTTGAATTTTTTTTTTTTTTTTTTTGTTTTGGAGACTGAGTTTGCTCTTATTGCCCAGGCTGGAGTGCAATGGCGTGATCTCAGCTCACTGCAACCTTCACCTCCCTAGTTCATGCAGTTCTCCTGCTTCAGCCTCCCAAGTAGCTGGGATTACAGACACGTGCCACCACGTCCAACTAATTTTTTTATTTTTAGTACAGACAGGGTTTCACCATGTTGGCCAGGCTGGTCTCGAACTCCTAACTTCAGGTGATCTGCCCGTCTCGGTCTCCCAAAGTGCTGGGATTACAGGCGTTAGCCACCATGCCCAGCCAAGTTTTAATATTTTTTAAGGCAAATTCTCCTTATTCTTTTCCATAATTTTCTTGGCTAGTCTCAGAATGTATTCCTTATTATGTGTTTTTAAATTATTTTATCCAGTTTAAAGAAAATGAAAACTTATTCAAGTTTTAGTTAAAAAGTAATTCATTTTGGGGGGTTAATTTTTTTAAGTAAACTTTTCATTTTGAGATAATTATAGATTCATAGGCAATTGTAACAAACTGTACAGAGGAATCCTGTGTACTCTTCTTCATAGTAATATCTTGTATAACTGTAGTGCAGTATCACAATCAGGATATTGGCATTGATACAGTCAAAATGTAGAACATTTCATCATCCCACAGATTCTCCATGTTGCCTTTTTAGAAAATTGAATATAGGCCACATATGGTGGCTCATGCCTGTAATCCCAGCACTTTGGGAGGCTGAGGCAGGCAGATCACCTGAGGTCAGAAGTTCGAGACCAGCCTGGCCAACGTGGTGAAACCCCATCTCTACTAAAAATACAAAAATTAGCCAGGTGTGGTGGCAGGCACCTATAATCCCAGCTACTCAGGAGGCTGAGGCAGGAGAATCAGTTGAACCTAGGAGGCGGAGATTGCAGTGAGCCGAGATGACCCCTCTGCACTCCAGCCTGGGTGATAGAGCAAGACTCAGTCTCAAAAAATAAATAAATAAATAAATAAATAATTGAATATAATTCACATACCATAAAACTGAACCTTTTAAAGTGTACAGTTCAGGGAACTGAGATATGAAGAGGTTAAGTACCTTTCCCTAGAATGCTGCAGAAAAATAAAAAGGCAGTTCATTTTATAGGTGTGTGCAACCATGCCCAGCTAATTTTTGTGTTTTTAGTAGAGGCGGGGTTTCCACCATGTTGGCCAGGCTGATCTCGAACTCCTGACCTCAGGTGTTCTGCCCACTTTGGCCTCCCAAAGTGCTGGGATTACAGCTTTCATAGTATGTAATCTGTTAAGTCTTTTGGAGATGTACAAGTTTCATTTTGTTTCCTTGATTTCAAGGTTGGTGAAGATCTTCGGCAAGATATGTTAGCTTTACAGATGATAAAGATTATGGATAAGATCTGGCTTAAAGAAGGACTAGATCTGAGGATGGTAATTTTCAAATGTCTCTCAACTGGCAGAGATCGAGGTAAGTTTATTAGCTGTGTCTTGATGTCTTATTTTTTTCCTTGAACTTAGCTTAAAGTGTACCTGCCGTAAACATCCTGATGCAGATACCCTGGTATCACAGTTGTTTCTTATTTTAATCCAGTGTTACTTTATTGATTCAGTTGCTCATAATTAAGTCTCTTTGAAAAATAACTTAGTGGCCGGGCATAGTGGCTCATGCCTGTAATCCCAGCACTTTGGGAGGCCAAGGTGGGTGGATCACATGAGGTCAGGAGTTTGAGTCCAACCTGGGCAACATGGTGAAACCCTGTTTCTACTAAAAATGCAAAAATTAGCCAGGTGTGGTGGCGTGCCCCTGTAATCCCAGCTGCTTAGGAGGCTGAGATGGGAGAATAGCTTGAACTTGGGAGGCGGAGGCTGCAGTGAGCCGAGATTGCATCACTGTATTCTAGGCTCGGTGACACAGTGAGACTCTATCTCAAAATAAATTAAAAAAAAATTTTTTTAACCTAGTGTAGCCTAAATAAATGCTTTGCAGTAATCAGAGGTGTCCATTAATTGACCCAGTGAGGACTGTATGGTCTTTAGCTTTTAAACTTAAAAATAATGCCATATCTCTGGGTGCAGTGGCTCTCACCTGTAATCCCAGCATTTTAGGAGGCCAAGGCAGGAGGATCACTTGAGTCTAGGAGTTTGAGACCAGCCCAGGCAACACAGGGAGACCCTGTCTCTACAAAAATGAATAAATAGTCTCAGCTGCTCTGGAGGATGGGGTGAGAGGATTACTTGAGCCTAGGAGGTTAAGGCTTCAGTGAACCATGATCATGCTACTGCACTCCAACCCAGGTAAAACAGTGAGACCTTGTCTCAAAACCTAATAAATAAATAAGGCCATATCTAAGTTAAATCAACTTTGATTTCATTTTTATAAAATAAAGTCATACAAAGTTATTTTCTACTAATAGCAGATTTCTATCTTACTATTTATTGAACTGTTTTGAAATAATGGATGTAAAACATCCTAATATCTGATATGTATTATGTGCTCAATAAATGGCAGCCATCATTATTCTTATTCAACAAATGTTTGTTGTTTACCATCTATAAAATGGTAAGAATATATGGTACTCATATTTTAGAAGGAAGCAATAATATGTACAAGTAATCAGAGTATGCTTTAATAAGCTGAAAGCTCTAAAAGTTGTAAAGGCAATACCATCAGGTTTTAAACGAAAGATCATCTGCTGTTGGTGGAAATGAGAAACACTTCACAAATTCTATGCATAGGCACTAGGAAATCACCTGAAAGATAATCGTCCTTCCAATATTTGCCATTCAATTTATGCTTAAATGCCTGTAGTGAAGGGGAATTCACTGCATTTCAAGGCGGTTCATTCTATCCTGTGTAGCTCTGATAGCTATAGATTTCTTTTTCATATTCAGGTGATTAATGGGAACTGAGTCCTGGTGTCTTTTACCCATTGGTTCCAGTTCTGTTCAGAGACTATCATATAATTAAGTTAAATCCATCTTCACCCTTACCAGTAGTGTGGCTTCAGATTCTGAATTCCAAATTCTTCAGCCATTTATGAAATATTACTTTAAATTACCTTATCACCTTATTATTCTCCTTGCAAATGGTTCAGGTAATCTGTTGTCTCTAAGAATGGCACCTGGATTTTGTAGAATACAAAAGGGTGGGCATAGTGTCACACATGTGAAACTATTCATAAATAAAATCAGTAAGTTGTCATCATACCAGCTTCTGCTAAGCCATGTCTTGGCCATCCTGTAACTTGTACATTTTCTTTTTGTTTTCTTTCTTTTTTCAGAGATGGGATCTTACTCTGTCTGTCATACAGGCTGGAGTGCAGTGGTGTGATCATAGCTCACTGCAGCCTCAAACTCCTGGGCTCAAGCAATCCACTTGCCTCAGCCTCCCAAAATTAGCTTGATATGATGGCATGCACCTGTGACATGCCACCACACCCAGCTAATTTTTAAAATTTTTCATAAAGACAGGGGTCTCACTATGTTGTCGAGGCCGGCCTCGAACTGGTCTCACGAAATCCTACCACCTCAGCCTCCCAAGTAGCAGGGAGTGTAGGCATGCACCGCTGTGTCCAGCTATGTACTTGTACATTTTTGTGTCTTAGAACCATGTGTAGGACGTTAGCTATTAACTTTGTTATATTTGATACACTACTTTTCAATTTGTTGAGTTCGTTTTAAAACCTGATTTTTGAGTGTTACAGCTCTTTTAGAATTCACATAGCAGAGGCTGGGCGCAGTGGCTCATGCCTGTAATCCCAGCACTTTGGGAGGCCGAGGCGGGCAGATCCCTTGAGGCCAGAAGTTTGAGACCAGCCTAGCCAATATGGTGAAACCCCACCTCTACTAAAAATACAAAAAATTAGCCAGGCGTGGTGGTGCATGTCTGTAGTCCTGGCTGCTGGGAGGCTCAGGCACTAGAATCACTTGAATCCGGGAGGCAGAGGTTGCAGTGAGCCCAGGTGGCGCCACTGCACTCCAGCCTGGAAAACAGAGTGAGACTCTGTCTCAGAAAACAACCAGAAAAAAAGGAGCCAAATGAATTCATTCTGCCATATGTAACTAGACTACTAGAATTACAATCTGTCCCCACATACTTTCTATCGGGGTACCCTGGCAGCCTTGGTCAACTTCTGTTTCCTCCAATCCTTTGTCCAAAGCAGAGCTCTGTTTTCATATATTTTATTTTAACACAAATGCATCTCCTTCATTTTAAAAATGTATCAATTAATATTTTAATTGTATAAATAATATTTGCACATAGTAGGATATCCAGATAGCATATAGTAGAATAAATTGAAAAGTAAATGTTCGTTTTCTCTCATACCTTTATCCTCAATTCTAGGTACCGTCTTTCCACAATATAACTACTTATGTAGCCTTCTGGAAATGTTTTGTGTATATTCTAATATGCACAACCATCCTTCTTTTCAAACACAGAAATACAGTTCTCCATCTGGATTTTGTCTTTAACATTATTTTTGAGATCTTTCTATCAAAGCACATAATTCCTCCCTCATTGTTTTCTTTTGTGTAAATATCACATAATTTATTGTTTGATACTTATTTTATTTTTTTTTATTTTTTGAGACGGAGCCTTGCACTGTTGCCCAGGCTGGAGTGCAATGGCGCCATCTCAGCTCACTGCAAGCTCCGCCTCCTGGGTTCATGCCATTCTCCTGCCTTAGCCTCCCGAGTAGCTGGGACTACAGGCTTCCGCCACGACACCCGGCTAATTTTTTGTACTTTTAGTAGAGATGGGGTTTCACCATGTTAGCCAGGATGGTCTCGATCTCCTGACCTTGTGATCTGCCCGCCTCGGCCTCCCAAAGTGCTGGGATTACAGGCATGAGCCACCACGCCTGGCAGATACTTGTTTTAAAGGAGTCAGAGAGAAAACAAAAAACAATTTGTTCAGCCAGGCATTTATATTTCAATTAGGAGGCCAAAATATATACTTGAGATTTAATCATATCACAAGGTCAGTCTTCATCTCTTCTTCCTTTCGAAAGTGCTAACGTATTCTGGAAGGTTCTTATCTTGCCCAAATATATGATTAAAGAAATTTTTTTGTGCTGAAGTGGGACAGTGTGTGTCTTATATGTAACTTTACCAGCTAGGTCAGTGTCTTCTTGTTTGTAATTAAAATAGTTTTCCTCACTGGGCACGGTGGCTCACGCCTGTAATCCCAGCACTCTGGGAAGCTGAGACAGGCGGATCACTGAAGGATGGGAGTTCAAGACCAGCCTGGCCAACATGGTGAAACCCTGTCTCAACTAAAAATAAATAAATAAATACAAAAATTAGCTGGGCATGGTGTTGGGCATCTGTGATCTCAGCTAGTTTTCCTTTGGGAATTAGTACATGGATGTACAGACTAGAGAGTCTCAAATAGTCAAAATTGATGTTTACATGTTAGATACTTTTGAAAATAAAGAACAATTTTGATTGGCGGCCAGACTTGATTTTTTTTATTTTTTATTTTTTTTGAAGACAGGGTCTCGCTGTCGTCCAGGCTGGAGCGCAGTGGTGTCATCTTGACTCACTGCAACCTCTGCCTCCTGGGTTCAAGTAATTCTCATGCATCAGCCTCCAAAGTAGCTGGGACTGCAGGTGTGTGTCACCATGCCTGGTTAATGTTTGTATTTTTAGTAGTGGTGGGGTTTTGCTATGTTGGTCAGGATGGTCTCAAACTCCTGAGCTCAAGTGATCCACCCACCTCAGCCTCCAAAAGTGCTGGAATTACAGGTATGAGCCACCATTCCTGGCCAGACTTGATTTTTTTTTTTTTGAGATAGAGTCTGGCTCTGTTGCCCAGGCTGGAGTGCAGTAGTGCTATCTTGGCTCACTGCAACCTCTGCCTCCTGGGTTCAAGGGATTCTCCTGCCTCAGCCTCCTGAGTAGCTGGGATTACAGGTGCCTACCACCACGCCCCGCTAATTTTTGTATTTTTAGTAGAGACGGGGTTTTGCCATGTTGGCCAGGCTGGTCTCAAACTCCTGACCTCAAGTGATCCACCCACCTCGGCCTCCCAGAGTGCTAGGACTGCAGGCGTGAGTCACTGCACCCAGGCAGACTTGAATTTTTTTGAAGGTAACAATTGCTAGCTGGTTTCCTATGTCAAAGATTGAAAACTATAACTTTTTAAAAGGCATGCAGCCATAAAAAGAATGAGTTCATGTCCTTTGCAGGGACATGAATGAAGCTGGAAGCCATCATTCTCAGCAAACTAACACAGGAACAGAAAACCAAACATCTCATGTTCCCACTCATATGTGGGAGTTGAACAGTGAGAACACGTGGACACAGGGAGGGGAACATCACACACCAGGGCCTGTTGGCAGGTGGGAGGCAAGGGGAGGAAGAGCATTAGGACAAATACCTAATGTATGCGGGGCTTAAAACCTAGATGACGGGTTGGTAGGTGTAGCAAACCACCATGGCACATGTATACCTATGTAACAAACTTGCACATTCTGCACGTGTATCCCAGAACTTAAAGTGAAATTTAAAAAGTAATAATAATTTTTAAAAATGTTTAAAGGCTTACTTTGGAGAGACAGTTTTACATAGCTTAATATTTTATCATTAAAGGCATGGTGGAGCTGGTTCCTGCTTCCGATACCCTCAGGAAAATCCAAGTGGAATATGGTGTGACAGGATCCTTTAAAGATAAACCACTTGCAGAGTGGCTAAGGAAATACAATCCCTCTGAAGAAGAATATGAAAAGGTAATTAGCATGTCTCCTCATTCTAAAAAGCTTTGTCAAAAATGTGTTACAGAGGTTTTAAGTTCTTTCATTTTCCAGCTCTGGTGACCAAATAGTCATTTAGTCTAAGTCAGGAAAAGAGCATCTTTTTCTAAGTATAGGAAAGAATGTAAAACAAGACGCATTTAATGGCAGGAATCTGAGTGAAACCAATGCTAAATTACACCCCCAAAAATTTCCAAACACATACTTAGAGGCCAGCAAAACAGAGGCATTTTTCTAATGCAGAATGTTATATTTCCCAAAGATCTTGGAGGAAGGTAGGGAAATGAGTAAAATGGGCTGCATCATGTGGTAGTTAAGAACATAAATTAGGGGCCAAACTCTCTGGGTTTGAATTCAGGTCCCGTCCCAAGTCACTCAGCAACAGGGCCTTATGCAAATTTTTTTTTTTTTTTTTTTTTTGAGATGGAGTCTCACTCTGTCACCCAGGCTGGAGTGCAGTGGCGCTATCTCGGCTCACTGCAAGCTCCGCCTCCTGGGTTCACGCCATTCTCCTGCCTCAGCCTCCCAAGTAGCTGGGGCTACAGGCGCCCACCACCACGCCCAGGCAATTTTTTGTATTTTTAGTAGAGGTGGGGTTTCACTGTGTTAGCCGGGATGGTCTCGATCTCCTGACCTTGTGATCCGCCCGCTTCAGTCTCCCAAAGTGCTGGGATTACAGGCGTGAGCCACCGCACCTGACCTATGCAGATTATTTAACATCTTTGTGCCTCAGTGACCTCTGCTATAAAGTATTGTATATATTATGGTATTATAGCATATACTATGGCTGTAAACATAAGCATTGAGATTTTTGTGAAAATTAAATGATTTAATATATATGAAGCACTGCATAGTGAAAGTTGTATAATTGATAGCTCTTATTACTGGAAACATCAATTTTCTGTTTTACTATTATTTAGAATTACATATGAGGAAAGGGCAGTCTTTCAGGACATAGGCCTCTAATGATCCTAACTTGGCCTAAGGAAGACCCAAGAAAACTGAGTGGTGATGTAGGAAGACTCCCATTTTAATGTCATGGAGCTGCCTAGTTTATGTTTCATTAATGGATCATCTTTATAGACATACACGTGCCATCTGTTGACCTACAAAGCTAATGCAGGGGAATTTTGACCTTTGTTAGATCTTTTAAACTGTGAGATCACTCCCTTTTCATACTTCTTTGTGATCTGGGGAAAAAAAGCAGTGCAGCAGAAGCCAATACTTGTTTTAGTAATGTTGGCCCTTTTGTGATTCCTGGTGAGGAAATAATTGCCAAGTAGCATACATTAAGCATCTTTTATGAATTTGGCTTTTTAATGTGATTTAATAAGTAAGAGGGAATATAACTTAGTGAAGTCATATTGCCTGGATTTGAATCCTCACTCTGCAACTTAACAATTATGTGATCTTGGGCAAACAACCTCTGTTTCAGTTTTCCATCTGTACAATTGTTATGATGATAGTACCTAAGTCATTGATTGTTGTGAGATTCTAAATATGTTAATGTATACACACACACACACATATACACACATACACAGAGAAGTGCCTGGTTTGTGCTAAATGCTATATAAACATTTGCTGTTATCATCATTGGTAATGATTTCTGGGGAATTATGGAATAAAATTAACTACATGGGCAAGTCAGGCCAAGTGAATGTACCACTCAGAAATACAGTATTTTGTATAAATAAACTAAATACACATGCTTTAGATTAAAGAAAAACCTCATTGTATGTGTCTTGCTGTATCCTTCTATACAATATTATATTAGTAATTTTAATAATCCCCAGGAGAGGGAGGACTTAAGATGACACACAGGGAATCACCACATGGGAAACAAAACACATTACTTGTATTCTTGGATGTTTTCAGATATAAGCTGATTTTCCTTACACATGTCTTCCCTGCAGGCAGAGGAAAAAAAGCAAAAAATCTTCTATCCATCATGTTTGTGGAATCCTGCACCTCACCGATTCTAAGCAGCAGAGTCAGAGAGGTGCAGGATTCCACAAACATGACGCTTAAAAGATGTTTGAAGGCAGCACGTACCTAAGTAGGGACTGGTAGAGATCCCAGACTTTTAAAAGAGAAAAGCTAGAGAAGGGGCAGTAACCACCCTTAGAAGAGTGTTTTTGTTTTTGAAATATGAAAAGATTGGCTTTTATTACTATATCCCAGTTTGTATGCTATTGAGAGAGTGGATTACAATAGTGTTTTTAAAGAGTGATAAATTACTTTACTATTTATAAACTCTGCCTCTTTTAAAAATAATTCATTTTCTAAAATAATTGTGTATGTTTTTTATAGGCTTCAGAGAACTTTATCTATTCCTGTGCTGGATGCTGTGTAGCCACCTATGTTTTAGGCATCTGTGATCGACACAATGACAATATAATGCTTCGAAGCACGGGACACATGTTTCACATTGACTTTGGAAAGTTTTTGGGACATGCACAGATGTTTGGCAGCTTCAAAAGGTATAATGTTATTGCTGTTGCCAAAGAAATGAGGCACTTCCTGTTTCACAAATTAAAGTTTGTCTCAAGCTTTGTGTTTTGCCTCGCGGCTCCATTTGAACATAACTGGGAATGAAAAAGGCCCAAAGATATGACCATACCACATAGTAGACAAGAATGTGTGTAAATGTGTATAAACTTTGTTTTGTTGTTGTTGTTGTTGTTTTGTTCTTTTGGTATTTTTTTGAGACGGAGTCTTGCTGTGTCGCCCAGGCTGGAGTGCAGTGGCACGATCTCGGCTCACTGCAAGCTCCGCCTCCCGGGTTCACGCCATTCTCCTGCCTCAGCCTCCTGAGTAGCTGGGACTACAGGCGCCCGCCACCACGCCCGGCTAATTTTTTTGTATTTTTAGTAGAGACGGGGTTTCACCGTGTTAGCCAGGATGGTCTCGATCTCCTGACCAAGTGATCTACCCGCCTCGGCCTCCCAAAGTGCTGGGATTACAGGCGTGAGCCACCATGCGCAGCTAAACTTTGTTGAAATGAATTAAGGGACATATATTTTTTTTATCTACTTAGCGATAACTCTTAGAAAGAAATGATTTCGTGTGTATAACGGCAGTAAGTAGTTTTCTATGTTTGTAACTACTGTTTGATCTCTTTGGGTATGTGGATTTATAAATATCACCTTATTTTCATATGTAAGGAAATTTCATACATAAGTTCTCTCTAAATAATGAGATTATTATGTGATAGCTTTCTTGAAAAATGTTATTTTAGAGGCCGGGTGCAGTGGCTCACGCCTGTAATCCCAGCACTTTGGGAGGCCAAGGCGGGCGGATCACAAGGTCAGGAGATCGAGACCATCCTGGCTAACACGGTGAAACCCCGCCTCTACTAAAAATACAAAAAATTAGCCGGGCGTGGTGGCGGGCCCCTGTGGTCCCGGCTACTCGGGAGGCTGAGGCAGGAGAATGTCATGAACCCAGGAGGCGGAGCTTGCAGTGAGCCTAGATCGCGCCACTGCACTCCAGCCTGGGCGACAGAGCAGGACTCTGTCTCAAAAAAAAAAAAAAGAAAAAAAAAGAAAAATGTTATTTTAAAATTATGGAAATTCAAAAGTGTGTGGTATTAAGTTTCCTAGTTGGAAATGGCTGTACCTCAGATAGCTTAGTTTAATAATCATGTAATAGCACTATTGGAGTATCTTCTGTAAATAATATTTTGTATGTACTTTCATTTTAAATAGGGATCGGGCTCCTTTTGTGCTGACCTCTGATATGGCATATGTCATTAATGGGGGTGAAAAGCCCACCATTCGTTTTCAGTTGTTTGTGGACCTCTGCTGTCAGGCCTACAACTTGATAAGAAAGCAGACAAACCTTTTTCTTAACCTCCTTTCACTGGTAACTATTCTTTATAAGCACTTAATTAGTTTTATATTAATGCATCTATGTTTCAATACTTAAAAAAGATTATTTTGTGATTTTGGAATAAAATTTGCTTTAGTCACAAATGTCAGATACATTATTGCTCAGATATTTTAAACTTACTGCCGTGTGAAATAAGCCAGACACAAGAGTACCTACTGTCTGACTCCATTTGTATAAAATACAAAAAATAAGTCAGTAGAGTGGCTCCCCTTGGGATGGGAAGTATTAGTAGCTGGACCCCAAGGCAGGCATCTGATATGCTAATGAATGTTTTGTGTATTAATATGGGTGTGAATTGTCAACATTCACTCAGCTGTACAATGAAGATTTCTGTACTTTCCTGGGTATATATTATCGTTAAGTAAAAAGTAAAAAACACGAACCCACTATGATTATTATGAGTAAATTGATATGGTAATAAACAGAAGGCTACAATTGTCTTAAGTGAAATAACTCAGAAATAGAAAGTTAAATATTGTGTGTTCTCACTTATAAGTAGGAGTTAAATAATATGTATACATGGACATAAAGAGTAGAATAATAGACATTGGAGACTTGGGAGGGTAGGAAGGGGGATGGTGGATGGGAGATGAGAAGTTACTTAGTGGGTACAATGTATACTATTCAAGTGATGCACTAAAAGCCCAGACTTTATCACTATGTGATACATACATGTACCAAAATTGTACTTGTACCCCCTAAATCTATAAAAGTAAAAACAGTGGCCTAGGCCAGGCGCGGTGGCTCATGCCTGTAATCCCAGCACTTTGGGAGGCTAAGGCAGGCGGATTGCTTGAGGTCAGGAGTTCGAGACCAGCCTGGCCAACATGGCAAAACCCCATCTCTATCAAAAATACAAAAAAAAAAAAGTTCGCCAGGCATAGTGGTACGTATCTGTAATCCCAACTACTCAGGAGGCTGAGGCAGGAGAATTGCTTGAACCCTGGAGGCAGAGGATGCAGTGAGCCAAGATCGCACCCGGCTCCCTGCCCCCCCCCCCCGCCCCCAAAAAAAGAGCCTAGACAAAAGGAGATCTGGATCTCACAGGTTTAATTCTATAAACTGGGTTTTTGACCACCACCAACAAATTGCTTGACTTCCTTGGTGTCCATTTCCTTATTTGTTAGATAATCACCTAGGTCCCCAATACACTAATGAACCCCTCAAGACTGATTATTTTTGTTTGCTTTAGTTCTGATTACTTGAGCAGCCCACAGGAAGGAGTGAGGAACAAATGTTTTAAAAAATTTAACTCACAGAACTTTTTGTTTTCTTCTACAGATGATTCCTTCAGGGTTACCAGAACTTACAAGTATTCAAGATTTGAAATACGTTAGAGATGCACTTCAACCCCAAACTACAGACGCAGAAGCTACAATTTTCTTTACTAGGTAAAGCATATTTAAGTATATTGCAGAAGGAACATAAAATATTGCTTTGATTTGTTTTACCTTAGTTTAAACAAATGCTATTTATCAAAATTCTAATTTATAGGAACAAATTCTGATTCATAGTAATTGCACATAGTAGGCTGTCAAAAGTTGATTTACTAATAAATACAAAGGATTTGCAATAATATTTTTTAAAATATACTTATTTGCCTCAAAATATCTCAAGGTTTATTTAATATGTAATTTCAATGATAAAAACATATTTTTCTACAGTGCCATGTGCCATTTTAAAATCTTTTTTAATTTTTTATTTTGAGACTGAGTCTTGCTGTTTCATCCAGGCTAGAGTGCAGTGGTGCAATCTCAGTTCACTGCAACCTCGCTTCCTGGGTTCAAGCGATTCTCCTGCCTCAGCCTCCTGAATAGCTGGGACTACAGGCGCACACCACTAAGCCCAGCTAATTAAAGTCTCTTTCTAAAATGTTATCTGTACTAATCTATTTTTCAGGATTTTGTCTTAACAATTTCCATGGAGACCTTTGGTGTTTTTAATCCAGCAAACCCTGGTCACTGCTGCAAGTAAACTATTACATGGCATAGTACTTGAAACACATATACCAATGACTGGTACTTGAATTTGTTATTGCTTTAAAAACAGATCTTCCAGCCAGGCGCAGTGGCTCACGCCTGTAATCCCAGCACTTTGGAAGGCCGAGGCGGGCGGATTACCTGAGGTTGGGAGTTCAAGACCATCCTGACCAACATGGAGAAACCCCGTCTGCACTAAAAATACAAAATTAGCCGGGCATAGTGGCGCATGCCTGAAATCCCAGCTACTCAGGAGACTGAGACAGGAGAATCGCTTGAACCTGGGAGATGGAGGTTGTGATGAGCCGAGATTGCGCCATTGCACTCCAGCCTGAGGAACAAAAGCGAAACTCTGTGTCAAAAAAAACAGATCTTCTTGACAAATATGTTCTAAAGGTCTGGTGATCAGGCTGGTTACTGACTGCTGCTGCCACATCATCACAATACCACAGCAGGGAGGGGTACCTGAGCTCATGTTCTTTTCTCTCCTTTTTCTCTTGCCTTCTTCCTCTCAGTGGAGAAGAGGTATAAAACACTGACTGGACTTCCCTAGTCTCAAGAGTCTGGGCTGAAATGAATTGAAGGAAGCTGACTTTTGTATAGCCTTCCAAACTAATCCTGACAATTTAGGTATTGATGGGTTTTCTTTTGCTTTGTTTTTTAAGAGAGATTCATTGGCTCCCCTGGGCAAAACCACAAAGCAGGCATGTATTCGTCTGCCTGCTTAGACTTCCATAACAAAATACTATAGACTAGTGGCTTAAACAACAGATATTTATTTTCTCACAGTTCTGGAGTCTATGAGGTCCAAAATCAAGGTGCCAGCCAATTACATTACTGTTGAGGGCTCCCTTGCCAGATTGCAGATGGCCACCTTCACAGTGTGTCCTCACATGGTAGGGAGAACTAGCTCTCTCATCTCTTCTTAGACGGACACTCCTATTGGATTAGGGCTCTACTGTTTATGGCCTCATTTAACCTTTATTACTTCCATAAAGGCCCTATCTCTAAATACAGTGGCAGTGTTGGGGCTTCAGCATATGAATTTGAGGGAACACAAACATTCAGTCCATAGTGGGGCAAAAGCCTGTGTTTGAGATTCTCTCACTTCTCTTTTTGAATATCCTTCTTCTTTCTAGCTTCCTTAACCTTGTTTCTGAGACTTATTTCCTTTGCTTGCCTAAAATGTTCTTTCCAGACCTACTTTCCATCCTGTCAAAACTTCTTTTTCCAACTGAATGAAAATATGATTACCTGAAGGAGTCTGACACTGAATTCTACAGTTCTACTGTTTGATAGGAGAGAATTTTTAAAATTTGGATTACTTTGTTTTTGTTCTTTTGTTTTTGTGGTTTTTTGGAGACAGTCTCACTCCAGCACCCAGTGTGGAGTGCAGTGGCGCAATCTCAGCTCACTGCAACCTCTTTCCTCCTGGGTTCAAGCAATTCTCCTGCCTCTGCCTCCCGAGTAGCTGGGATTATAGGCGCACACCACCACACCTGGCTAATTTTTCTATTTTTAGTAGAGTCAGGGTTTTGCCATGTTGGCCAGGCTGGTCTCGAACTCCTGGCCTCAAGTGATCCGCTCCCCTTGGCCTCCCAAAGTGCTGGGATTACAGGCGTGAGCCACCGTGCCCAGCCCTTGGATTACTTTCTTTCCCACCTATTTGTCATCTTTCTCCTTTATTAAAAGGAAATAAAGTAATGAAGTCATCTTTTTAGCATTATACCAATCATCATCTATCTATAATAGCTCTTTAATTAGTCTTGGGGACCCTACAGGGTTCAAGAAAACCAAGCATGAATTCTTTCTTGGGCTAAATTATTTTGTTGGGGTGAGATGTGTTTTAACAAACCTTTGGCCTGTAGAACAAAGGGAATCCTTGGCAAAGTGACAATCTGCTTAATATTTTTAAAGGAATGAAAGTGGTTTTTGTCATTTATTACATTGAAAGAATTTACCATGTGTTCTCATTTACTGTTAACGAATTTTCTGATTATTTTGTAGGCTTATTGAATCAAGTTTGGGAAGCATTGCCACAAAGTTTAACTTCTTCATTCACAACCTTGCTCAGCTTCGTTTTTCTGGTCTTCCTTCTAATGATGAGCCCATCCTTTCATTTTCACCTAAAACATACTCCTTTAGACAAGATGGTCGAATCAAGGAAGTCTCTGTTTTTACATATCATAAGAAATACAACCCAGATAAACATTATGTAAGTTTGATTTCAATATTCATAAACAATCATGCATGTATTATTGTTGTCCTTTCTACTTCCTTTGCTGATTCTGCTAAAGTTGCAAGCATTTGTTCTATTCATGCTTGTTTCTTTCATGAATGGTCCATAAATAAGTAAATGTACTTGAAGCATCCCTAACTTTTTTGGTATTTAATTCTTGCTATATTTGCTTCAAACAATAAGGACCGAGTGGTAAAGTGTGCTTGTTGTAACAAATTTAATCAATAGAGAAGTATGTAAAGTAAAAAGTCAAAGTTCCTATTCCAGTCTCTGATACAAAACACGCACACATTGTCTTTGAACAGATACAGGAACTTCAGCATGCTTTTTCCTCTTCGAGACTGTAGTGTTATCTTTTTTGTTGCTACTTTTCACCCTTGTGCTACCTTTTTTGTTAGATAATACTTTCCAGAACTGCCAGTTTTTAAATTTTTGGCAAATAGATAGTCTTTAAAAAGCTATTTTACTACTGTTTTTCATCTATTCTGTTAATAAATTTTAGTATCTTTTTGTGTGTTTATTAAAGTTATCCTAACACCATTTTATTGCATAGTCCATTCTCTCCCCAATATATACTACTACCTTTAAGTTTATATATATATCCCCAAATTTGTTTCTGGCCTGCTATAGATAGATCCTACTTGGCACCAGTATTATATGCTTTAAAGTATTGTAACTTTATAAAAGTTTAAATAGGCCGGGCGCAGTGGCTCATGCCTATAATCCCAGCACTTTGGGAGCCCGAGGCAGGTGATCACCTGAGGTCAGGAGTTCAAGACCAGCCTGGCCAACATGGTGAAACCCCGTCTCTAATAAAAATATGAAAATTAGCTGGATGTGGTGGCATGTGTCTGTAGTCCCAGCTACTCAGGAGGCTGAGGCAGGAGAATCGCTTGAACCCGAGAGGCAGAGGTTGCAGTAAGCCAATATTGTGCCATTGCGCTCCAGGCTGGGCAACAGAGCAAGACGCTGTATCAAAAAAAAAAAAAAGTTTAACTAGCCAGCAAAACAAGTTTTCCTTCACTACCCCCCATAAACCTTTTGCCTTTTTTTAACTGACTTTTTATTTATTTTTATTTTATTTTATGTTATGTTATTTTATTTTATTTTATAAATATAAAAGAGTCTCACTCTGTTGCCCAGGCTGGAGTGCAGTGGCGCAATCTCGTCTCCTGAAACCTGTGCCTCCCAGGTTCAAGCAATTCTCATGCCTCAGCTCCTGAATGGCTAGCTGGGACTACAGGCATGCGCCAGCACACCCGGCTAATTTTTGTATTTTTAGTAGAGATGGGGTTTCGCCATGTTGCCCAGGCACATGGCCAGGCGAATTCCTGGCCCCAAGTAATCCACTCATTTCGGCCTCTCGAAGTTCTGGGATTATGTGAGCCACCATGCCTGGACTATTTTATTTATTATTTATTTTTTTATTTTTTTATTTTTTTGAGACGGAGTCTTGCTCTGTTGCCCAGGCTGGAGTGCAGAGGTGTGATCTCAGCTCACTGCAAGCTCTGCCTCCCGGGTTCACGCCATTCTCCTGCCTCAGCCTCCCAAGTAGCTGGGACTACAGGTACCCACCACCACGCCCGGCTCATTTTTTGTATTTTTTTTTTTTTTTTTTTTTAGTAGAGACAGGATTTCACCATGTTAGCCAGGATGGTCTCAATATCCTGACCTTGTGATCCACCTGCCTCAGCCTTCCAAAGTGCTGGGATTACAGGCGTGAACCACTGCGCCCGGCTGCCTGGACTATTTTTATTTCTACTTTTTGAGAAACGGTCTCGCTCTATTACCCTGGCTGGAGTGCAGTGATGCAGTGTTGGCTCATTTGGCTCACTTGGCTCACTGTAGCCTTGACACCTGGGCTGAGTTGATCCTCCCACCTTAGCTTCCCAAGTAGCTGGGGCTACAGGCATGTGCCACCACAGTTGGCTAATCTTTATATTTTTTATAGAAACAGAGCCTTACTATGTTGCACAGGCTGGTCTCTAACTCCAGGGCTGAAATGATCCTCTCACCTTGGCCCCTCAAAGTGCTAGGATTATAGGCATGAGCAACCGTGCCCAGCTTACACTTTTAAGTTCTAGTTTATCTATCTTAGGATGGTTATGATCACTCTTAAAATGTAGTTAGATGTGTTATAAATACAATGACTTATATTTGCTTTTTCCTATTGGTGACATATATATTACCAAGATAAAAGTACTTGAACTGCATATAACAATTAAGCTATAAATTTCTTTTCTGTCAGGAAAGGAGGTTTTTTTGCTTCTTGGTCTTTTAGCTAAGATCAATATAGGAAAGAAGGTTTTTTTGAGATGGAGTCTCGCTCTGTTGCCCAGGCTGGAGTACAGTGCCATCTCGGTTCACTGCAACCTCTGTCTCCCAGGTTCAAGTGATTTGCCTGCCTCAGCCTCCCAAGTAGCTGGGATTACAGGCACGCACCACTATGCCCAGCTAATTTTTGTTTGTTTAGTAGAGACGTGCTTTTACTATGTTGCCCAGGCTGGTCTCAAACTCCTGACCTCAGCTGATCCACCCACCTCGGCCTCCCAAAGTGCTGGGATTACAGGCATGAGCCACTGCACCCGGCCTGGAAAGAAGGTTTTAAATATAAATTTTATGTGTTTGTGGTGTGATTTCTTTTCAGATTTATGTAGTCCGAATTTTGAGGGAAGGACAGATTGAACCATCATTTGTCTTCCGAACATTTGACGAATTTCAGGAACTTCACAATAAGCTCAGTATTATTTTTCCACTTTGGAAGTTACCAGGGTATGTATTCATCCTTGTACATTAATCCTTTTTGTAGGAAACAACTTGTTATCAAATGTAGGTAGAAAGCTTTGTGTTAACACTTAGTAAGATATTATCGGCCATGTGTGGCTTATTTTCCTTTGTGTCATAAAGACCTAATACAAAAGCAGACATAAACAAGGAACTGGAAGTTTTTGTTGAATGAATAAATGATCGGGATGTTAAAATATGAGATTTTCAGACTTCTAACTCTTATTGAAGCTTTAACTTTGCTGTCTCTACCATAGTAAGCAACACAAGATAATAATTTGGCATCTTGGTTTTGAAAAAAGTCATATCCTGCCAGGTGTGGTGGCTCACAAGCTTATAATCCCAGCACTTTGGGAGGCCGAGGCAGGGAGATACCTTGAGTCCAGGAGTTGGAGACTAGCCTGGGCACCATGGCGAAACCCCATCTCTATAAAAAATACAAAAATTAGCTGGGCTGGTGGCACATGTCTGAAGTCCCAGCTACTCAGGAGGCTGAAGTGAGAGGATTGATTGATACCAGGATGTGGAGGTTGCAGTGAGCGAAGATCACATCACTGCATTACAGCCTGGGTGACAGAATGAGACCCTGTCCCCCCCCCCCAAAAAAAAAGTCATATGCTAAATCAGTGTAGAAATAATCTATCATGGGCCATACTGAGCTCCTCTGCTAAAAAAACTGAAGCATGGCCGGGCGCGGTGGCTCACACCTATAATCCCAGCATTTTGGGAGGCCAAGGCGGGCGGATCACGAGGTCAGGAGATGGAGACCATCCTGGCTAACACGGTGAACCGTCTCTTCTAAAAAATACAAAAAATTAGCTGGGCATGGTGGCAGGCGCCTGTAGTCCCAGCTACTTGGGAGGCTGAGGCAGGAGAATGGCGTGAACCCAGAAGGTGGAGCTTGCAGTGAGCTGAGATGGCACCACTGCACTCCAGCCTGGGCAACAGAGCGAGACTCCGTCTCAAAAAAATAAATAACAAGCAAACATCATCGAGACTGTCAATCAAAATCTTAGTTTTGTATCTGATACCCTTTGGGAGTCTTCAGTTTTAATGTAGCTCAATGACCAGTAGATTTCCTGTGTCGAGTTTTTTCATATTTTCTTCAGACTAGATTTCAAAAGTGAGGATGAGGTGAAGTGGGTATTAGAGTTTGTTTCCGTGTACAGTTTCATTTTTCCACTGCCACCAAAATAAGTGGAATTAAGATTATCCTTTCAGCACCTTACTTAGGCCTTATGTTATTATTTGTGGATTTTACTGGTATATGTAATATTTATGGCTGATTGAGTAGTGATTTTATTTTTTAGGGATCAGATCTGGATAAAATATTTATGAGTGATTAAACTTGAGAAGAAATATTAGAAAATAAGTATTAAGTAGGTACAAAAGTAATTGCGTTTTTTGCCATTACTTTTAATGTCAAAAACCACAGTTACTTTTGCACCAAGCTAATAATAAATATAGGAAATCAACACATACACCTTTTCAACCAAGGCTCATAAAAGGATAATGGGTGACTGAACGATGTCATCTCCAATACTTTGAAGAGAAATCACAAAAAATTACTTATTTTATTTTGAGACGGAGACTTGCTCTGTCACCCAGGCTGGAGTGTAAGTGATCTCGGCTCACTGCAACTTCCGCTTCCCAGGTTCAAGTGATTTTTCTGCCTCAGCCTTCCGAGTAGCTGGGATTATAGGTATCTGATTATAGGCATCAGCACGCTAATTTTTGTATTTTTAGTAGAGACAGGGTTTTATCATGTTGGCCAACCTGGTTTCAAACTCCTGACCTCAAGTGATCCACCCGCCTTGGCCTCCCAAAGGCCATGAGCCACCGTGCCCGGCCACAAAATATTACTTTATAATGGATTAAGACTACTTTGTCTTTAAGTATATATGAAAAAGTGTATTTCTAAGGAAATATTGTACTTATTTAAATCCCACTTGTTTTTGTTTTTCTTTTGTAGCTTTCCTAATAGGATGGTTCTAGGAAGAACACACATAAAAGATGTAGCAGCCAAAAGGAAAATTGAGTTAAACAGTTACTTACAGAGTTTGATGAATGCTTCAACGGATGTAGCAGAGGTAACCTTACTAAATGAGAAGTAATAACATCTTATACCTTTTGTGTTACATAATATTTAAACTAATGAATTGCTTTCTCTTTATTCTTAGTGTGATCTTGTTTGTACTTTCTTCCACCCTTTACTTCGTGATGAGAAAGCTGAAGGGATAGCTAGGTCTGCAGGTGAGATTATTTTTTTTCTCTTTATTGGTAACTCATGATCTGCAAGTCTGTAACTTCTCGATGAATGTGGTAGAATGACAGCAGGCTTACTAGCTGTAGTCTGAGAATGGGAGGAGAGTATTCTTTCTAAGCCAGTCTATTTCTGAATAAATATAACTTTCCTAATAGATGTGATTACTAAAGAAGTATAAATCAATGACCTATCAGGTTGTTTACTCCTTTTTCCCCTCCCTTCTGTCCGCACCACATGTGACAGTCTTGAAAATAAAGCAAAATCCTTTTATTGCAGCTTGAACCACTACAACCAGTAAATAAAGATGAAAATATTTGTATTTTCAGATGCAGGTTCCTTCAGTCCTACTCCAGGCCAAATAGGAGGAGCTGTGAAATTATCCATCTCTTACCGAAATGGTACTCTTTTCATCATGGTGATGCATATCAAAGATCTTGTGAGTGATTACAAAGAATGATGGTTGTAGAGGAAACCCTTACCTTGGTAGGAAGCATTACTATTAAGGGACTGCTTTTCTTTTTAGGTTACTGAAGATGGAGCTGACCCAAATCCATATGTCAAAACATACCTACTTCCAGATAACCACAAAACATCCAAACGTAAAACCAAAATTTCACGAAAAACGAGGAATCCGACATTCAATGAAATGGTAAGTTAAAATCATTTCTAGAAGTTTCCTTGGTTTATTATTTTTTTAATTTTCATTTTTAAGTTCTGACGTGCGTAAGCAGGATGTGCAAGTTTGTTACATAGCTAAACGTACCATTGTGGTCTGCATACCTATCAACCTATCACCTAGGTATTAAGCCCAGCATGCATTAGCTATTTTTCCTAATGCTCTCCCTCCCACCATCCCATCCCCCAACAGGCCCCAGTGTGTGTTGTCCCCTTCTCTGTGTCCATTGTTTTGAGATTTTAAATTTTAAAACATTTTAAGGCCAGGCGCAGTGGCTCATGCCTGTAATCCTAGCAATTTGGGAGGCCGAGGTGGATACATCCCTTGAGCTCAGGAGTTTGAGACCAGCCTGGGCAACATGATGAAATTCCATCTCTACAAAAAAAAAAAAAGAAAAAAATTAGCTAGGCATGGTGGCACGCACCTGTAATCCCAGCTCCTCGGGAGGCTGAGGTCAAAGGATTGCTTGAGCCCAGGAGGTCAAGGCCACAGTGAGTCATGATCATGCCACTGCACTCCAGACTGGGCAACAGAGTGAGAGACCCTGTCCCAAAAAAAAAAAAATTTTAAGTTTTTAGGTATCAGTTGCTGAACTATTTGTTATACAGTGTACACCAATAACAGTCCAATAGTATTTAACAAAATGATATAAAATAGAGCCCTCATAGACCTTAGGAGCCATAATTCAACTACGTTTCCAGTGTGTGAACCCCCCTCTATAATAGTCACAAAAAGTGGTTGTCTAGTCTGTGCTTAATTACTTCCAGACTATTCAGTTTGTCTTAGATCACTCCACCTCTTAGATGATTATTATTATTATATTATTTTATTTATTTTTAGAGGCAGAGTTTCGCTGTTGTTACCCAGGCTAGAGTGCAATAGAGCCATGTTGGCTCACTGCAACCTCCGCCTCCTGAGTTCAAGTGATTCTCCTGCCTCAGCCTCCTGAGTAGCTGGGATTACAGGCATGTGCCACCACGCCTGGCTGATTTTGTATTTTTAGTAGAGACAGGTTTCTCCATGTTGGTCAGGCTAGTTGTAAACTCCCAACCTCAGGTGATCTACCCGCCTCAGCCTCCCAAAGTGCTGGGATTACAGGCGTGAGCCACCATGCCTGGCCTCTAGTTTTTATTTTTTAGCTAATGATTAGTCTTGCTTTGTATCTCTCTATGTCAGACATCACAGGAATGATAGTACAATCCAAGACTCCTGAAACACAAAATGTCCTTCTAAAGTATTCAGACAAAACCTACCGGATGTGTCATAATCAGTGTCACTCATTGTGGTCACTCTTTGGCTAATATTCTCACGTTTTCACTTGAAATGTTCCAAGAAACCAAACAAACTTTAATTTGTGATTTACTGTTCTTTTTTCCTTTGTTGTAGCTTGTATACAGTGGATATAGCAAAGAAACCCTAAGACAGCGAGAACTTCAACTAAGTGTACTCAGTGCAGAATCTCTGCGGGAGAATTTTTTCTTGGGTGGAGTAACCCTGCCTTTGAAAGATTTCAACTTGAGCAAAGAGACGGTTAAATGGTATCAGCTGACTGCGGCAACATACTTGTAAACTAGTGAATGTTTGAGCTTTGGAAGCATGAACAGTTATAAACGTGCATGCATACATGCACACACACACAGACACACACACACACACTTGTTAATTTTGTATAGTATTTTTATACTTGGACAGAACTTATAAAGTTAAATATACTTGCTGCATTTCAACACATCTGTTGGACCAACAGTCACATAACTAACCTTTTTGAATTTTTGGAAGCCATTGCTGTTTTAAAGTCATTATGTAGAATGCTACAAACCCTAAACTTAATATATACTAATTCCTGAAAAAGACTTTGAGACAGTACTATGTCAGTTCAGCCACCTATTTTGCATTGTTTTCTATAAGGAGGCAAAGCATATGTGTTTTCCTGTTATGCACCTTTTATAGCCTTTACCACTGTGTAATGTTCACAAACACCAAAGTAAAGGAAAAATGCAGGATGTTACCGTAAAATCCAGCTGCTATTCATGGAGCTGAAAAACAAAGCACAAATAATAGATAGCTAAGTTAAGAACTACTAAGTAGTTTATAGAAGTAGGGAAAAACGTAATACTGCTTTTTATTCATGTCTTTAAAGCCTTTTTCAGAATAAGTGCCAATCACTGATGTTGTAAATAATGGTGCCTTAACTTTATATGCTTCCCTGGCACTTCGTTTCTGATTTTTTTCCTGATTTGATAAATAATTAGTACATAGTTTTCACTCACTTGCAGCTTACTAAAGACAAGAAATTATGTACATGTACTAATGTTTTTCCCACAAAAAAATCCTTTACTTCTGATGTATGAATTAGTTATCTAAATAGTTAAGCCTAATACCTGAATAAGACTCACCAATGTGATTGTACAATAAATTCTATCATTCCATTAAAATCCTACATTTATTCCCAGGAATGGTAATTTCACCTCCCTACATCTATACTCCACTCCCTCAGTAAATAAGTGAAAATTGTTAACCCATGTGCCCATTCCTGAGTAGGGCAGACTCTTCACAAGAGGCCCATGACAAGAATTCTAGGGTCCAGATTGAACTTTAATATAGACCTTTGTCTGTGTAGACCAGTTTGTCTTGTAAACTGTCTTACTTATGTGTGTAAACATTTTACATTCACATGAAAAGTTATTTTCCTTTATATAATTGGATTCAGAATCATAAGGGACAGGACTGAAATTATTCTACAGTAACCAGTAAGAATAAGATTCGGCCGGGCACGGTGGCTCCTGCCTGTAATCCCAACACTTTGGGAGGCCAAGGTGGGCGGATCACCTGAGGTCAGGAGTTTGAGACCAGCCTGGCCAACATGGTGAAACCCCGTCTCTACACAAAAATTAGCCAGGCGTGGTAGCGGGCATCTGTAATCCCAGCTACTTGGGGGGCTGAGGCAGGAGAATCGCTTGAACCCAGGAGGCGGAGGTTGCAGTGAGCCGAGATCACGCCACTGCACTCCCGCCTGGGTGACAAGAGCAAAACTCCATCTTAAAAAAAAAGAAAAAAAGAGTAAGATTCATTTTTATTAGTTACTCAACTTCAGACACAATTTTGTTAATTTGGATATATACATATATATAATAAGAACTCATGGTTAGAATAGAAATACAGATACTTTAAAAATGGTAATAGAAATTGTACCAATCAGGTTGCTGTGAGAAAACTGACAAAATATGCAATAAAGAATACCAAGAGAGAAAGGACAATCGCCAATTCAGTTTCCCAGAACAGAATTTTTATGAACTGCACAAATGTTTAATGTAAATGGTGATACCTACAGGGAAGAAATAGAAGAGTTGATAATATATCACTGGGACGGGGTGGGGGAAAGACTTGAAATTTTTGGTGCCTAACACTAATGGTCCATATGTAGTTAAACCCATGAGTATGGTATATGAATGTCTTTTTTAAATGTTAAAATGTGTTGTCTATTTAATGTTAATTAAAATGCAGATCAAAGCACCACCATTTGCTTTTTCCACAGATCATTAACATTTCCTTAAAGTATGTAAGTACCTTTGCAAATGCAAATGTACTAGTAATTTTCACTTAAGCTTTTGAGACCGAATTCCATTCCACCAGTTATCACTTAGCCACTGTAATTTAAAAACAAACAAACAAACAAAAACTGTCTTGGTAGAGGTCGTTAATTAGACTCAACATGTACTGCCTTTTTGCAGTCTATTATGACAGTGTCTTTTAGCACAAATAATAGAGCTAAAAAATGTCCTGTCACTTCCATTATAAGAAATCTGGATTCATATCTAAGTGTATATTATAATACTGTACAGTTAAGAGTTCAGAACAAGTGGTAATGTTTTCTCTTAATTTAACTCATTTTGTGCCTTCTTTACTCATTCAAACACACATACATTTTACATATAGTTTATTTCTTTATGAAATGCTAATCTTCAGCCCGTACCAAAAAGTAGAGTGGAGCCTCTTTGCACTACTACTATCAATAAATTTTAAATCAGTTGGATTTTTAAGCATTTTTTAAAAGCTGACATTAAAGTAAATCTAAAAAAAGTTTAACAAACTGGCCAAGACACTAATTTTTATGTATAATCACAATATTTTATACTCACCTTTATTGACTAAAAATAATTATGCTACATGTTGTCCTGCATCAGAAGAATTATTTCTTCTTGCCAGTGTTTTGGGATTTGAAGATAATGGTTCACTCAAAGAACCTATTATTTTCTCTACTGAGGAACCCAATGTAGAACTTGCACTGATATTTTTATTACTGCCTTTATATGAATCTATAGGTATCTAAATGTTAAGGCATGTATGATCTTTGATCATTTCTTTTTTCAAATTAAAGTTGTATAAAAGTTTCAATATCTTGCCTTAAATTAGTTGCCTATTCTTTCTAGGATTCAAATATTGTGACATTTAAAAAAGAAAACATTCACTTTTGAAACTTAGACTTCAGATCAAAAAGGACTGAACCCCCACTATCATAATCCATACATTCATTTCCATGTTGTTTGACTAGCAGTGCATATATGAATGAATATGGTAATTAATCTTACCTATAAGAACCAAATACTTTAATTATATTAAGATAGTGAATAAAGATGTATAATATTTTTATTAATACCTTGAATATATTCAGTGGATTGAATGTGACTTCATAACTGTACTACGATTGTATTAAAATATTTCTGGAATAAAAGAACTCTGCTATCATTTCTTTCCTTGTTGACATACTAACATTTTTGGTTCCAGACTTTGCAATGAGCTCACTCTTGATGTTCTTTGCATCTCACCCAGGAGTCTATTAGGTTTAATAATCCTGAATTTCAGAACTAACCTGTTAGTTGCCCCTAAAAATGTTCAAATAGAGATTCTGACTTCTGAGTGTTAACTCTTTTTTTTTTTTGAGACAGAGTCTTACTTTGTCTCCCAGGCCTGGAGTGCAGTGGCGACATCTCGGCTCACTGCAACCTCCATCTCCTGGGTTAAAGCGATTCTCCTGCCTCAGCTTCCTGAGTAGCTGGAACTACAGGCACACACAACCACGCCCGGCTAATTTTTGTATTTTTAGTGTAGCAGGACAAGCCGCAGACAAAACTCCTCAGACGCGGAGTTAAAGGAAGGGGTTTATTCGGCCGCGGGCATTGGCAAGACTCCTGTCTCGAGCCGAGCCCCCCCAGGGAGCAATTCCTGTCCCTTTTAAGGGCTCACAACTCTAAGGGGGTGCGTGTGAGAGGGTCGTGATTGATTGAGCAAGCCAGGGGTATGTGACTGGGGGCTGCATGCACCGGTAATTAGATCGGAACAAAACAGGGATTTTCACAGTGCATTTCTATACAATGTCTGTAATCTATAGATAACCCATTAGGTCAGGGGTCAATCTTTAACTACCAGGCCTGGGGTGTGGCACCGGGCTGTCTGCCTGTGGATTTCATTTCTGCCTTTTAGTTTTTACTTCTTTCTTTGGAGGCAGAAATTGGGCATAAGACGATATGAGGGGTGGTCTCCTCCCTTATTAATAGATGGGGTTTCGCCGTGTTGGCCAGGCTGGTCTCAAATTCCTGACCTCAAGTGATCCGCCCGCCTCGGCCTCCCGAAGTGCTGGGATTACAGCCACCACGCCGGGCCTGAGAGTTACTCTTTGAAGGTCTGGATTGCAACCACTTTGCTACAGTCCATCACTATTTCTTAGAAGGGAAATGCTTCTGTGAGTATAGTCCCTGGCCTTTGGTACTTAAGATATTAAGTAGTCCTGCAACAGTTATATTACAGACGTATCTACAGAACTGAGAAATGTGGATTCTTCTTATACAGTACCTTCATCCTGTAATGGTAACAGTGTGAAGGTGTGGTTCTCTGACCCTAAGATGACATGTGAAAGGGCCCAGAGACCATGAAAGAGCAGTAACTCAATTAGAGCCAGCTTTGGGGGTGACAGTTTCTGTCAGAAAAAAAAGGATCTTTATTTCATCCTTACTCTTCTGAAAAACTTCATTATGCAAGTCTTTAATCATTTACAAAATCAGATAACAGCATAATGAACTCCATGGGTGAATCCATCACACAGCTTCAATAGTTATTACCTTAGGGCTAACCTTGTTCCATCTGTATTAACTAAGATGTTCCTAGGTATGGATATCTTTGAATGTATCCTATTTAAGATTATTTATTTATTTATTTTTTGAGAAGGAGTCTCACTCTCGCCCAGGCTGGAGTGCAGTGGCGCGATCTCGGCTTACTGCAAGCTCCGCCTCCCGGGTTCATGCCGTTTTCTTGCCTCAGCCTCCCGAGTAGCTGGGACTACAGGCGCCTGCCACCACACCCGTCTAATTTTTTGTATTTTTAGTAGAGACGGGGTTTCACCGTGTTGGCCAGGATGGTTTCGATCTCCTGACCTCGTGATCCACCCGCCTCGGCCTCCCAAAGTGCTGGGATTACAGGCGTGAGCCACCATGCCCAGCCGCCCTATTTAAGATTCTTAAAACCGTGGATCAGGGCTGGGTGCGGTGGCTCACCCCTATAATCCCAGCACTTTGGGAGGCCGAGGCAGGCGGATCACGAGGCTAGGAGTTCGAGACTAGCCTGGCCAATATGGTGAAACCCCCACCTCTACTAAAAATTTAAAAATTAGCCGGGCGTGGTGGCGCGTGCCTATAATCCCAGCTACTCAGGAAGCTGAGGCTGGAGAATTGTTTGAACCTGGGAAGCGGAGGTGGCAGTGAGCCGAGATCATGCCACTGCATTCCAGCCTGGGCAACAGAGCGAGACTCGTCTCCAACAACAACAACAAAAAGTTGGGTGTGGTGGCTCACGCCTATAATCCCAGCACTTTGGGAGGCTGAGGTGGGCAGATCACGAGGTCAGGAGTTCAAGACCAGCCTGGCCAAAATACTGAAACCCCATCTCTACTAAAAATACGAAAATTAGCTGGGTGTGGTGGCACGCACCTGTAGTCCCAGCTACTCGGGAGGCTGAGGCAGGAGAATCGCTTGAACCCGGGAGGCAGAGGTTGCAGTGAGCTGAGACTGTGCCATTGCACTCCAGCCTGGGCAACAGAGTGAGACTCCGTCTCAAAAAAAAAAAAACAAAAAAAAAACTGGATCAGTAGCTTTCTTCAGTTCTGAATACTTGCTAGCCATTATCGTTTCAAACATTTTGTCTGCCACCTTTTCGAACTCTGATTAAATGTATAATGTATAATAGACATTTCCACTCTTCTTCCATGTCTTCTCTTCATGTCTCTTTTTTTTTTGTCCCTGCATTCTCAATAATTTTTTCTGACTTATTTTCTAATTCACTACTTCCAACTGTTTAACCTATCCATTAGTTTTTAAATTTTGGTTGTTCTATTTTCTTTTTCTTTTTTTGAGACGGGGTCTCAATCTGTTGCCCAGGTTGGAGTGCAGTGGCACAATCATGGGTCACTGCAGCCTCAACCTCCCTGGGTTCAAATCATCCTCTCACTTCAGCCTCTGAAATAGCTGGGACTACAGGCACATGCCACCATGCCTGGCTAATTTTTGTATTTTTTGTAGAAATGGGGTTTCACCATGTTGCCCAGGCTGGTCTCAAACTCTCAAATACCTGGGCTCAAGCAATCTGTCCACCTTGGCTTCCCAAAGTGTTGGGATTACAGGCGGGAGCCATCATGCCCAGCCAATTCTTGTATTTTTTCATTTCAAGAATCAGTATTTAGTTCTTTTTATTTGTTTGAATCATGATCCAGGAAAGACACACACCAACACTGTCAAGACCATTTAAAGAAAAAAAGTTGTGGTTTTTTTTGACCATTTAAAAAAAGAAAAGGTTTTTCCAATAAATGGTGCTGGTACAACTGGATAACCACATGCAAAAGCATCAGTAGGACTCTTACACCACATAAAAAAATTAACTCAAAATGGATCAAAGACCTAAACATAAGAGCTAAAAGTGGTTGGGCACAGTGGCTCACACCTGCAATCCCAGTACTTTGGCAGGTCAAGGTGGGAGGATCCCTTGAGCCCAGGAGTTCAAGGCTGCAATAAGCCAGATCTCATCACTGCGCTACAGCATGGGTGACGGAGCGAGACCTTGTCTCTGGGAAAAAAAAAAAAAAAGAAAAAAAAAAGCCAAAAATATAAAACTCTTAGAATAAAACAAAAACCTGGGTGTACACACATCTTTATGACCTTGGATTTGATGATTCTTAGATGTGACACTAAAAGCATGAGCCACAAAAGAAAAAAATGGATTAATTGGGACTTCATCAAAATTAACTTTTGTGCATCAAAGGACGCTATTAAAGAAATAAAAGACAACCCATAGAATGGGAAAAAATATTTCCCAATAGTGTATCTGATAAAAGGAATCAGATATATGTAAAGAATTCTTACAACTCAACAACAAAAAGACAGTCCAATTTAAAAATGGGCAAAGGGCCGGGCATGGTGGCTCACGCCTGTAATCCCAGCACTTTGAGAGGCTGAGGCGGGTGGATCATCTGAGGTCAGGAGTTCGAGACCAGCCTGGCCAACATGGCAAAACCCTGACTCTACTAAAAAAAAACACACAGAAACTAGCTAGGCGTGGTGGCACGCTCCAGTTACCGGGTTTCTTTTGTGGGTAGTAACATATCAGGAATTAGTGGTAATGATTGCACAACATTGTGAGTGTAATAAAAGTTACGAAGTAACTGTATACTTCAAAATAGCTCCTGTGATCCCAGCTATTCAGGAGGCTGAAGCACGAGGATCACTTGAATCCGGAAGGCAGAGGTTGCAGTGAGCCAAGATCGTGCCACTGCACTCCAGCCTGGATGACTGCAGAGCAAGAAAAAATAAAAAAAATAAAATGGGCAAAGGGCCAGGCGTGGTGGCTCACGCCTGTAATGCCAGCACTTTGGGAGGCCAAGGCGGGCAGATCACCTGAGGTTGGGAGTTCCAGACCAGCCTGACCAGCATGGAGAAACCCCGTCTCTACTAAAAATACAAAATTAGCTGGGCATGGTGGTACATGCCTGTAATCCCAGCTACTAGGGAGGCTGAGGCAGGAGAATCGCTTGATCGTCTCAAAAAAAAAAAAAAAAAAAAAAAAAAAAGTCCATACAATGGACTTTTATTCAGTCATAAAAAGGGAAAAAGTACTGATACGTGCTACAACATGAATGAACCCTGAAAACATGCTCGGGAAGCTGGGGAGTGGCTCATGCCTATAATCCCAGCACTTTGGAAGGCTGAGGCTGGAGGGTTGCATCAGCCCAGGAGTTCAAGACCAGCCTGAGCAAAATCGTGAGAACCCCGTCCCTTTAAAAAAAAGTTGGGCACGGTGGCTTACACCTGTAATCCCAGCACTTTGGGAGGCCGAGGCAGATGGATCACCTGAGGTCAGGAGTTTGAGACCAGCCTGGCAAACATGACAAAACTCCATCTCTGGACATTTCATATAAATAGAATCATAAGGCCGGACGCGGTGGCTCATGCCTAGGCTGGAGTGCAGTGGCACCATCTCGGCTCACTGCAACCTCCACCTCCTGGGTTCAAGCGATTCTCTGCCTCAGCCTCCGGAGTAGCTGGGATTACAGGTGCCTGCCACCATACCTGGCTAATTTTTGTATTTTTAGTAGAGACGAGGTTTCACCATGTTGGCCAGGCTGGTCTTGAACTTCTGACCTCGTGATCCACCCGCCTCGGCCTCCCAAAATGCTGGGATTACAGGCATGAGCCACCGTGCCTGGCCTTATGATTCTATTTATATGAAATGTCCAGAATAGGCAAGTCCATGAGACAGCAGATTAGAGTGGGGAGAGGAGACTGGAGAGCCAACAGCTTAATAGTTACCGGGTTTCTTTTGGGGGTAATAACATATCAGGAATTAGTGGTAATGACTGCACAACATTGTGAGTGCAATAAAAGTTACTGAAGTAACTGTATACTTCAAAATGGTAAAAAAGTGAATTTCATGGTATGAATTTACCTCAGTAAAAAAATATTAAAAATTCAGTTTGTAAAGCTATTTGATCACTGAACTTCTGACCTTAATAAATGCATTAACAGTAACTATTTTCTAGATACTAAAATTATAACTTTCCCTTTGTCTAAAAAATTAGAAGTTTCCAATTTGCAAAAGCAGCTCTCACAAAAGCATGCCACATATAAAGGCAATGGAGCATGGCTTAATAGAAGGTAAACACCGTTTGATTAAAACTCAGCACTACATCGTATTTTATCATCATTACTGAATATACAAACATTACCAGATAAAATAACTATGGCAGGCCGGGTGCAGTGGCTCACACCTGTAATCCCAGCACTTTGGGAGGCTGAGGCGGGCGGATCACTTGAGATCAGGAGTTTGAGACCAGCCTGGCCAACATGGTGAAACCCCCATCTCTACTAAAATACAAAAATTGGCCGGGCGTGGTGGCGGGTGCCAGTAGTCCCAGCTACTCGGGAGGCTGAGGCAGGAGAATCTCTTGAACTCGGGAGGTGCAGGTTGCAGTGAGCCAAGATCAGGCCACTGCACTCCAGCCTGGGTGACAGAACGAGACTCTCTCAAAAAACAAAAACAAAAATCTTCATGTATAACTAACTGACAACCCAAATTACACACAGACATCCTGTAATCTGGGACTAGATTGCTAAATCTACTATTCCCATCATCTTCCTGAAATAAAGTCTACAATCTAGACATCTACAAAGGGGGAAAAATGACATTATTTAGGTTCATTCTTTCAAATAATTACTGAGTACCTAACTTCCCGCCAGGCACTCTTGTGGGTGTTGGAGATAAAGCAATAAACGTTGTACTCTCAGAGCTAATTTTTATTGGAGGTGGACAGGCAACCAAACAAGCAACTAGAAAGGATGTTAGAGATTTGGGTGCTTTGAAAGTAATCAATAGGATATTGTGTTGGGAAGAAGGACTACTTTAGATGATCCTATTTAGGGAAAGCCACCCTGAGATGACATGGAGGCCAGGATGTGAAAGTGAGACCTGAAAAGGTCTTGAGGAAGAGCAAGCACTTCAGGCAGTGCCAACAGCAAGAGGAAGGGCTCTAAGCAGGAAAGGAACACATTGCTACCTTGTAGAGTCAGAAAGGAGTAAGTGCGGTTAGAGCGTTTAGAATCGGGGGATAGTGGCAAGACGTGGGTCCAGGGATTGGATCTTAGGTGCATTGAGAAAGTATGGGAGGGATTTACACAGGGGAGCAATGAATTAATCTGCTTTATGTATTTAATGGATCACTCTGACTGCTAGGTGGAGAGTGGGTTGTGTTTAGAGTGGGGACGTGACCAGACGGTGTGGATACTACAGAGTTGCCCAGATAGGAGGTGATGGTGGCTGGGACTGAAGGTGGAAATGGGGCAAAGGGAACATATTCATGATACATTCTTGTGGTAGAGCTGGGATGACAGAGGGAAATCAGAGAAAAACGGAGATGCCTAGGTTTGTATTAAGTTTGAGCAAACAGGATCGTGTTTAACTGAAACAAAGGGGCATGGTTTGGGAATTGGAGTCATATTAAATTTGAGATACCTATTCCATATCTGAACTAAAAATGTAAAATTGGCTAATGATAAACTTTGCTAGAAAAAAACATTACCCAAATAGGGTACCCGATTTGACTAAAATTCCTAATGCTTTGGGAAAAGTTATTAATCAAATAGTGACAGATTATGGCTTTTTTGGGGGGGAGGGGTGTTGTTTTCTTGGAGAACTGACCCGTTTGTTGTTATAAAGGGTTCTCTCTTTATCCCTGATACTTTTTTTTTGAGACGGAGTCTCGCTCTGCCACCTAGGCTGGAGTGCAGTGGTGCGATCGTGGCTTACTGCAAGCTCCGCCTCCCGGGTTCACGCCATTCTCCTGCCTCAGCCTCCTGAGTAGCTGGGACTACAGGCGCCCGCCACCACGCCCGTCTAATTTTTTTGTATTTTTAGTAGAGACGGGGTTTCACCGTGTTAGCCAGGATGGTCTCGATCTCTTGATCTCGTGATCCGCCCGCCTCAGCCTCCCAAAGTGCTGGGATTACAGGCGTGAGCCACCGCGCCCGGCTATCCCTGATAACTTTATTTCAAATAGTGACAGGTTAAAAGTTAAGAGCGGATGTTTCAGTATCTAGTTTCCCAGCGTCTTGCCAGTTACTTTAAGCTTGTCGACAGGAGTTTGATTTCACTGACCTCCCTCCTTCCTAGAGCTATGCTTACTTTTTAAAATTTTAAGAAGCTGCTTCATTTGCCCATTCTTTCAACGCATTGTTGTGTACCGGCACTGAGTCAGTCTTTTTCTTTCTTTCCTTTTTTTTTTTTTTTTTTAAGACAGAGTCTTGCTCTGTTGCCCAGGCTGGCGCGCAGTGGTGCTATCTCGGCTCACCGCAATGTCCTTCCCGGCTCCAGAGATTCTCCACCTCAGCCTCCTTCGTAGCTGGAACCAAAGGCACGAGCGAGCACGCCCGGCTAATTCTTTGTATTTATAGAGAGGGGGTTTCGCCATGTTGCCCAGGCTAGGTCTGTCTTAAAAGAGCTTCTTCCGGCCAGGCGCGGTGGCTCACGCCTGTAATCCCAGCACTTTGGGAGGCCGAGGCGGGCGGATCACCTGAGGTCGGGAATTTAAGACCAGCCTGACCAACATGGAAAAACCCGTCTCTACTAAAAATACAAAATTAGCTGGAAGTGGTGGCGCATGCCTGTGATCCCAGCTATTCAGGAGGCTGAGGCAGGAGAATCGCTTGAAGCCGGGAGGCGGAGGGTGCGGCAAGCCGAGATCGCGCCATTGCACTCCAGCCTGCGAATCAAGAGCGAAACTCCGTCTCAAAAAAAAAAAAAAGCTTCTTCCTTGACGGTTCCCTTTTCCCATGAAATTCAAATGCTTCATTTTATCCCTCATCCTCTTGGCCTTTGCAGTCTTGCTCCCAAGGCTCTTCCCTGCCCGCCAACTCTCTCACTTGGGAACATAGCTCCGTAAGCCTCTGCCCAACCCTTCTCCCCGGCGAGCCCAGCGCCCCAGAGCCCTGCGCAGGGGAATTCGAGTGCGGAGGGCGGCAGGCATCCGTGGGGACCTGGTTCAACTCCTTAGACCGGTTCTTCACCGTCAGCGACTCTCCCCTGACAGATTAGGGTAGGATTTAGAAATGAGAAATGGAAGCGCTGGCTGGGCGGTAGCCGCTGCCATGGCTTCCCGTGTGGTCCTCATCACATGCTATTGTATCTGTTAATTTATTAGGCGCAGGGCCGACTCTGAGGGATCTAGTGCCAGGACAAAGCCAGGCACTGGTGAATGAGCAAACACCTGTGTATGGCTGCTTCTTCCAGCCCTACCTGCTCCATACCCACCCCCAGCGCAGCATTCGAATCTTTGTGATCTCGGCGTCCACAGGGAATTTCGACGCAAGCTGGCGTCAGCCTCAAATTCCCGCTCTGGCAACAAGGCTGACCAAAGACCGATGCATGCCGGGATGAGGCTGGATTGACGATCTCTTGCGACGCTGAAATGCATTTCGGGAGATGTAGTCACACAGACGGGCGGTGGCTGCGCAGCGTAGCTCCGCCTCCTGCGTGAGAGGAAGCGGGGACGTGTGAGGTCACTTCCTGCGTGTTGGGTGGCTTCCTGCGGCGTTTCCACTCTCGCTCTCCTTTCGTTGCCTGATCGCCGCCATCATGGGTCGCATGCATGCTCCCGGGTGAGCTCGGGGCATCAAGCCGGATTGCTGGGCGGGGGGTGGGAGGAAGACAGGGAGTGTGGGCAGCGGGCCGAGGGGATGATGTTCTGGGCTGCTCTGGCACTAGCCGCCACCTCACCTCGAGACTGCTTCTCTCCCCAGGAAGGGCCTGTCCCAGTCGGCTTTACCCTATCGACGCAGCGTCCCCACTGTAAGTAGCGCGCTGGGACCGGGGAGAATCCGGGGAGGGGGTTGGCATTTGTCTCGGGTGAAGCGACGCCAGGGTGAGGAACTTGCGTGTATGAGGAGCGCGGTTTTGCGGAAGGAGAGACCGCTGTTCTGCGGCGCCATTCCTGGGTTCTCATCCTAAGGCTGCTTTCTATTCCATAACAGTGGTTGAAGTTGACATCTGACGACGTGAAGGAGCAGATTTACAAACTGGCCAAGAAGGGCCTTACTCCTTCACAGATCGGTGAGTGTTTGTGTCTAACATAGCCTATTTCGCCTGTCCTCGTGTGACTTGTAGGATCTAGTAGGTGGTAAAGTTATTTTAAAAATAGCCAAAACTCTGGTCTCGCCACCGTGCTAGAGGCATCATTGTAAGCACTTCACATGTACTGATTTCGTTTAATTCTGACCACAATACTTTGAAATAAATCTTCATGGCTTTCACCCCAGTTTACAGTTGAGGAAGCAGAGGCACACTGCCGCTGGATACTAACCAGCCCCAAATCACACAGCTGTCAAGTGGAGGAGTTGGAATTGGCTAAGCAGAGTGCCTGACACAGTTCCTCACAGTTAGGTGTGGTTTGAATCTCAGCTGCGTGTGACTTCGTGCAAGTGGCTTCATTCAGCAAATGTTTACCTTCTATGTGCTGAACATGGTTCTGGGGCCTGAGAACATACTACTCTCCGACTCCCCCGCCCAAAAAAGCCAGCCGCAATGTGCCTGTAGTCCCAGATACTTGGGATGCAGAGGTGAGAGGATCACCAGAGCCTAGAAGTCCCAGGCTGCAGTGAGCTATGATGAAGCCACTGCACTCCTGGGTGACAGAGAGACCCCACCTCTTTTTTTTTTTTTTTTTGAGACAGTCTTGCTCTTGTCGCCCAGTCTGGAGTGCAGTGGCGCGATCTCAGCTCACTGCAACCTCCACCTCCTGGATTCAAGCGATTCTCCTGCCTCAGCCTCCCGAATAGGTGGGATTACAGGCGCCCGCCAGCAGGCCCAGCTAATTTGTGTGTTTTTGTTTGAGACCGATTCTCACTTTGTCACCCAGGCTGGAGTGCAGTGGTATGATCTCGGCTCACTGCAACCTCCGCCTCCTGGGTTCAAGCAAGCAATTCTCCTGCCTCTGCCTCTGGAGTAGCTGAGACTACAGGCCGCACCACCACGCCCGGCTAATTTTTGTATTTTTAGTAGAGACGAGGTTTCACCATGTTGGCCAGGCTGGTCTCAGACTCCTGACCTCAGATGATCCACTGCCTCGGCCTCCCAAAGTGCTGGGATTACAGGCGTGAGCCACACCACCTGATCCCACCTCTTAAAAGGGGGAGGGGGGTGCAAAATATCTGTACTCCTGGAGCTTGTAGTCTAATTGGAGGTATGACACATCAAAAGAAAATATGTCATAGATTGTAAGTAGTCAGAGCTCATTAGAGGTTTAAAAGAAATAACGTGTAAAGTTTTTAGAAGAATATCTGACCAGAGTTCTCAGTAAATGTTAGCTGTGGAATCTCATTAATCCCTTTGGTCATCTGTATTCCAGCAAGCTCACTGTGATGATGGTTTTCCAACATTCGCAGTTTCCACCAGAAAGGTTTTCCTTAGTGTTGGGTAAACCTTCCTTGGATGTCTGAGTGAGCTTTATGTGCATTCTCACGTTGGTTTCTGTGATGTATAAAAGTATACCCCCATCTTACAGATAGGAAACTATGCCCTGATTTCTGAGCCTTGACATCATCACATTCTCCAGTTTGTGTTTCGTGTTGAAAGTTAAAACGTGATTCCCTTTTCAGGTGTAATCCTGAGAGATTCACATGGTGTTGCACAAGTACGTTTTGTGACAGGCAATAAAATTTTAAGAATTCTTAAGTCTAAGGGACTTGCTCCTGATCTTCCTGAAGATCTCTACCATTTAATTAAGAAAGCAGTTGCTGTTCGAAAGCATCTTGAGAGGAACAGAAAGGTAAGCTAATAAATAAAACCTGGTGCTAAGTAGGACTGCTTGTACTAAATTTTTTCGGTAAAATGTAATGCATCTGGTTTGAATTATCCAAGGCTTAGTACACAAACCAGTGTAGTGCTGCTTTGAAGTTCAAATTCTATCCAAAGAGATTTTCATTATAGAAAGTGCATGGTAGCTCTACATTCTCTTATTAATGTTTGATAATGTTAGGTCATTTTGGGTGGTTTTCTTGAATTGCACCAAATTTTATTTTTAGGATAAGGATGCTAAATTCCGTCTGATTCTAATAGAGAGCCGGATTCACCGTTTGGCTCGATATTATAAGACCAAGCGAGTCCTCCCTCCCAATTGGAAATAGTAAGTATCAACTCTTTTGTCGTTGTTATCAAGAATAGGAGTCAGCCAGTAGTAAAAGTCCTAGTAGTAAATATGTTCAGCCTTGGGGGCTAGTAGTAAATATGTTCAGCCTTGGGGGCTATTTTGTTAACTGCTCTTTGAGCTCTGGCCTGGTAGTGGGAAAGCAGCCACAGGCAATACATAATCGAATGGGTGTGGCTGCTTGTCTTTAATAAAGACAAGCAGAGGGCCATAGTTGCAGACCCCAGATTTAGACCATGAATAAGCCCTTTGACTCTCTTTTAGATAGTAGGTAGATTTTCCTTTCATACCTCTACTCCCAGGAGTTTGAATTAATTTTCACATGAATTGCTCACTATGATGATTGGTTGCCAGACATTCGCAGTTTCCACCAGAAATGTTTTTCCTTATGTTGGCCAGTTCTTCCTTGGATGTCTGAGTGAGCATCTTCATTCATTGTGCTTGAACACAATGAGTTGGTTCAGGTATTCAGAAGTTTGGTGCACTTTATATAGTTTGGATTTATTAACTGTTTGAGAATAGCACCATTAGTGGGGAGATTCTGTTAATGAATGTGGAGGGACTAGTATTAATCCTGATTTTCTTTCTTTCCCCTTTTTTCTTTTTCAGTGAATCATCTACAGCCTCTGCCCTGGTCGCATAAATTTGTCTGTGTACTCAAGCAATAAAATGATTGTTTAACTAAAAGCATGTTTCATATTTATTTTCCTAGAAGAAAAATTATATATATCAGTGGTTCATATGTGTTGATCTTGTTTGATGGGGAAGTGTTTTGGGTGATTGATGTTAGGATTCCAGGGAGCAGTAAGATACTGTCCATCACATCCCTTGATTGGCCCCTTAAACCAGTTGAGCAGCTTATAACCTCATAGGTGGTTGCTTTAAACATGGAGAACTGGAAGACACTAGGAAATAATGCCTTTGTGTTTGTTTTGGTGTCATGGCAAAAATGTTTCTAAGTATTTTTGATACATTTAATGTTAAAAGACTGAGACAGATCCCTGGCAGATGTTAACCACTTGTAGCATCAGAAATAGTAATATTAGGTTGGTGCAAAAGTAATTGTGGTTTTTGCCATTACTTTAATGCAAAAACCACATTTACTTTTGCACTAACCTAATACATAAAAGTGTCACTGGAGGGAGGGGAATCTGATATGGAGAGACATTGGATCTTGTGGTGAGGGTTAAAGATGAAGGAATCTAGGGGACAGTAAACAGGCACAGTTCGTCTGGAGCATTGGGGGTTTAGGAAGAATATCTGAAGTGGGCTTGGGTTCCTGGCCTTTGAAAATCTTTGGATGGGTTAAAGTAAGATTTACTTGTTCTGGTATTGTGTTTTAATTTAATTCTTAACCTAATGGGGTACATGGGTATTGCTGCTTGAATGAGTAAAATCTCAGACAACCCTAGGGAGTGGTTCAAGGTTATAAGACTTAGAAATGGTTAAGCTGCATGTCTGGCTGGTGTTTGTTGACAGAGCCATGATCCTTCAGAATTCAGAAATGGCTGCACGTGTTGGCTCACGCCTGTAATCCCCGCACTTTGGGAGGCCAAGGTGGGTGGATCACCTGAGGTCAGAAGTTCAAGACTAGCCTGGCCAACATGGTGAAACCCTGTCATTACTAAAAATACAAAAATAAGCTGGGCATGGTGGCAGGCACCTGTAACCCAGGAGGTGGAAGTTGCAGTGAGCTGAGATCACATCACTGCACTCCAGCCTGGGTGACAGTGAGACTCCGTCCAAAAAACAAAAAAAAAGCATCTATATGCTTTTTTTTTTTTCCCTAACATCTACTTTGACCCAGTTGGAAATAGCATATGCACATTATTTTTCCTAATCTATCCGTGTGAGCACCTAGAATTTGTAGGTTTCCTGCAACAACTGTTTTCTTCCTTGAAAAATCATCTTTTCAAGTGGTAGGTGTCCATCTTACAGTATCGCTCTGTCGCCCGGGCTGGAGTGCAGTGGCGTGATCTCAGCTCACTGCAAGCTCTACCTGCCGGGTTAATGCCATTCTCCTGCCTCAGCCTCCTGTGTAGCTGGGACTACAGGCACCTGCCATCATGCCCGGCTAATTTTTTGTATTTTTAGTAGAGACGGGGTTTCACCGTGTTAGCCAGGATGGTCTCGATCTCCTGACTTCGTGATCCACCCACCTTGGCCTCCCAAAGTGCTAGGATTACAGGCGTGAGCCACTGCGCCCAGCCGATTTTTTTTTTTTTTTTTTTTTTTTTGAGATGGAGTTTCACTCTTGTTGCCCAGGCTGGAGTCCAATGGCGCAATCTCTTCAACTGCAACCTCTGCATCCCGCGTTCAGGTGATTCTACTGCCTCAGCTTCCCAAGTAGCTGGGATTACAGGCATGAGCTACCATGCCTGGCTAATTTTGTATTTTTTTTTTAGTTGAAACAGGGTTTCACCATGTTGGTCAGGCTGGTTTTGAACTCCTGACCTCATGTGAGCCACTGTGCCCGGCCCATCTTATTATTCTTAAACTTACACATGTATGTGGTTTTATTTATCTTTTCAGTCTCACTGTCACCCAGGCTGGAGTGCGGTGGTGTGATCTTGGGTCACTGCAACCTTCACCTCCTAGGTTCAAGCAATTTTTGTGCCTCAGCCTCCTGAGTAGCTGGGGTTACCGGTGCCTGCTACCATGATTGGCTAATTTTCGTATTTTCAGTAGAAATGGGATTTTGCCGTGTTGGCCAGGCTGGTCTCAAACTCCTGGCCTCAAGAGATCTGCTCACCTCGGCCTCCCAAATTGCTGGGATTACAGGTGTGAGCCACTGCGCCCAGCCTGTTGAATCATTTGGTAAGACATAACTAAAAACAATCTTTTCCTTTTTGCAGCCCCACCTTCCTGAAGATGAGGGCAACCACTTTAAATACATAGCTGTTTTTCTGGTATATAATATGCCTTCTTATCATTTTCTTTTGGAGACAGAGTCTCGCTCCGTTGCCCAGGCTGGAGTGCAGTGGCATGATCTCGGCTCACTGCAACCTCCACCTCCCAGGTTCAAGCAATTCTCTTGCCTCAGCCTCCCGAGTAGCTGGGATTACAGGCATACGCCACCATGCCCAACTAATTTTTGTGTTTTTAGTAGAGATGGGATTTCACCATGTTGGTCAGGCTGGTCTTGAACTCCTGACCTCGTGATCTGCACGCCTTGGCCTCACAAAGTGCTGGGATAACAGGTGTGAGCCACCGCGCCCGGCCCACTTTCTTATTTCTAAGTAACATTCTTTTTAAAAAAATTGAGGTGAAATTCACATTATAAAATTCCCCATTTTAAAGTGAACAATTCAGTGGCATTTGTTTGTTCATAATATTGTACAACCACCACCTTTATGTAGTTCCAAAACATTTTTCATCACCTTGAAGCAAAACCCCACACTCCTGTTGACTTAGTCCCAGCATTTTGGGAGGCTGAGATGGGAGGAACGCTTGAGCCCAGGAGTTTAGAGAGCAGCCTAGGCAACATAGACTTCTGTCTCAAAAAACAAAAAGCCCATACTCATTAAGCAGTTATCCCCATTTTTCACTCCCCCCACCAACCCCTAGCAGCCACCAATCCGCTTTCCGTTTTTATGGATTTGCCTTTTCTGGATATTTCATATAAGTGGATTCATACAGTATCTGACCTTTTGTGTCTGGCAGTCTTTCACTTAGCATGATGTTTTTGAGGTTCACTAACATAGCATGTGTCAGTACTTCATTCCTTTTTGTGGCTGAATAGTATTTCCCTATGTGTACCACAGTTTGTTTATGCATTTATTAGTTGATGGATATTTGGATTGTTTCCACCTTTTGACTGTTTCAAATAGTGCTGCTCTGAGTATTTGTGTACATGTACTTGTTTGAGTACCTGTTTTCAATTTTTGGGGTGTGTATCTAGGAGAATTGCTCCAAATAACATTTTTATGCCCCTTTCCTGGCATCCTCATAATTCTGTAATCGTTTATGGTTCAATCAATATTCTGTGTTTACATTTCTATGACTTTTATATACAGTGTTGACGTGATTCCATATTTACAATTCTGTAAATATATCTACAAAAAAATGTTAGTAATTACCTTGTTTTTCCATGTGCTTAAGAGTTCTGTGTTCCTGTTTCTATCTCATCCCCAAACTTTGAGCCATAGTTTAATCTCAGTATATTCAAACAGGGTTGCTCTTTTTGTTTTTCCTTGGTGATACCCTCCCAGGATGCTTCATCCTCTAGTGCCAGTTTAGACATCTTACCCTGAGACCTGTAGTTCTGGAATCCCCGTTCACCACCAATCTGAATATTCTGTCTCCAGTGTCAGATTCCTCCTTCCTTATCTTCTGTCTTCCTCTTTCTTGGTTTGCTCCCTTTTGGAGGATGTGGGAAACACCGCCTCTAGCAGTCCCTAACAAAAGGCTCAGTCCTTGGACCTCATTTTTTCTGTTCATCTCAACTCCTGTAACTTCATCTCATCTATGGCTTTCCATGCCATCTTTAAAGCTACTACACTCAAATTCATATCTCCAGGGCAGACCCTCCTTGGACTCCAGACTTAGGTGTGCATCTGCCTATTCTGTATCCCCCCTTGAATTGCTGATAAACACCGGATATTTTGACTCTTTTTTTTTTTTTTTTTTTTTTTGAGACGGAGTTTCATTCTTGTTGCCCAGGCTGGAGTGCAATGGCACGATCTCGGCTCACTGCAACCTCCACCTCCCAGGTTCAAGTGATTCTCCTGCCTCTGCCTCCCAGTAGGTGGGATTACAGGTGCCCACCATCACTCCTGGCTAATTTTTTGTATTTTTAGTAGAGATGGTTTCACCATGTTGGCCAGGCTGATCTCAAACTCCTGACCTCAAGTGATCCGCCCGCCTCGGCCTCCCAAAGTGCTGTGATTACAGGCATAAGCCACCGTGCCTGGCCGGAAATAATTTTCCTTAAACGTTTTTAGCATCGCTTATTGTTTATAGCTTTAAAAACAAAAACCAAATGCTATTGCCGAGAAGTCAGATGTTATGCTGATTCCTACTCCTTTGTAACTTGGTGGTTTGTTTTTTTCTTTTTTGACTGGATGCTTTCAGGATCATCTTATTAGTGCTTGATCTTCTGAAATTTGCAAAAATACCTTGGCTTTTATTTTTTTCATGTTTTGCAAGGAACTCAGTGAACTATTTCAGTCTGAAAATTGTCTTGCAGTTCTAGGAAATTTTCTTGAATTATTCCTTTAATAATTTCCTTCCCCACTATTTTCTATGTTCTCTTTGCAAAACTCATTATTTGTACATTAGACTTTCTGGAACTCCCACCATGGCCGATTTCAAGTTACTAATGGGATGTTACAACCAGGGGTTGGTATGAGATGCTCAGGAGCAGACCATTACATTGTATCTCTCCTCTGCAGATATAACAGACATAAATGACTTGGAGACCATGGATAATAGTGAAATGGTGTGAAATAATTAGAAAGTGGTGAGTTCTGAGGATTTACTATACTTGTTTTGAATATACTTTATCTGCGAGTTTATATGATTTTTAATGCCTGTGTTTAACTGGCTTGCAGCATTCCTGAAAGCTTGAGAGTTGGCTCTTGTGAGCCCATACAAACCAGCCCCAGTGCACCACTGCTCAGAGTTCAGAGTTCATCCTTGTTCCGTTTTTTTTTTGGAGGTAGAGTCTTGCTCTATCCCCCAGGATGGAGTGCAGTGGCATGATCTCAGCTCACTGTAACCTCCACCTCCCAGGTTCAAGTGATTCTCCTGCCTCAGCCTGTCGAATAGCTGGGATTACAGATGCCTGCCACCATGCCTGGCTAATTTTTGTATTTTTAGTAGAGACGGGGTTTCGCCATGTTGGTCAGGCTGGTCTTGAACTCCTGACTGCAGGTGATCTGCCCGCCTCGGCCTCCCAAAGTGTTGGGATTACAGGCATGAGCCACTGCGCCCGGCCTTGCAGTGAGTATTTTGTAAGTATGGTAGTTTCCCCCCTTTTTCATGGTTTCCTTTATCCATGGTCAATAGTGGGCTGAAAATATAAAATGGAAAATTCTAGAAATAATTCATAAATTTAAAATAACTTTTATTACAGTATATTGTTATAATTGTTCTATTTTATTATTAGTTGTTGCTAATTTCTTACTGTGCCTAATTTATAAATTAAACCTTATCATAGGTATATATGTGTAGAAAAAAATAGCATATAAAAGATTTTGTACTGTCCACAGTTTCGGGCAACCCCTGGGGCCTTGGGACATACGCTCTGCGGACATTGGGGAACTACCATATTGTCTCATTTAGTCCTCATGGTCACTCTATGAGGTAGATAGTATTAGCCTCTCCATTATTCAGAAGAAACTGAGGCACAAAAGGTAAAGTAGGCAGACAATTTGACACACTGGTGAGATGGAAAAGTCATAAGGGAGGCTGGGTGGCGCTCCCTCCTGTCATCCCAGCACTTTGGGAGGCCGAGGTGGGCAGATCACTTGAAGTCAGGAGTTCAAGACCAGCCTGGCCAACATGGTGGAACCCTATCTCTACTAAAAATACAAAAATTAGCCAGGCGTGGTGGCGTGTGCCTGTAATCCCAACTCCTCAGAAGGCTGAGGCACAAGACTTGCTTGAACCCGGGAGGTGGAGGTTGCAGTGAGCGGAGATTGTGCCACTGCACTCCAGCCTGAGCAACAGTGTGAGACTCGGTCTTAAAAAAAATAAAGAAAAAGAAAAAAAAAAGTCATCATGGAGGAGCAGAAAGTGAAGCCATGGTCACATGAAATTGCCTAAGGATAGAAGAGTCCAGCTTCTTTCCCATCTTACCTCCATTGCACCCAGCTGGGCCCCTCTCAGGCCTGCCCTCCTGGCAGTAAATGGTGTGCCTGGGTCCACCTCGGGTGTGGTAGACTGTATGACCACAACAGGCCAGATTCAGTGGCTCATGCCTGTAATCCCAGCACCTTGGGAGGCCAAGGCAGGAGGACCTCTTGAGGCTAGGAGTTTGAGATCAGCCTGGGCAACATAGTGAGACTCACATCTCTACAAAAAATAAAAAAGCTAGCTAGATTTTTTTTTTTCCAGAACTTGGAAGGCCAAGGTGAGAGGATTGCTTGAACCCAAGAGTTTGAGGCTGCAGTGAGCTATGATTGGGACAGAGGGACCCTGTCTCTGGAAAAAAAAAAAAAAAAATGACCACAACAAAATCTGTCCCACTTGTCTTCTTGAACCTTACTGCTCTCCAGTCAAGATGTGGTGTCTAATTCCTCTCCCTATCAACATGGCAGGCTGTGGCTGGCTGTAACAATAGAATTCAGCTGAAGTGACACCTGAGGAATTCCGAGACCAGGGCAGAAAATGCCTTGTTGCCTGGGACACTCATGTCTGGGATCCTGAGCTGCTGTGCAGGCCCACCCCGAGGCCTCCATGCTGTGAGGAAGCCTCGGCCATGTGTGGGTGCTCTGGAAAACAGCCATGGTGGAGGTCCCATGTGACAGCCGGCGCTAACCACCAGGCTCCTGAGTGAAGATACCTCCACATGATACCTGCCTCCAGAGCCTTTGAGTCGCCCCAGCCACTCAATCTTCCCAGCTGAGACTACAGACATTCTGGAGTAGAGAAGCCATTCCTGTAGTACCCTATCTGAATTCTTTTTTTTTTCTTTCATAGAGACAGGGGTCTCCCTATGTTGCCCAGGCTGGTCTCAAACTCCCGGGGTCAAGCAGTTATCCTGCCTTGGCCTCGCAAAATGCTGGGATTACAGGCATGAGCCACTGCACCTAGCCCTGAATTCTTGACCTACAGAATCCTTGAGCATAATCAAATGATTGTTTTAAACCACTAGGTTTTTGGGGTAATTTGTTTCATAGCAAAAGTAAGGAGAACATTTTGTTGAGGAGAAAGAGGCTGTGTTTCTATGGTCCTACGGCTGCTGGAGGGACAGGGCAGAAGCTTTCACTTGCCTTTCCCCATTTGCCATGCCTCCCTGCTCTCATCTCATCTCAGCCTGTACTGGAATTACCTGTGGATGTGTCTGTCTGCCCTACCAGACTGGACTGTGAGCCCCTGTTGGGGAGGATGGCAGAAACTGTCTTGGTTGCCTCATATTCCCAGTGCCCAGCACAGAGCCTGGCACATAAGATAATCAGCAGATCCTTGCTGGGTACATGCACAGCGGTTGGTCTGATGTTTATTTCCCAGTTAGAACTGCTGGCAGTGGGGATCCCAAACCTTTTCCAAGGACTTCGTGGGAGCTGGAAGGAAGCTCTTGCTGGCTGCCTCCCACAGAAGCATATGATTGGACTGAAAGCAATTTTTCTGAAAGCATTCTGGTGAATACAACATTTTGATTGAAACAATGATTTGATTGAAAATGAGTATTTCCCAGTTGTTGTTTTTTTAAATATATATAATGTTGGTCATTCTCATGCTTTATCAAGCAATTTTCAATGCTTTAAGTTTTTAAGCATTTTTGTCCTTTTCCTGAACTTTTCAGGGGTTTTCCCTAATTATTTGTAATTTGTTTTTTAGCCCACTTTTACTGTTTTTTCAATATTTGTAATAGTACAAAATTGGAACTGCCTAACTGATTAGTGGGCTGCTTAAATTAAGGTATGAAATGTACCTCAATATATTAACATATATACAATAATTCCAGTTTTGTTAAAAAAAATTATGCACAAACATACAAATATCTAGAAAGATATCCACCAATGCTTCTTGACCAGGAGGCATTCACTGGGATACTCCCAGAAGACTTTTAAAAATAGTGATTTCTTTTCCTTTTGAGACCGAGTCTCACTCTGTTGCCCAGGCTGGAGTGCAGTGGCATTAGCTCACTGCAACCTCTGCCTCCTGGGTTCAAGTGATTCTCGTGCCTTAGCCTCCCGAGTATCTGGGACTACAGGCACCCACCACCACACCCGGCTAATTTTTCTATTTTTAGTAGAGATGGGGTTTCACCATGTTGGCCAGGCTAGTCTCGAACTCCTGACCTCAGGTGATCCTGCTGCCTCAGCCTCCCAAAGTGTTGGGATTACAGGTGTGAGCCACTGCTCCTGGCCTAAAATACTGATTTATTTATTTATTTATTTTTTTGAGACAGAGTCTCGCTCTGTTGCCCAGGCTAGAATGCAGTGGTGCAATCTCGGCTCACTGCAGTCTCCCCATTCTGGGTTCAAGCAATTCTCCTGCCTCAGCCTCCTGAGTAGCTGGGACTACAGGTGAATGCCACCATGCCTGGCTAATTTTTGTGTTTTTAGTAGAGAGGGGGTTTCATCATGTTGGCCAAGCTAGTCTGAAACTCCTGGTCTCAAGTGATCCGCCAGCCTTGGCCTCCCAAAGTGCCGGGATTACAGGTATGAGCCACCGTGCCCATCCTAAAATACTGATTCCTTCATGCCTGTAATCCCAGCACTTTGGGAGGCTGAAGTGGGAGGATCGTTTGAGTTCAGGAGTGTGAGACTAGCTTGGGCAAAATAGTAAGACTCTGTCTCAACAAAAAATAAAAAAATTAGGCCAGGTGCGGTGGCGCATACCTGTAATCCCAGCACTTTGGGAGGCCGAGGTGGGCGGATCACGAGGTAAGGAGTTCAAGACCTGCCTGGCCAATGTGGTGAAACCCCATCTCCACTAAAAATACAAAAAAATTAGCCAGGTATGGTGGCGGGCACTTGTAATCCCAGGTACTTGGGAGGCTGAGGCAGGAGAATTGCTTGAACTCAGGAGGCGGAGGTTGCAGTGAGCTGGGATTGCACCATTGCACTCCAGCCTGGGTGACAGAGCAAGACTCCATCTCAGGGGGAAAAAAAAAAAAATTACTCATGGTGGCACATGCCTATAGTCCCAGCTACTCAGGAGGCTGAGATGGGAGGATTGCTTAAGCCTGGGAGATCAAAGCTGCAGGAAGATCACTACTACACTCTAGCCTGGACCACAGAGCAAGACTCTGTCTCTGAAAAGTAAAAACAGTTTTGGTTTTTTTTTGAGACGGAGTCTTGCTCTGTGGCCCAGGCTGGAATGCAATGGCACAATCTTGGCTCACTGCAACCTCTGCCTCCCGGGTTCAAGCGATTCTTATGCCTCAACCTCCCAATTAGCTGGGATTACAGGCACATGTCGCCATGCCCAGCTAATTTTTGCATTTTTAGTAGAGAGGGGGTTTCACTATGTATGTTGCCCAGGCTGGTCTTGAATTCCTGACCTCAGGTGATCCACCCACCTCGGCCTCTCAAAGTACTGGGATTACAGGCATGAGCCACTGCACCCGGTCACTAAAAAATATTTTTTAAAAATTGATTCCTTTACTCCAGAAAGGGAAGAAGAAGAGATGGATACATAGGTAGGTAGGTAGGTAGGTAGGTAGGTAGGTAGATAGATAGATAGATAGATAGATAGATAGATAGATAGAGATTCCTGAGCTCTGTCTGGGAAAGCAGAAATCTGCTAGGATGGGGAGTGGGTTGGGAGTGGGGAACCAGACATCTGTATTTTTAAAAGGCATCTAGGATTGGGACCCCTGACTTAGAATCACAGAAGAGTAAACCAAGTAGGTACTTAATTCAGTCCTCATTTTGTGTATGGGTGAGTTAGACTCCAAGAAGGGACTTGCTCAGGGTCACACAGTGGGAGGGATGACAAGGACTAGAGTCCAGGCCTCCTGGCTCCTGGCCTAGTTGCCCTTTCCTCTTTGTTCTTGCTCCAGGTGTGAAAAGAAATTGTCTCTAGGTGGGATTATGGGATTTGTTTGAATCATTCTTTTGCATGTTTCTATTTTCTGACGTTTCTGTAAGAGTATCAGTTGCTTTTGGCACAAGATAAAAACAAAGAATAAAAGAAAGGATAAGGCCAGGTGCAGTGGCTTATGCCTGTAATCCCAGGACTTTGGGAGGCCAAGGCAGGTGGATCATTTGAGGTCAGGAGTTCAAGACCAGCCTGGGCACAGGGACATGGTGAGACCCTGTCTCTACTAAATATACAAAAATTAGTCAGGCCTGGTGGCTCATGCCTGTAATCCTAGCTACTTGGGAGGCTGAGGCAGGAGAATCGCTTGAACCCAAGAGGTGAAAGTTGCAGTGAGCTGAGATCACACCACTGCACTCTAGCCTGGACAACAGAGAGAGACTCTGTCTCAAAAAAAAAAAAAAAAAAAAGGAAGAAATAAAAGATAATTCTGTTAAAGCTATTTTACCTGGTGTCTCCTCCCCCACTTCCCTACCCTCCCTCCCTCCCCAACTACCAGCACCCCCGGGCAGTGGCACTACTTACTGTCCCATACCGCATTGCCTCTACAAAGACTGTGGCCTTTAGGGACAGTCTGGCTCAGAGTTAGGGACACACAGATCATACGTCTGAGCCAGGTCCAGGGAAGTCAGTGTACTCTGGGTACACAGATCCCCTGGGCCTGGCCCACCCAAGACTGCGTAGATGCCAGGTGGAGAGAGGCAGGCCCTAGAGTAGAGGTCCCCAGGGCACTGGCCCTTGAGCCACCAGGAAGCCCCACCAGAGGGCAGCAGAAGCCTGGTCCAGAGCTCCCATCAAGCCTCCCATGGGGATGTCACTGGGGTTCAGGGAAAGCTTCAGGGAGAATTTAGGTACTGTTCTGAAGGAGGGGAGTTGGAAAGGGTACTTTAGGTTTGTGTGAGGGCATGGCCTGTACAAAGCTAAGGAGGCAGGAATTCATGAATCAAAATGTGCCAAGGTGGGGACAAGAGAGCACTAGAATGTAAGCTCCTTGCAGGCAAGAACTGTGTCTGTTGTGTGTATGCAGCTATACTGTTAGAACAGTGCCTAGCACATGATATGTATTCCATTGATATTTATTAATCAAAGACATGAATGGGAATACTGCTGGTGGGGAGGAAATGAGGAAGAGAAAGGGCAGCAAATGTTTGGGTAGAGGACAAAAAAGAAAATAACTTTTACTTACTGAGCACCTACTCTTTGTTGGGCAATGTGCTAAATGTTTCTAAACTAAGAAAGTAGTACATGCTTAAGGTGAAAAAAATATTAAAGTTTTTTAAAATATAAAACAGGTCTTACCCGTACACCAGAACTTCTAGCCTCCTTTTCAGAAGCTAACAATGTTTTTTTGCATATTTTTCTAGAAATGTTATACACATGTTGGCCGGGCACAGTGGCTCACACGTATAATCCCAGCACTTTGGGAGGCCGAGGCAGGCAGATCACGAGGTCAGGAGTTTAAGACCAGCCTGGCCAACATAGTGAAACCCCATATCTACTAAAAATATAAAAAATTAGCCGGGCTTGGTGGCGGGCACCTGTAATCCCAGCTACTCGGGAGGCTGAGGCAGGAGAATTGCTTGAACCCAGGAGCCGGAGGTTGCAGTGAGCCGAGATTGCACCATTGCACTCCAGCCCGGGTGACAGTGCGAGACTCCATCTCACACACAAAAAAAGAAAGAAATGTTATACACATGTACCTCGGGTCACCTGCTCCCTTCCATGTCTCTCAGAACTTCCAGACACATATTCTCTTAGAGCAGCATTTTTCAAAGTGTAGTCTGGAACTTCCTTCAACGGAATCACCTGGTGGGAATATAACTTATTAAACATGCAGAATCTCTTAGCTGGGCATGGTGGTGCACACCTGTAGTCCCAGCTACTCGGGAGGTTGAGGCAGGAGGATAGTTTGAGCCTGGGAGATGGAGGCTGCAGTGGGCCGTGATCGTGTCACTGCACTCCAGCTTTAGCGACAGAGTGAGACCCTGTCTCAAAAACAAACAAACAAACAAACAAACAAGAAAAACAGAATCTCAGGCCTCATACAGAACCACACAATCAAGGGAAGGGAATCTGTATTTTAACAAACTGTAGGGAATTCTGATGCCCATTAAAGTTTGAGAAGCACTGCCTGGACTCACACAATCACTCACTGAGGAGAGGGTTCAGATAGGGATTGCATTGAATCTGTAGATTGCTTTGGGTAGTATGGACATTTTAATAATACTGATTCTTCCAATCCATGAACGTGGAATATTTTTCCATTTTTTTGGTGTCCTTTTTAGTTTCTTTCATCAGTGTTTTATGATATTCATTATAGAGATCTTTAACTTCTTTGGTTAATTCCTAGGTATTTAATTTTATTTGTGGCTATTGTAAATGGCATTACATTTTAATTTCTTTTTCCGATTGTTCATTGTTGGCATGTAGAAATGCTACTAATTTTTGTATGTCGATTTTATATCTTGCAAATTTATTGAATTTTTATCACTTCTAATAGGTTTTTTGTGGAGTCTTTAGGTTTTTTTGAAATATAAGATTATATCATCTATAAATAAGGATAATTTGACTTCTTCCATTTCAATTTGGATGCCCATTATTTCTTTCTCTTGTCTGACTGCTCTAGCTAGGACTTCCAGTACTATGTTGAGTAACAGTGATGAAAGTGGGCATCCTCATTGTGTTCTTAGAGGAAAGGCTTTCAGTATGATATTAGCTGTCTGTCACATAGGGCTTTTATTATATTAAGGTATATTCCTTCTATTCCAGTTTTTTTGAGGGTTTTTATCTTGAAGGGATGTTAAATTTTATCAAATGCTGTTTCAGCATCAATTGAAGTGATCATACTGTTTTTATTCTTCATTCTGTTGATATGATATATCACATTAATTGATTTGCATATGTTGAACCATCCTTGCATCCCAGGGACAAATCCCACTTGGTCATGATGAATGATCTTTCTAATATATTGCTGAATTTGCTTGTGTTTTTTGAGGATCTTTGCATTAATATTCATAAGAGGTACTAGCTTGTAGTTTTATTTTTTTGATGTGTCTTTGTCTTGTTTTGGTATCAGGGTCATACTAGCCTCATAGAATGAGATTGGAAGTATTCCCCCCTCTTACTATTTTTTGGAATACTTTGAGTAGAATTGGTATTAGTTTTTCTTTAAATGCTTGGTAAAATTCAGCAGGGTAGGGATCAGGTTCTGGGCTTTTCTTTGCTGGGAGACTTTTTATTACAGCTTTCAACTTGTTATCTGTTACTGATCTGTCAGATTTTGGATTTCTTCCTGGTTCAATCTTGGTGGGTTGTATCTGTCTAGGAATTTGTCCATTTATTCTAGATTTTCCAATTTATTGGCATATACTTGCTCGTAGTAGCCACTAATGATCCTTTGAATTTCTTCAGTATCAGTTATAATGTCTCCTTTTTCATTTCTGATTTTATTTATCTGAGTCTCTCTTTTTTATTTTTTATTTTTTTGAGACAGACTCTCACCCTGTTGCCCAGGCTGGAGTGCAGTGGCGTGATCTTGGCTCACTGCAACCTCTACCTTCCAGGTTCAAGCAATTCTTGTGCCTCAGCCACTTGAGTGGCTGGGACTACATGCGTGTGCCACCACACCTAGCTAATTTTCGCACTTTTAGTAGAGATGGGTTTTTACCATGTTGGCCAGGTTGGTCTTGAACTCCTGACCTCAAATGATCCACCCACCTCAGTCCCCCAAAGTGCTGGGATTATAGGCATGAGCCACCATGCCTGCCCCTTCTCTCTTTTTTTTCTTAGTCTGGCTAAAGTGTTGTCAATTTTGTTTAACTTTTCAAACAACCAACTTTTTGTTTCATTGATCTTTTGTATTGTTTTCTTTATTTCAATTTCATTTATTTCTGCTCTGATCTTCATTATTTCTTTTCTTCTACTAATTTTGCATTTGGTTTGCTCTTGCTTTTCTAGTTCTTTAAGATGCATTAGGTGTTTTTTTTTTTTTTTTTTTTTTTAACGTAGGCACTTATAGCTGTAAACTTCCCTCTTAGTATTGTTTCGGTATCTTGTGTTTCCATTATCATTTGTTTCAAGGAAATTTTAAGTTTCCTTCTTAATTTCTTCTTTGACCTACTGGCACATTCAAGAGAATGTTGTTTCTTTTTTTTTTTTTTTTTTTTTTCAGTGCTCCAAGACATCTGAAACATTGTTTAATTTCTGTGTATTTGTATAGTGTCCAAAACTATTCTTGCTATTAATTTCTATTTTTATTCCATTGTGGTCAGAGAATATGCTTGATATTATTTCAATTTTTTTTTTTTTTTTTTTTTTTTGAGACAGGGTGTTGCTCTGTCACCCAGGCTGGAGTGCAGTGGCAAAATCTCGGCTCACTGCAAGCTCTGCCTCCTGGGTTCAAGCTATTATCCTACCTCAGCCTCCCAAGCAGCTGGGATTACAGATCCACACCACCACACCTGGCTAATTTTTGTATTTTTGTAGAGATGGGGTTTCACCATGTTGGCCAGGCTGGTCTCGAACGCCTGACCTCAAGTAATCCGCCCACCTCAGCTTCCCAAAGTGCTGGGATTATACGTGTGAGCCACTGTGCCCAGCCAATTTTTTTTTCAATGTTTTAAGACTTGTTTTGTGACCTAACATATGGCCTATCCTTGAGAATGATCCATGTGCTGAGGAAAAGAATGTGTATCCTGCAGTCATTGGGCAAAATGTTTTGTAAATATCTGTTAGATCCATTAGGTGTATAGTGCAGATTAAGTCTGATGTTTCTTTCTTGATTTTCTGTCTGGAAGATCTGTCCAAATCTGAAAGAGGGGTGTTGAAATCTCCAACTATTATTGTATTGGAGCCTATCTCTCTCTTCAGCTCTAATAATGTCTGCTTTGCATATCTGGGTGTTCCAGTATTATGTGCATATATATTTTAAATTGTTGTATCCTCTTGCTGAATTGACCTCTTTATCATTACATAGAGTCCTTCTTTGTCTTTTGTTTCGTTTGGTTTTTTTTGGGATGGAGTTTGGCTGTTTCACTCAGACTGGAGTGCAGTGGCATGATCTCGGCTGACTGCAACCTCTGCCCCCCGGGTTCCAGTGATTCTCCTGCCTCAGCCTCCCAAGTAGCTGGGATTATAGGCACGCACCACCACACCTGGCTAATTTTGATATTTTTAATAGAGTTGGGGTTTCACCATGTTGGCCAGGCTGGTATCGAACTCCTGACCTCAGGTGATCCACCCACCTCGGCCTCCCAAAGTGCTAGGATTACAGGCGTGAGCCACTGCGCCTGGGCCTCTTTGTCTTATAGTTTTTGTCTTCAAATCTATTTTGTATGATACAAGTATAGCTACTCCTGCTCTTTTTTGGTTTCCACTGACATGAAATATATCTTTTCATCCCATTATTTTAAGTCTATGTGTGTCTTTACAGGGGAAGTGGTTCGTAATATCTAGGCGGGGAGAGTAGGGTGATATTACTCGCCATATTGTGGGGGGTGTCCACCCCCCTGTGATATGGTTCGTAATATCCATTGTGGGAGATGGGGGTGATATTACTCGTTAATATTCTAGGGGGATGATACTTCTAAAGTCGCAAAGGGTGCACACCCTGTGATATCATTGGTAATATTCTAGGGGGATGTTACTCCTAATGTAACAGGTGTCTACACCCTGATATAATTATTCACAACATACTAGCGGTATACTACTACTAATGTCACAATGTGTGTACACCTTTTGATATTATTTGTAATATACTGGGGGGATGTTACTGCCAATGTCACAGGGGTGTACATGCTGTGATATTATTTGTAATATTCTAAGTGGGTACTTTTAAAATCATAGGAGGTGTACACCCTGTGATGTTATTTGTAATATCCTAGGAAGATGTAACTCTTAATGTCACATGGGGTGTACACCCTGTGATATTATTTGGAATATCCTATGGGGATGCTACTCCCAATGTCACAGGGGATGTAACACCCTGTGATATTCGGAATATCCTAAAGGGATGTTACATTTAATGTCACAGATGGGGTACACCCTTTGATATTATTCGTAATATCCTAGGGAGATATTACTTGAAAAATCACAGTGGGTGTACACACAGGGCATATACCCTGTGATATTATTCACAATATCCTAGGGAGGTGTAACTTTTATTATTACAGTAGGTGTACACTATGGGTGTACACCCTGTGATATTATTTGTAATATTTTTGGAAAAATGACTCAATATCACAGTGGGTGTACACACTGTGATATTATTCATCATATCCTAGAAGTAGATTACTCCTATTGTCACAGCGGGTTAACACCCTGTGACATTATTTGTAATAAACCAGGGGGATAATTCTCTTAAAGTCACAGGGTGTGTACACCCTGTGATATTATTCATAATATTCTAGAGGGATGTTACTCCTACTGTCACAAATATGTACACCCTGTGATATTATTCACAGTGTACTAGCTGGATATTATTACTCATGTCACAATGCATGTACACCTTGTGATATTATTTGTAATATCCTAAGGGGAAGTTACTCCTATTGTCACAGGGGGTGTACTTTCTGTGCTATGATTCGTAGTATCCCAGGGGGATGTCACTCCTACCATACAAAGTGCGTACACCTTGGTATATTATTCGTAATATCCTAGAATGATGTTACTCCTCATGTCACGGGGGTGTATATCCTGTGATATGATTCTTCACATTCTAGGAAGATGTTATTCCTAATATCACAGAAGGTGGACAACCTGTGAAGTTATTCATAATAGTTTTGGGGGATGTTACTCCTAACGTCACACATGGTGTACAAACAGTGATATTATTTGTAATGTTGTAATGTTTTTTGGAAATGTTACTCCTGATATCACAGGGGCTGTACACCCTGTCATATTATTCGTAATATCATGAAAAAATGTTACCACTAATGTCACAGGCTGTGTACACCGTGTGGTATTATTCCCCATATTGTAGGGTGATGTTACCCCTAATGTCACAGAAGGTGTTCACACTCTGATGATATTCATAATATCCTAAAGGGATGTTACTGATGTCACAATGCATGTACACAATCTGATATTATTTGTTATATCCTCGGGGGGTGTTACTTCGAATGTCACAGGGGGTGTACTCCCTGTGATATTATTCCTAATATCCTAGGTGGATGTTACTTCGAATGTCACAGGGGGTGTACACTTTGCGATATTATTCATAATAATTTAGAAAGATGTTACTCCTAATGTCACAGAGGTGTACACCCTGTGAAGTTATTCAAAATAGTATTGGGGGCTGTTACTCCTAATGTCACACGTGGTGTACAAACAGTGATATTATTCGTAATATTTTTTTGGAAATGTTACTCCTAATATCACAGGGGATCTACACCTGGTAATATTATTCGTAATATCCTAAAGAAATGTTACCTCTAATGTCACAGGGGGTGTACACCATGTGATATTGTTCCCAATATTGTAGGGGGATGTTACTCCTAATGTTCCAGGGGGTGTTCACACTGTGATAATATTCGTAATATCCTAAATGGATGCTACTGCTAATGTCACAATTCACGTACACCCTCTGTATTTGTTCGTTATATCCTCAGGGGATGTTACTCCTACTGTCACACAGGGTGTACTCCCTGTGATATTATTCATAATATCCTAGGTGAATGTTCCTCCTAATGTCACAGGGGATGTGCATTTTGTGATATTATTCACAATATCCTAGAAAGATGTTACTACTCATGTCACAGGGGATGTACACCCTGTTATATTATTCATAATATCCTAGGGGACGTTACTCCAAATGTCACAGAAGGTGTACCCTCTGTGATATTACTCGTAATATTTCAGGGAAATGTATTCCTAATGTAACAGGGCATGTACATCGTGTGTGCACACCCCCTGAGATGTTATTTGTAATATTCTCCAGGGATGTTAATCCTAATATTACATATGCTGTTCACCATGTGTGAACACCTTTGTGCTATTATTCCTAATATACTAGAAGGATGTTACTCCTAACATTACATGGGGTATATGCCATGTGTGTACACATTCTGTGATATTATTCATAATATCTTAGACAGATGCTACTCCTAATTTTACAAGGTGTGTACACCATGTGTGTACACCCCCTCTGATATTATTCGTAATATTCTAGGAGGATGTTACTGCTAAATTCACAGGGGGAGTATACCAGGTGTATGCAACCCTGGTGATATTATTCCTAATATCTTAGGGGGATGTTGCTCCTAATGTCACATGCAGTGTACACGATGTATGTACACCTTCTGTGATACTATTCATATATCACAGAAAAAGATTATGCCTAATGTAACAGGAAGTGTACACCATGTGTGTAAACCACCTTTGATATTATTTGTAATATACTAGGGGGATGTTACTTTTAATGTCACAGAGGGTGTACAAAATGTCACAGGGGGTATATGCCTTATGATACTATTCATAATATCGAGAAGGATGTTAGTCCTAAGGTCAGAGGGGGTGTACCCCCTTCTATATTATTTGTAATCTTATAGGGAGATATTACTGTAAATATCACAGTGGGTGTACACTATGTATACTATGTATACACCCACTGTGATGTTATTTGTAATATCTTAGAGATATTACAGAGTTATATCTCTCTGTATTATATTAGAGAGTTATATCTCTCTAAGATAGTACAAATAATACCATAGCAGGTGTATCTCATGTGTGTACACACTGTGATATTATTTGTAATATCCATGGTAAACATTACATCTAATATCACAGAGAGTGTACTCCCTGTGATATTTTTCATAATATCATAGGGAGATATTGCTTCTAATATCACAGTGGGTGTACACCATGTGTGTACATTCTGTGATATGATACCTTATATCCTAGGGAGATATTTCTCCAGATACCACAGTGGGTATACACCTTGTGATATTATTCATAATATCCTAGAAAGATGTGACTCCTAATATAACAGAGGGTGTACACCCAGTGATATTCTTCATAATATCCTAGAGAGATATTACTCCTAATGTCACAGGGGTTGTACACCCATGATATTATTTGTAATATTCTAGGGGGATATTACTTTTAAAGTCACAGGGGGCGTACACCCTGTGATGTTATTCCTAACATCCTGAGAAGATGTTACTCTTAATGTCACATGGGGTGTACACCCTGTGATATTATTTGGAATATCCTATGGGAATGCTACTCCTAATATCACAGGGGGTGTACACCCAGTGATATTATTTGGAATATCCAAAAGGGATGTTACTTTTAATGTCACAGACAGGGTACGCCCTTTGATATTTTTCATAATATCCCAGGGAGATATTACTTCACACCATGTGTGTACACCCACTGTGATATTATTCACAATACCCTAGGGAGATATATAACTTTTAATATCACAGTAGGTGTACACGCTATGTGTATAATATCACTATTGTGATATTATTCATAATATCTTACAAAACTAGGACTCCATATTATTCCTAATATCCTGGAGGGATGTTACTCCTCATGTCACGGGGGTTAATACCCTGTGATATTATTCGTAATATTGCAGGGGGATGATACTTTTAAAGTCACAGGGTGTATACTCCCTGTGACATTATTCCTAATATCCTAAGGGGATGTTACTCCTAATGTCCCAGGGATGTACACCCTGTGATATTATTCATAGTATATGAGAGGGATATTAGTACTAATGCCACAATGCATGTACACTTTGTGATATTATTCGTAATATCCTAAGGGGATGTTACTCCTATTGTCACAGGGGGTGTGTTCCCTGTTATATTATTTCTAATATCCTAGAGGGATATTACTCCTAACGTCACAAGGTGTGTACACTTTATTATATTATTCATAATATCCTAAAACTACGTTACTCCTCATGTCATAGGGGGTGTTCACCCTGTGATATTATTCGTAATAGTTTTGTGGGATATTACTCCTAATGTCACATGGGGTGTACACACAGTGATATTACTTGTAATATTCTATAGAAATGTTACTTGTAAATCACAGGGGCTGTACCTCCTGTGATATTATTCGTAATATTCTAGGGGAATGTTACTCCTATTGTCACAGGGCGTGTATACCCCGTGATATTACTTGTAATATCCTAGTGGGATGTTACTACTAATGTCACAATGCGTGTACACCCTGTGATATTATTTGTAATATCCCAAAGAGGTATTACTACTAAGGTCACAATGCATGTACACCCTCTGATATTATCCGTTATATCCTCGGGGGATGTTACTCCTAATGTCACACGGGGTGTACTCCCTGTGATATTATTCGTAATATCCTAGGGGGATGTTACTTTTAATGTCACAGGGGGTGTATACCATATGTATTCAATGCCTGTGACACGATCCCTAATATCCTAGGGGGATGTTCCTCCTAATGTCACATGGGGTGTACACCATGTGTGTATACCTGCTGTGATATTATTCTTAATATCCCAGGGGGATGTTTCTTTTAATGTCACAAAGGGTGTACAAAGTGTACAAAAGGTCACAGAAGTGTACACCTTGTGATGTTATCTGTAATATCCTAGAAGGATGTTACTTCTAATGTCACAGGGGGTGTACACCCTTTGATATTATTTGTAATCTCATAGGGAGATATTACTTCAAATATGACAGTGGATTTACACACATGGCGTATACCCTGTGATATTATTCATAATATCCTAGGGAGATACAACTCCTAATATCACAGTGGGTATACCCCGTGTGTGTACACCCTTGATATTAGTCTTAATATCCAGGGTAAATATTACTCCTAGTATCACAGTGTATGCACACCCTGTGATATTTTTCATAATATTTTAGGGAGATATTGCTTCTAATATCACAGTGGGTATACCCCGTGTGTACACTCTGTGATAGTATTTTTTATATCCTAGGGAGGTATTACTCCTAATATCACAGTGGGTGTTCACCCTGTGATATTATTGATATTTGACCTTGCTGCTTTTTTTTTTTTTTTTTTTTTTTTTGAGACAGAGTTTTGCTCTTGTTGCCCAGGCTGGAGTGCAATGGCGTGATCTCAGCTCACCACAACCTCCACCTCCCAGGTTCAAGCGATTATCCTGCCTCAGCCTCACTAGTAGCTGGGATTACAGGCATGTGCCACCACGCCTGGCTAATTTTGTATTTTTAGTAGAGACGAGGTTTCTCCATACTGGTCAGGCTGGTCTTGAACTCCCGACCTCAGGTGATCCATCTGCCTCAGCCTCCCAAAGTGCTGGGATTACAGGCATGAGCCACCGCGCCCGGCCAGACCTTGCTGCCTTTTTAAACCCACACTACAAAAGGAATGGAACAGATAATAAGATATTGAGATTAGACTGTTCTGCCGTGCAGGCGCCGCAGGACACTTTTAATATCCCTGTTTCTCAGGCTGTAGATGAAGGGGTTCAGCATGGGGGTGACCACCGTGTACATCACTGAGGCCACTGCACCCTTTCTGGGGGAAGATGACACATCTGAACTGAGGTACCCTCCAACGCCTGTTCCATAAAATAAGCAAACAACTGACAGGTGAGACCCACAGGCAGAGAGGGCTTTATAGTTCCCACCTGATGATGAAACCCTCAGAATGGAGGAAACAATTTTATAGTAAGAGAAAAGGATCCCCGAGGTGGGAAGAAAACCAAATATGGCAGCAGGGAAATACATGACTATGTTATTGGTGAAGGTGTCACAACACGCATGGTGGGGGAGTTGAGAAGGGTCACAGAAGAAATTAGGAATTTCCACATCCTTGAAGCAGGTAATTTGCAAGGCAATCAAATTGTGCAGCTGGGAGTCTAAAAGACTGAGACAACAAGACAACAGAACTAGAAAGCCACAGAAACATGGGTTCATGATGGCTGAATAATATAGAGGGTGACAGATGGCTACAAACCGGTCATAGGGCCATCACACTCAGGAGCATGTCTTTCTTCCATGCCTCCAAAAATGGCAAAAAGAGACATCTGAGTCAGGCAGCCCGCATAGGAGATGACTGCTGTGAGATTGGATGTCCACAATCATCTTGGGGACCATGGTGGAGGTGAAACCGATGTCAGGCAAGGACAGGTTGGAGAGGAAGAAGTACATGGGGGTGTGGAGGTGGGAGTCAGGGCTGACGGCCAGGATGATGAGCAGGTTCCCCAGCACCATGACCAGGCACATGGACAGGAACAGCCCAGCGAGGACCGGCTGTAGTTCTGGATCCTCTGAGAGTTCTAGGACGAGGAATATTGAGACATCTGTTGTTAGATTCTGTGGGTCTGTATAGTTTGGACACCTTTGGCCTAGAAAAGAGGGTTGAAAAATCAGAAACAAGCACACCAACACCCAGCACTGTGTCTGCATTTTGGATATAAGCAATTCACAAGTAATGTTTTCAGATTTCAGAGCAATCCACACTCAGCAATATTTTGCAGTTGTGACAAACTCAATTGTCTTATAATTCTTTCATCATTGATTTTTGTGTTATTCACTTCTTGCTGTACACACCTGCCTTAGAGACACTAGATTCAAGAATGTTCCGAGAACCAGATCATCATATATAACAAATTCGTAATTGCTAGAAAATACAGTCTATCTTTTCAGAAGAAAAATATGTAATAAAAACATTCTCTTCACTTTAAGAAAAAGTTTATCCTGGAAAGAGGGAGCGTGGAGCCTCCGAGGCCGAGGACTCGGTCCCAGTTTGGACAGATAGAAGATGTGAGCGCTCTCCCTCTCCCTCTCCCTCTCCCTCTCCCTCTCCCTCTCCCTCTCCCTCTCCCTCTCCGTCTCCCTCTCCCTCTCCCCACGGTCTCCCTCTCATGTGGAGCCGAAGCTGGACTGTGCTGCTGCCATCTCGGCTCACTGCGGCCTCCCTGCCTGGTTCTCCTGCCTTGGCCTGCCGAGTGCCTGCGATTGCAGGCACGCGCCGCCACGCCTGACTGGTTTTGGTGGAGACGGGGTTTCGCTGTGTTGGCCGGGCCGGTCTCCAGCCCCTGGCCGCGAGTGATCCGCCAGCCTTGGCCTCCTGAGGTGCCGGGATTGCAGAGGGAGTCTCGTTCACTCAGTGCTCAATGGTGCCCAGGCTGGAGTGCAGTGGCGTGGTCTCGGCTCGCTACGGCCTACACCTCCCAGCCGCCTGCCTTGGCCTCCCAGAGTGCCGAGATTGCAGCCTCTGCCCGGCCGCCACCCCGTCTGGGAAGTGAGGAGTGTCTCTGCCTGGCCGCCCATCGTCTGGGATGTGAGGAGCCCCTCTGCCTGGCTGCCCAGTCTGGAAAGTGAGGAGCGTCTCCGCCCGGCCGCCATCCCATCTAGGAAGTGAGGAGCGCCTCTTCCCAGCCGCCATCACATCTAGGAAGTGAGGAGCGTCTCTGCCCGGCCGCCCATCGTCTGAGATGTGGGGAGCGCCTCTGCCCCGCCGCCCCATCTGGTATATGAGGAGCGCCTCTGCCCGGCCGAGACCCCGTCTGGGAGGTGAGGAGCGTCTCTGCCCGGCCGCCCCGTCTGAGAAGTGAGGAGACCCTCTGCCTGGCAACCACCCCGTCTGAAAAGTGAGGAGCCCCTCCGCCCGGCAGCCGCCCCGTCTGGGAGGTGAGGAGCCTCTCCGCCCGGCAGCCACCCCGTCCAGGAGGGAGGTGGGGGGGGTCAGCCCCCCACCCGGCCAGCTGCCCCATCCGGGAGGGAGGTGGGGGGTCAGCCCCCCCGCCCGGCCAGCCATGCCATCCGGGAGGGAGGTGGGGGGGTCAGCCCCCCGCCTGGCCAGCCGTGCCGTCCGGGAGGGAGGTGGGGGGGTCAGCCCCCCTGCCCGGCCAGCCGCCCCGTCCGGGAGGTGAGGGGCGCCTCTGCCCGCCCGCCCCTACTGGGAAGTGAGGAGCCCCTCTGCCCGGCCAGCCGCCCCGTCCGGGAGGGAGGTGGGGGGGGTCAGCCCCCCTGCCCGGCCAGCCGCCCCGTCCGGGAGGTGAGGGGCGCCTCTGCCCGGCCGCCCCTACTGGGAAGTGAGGCGCCCCTCTGCCCGGCCAGCCGCCCCGTCCGGGAGGGAGGTGGGGGGGTCAGCCCCCCGCCCGGCCAGCCGCCTCGTCCGGGAAGGAGGTGGGGGGGGTCAGCCCCCCCGCCCGGCCAGCCGCCCCGTCCGGGAGGTGAGGGGCGCCTCTGCCCGGCCACCCCTACTGGGAAGTGAGGAGCCCCTCTGCCCGGCCACCACCCCGTCTGGGAGGTGTACTCAACAGCTCATTGAGAACGGGCCAGGATGACAATGGCGGCTTTGTGGAATAGAAAGGCGGGAAAGGTGGGGAAAAGATTGAGAAATCGGATGGTTGCCGTGTCTGTGTAGAAAGAAGTAGACATGGGAGACTTTTCATTTTGTTCTGTACTAAGAAAGATTCTTCTGCCTTGGGATCCTGTTGATCTGTGACCTTACCCCCAACCCTGTGCTCTCTGAAACATGTGCTGTGTCCACTCAGGGTTAAATGGATTAAGGGCGGTGCAAGATGTGCTTTGTTAAACAGATGCTTGAAGGCAGCATGCTCGTTAAGAGTCATCACCAATCCCTGATCTCAAGTAATCAGGGACACAAACACTGCGGAAGGCCGCAGGGTCCTCTGCCTAGGAAAACCAGAGACCTTTGTTCACTTGTTTATCTGCTGACCTTCCCTCCACTATTGTCCCATGACCCTGCCAAATCCCCCTCTGTGAGAAACACCCAAGAATTATCAATAAAAAAATAAATTAAAAAAAAAATAATAAAATAAAAAAAAAAAGAAAAAGTTTATCCTAATTAAAGGAAATTAAGAACTCAAATATTTTATTTTATTCTAATAGAATGCCACAAATTCCCTTGATTTAGAACTCTATAAACACTGCATAACAGCTGAGACCATGCCATCTAAAAGTGAAATTAAAGTTGATAGTTCATAAGCAGAAAATATTTCCACATGCCAGTTATGGTCTAGTGATTTCATCATTATGTTTTCTGACTTTCCTCCTTCAAGAGAGTAATTACTTACTCAAATAGGTGGGTCTTGTTTAAAAATTCATGTAAGACATAACTCCTGTCCTTAGCTTAGGTGGACTTAGAGTTTTCTTTTTATTTTTCTTTCTTTTTTTTTAATTATACTTTAAGTTCTAAGGTACATGTGCACAATGTGCAGGTTTGTTACATAGGTATACATGTGCCATGTTGGTGTGCGGCACCCATTAACTCATCATTTACATTAGGTATATCTCCTAATGCTATCCCTCCCCGCTCCCCCCACCCGGACTTAGAGTTTTCATAAGAAAGTTTGGCCGGACGCGGTGGCTCATGCCTGTAATCCCAGCACTTTGGGAAGCCGAGGAGGGTGGATCATGAGGTCCAGAGATCAAGACCATCCTGGCCAACATGGTGAAAACTCGCCTCGACTAAAAACACAAAAAATTCGCCAGGCGTGGTGGTGCGTGCCTGTAGTCCCAGCTACTTGGGAGGTTGAGGCAGGAGAATGGCTTGAACCCGGGAGGCAGAGGCTACAGTGAGCCGAGATCATGCCACTGCACTCCAGCCTGGGCAACAAGAGCAAAACTCCGTCTCAAAAAAAAAAAAAAAGGAATCAAGCATGACGAAGTCACACTGATCACAGCCAATTTTTGTGAACCAAGGAAGGGTCTATTCAATAATTAACATAGATGTTTACTTTGGCTAACTCCTGTGTGCCAAGCAAGATATAGGCTCTGGGGAATCAGAAACAAAAGAGACTCACTTGTTCCTCTCACAATACTCAGTACTTACTTAGATAAGGACAAAATAAAATGTCCTGTCTGGAATGCAGGGAAACCAGAACTTCAGGTCAGGGGATATTTCCATTGAATTGCATAGAGATGAAGCTTAAAATATTAATGAATGTATCTAAAATTCACTTTGCCTTTACTTTATGCATCCATCACATAGAGATCACGGAGCAGGCACCCACGATCGGTTTAATCATTGCTCACTTCCATTGGATCAACTAGAAATCAACTCAGACGAGAGTGCTGAGTCTCAGAGGATGGACATCTCACCCCTTGCCATACAGATAAGCAGAAAAGGTGGTATTCAAAGTTAATGACCAGTCTCTAAGTCCCAGGTACTAAACTTCATGGTCTTCCAACTCTCAAGAAGTTTTTTTTTTTTTTTGAGATGGAGTCTCACTCTGTTGCCCAGGCTGGAGTGCAGTGGAATGATCTCGGCTCACTGCAACCTCTGCATCCCAGGTTCAAGTTATTCTCCTGCCTCAGCCTCCTGAGTAGCTGAGATTACAGGCGCCTGCTGCTATGCCCGGCTAATTTTTTGTATTTTTAGTAGAGACAGGGTTTTACCATGTTGGCCAGGCTGGTCTCGAACTCCTGACCTTGTGATTCGCCTGTCTCAACCTCCCAAAGTGCTGGGATTACAGGCGTGAGCCACCGCGCCCAGCTTCAAAAAGTTTAAAGCAGAGCTCAGAGGTCTTAACCACAGGCACATCTGAGGAGCATTTTGAAACAGATTCCAGCTTCCTCAATAGGAATGGAAGCCAAACTCTGAATTTATGACTCCTTTGAGGAAGTCGAGAGCTGTAAGGAAAGACAGGAACAGGGGCAAGGGAGAGATGCGTCCCGAATGATCCTGTGCCAATTCTTTCTGGAATCTTTGATGTGATCTCGGCTGCCCTTTCTATACTTGACACAGTGAATGTGGCACCCACTGGGCTAGCTGTGGTCTATCAGGAACCCCCAAAGGGAAGGGCACAGTGAGCAGGGGCATCTGCCCGAGTGACAAGGATTTGAGAGGGCAGGTTGGATGCAGGGAGAGGACTGGCCAAATGCCACGTGTCTGGACTTAGACTGCCTGGTTCAAATGGGACTTTACTCTTTTCGACTTCATGATCTGGTACAACTTATATGAAAATGCATTGCTTCTTTTCTAGTCTGTATAATAATAATTTAATGTGCACTAATAACTGGGAGAAGACCATGCAGATGAAATCAAAGAAGCTGTATAGACCACAGAGCTCAGAGCCTGGCATTTAGGAAGCCCCCAGTAAGGGTTCATGATGCCATGGTGTCTGTCATCGTCCTCTTTATCCTCCTCATCACCTTCATAATCTTTTTGTTGTGCTTAGGGAATAGTTTAGAGGGACTCATTTGCTGCTATCATGGGTGAGATGTTCATGAAAAGGACAACCAGTGTGGGAGGAAAGCAAAATTTTGAATAAGATTTCTGAGACCCCCACCACAACCAAGAATAGAAACTCCACAGTCTGCTGAGCTGACAGTTTGCACATTGGTCTCCTCCCATCTGCCCACCGCACTCTCCTGTTTGTCCTGAGGATGAGGAAACAAAACAAGGCTCCTGACCTGTCCCTCAGCACTCACTGAACTGTGCTTCCTCTCTGCTGGGTCATGACCACGGAGAACAGGTCCACTGTCCTCCCTGTGTGGTGCACGATGGAGGCTCAGACTCCGTCCTCAAGACTGGCAAGAAGACAGGGTCAGACATGAGCCTCCTGATGCAGGTGACACGTGTGTAGCCCACTGTACTGGAACCTCACACTGCAGGGCTGGAGGCACAGACTGAGTACTTACTATTCTATGGCCTTGGGGGCTCAAGGCATAGAGCTCCTCATTATCCAAATTCACCCAAGTTCCCCAATCTCTAAGGATTTCCTCATAATAATGCAGCAAGAAGAGAAAAGTGAGTGTCCCTAGAAGCTTTGGGACTCTTCCTCTAATCAGGAGAAAGCTTGTGTGTATATACTATTCGCTTCTTTCTTTTCTTTTTAAAGATCCAACTGCTTTAATTTTCATCTTTTATTATGGTAAAATATACCATGTATAAATATTAAAAATTATAAATATATATTATTTCATTTAGAATGGCCAATATAAACATTTACAGTTTCCACTATTTTTAAGTTTATAGTTTCATGACATTAAGTACATTCACATTGTTTAGCAACCATCACCTCCCTCATCTCCAGAACATTTTTATCTTTCAAAATGGACATTGGACCCATTAACCAAACTCTCCATTCCTCTCTCTCCCGCACCCCTGGGGGCCACCGTTCTATTTTGCAATTCTATGAGTTTAACTACTCTAGAGACTTGATATAAGTGGAATCATACTGTGTTTAATTTTTTTTTTTTTTTTTTTTGAGACAAAGTCTTTCTCTGTCGCCTAGGCTGGAGTGCAGTGGCGCGATCTCGGCTCACTGCAACTTCCACATCCTGGGTTCAAGCAATTCTCGTGTCTTAGTCTCCTGAGTAGCTGGGATTACAGGCCTGGGCTACCACACCCAGCTAATTTTTGTATTTTTAGTAGAGACAAGTTTTCGCCATATTGGCCAGGCTGGTCTCAAACTCCTGACCTCAAGTGATCCGCCCACCTCAGCCTCCCAAAGTGCTGGGATTACAGGTGCGAGCCACTGAGCCCAGTTGTGTTTATCCTTTGGTGATTTATTTATTTCACTGACGATAATGTCTTCAAGGTTCATCTGTGTTGCAGCCTGTGTCAGAAGTGCCTGTTTCTTTCTTTCTTTCTTTCTTTTTTTTTGATGGAGTCTCTCTCTGTTGCCAAGGCTGGAGTGCAGCGGCACAGTCCGGGCTCACTGCAACCTCCGCCTCCCGGGTTCAAGCGATTCTTGTGCCTCAGCCTCCTGAGTAGCTGGGACTACAGGCATGTGCCACCATGCTCTGCTAATTTTTTGCATTTTCAGTAGAGACAGGGTTTCACCATCATGGCCAGGCTGGTCTTGAACTCCTGACCTCAGGTGATCCGCCCACCTCAGCCTCTCAAGATGCTGGGATTACAGGCGTCAGCCACTGCGCTGGCCAGAAGTGCCTGCCTTTTTAAGGCTGAATAGCCTTCCATTGTATGAATGAACTGCAGTGCGCTTTTTCATTCGTCTGTCCATGGTCCCTTGGGTTGCTTCCACATTTTGGCTGTTGTGAATAACGCTGCTATGAATATGGGTGTACACATATCTCTTCCACTCCTGGCTTCTAATTCTAGATGGTAGGTACCCACAAATGCAACTGCGGGATCATCTGATAATTGTCTTTCTAATTTTTCAAGTACACTCCATACTATTTTCCCTGTTCCTGCACAGTTTTATGTTCCCTCTGATCATGTTTGAGCATTCCTACTTCCCTCCAGTCTCACCATTGCTTGTTTATCATATCTATCCTAATGTGTGGTATCACATTATTGGTTTGATTTGCACTTCCCTATGATTAGTGATTTTGAACATCATTTTATATGCTTATTGGCCATTGGTGTACCTTCTTTAGGGACATGTCTACTCAAGTCTTCTGACCATTGTTAATGGAATGCCTTGGGTTTCTTGTTGTTTAGTTCTAGCTGTTCTTTATATATTATGGATATCAGTCTCTTTTCACATATATGATTTGCAAATATTTTTCCTAATCCATGGGTTATCTTTTCACTCAGTTCACAGTGTTTTTTGATGCACAAAAGTGTTTCTCATTTAGATGTAATCCAAGGAATCTAATTTTCTTTTGTTGCCTATGCTTTTGGTGTCATATCCCAGAAGTAATTGCCCACTCTGATGTCATAAAAGTTTGGCCAATGTTTTCTTTTAGGTATATTATAGTTTTAGCTCTTGGGGTTAGGTCTTTCATCCAGTTTGTGTTAATTTTTGCACCTGGTATGACATAGGGTCCACCTTCATTCTTCTGCATGTGGAAATCAAGTTTCTCCAATACCATTTATTGAAAAGGCTGCTTTTCCACCAATGAACTTTCTTGGCAGTCATGTTAAAAATCATTTGAACATATAGGTGAGAATTTATTTCTGGGCTCAAAAACAAACAACAACAGACAACAGATAAACACACAGCATGGGTGGGTGTGGTTGCTCATGTCTCTAATCCCAGCACTATGGGATTTGTAATCATAGTGGGTATACAGCCTGTGATATTATTCGTAATATCCTAGGGAGGTATTACTCCTATTATCACAGTGGATGTACACCCTGTGATACTATTCGTAATATCCTAGGGAGATATTACTCCTAATCTCACAGTGGGTGTACACCCTGTGATATTATTTGTAATATCCTAGGGAGATATTACTGTATACCCTGTGTTATTTTTGTATTATTTTAGGGAGATGTTTCTCCTAAAGTCAAGATGGGTGTACACCCTGTAACATTCTTCCTAATATCACAGTGGGTGTACACCATGTGTGATATTTTCTCTAATATCCAGCGGGGAAGAGGATGATATTGCTTCCAATATCAAAGAAGGTGTACACCCCCCTGTGATATTGTTCCTAATTTCCAGGGAAGGAGAGGATGACATTATTCCCAATATCACTGGGGATATACAACCCCCCGCCATGATATTGTTCTTAATATCTGGGGGTGGAGAGAATGATATTACTCTCAATATCACAGGGGGTGTACACCACCCCTGTGATATTGCTGGTATTATTCCGGGGGGTAGAGGATATTACCTCCAATATCGCAGGGTGCATAAACACCCCCTGTGATATTGTTCCTAATGTCCTGTGAAAGAGAAAATATTACTCCCATTATCACAGGGGGTGTTCACTCCCTATGATATTGTTTCTAATATCCAGGGAAGAAGAGTATAATATTACTCCCAATATCGCAGGGGCTGTACACCTTTTTGTGGTATTGTGTCTAATATCCATGGAAATAGAGGATGATATTACTCCCAGTATTGCAGAGGGTGGACACCCCCCTGGGATATTGTTCCTAATATCCAAACGGGGAGAGGATGTTATTACTCCCAATATCGAAGGAAATGTACACCACCGCTGTGATATTGTTCCTACTATCCAGAGAGAAAAGAATGATATTACTCCCAACAGCGTAGGAAACGTACACCCGCGCTGTGATATTTTTCCTAATATCTAGGGGGAGAGAGGATCATATTACTTCCAATATCGCAGGGTGTGTACACCCCCTCTGTGATCTTGTTGCTAATATCCAGGTTTGGGGAGGACGACATTACTCCCAATATTGCAGGGGTGTACACCCCCCTGTGATATTTTTCCAAATATTCAGGGCAGGAGAGGATAATATTACTCCCAATATTGCAGAAGGTGTACACCCCTCCTGCAATATTGTTCATAGTAACCAGGGAAGAAGAGGATGATACTACTCCCTATATCACAGAAAGAGTATATTCCTTCTGTGATATCATTTTTAATATCCAAAGAGAGACCAGCTGACATTACTTTCAAAATAGCCGGGGTTTTCCACGTCCCCCGCGCCATGATATTGTTCCTAATATCCAGGTGGGCAAAGAATCATATTACTCCCAATATCGCAGGTGGTGTACAACCCCCCTGTAATGTTATTCGCAATATCCAGGGACAGAGAGAAAGATATTACTACCAATATCGTACCAGGTGTACAACCCCCTGTGATTTTGTTTCTAAAAACCATGGGGTAGAGGATGATATTACTTTCAATATTGCGCGGGTGTACACCGCCCCCCCCCCCCCCGTAATATTTTTCCTAATATCCAGAGGGCGAGAGGATGATATTACTCTTAATATCCAGGGTGGGGGAGAGGAAGATACTACTTACAATATTTCAGGGGGTGTACACCCTCCCCCCGTGATGTTGTTCCTAATATCCAGGGGGAGAGAGGATGATGTTACTCCCAATATCACACAGGATGTAAACCACCCCTGTGATATTGCTCCTAATATCCAGGGGGAGAGAGAAAGATATGACTCCCAATATCGCAGCAAGTGTACAAGCCCCTGTGATTTTGTTTTAACATCCGGGGGGGAGAGGATATTACTTGCAATATTGCAGGGGGTGTACACACCCCTGTGATACTCTTCCTAATATCCAGAGGGCAAGAGGATGATATTACTCCCAATATCGTAGGGGGTGTACAAAACCCTGTGGTATTGTTCCTAATATCCAGAGCAAAAGAGGATGATATGACTCCCAATATCGCAGAGGGTGTACACCCCTCCTGTAATATTGTTCTCAATACCCAGGGAGGGAGAGAATAATATCACATTGCATATCGCAGGGAATGTACACCCTCCCTCTCTGATACTCTTCCTAATATCCAGCGGAGGAAAGGATGATATTACTCCCGATATCGCACAGGCAGTACACCCCACCTGTGGTATTGTTCCTAATATCCAAGGGGGAGAGGATGATACTACTCCCAATATCGCAGGGGTGTACACACCCCCGGTTATATTTCTCCTAATATCTACGGGAGAGAGGATGATATTACAGCAAATGTTGCAGGGGCTATACATCCGCCCTGTGATATTGTTCCTAACATGTAGGGGGGAAGAGGATGATATTACTCCCTGTGTCGCAAGGAAGTGTACACCCACCCTGCGATCTTGTTCCTAAAATCCAAGGAAGAAGATGATGATATTACTCACAATATCGCAGGGAGTGTACACCCTTCCTGTGATTTAGTCTAATATCCCAGGGGTGGGGAGGGAATGATATTACTTTCAATACCACAGACGGTGTATACACTTCCTGTGATATTGTTTCTAATATCCATTGCAGGAGACAATGATATTACTCCCAATATCGCCGGCAGAGTACACCCCCTCTGTGATATTGTTTCTGATATCCAAAGGGGAAGAGGCTGATATTACTCCCAATATCGCAGAAAGCGTACACCTACACTGTGATATTGTTTCTAATATCCAGGGGGAGAGTTGAAGATATTACTCCCAATATCGCAGTAGGTGTACAAACCCCTGTGATTTTGTTCCTAATATTGGGGGGGGAAGGATGATATTACTCCCAATATCGCATTGGCTGTACACCACGTTTGTGATATTGTTCCTAATATCCAGAGGGCAAAAAGATGCTATTACTCCCAATATCGCAGAAAGTGCACACCCCCACCCCCGGTGATATTGTTCGTAATATCCAGGGGGGAAGAGAATAAGTCCCAATATCAGAGCAGGTGTACATTCACCCTGTGATATTGTTCCTAATATACAGGGTGGGGAAGAATGTTATTACTCCCAATATCATATGGGGTGTACATCTCCCCTGTGATATTGTTTCTCATATCCACGGGGTAAGAGGGTGACATTACTCCAAATATCACAGGGGTTGTGCGAGAGGGTGATATTACTCCAAATATCGCAGGGATTGTACACACCCCCTCTGACATTGTTGCTAATATCAAGGAGGGAAGAGGATAATATTACTTCCAATATTGCTGGTCGTGTATAACCCACCTGTAATATTGATTCTAATATCCAAAGGGGGAGAGGATAATATTACTTTCAATATCGCATGGGTTCTACACCACCCTGTGATATTGTTCCTAATATCCGGGGAAAAAAGGGTGATATTACTCCCAATATTGCAGTGGGTGTACATTACCCCTGTGTTATTGTTTCTAATATCCAGAGGAGAGGTTAACATTACCCCAAATCTGGCAGGTGGTTTGACGCCCCTTGTGGTATTGCTTTTAATATCCAGAGGGGAGACAATAATACTACCCTCAATATCACAGGAAATGTACATCCCCCTGTGATATTGCTGCTAATATCCAGGGGTAAAGAGAATGACATTACTCCCAATATCATAAAAGTGTACATACCCCTGTGATATTGTTCTTAATATCTGGAAGGCAAATATGATATTACTCCCAATTTCAAAGGGGGAATACATACCCCTGTGATATTGTTCCCAATATGCAGTGGGGGAGAGAATGATATTACCTTCAATATCGCAGGAGGTGTACACCCCTCTGTGATATTGTTCACAATGTTCAATGGGACAGATAATATTACTGGAAATATTGTTAATATACTGTGTGTCCACCCTCCTGCAATGTGGTTCATAATATTCAGGCAGGGAGAGGGGTGATATTACTCTCCATATCGCGGGGGTGTCCACCCCCCTGCGATGTGGTTCATAATATCCAGGGGGTTAGAGAGGGGTGATATTACTCTCCATATCGCAGGGGGTGTCCACCCCCTGTCTTGTAGGTAACAGAACAATGGGTTTTCTCTTCTCATCCATTCAGCCATTCTTTGTCTTTTGATTGGAGAGTTTAGTCCATTTACACTCAATGTTATTATCGATAAGTAAGGACTTACTCCTGCCATTTTGTTATTTGTTTTCTGATTGTTTGGTGGTCTTCTCTTCCTTCTTACCTTCCTGTCTTCCTTTAGTGAAGGTGATTTTCTCTGGTGATATGATTTTGTTTATTGCTTTGTATTTTTTGTGTATCCATTGTATGTTTTTTGGTTTGAGGTCACCATGAGGCTTGCAAATGCTATCTTGTAACCCATTATTTTAACCTGATAACAACAAAATACTGTTTACCTAAACAAACAAATATGCAAAAAGAAAACTAATAAAAAACTGTATGCCTTAACTTTGTCTTCCTGCTTTTTAACTTTTTGTTGTTTCTAATATATATCTTATTGTACTGTCTGTGTCTTGGAAAGTTGTTATAGTTTTTTTTTTTTTTTTTTTTTTTTTTGAGATGGAGTTTCACTCTTGTTGCCAGACTGGAGTGCAATGGCGCGATCTCGGTTCACCGCAACCTCCGCCTCCCGGGTTCAAGCAATTCTCCTCCCTTAGTCTCCTGAGTAGCTGGGATTACAGATTACAGGCATGCACCACCATGCCCGGCTAATTTTGTATTTTTAGTAGAGACAGGGTTTCTCCATGTTGAGGCTGGTCTCGAACTCCTGACCTCAGGTGATACATTGGCCTCGGGCTCTCAAAGTGCTGGGGTTACAGGCGTGAGCCACCGGGCCCAGCCAGTTTTTTTTTTTTTATTATTATTGTTTCATCATTTAGTCTATTAAGGAAAAGAGAAGTTTATACATCACGGTTACAGTTGTAATATTCTGTGTTTTTCTGTGTGCTTACTATTACCAGTGAGTTTTGTAGCTTCAGGTGATTACTTGTTGATCATTAACATAATTTTCTTTCTGATTGAAGTACTCCCTTTAACATTTCTTGTAGAATAGGTCTGGTGTTGATGAAATCCTTTAGCTTTTGTTTGAGAAAGTCTTTATTTCTCCTTTATGTTTGAAGGATAATTTCACCAGATATACTATTCTAGGGTAAAAGTTTTTTTTTCCTTTAGCACTTTAAATATGTCATGCCACTCTCTCCTGGCCCGTAAGGTTTCCACTGCAAAGTCTCCTGCCAGATGGATAAGAGCTCTCTTGTATGTTATTTGTTTCTTTTCTCTTACTGCTTTTAGGATCCTTTCTTTATCCTTGATCTTTGTGAATTTGACTATGAAATGCTTTGAGGTAGTCTTCTTTGGGTTAAATATGCTTGGTGTCCTATAACCTTCTTTTACTTTGGTATTGATATATTTCTTTTCTTTTTTTTTTTTGACAGACTCTCACTCTGTCACTCTGTTGCCCAGGCTGGAGTGCAGTGGTGCAATCTTGGCTCACTACAACCTCCGCTATTCGCCTGTCTCAGCCTCCTGAGTAACTGGAATTACAGGTGCATGCCACCACGCCCAGCTAATTTTTGTATTTTTAGTACAGACAGGGTTTGACTATGTTGGTCAGGCTGTTCTCGAACTCCTGACCTTGTGATCCACCTGCCTCGGCCTCCCAAAGTGCTGGGATTACAGGTGTGAGGCACCGTGCCAGGCTGATATTGATATCTTTCTCTAGGTTTGGGAAGTTCTGTTATTATCCCTTTGAATAAACTGGTTTTTTTTTGTTTGTTTGTTTTTTGAGATGGAGTCTCCCTTTGTCCCCCAGGCTGGAGTGCAGTGGTGCGATCTCGGCTCACTGCAAGCTCCGCCTCCCGGGTTCACACCATTCTCCTGCCTTAGCCTCCTGAGTAGCTGGGACTACAGGTGCCTGCCACCACGCCCAGCTAATTTTTTGTATTTTTAGTAGAGATGGGGGCTTCACCGTGTTAGCCAGAATGGTCTCCATCTCCTGACCTCGCCCGCCTCGGCCTCCCAAAGTTCTGGGATTATAGGCATGAGCCACTGCGCCTGGCCTTGAATAAACTTTTTACGTCTATCTCTTTCTCTACTTCCGCTTTAAGGCCAATAACTCTTAGATTTGCCCTTTTGAGGCTATTTTCTAGATCTTGTAGGTGTGCTTCTTTTTTTTATTATTATTTTTTCTTTTGTCTCCTCTGACTATATTTTCAAATAGTCTGTCTTCAAGGTCAGTAATTCTTTCTTCTGCATGATCAACTCTGCTATTAAAGGACTCTGATGCATTCTTCAGTATGTGAACTGCTTTTTTCAGCTCCAGAATTTCTGCTTCATTCTTTTAAATTCAATCTCTGTTAAATGTATCTGGTAAAATTCTGAATTCCTTCTCTTTGTTATCTTGAATTTCTCTGAGTTTCCTCACTATTTTGAATTCTGTCTGAAAGGTCACATCTCTGTTTCTTAAGGATTGGTCCCTGGTAACTTATTTAAATCATTTGGTGAGGTAATGTTTTTCTGGATGGTGCTAACGCTAGTAGATGTTCTTGGGTATCTGGGCATTGAGGAGTTAGGTATTTATCATCGTCTTCACTGTCAGGGCTTGTTTCTCATCTTTCTTGGGAAGGCTTTCCATATATATGAAAGGACTTGAGTGTTGTAATCCAAGCTGTATTTGCTTTAGGGGGGCACCCCTAGCCCGGTAACACTGTGGTTCTTACAGACTTGTAGAGGTACCACCTTGATGGTTTTGGACAAGATCTGGGAGAATTCTCTGGATTACCAGGCAGAGACTTTTGTTTTCTTCTCTTACTTTCTCGCAAACAGAGTCTCTCTGTATTCTGAGCCACCTAAAGCTGGGGGTGGAGTGACACAAGCACCCCTCTGGCCACTACTAATATGACTGTCCTGGGTCAGACCTGAAGCTGACATAGCACTGGGTCTTGCCCAAGGCCTGCTGTAACCACTCCCTGGCTACAGCCTAGGCCCTGGGGCTCTTCAATCAGCAGGTGGCAAAGCCAGCAAGGCTTCTGTCCTTCCCTTCAGGGCACTGAGTTCCCCCAGGCCCTGGGTGGGTCCAGAGGTGCGGTCTGGGAGTCAGGGACTAGAGTCAAAAACCTGAGAAGTCTACCTGGTGTTCTATTGTACTGCTGCCGAGCTGGCACTCAAACTGCAAGACTACAGTCCTTCCCACTCTTCCCTCCCCTTTCCAAAGGCAGAGGAGCCTTACCCTGTAGCCACCACCACTGCAGGCCATGGGGAGTACTGCCCGACTGCGGCTCATGTTCCCTTAAGGCCCATGGTGAATGCTTGTGGTGCAATGCTGCCTGGCTTGGGACTCACCCTTCAGGGCAGTAGGCACCCCTCTGGCCCAGGGCAGATCCAAAAATGCCACCCAAGAATCAAGTCCCAGAATCAGGGACCTCAAGAGCCTGCTTGGTGCTCTACCCCACTGTGGCTGAGCTGGTTACCTAAGGTGCAAAACAAAGTCCTCTTTACTTTTCCCTCTGCTTTTCTCAAGCACAAGAGTTTTGCCCTGTAGCACCCCCAGCTGGTAATGTGCTGAATCTTACCTGAAGCCAGCAAGTCAAGTCTCTGAGGCTCACCCAAGGCCCTCCATGTAGTACCTGGGTATCTCTGCTGGTTATTCAGAGCCCAAGCACTCTTCATTTAGTAGGTGATGACTGTTGCCAGCACTGAGTCCTTCCCTTCAAGGCAACTCGTTCCCTTCTGGCTCAGGGTATGTCTAAAAATGTCTGGGAGCTAGGACCTGTAATGGGAGCCTCACAACACTGACTGGTGTCCTAGCAAGCTGTGGCTGAGCTGGTATCCAAGATGCAAGACAAAGTCCTCTCTACTCTTCCCTTTCCTTTCCTCAAGTAGAAGGAAGAGGTCTCTTGTGGAGCCATGAGCTGTGCCCCTGGGGTTAGGATAGGGGAGATGGCAGCACTCCCTTAGCAACCCCAGCTGGTGTCTCAGTAGGTCATGTGGCGCCTGAATCTCAGCCCAGTTCTGTTCAGCCCTAAGACTCACCTAGAGTTTCAGTCCTTATGGCCTAGACTGCCTTTCAAGTTTACTTAGGGACCCAGAGCACAGTAGCCTTAAGTGGCAAGGTTTGCAAGAACTCAAGTTCTGACCACTGGGATCAATAATTCCCCTGTGGCTAGGGCTGGTTTAAATGCTCCCTCCATGGATGGGCAGCAACTGAGTTTGGTCCAGTTTTCCTTTCTGCTGTAACAAGACAGCAGTGCATTCAATGCCTCATACTTGCTGTGCTTTTCCTCCCTCAGTGCCCAGAGACACTCTCTGTACCAGGCTGTGGCTGCCAGGGGTCGGGGAGGGGTGGCATTGGTGGTTCAAGACTGTTTTTTCTATCTCTTCCATGCTTCTTTCTGTGATATCGAGATAAAACCAGGTACTATGAGGGCTCACCTGATTTTTGGTTCTTATGAAGGTGTTTTTTCTGTACATACAGTTGTTTAATTAGCAGCCTCGTGGGTGGGGAGATGATGATCGGATAATCGGTGGAGCCTTCTATTCTGCCATTTTGCTCTGCCTGTCCAGCTCAGGCCATTTTTTTTTTTTTTTTTGAGATGGAGTCTTGCTCTGTTGCCCAGGCTGGAGTGCAGTGGCGCGATCTTGGCTCACAGCAACCTCTGCCTCCCAGGTTCAAGCGATTCTCCTACCTTAGCCTCCCAAGTAGCTGGGATTACAGGTGAGTGCCACCATGCCTGGCTAATTTTTGTATTTTTAGTAGAGACAGGGTTTCACCATGTTGGCCAGGCTGGTCTTGAATTTCTGACCTCATGATTAGCCCACTTCAGCCTCCCAAAGTGCTAGGATTACAGGCTTGAGCCACCACGCCCAGCCAGCCATATATATATATATATACATTATATATATTATATATACATATATACATATATAATTTTTATATATACATTATACACACACACACACACACACACACACACACACACACACACACATATATATATACGTAATTTTTTTTTTTTTTGTAGAACATCCTTTAGAATAGACTTGTCTGGGCCGGGCATGGTGGCTCATGCCTGTAATCCCACCACTTTGGGAAGCCAAGGCAGGTGGATCACATGAGGTCAGGAATTTGAGACCAGCCTGGCCAACATGGTGAAACCCTGTCTCTACCAAAAATATAAAAATTGGCTGGGCGTGGTGGGAAGCACCTGTAGTCCCAGCTACTTGGGAGGCTGAGGCAGGAGAATTACTTGAACCCGGGAGGCGGAGGTTGCAGTAAGTCAAGATCACGCCATTGCACTCCAGCCTGAGCAATGAAGTGAGACTCCGTATCAAAAAAAAAAAAAGGAAAAACAAGAATAGATTTGTCTGATTTTCTCATCATGATCAGATATAGGTTAGACATTTTTGCAGACATATTATATATGTGGTGTGTCCTCAGTGCGTCATCTCGTCAGGAGGCACGTGATATCAGTTTGTCCTATTACTGGGGGTGATATTTGATTCTTATTTGGTTCAGGGGTGTCGCCTACATTTCTTCACTGTAAAGGTACATTTTTCTCTTTGTAATTTACACAGGATGGTATCTAGAGGCTGTGTGGAACATCCTGTCCTCCAACAACCTTTTACCCAATGTTTCAACATCCAGTGATGATTCTCGCCAGAAGTATTTATTGTAGGGTACTTGTTAGATTGTGATTTTCTAATGCTATCATTCTGTCTTCATTCATTAGTTGGCATTTTTCTGTAAAGAAACACTTTCCCGGGGGTGGAGCCAAGATGGCCGAATAGGAACAGCTCCAGTCTACAGCTCCCAGCGTGAGCGACGCAGAAGACGGGTGATTTCTGCATTTCCAACTGAGGTACTGGGTTCATCTCACTGGGGATTGTCGGACAGAGGGTGCAGGACAGTGGGTGCAGCGCACTGAGCGTGAGCCGAAGTAGGGCAAGGCATCGCCTCACCTGGGAAGCACAAGGGGTCAGGGAATTCCCTTTCCTAGTCAAAGAAAGGGGTGACAGACGGCACCTGGAAAATCGGTTCACTCCCACCCTAATACTGTGCTTTTCCAACGGTCTTAGCAAATGGCACACCAGGAGATTATATCCCGTGCCTGGCTCGGAGGGTCCTACGCCCACAGAGCCTCGCTCATTGCTAGCACAGCAGCCTGAGAACAAACTGCAAGGAGGCAGCCAGGCTGGGGGAGGGGCACCCGCCATTGCCCAGGCTTGAGTAGGTAAACAAAGCAGCTGGGAAGCTTGAACTGGGTGGAGCCCACCGCAGCTCAAAGAGGCCTGCCTGCCTCTGTAGACTCCACCTCTGGGGTCAGGGCATAGCCGAACAAAAGGCAGCAGAAATCTCTGCAGACTTAAATGTCCCTGTCTGACAGCTTTGAAGAGAGTAGTGGTTCTCCCAGCACGCAGCTGGAGATCTGAGAATGGACAGGACAGACTGCCTCTTCAAGTGGGTCCCTGACCCCCAAGTGGCCTAACTGGGAGGCACCCCCGAGTAGGGGCAGACTGACACCTCACACGGCCGGGTATTCCTCTGAGACAAAACTTCCAGAGGAACGATCAGGCAGCAACATTTGCGGTTCACCAATATCCGCTGTTCTGCAGCCTCTGCTGCTGATACCCAGGCAAACAGGGTCTGGAGTGGACCTCCAGCAAACTTCAACAGACCTGCAGCTGAGGGTCCTGACTGTTAGAAGGAAAACTAACAAACAGAAAAGACATCCACACCAAAACCCAATCTGTATGTCACCATCATCAAAGACCAAAGGTAGATAAAACCAAAAAGATGGGGAAAAAACAGAGCAGAAAAACTGGAAACTCTAAAAATCAGAGCGCCTCTCCTCCTCCAAAGGAACACAGCTCCTCACCAGCAACAGAACAAAGCTGGATGGAGAATGACTTTGACGAGTTGAGAGAAGAAGGCTTCAGATGATCAAACTAATCCAAGCTAAAGAAGGAAGTTCGAACCCATGGTAAAGAAGTTAAAAACCTTGAAAAAAAATTAGACAAATGGCTAACTAGAATAACCAATGCAGAGAAGTCCTTAAAGGACCTGATGGAGCTGAAAACCAAGGCACGAGAACTACATGACGAATGCACAAGCCTCAGTAGCCGATTTGATCAACTAGAAGAAAGGGTATCAGTGATGGAAGATGAAATGAATGAAATGAAGCGAGAAGAGAAGTTTAGAGAAAAAAGAATAAAAAGAAATGAACAAAGCCTCCAAGAAATATGGGACTATGTGAAAAGACCAAATCTACGTCTGATTGGTGTACCTGAAAGTGATGGGGAGAATGGAACCAAGTTGGAAAACACTCTTCAGGATATTATCCAGGAGAACTTCCCCAATCTAGCAAGGCAGGCCAACATTCAAATTCAGGAAATACAGAGAATGCCACAAAGATACTCCTCGAGAACAGCAACTCCAAGAACATAATTTTCAGATTCACCAACGTTGAAATGAAGGAAAAAATGTTAAGGGCAGCCAGAGAGAAAGGTTGGGTTACCCACAAAGGGAAGCCCATCAGACTAACAGCTGATTTCTCGGCAGAAACTCTACAAGCCAGAAGAGAGTGGGGGCCAATATTCAACATTCTTAAAGAAAAGAATTTTCAACCCAGAATTTCATATCCAGCCAAACTAAGCTTCATAAGTGAAGGAGAAATAAAATCCTTTACAGACAAGCAAATGCTGAGAGATTTTGTCACCACCAGGCCTGCCCTAAAAGAGCTCCTGAAGGAAGCACTAAACATGGAAAGGAACAACCGGTACCAGCCACTGCAAAAACATGCCAAATTGTAAAGACCATCGAGGCTAGGAAGAAACTGCATCAACTAATGAGCAAAATAACCAGCTAACATCATAATGACACGATCAAATTCACACATAACAATACTAACCTTAAATGTAAATGGGCTAAATGCTCCAATTAAAAGACACAGACTGGCAAATTGGATAAAGAGTCAAGACCCATCAGTGTGCTGCATTGAGGAAACCCATCTCACGTGCAGAGACACACATAGGCTCAAAATAAAGGGATGGAGGAAGATCTACCAAGAAAATGGAAAACAAAAAAAAGCAGGGGTTGCAATCCTAGTCTCTGATAAAACAGACTTTAAACCAACAAAGATCAGAAGAGACAAAGAAGGCCATTACATAATGGTAAAGGGACCAATTCAACAAGAAGAGCTAACTATCCTAAGTATATATGCATCCAATACAGGAGCACCCAGATTCATAAAGCAAGTCCTTAGAGACCTGCAAAGAGACTGAGACTCCCACACAATAATAATGGGAGACTTTAACACCCCACTGTCAACATTAGTCAGATCAACGAGACAGGAAGTTAACAAGGATATCCAGGAATTGAACTCAGCTCTGCACCAAGCAGACCTAACAGACATCTGCAGAACTCTCCACCCCAAATCCACAGAATATACATTCTTTTCAGCACCACACCACACCTATTCCAAAATTGACCACATAGTTGGAAGTAAAGCACTCCTCAGCAAATGTAAAACAACAGAAATTATAACAAACTGTCTCTCAGACCACAGTGCAATCCAACTAGAACTCAGCATTAAGAAACTCACTCAAAACCGCTCAACTACTTGGAAACTGAACAACCTGCTCCTGAATGACTGCTGGGTACATAACGAAATGAAGGCAGAAATAAAGATGTTCTTTGAAGCCAACAAGAACAAAGACACAACATACCAGAATCTCTGGGACACATTCAAAGCAGCGTGTACAGGGAAATTTATAGCACTAAATGCCCAAAAGAGAAAGAAGGAAAGATCTAAAATTGACACCCTAACATCACAATTAAAAGAACTAGAGAAGCAAGAGCAAACACGTTCAAAAGCTAGCAGAAGGCAAGAAATAACTAAGATCGGAGCAGAACTGAAGGAAATAGAGACACAAAAAAACCCTTCAAAAAATCAATGAATCCAGGAGCTGGTTTTTTGAAAAGATCAACAAAATTGATAGAACGCTAGCAAGACTAATAAAAAGAAAAGAGAGAAGAATCAAATAGATGCAATAAAAAATGATAAAGGGGATATCACCACCGATCCCACAGAAATACAAACTACCATCAGAGAATACTATAAACACCTCTGTGCAAATAAACTAGAAAATCTAGAAGAAATGGATAAATTCCTTGACACATACACCCTCCCAAGACTAAACCAGGAAGAAGTTGAATTTCTGAATAGACCAATAACAGGCTCTGAATTGAGGCAATAATTAATAGCTTACCAACCAAAAAAAGTCCAGGACCAGATGGATTCACAGCCGAATTCTACCAGAGGTACAAGGAGGAGCTGGTACCATTCCTTCTGAAATTATTCCAATCAATAGAAAAAGAGGGAATCCTCCCTAACTCATTTTATGAGCCCAGCATCATCCTGATAGCAAAGCCTGTCAGAGACACAACAAAAAAAGAGAACTTTAGACCCATATCCCTGATGAACATCAATGCAAAAATCCTCAATAAAATGCTGGCAAACCAAATCCAGCAGCACATCAAAAAGCTTATCCACCATGATCAAGTGGGCTTCATCCCTGGGATGCAAGGCTGGTTCAATATACGCAAATCAATAAATGTAATCCAGCATATAAACAGAACCAAAGACAAAAACCACATGATTATCTCAATAGATGCAGAAAAGGCCTTTGACAAAATTCAACAACACTTCATGCTAAAAACTCTCAATAAATTAGGTATTGATGGGACGTAGCTCAAAATAATAAGAGCTATCTATGACAAACCCACAGCCAATATCATACTGAATGGGCAAAAACTGGAAGCATTCCCTTTGAAAACTGGCAGAAGACAGGGATGCCCTCTCTCACCACTCCTATTCAACATAGTGTTGGAAGTTCTGGCCAGGGCAATCAGGCAGGAGAAGGAAATAAAGGGTATTCAATTAGGAAAAGAGGAAGTCAAAGTGTCCCTGTTTGCAGTTGACATGATTGTATATCTAGAAAACCCCACTGTCTCAGCCCAAAATCTCCTTAAGCTGATAGGCAACTTCAGCAAAGTCTCAGGATACAAAATCAATGTGCAAAAATCACAAGCATTCTTATACACCAATAACAGACAAATAGAGAGACAAATCATGAGTGAACTCCCATTCACAATTGCTTCAAAGAGAATAAAATACCTAGGAATCCAACTTACAAGGGACGTGAAGGACCTTTTCAAGGAGAACAACAAACCACTGCTCAAGGAAGTAAAAGAGGATACAAACGAATGGAAGAACATTCCATGCTCATGGGTAGGAAGAATCAATATCGTGAAAATGGCCATACTGCCCAAGGTAATTTACAGATTCAATGCCATCCCCATCAAGCTACCAATGACTTTCTTCACAGAATTGGAAAAAACTACTTTAAAGTTCATATGGAACCAAAAAAGAGCCTGCATTGCCAAGTCAATCTTCAGCCAAAAGAACAAAGCTGGAGGCATCACACTACCTGACTTCAAACTATACTACAAGGCTACAGTAACCAAAACAGCATGGTACTGGTACCAAAACAGAGATATAGATCAATGGAACAGAACAGAGCCCTCAGAAATAATGCCGCATATCTACAACTATCTGATCTTTGACAAACCTGAGAAAAACAAGCAATGGGGAAAGGATTCCCTATTTAATAAATGGTGCTGGGAAAACTGGCTAGCCATATGTAGAAAGCTGAAACTGGATCCCTTCCTTACACCTTATACAAAAATCAATTCAAGATGGATTAAAGATTTAAACGTTAGACCTAAAACCATAAAAACCCTAGAAGAAAACCTAGGCATTACCATTCAGGACATAGGCATGGGCAAGGACTTCATGTCCAAAACACCAAAAGCAATGGCAACAAAAGCCAAAATTGACAAATGGGATCTAATTAAACTAAAGAGCTTCTGCACAGCAAAAGAAACTACCATCAGAGTGAACAGGCAACCTACAACATGGGAGAAAATTTTCGCAACCTACTCATCTGACAAAGGGCTAATATCCAGAATCTACAATGAACTCAAACAAATTTACAAGAAAAAAACAAACAACCCCATCAAAAAGTGGGCAAAGGACATGAACAGACACTTCTCAAAAGAAGACATTTATGCAGCCAAAAAACACATGAAAAAATTCTCATCATCACTGGCCATCAGAGAAATGCAAATCAAAACCACTATGAGATATCATCTCACACCAGTTAGAATGGCAATCATTAAAAAGTCAGGAAACAACAGGTGCTGGAGAGGATGTGGAGAAATAGGAACACTTTTACACTGTTGGTGGGACTGTAAACTAGTTCAACCATTGTGGAAGTCAGTGTGGCGATTCCTCAGGGATCTAGAACTAGAAATACCATTTGACCCAGCCATCCCATTACTGGGTATATACCCAAATGACTATAAATCATGCTGCTATAAAGACACATGCACACGTATGTTTATTGCGGCATTATTCACAATAGCAAAGACTTGGAACCAACCCAAATGTCCAACAATGATAGACTGGATTAAGAAAATGTGGCACATATACACCATGGAATACTATGCAGCCATAAAAAATGATGAGTTCATGTCCTTTGCAGGGACATGGATGAAATTGGAAACCATCATTCTCAGTAAACTATCACAAGAACAAAAAACCAAACACCGCATATTCTCACTCATAGGTGGGAATTGAACAATGAGATCACATGGACACAGGAAGGGGAATATCACACTCTGGGGACTGTGGTGGGGTCGGGGGAGGGGGGAGGGATAGCATTGGGAGATATACCTAATGCTAGATGACACGTTAGTGGGTGCAGCGCACCAGCATGGCACATGTATACGTATGTAACTAACCTGCACAATGTGCACATGTACCCTAAAACTTAAAGTATAATTTTAAAAAGTATTAAAAAAAACTTTCCCTTTCCTCCTTTTTGAAAAAGCATTATTATTATTATTGCTGTTGTTATTTTATTTCATGGTTGTTTTTAGAGATGGGGTGTCACTCTGTCACTTGGGCTGTAGTGCAGTAGCGTAATCATAGCTCACTGCAGCCTCAAACTTCTGGGCTCAAGCGATCCTTCCATCTCATCCTCCTGAGAAGCTACAGAGGCGTGTCTCTACACTTGGCTATTTTTAAAACATTTCTGTAGAGAAAGGATCTTGTTGTGTTGCCCAGGCTGGTCTCCAATTTCTGTTTTTGTTTTGTTTTGTTTGTTTTTTTGAGGTGGAGTTTTGCTCTGTCACCCAGGCTGGAGTGCAGTGGCACGATCTTGGCTCACTGTAACCTCTGCCTCCTGGGTTCAAGCGATTCTCCTGCCTCAGCCTCCTGTAGCTGGGATTACAGGCACACGCCACCACGTCCGGTTCCTTTTGTATTTTTAGTAGAGACAGGGTTTTGCCATGTTGGCCCGGCTGGTCTTGAACTCCTGACCTCAGGTAATCTGTCATCCTGAGCCTCCCAAAGTGTTGGGATTACAGGTGTAAGCCACTGCACCTGCCCTTACTTCACTTTATGTGTTTATTTATTTTAGATATATTTTTAATTGAAAAAAAATATTTTTAATTGAAAAAATATATATATTTTTCAATTGAAAAAATATATATATTTTTAAATTAAAAAAATATATTTTTTTAACTGAAAAATATATATATACATATTTTTAATTGAAAAAAATAAGCTGGGTGCGGTGGCTCACGCCTGTAATCCCAGCACTTTGGGAGGCTGAAGCGGGCGGAGCATGAGGTCAGGAGATCGAGACCATCCTGGCTAACATGGTGAAACCCCGTCTCTACTAAAAATACAAAAAATGAGCCGGGCATGGTGGTGGGTGCCTGTAGTCCCAGCTACTTGGGAGGCTGAGCTAGGAGAATGGCGTGAACCCGGGAGGTGGAGCTTGCAATGAGCTGTGATGGTGCCACTGCACTTCAGCCTGGGCCACAGAGCAAGACTCTGTCTCAAAAAAAAGAAAAAAATATATATTTTTTGAGACAGTCTCACCCTGTTGCTCAGGCTGAAGTGCAGTGGCACCATCACAGCTCATTGCAACCTTGACCTCTTGGGCTCAAGTGATCCCCCTGCTTCAGCCCCTTGAGGAGCTGGGACTAACAGGTGTGCCACCATGCCTAGCTAACATTTAAAACATTTTTTGTAGAGACAGGATCCCACCAGGTTGCTCAGGCTGGTTGAGAACTCCTTCCACTTTGGCTGGCATTACAGACATCAGTTACCACACCCAGCCTTTACTTCACTTTTTAAGCTTTAGTTTCGTCATCTGTAAAACAAAACCTATAGGTAGTTGTGAGAAGTGAGATGATTGAGCTTGACAGACAGTAAGGGCTATGTAACTGTTAATTTCCTTCCTTCCTTTCCTAGCTGTCTTCCCTAAACTCAGCCTCCTGCCACCTGCCACAAGCTACCTACCAGAAGAGTTCACGAGATGCCACGTGCTCCCACTCCATGACAAGTGTGTGGAGGTTCTCCCTTCATGATGACTGCCACAGTGTGGCCTGGGCACCAGGGTGAGTCCACAGTGGCTGGGGATCCTCCTGAGTGTCTTACAGTAGATGTGGAAAAACAAGCACAGGACCTTGTTTTCACAAGAGGGAGGAGGCAGATCTCCTGCTGAGCCTTCCACTTTTGAGCATACCAGCTCTGCCCTCTCTCAGTTTCTCCACCTATAAATGCAGCCAATTTCTAAAAGAGGACTGACAGGCAAGCCAAAGGGGACCTTTGATCTGGGGGAAGTGCTTAGGGCTGGAGGTCAGGAGTCATGGATTCTAGTTCTTCCTGGGTCCCAAAGGTCCCTTTGGGTCCTCAGACAAATACTCCAGCTCCTCACTTTATAGAAAAAGAAACAGAGAGCCGGGGTGATGGCTCACACTTGCAATCCCAGCACTTTGGGAGGCCAAGGTGGGTGGATGCCCTGAGGTTGGGAGTTCGAGATCAGCCTGGGCAACATGGTGAAACATTGTCTCTACTAAAAATACAAAATTTAGCCGGGTGTGGTGGCAGGCACCTGTAGTCTCAGCTAATCGTGAGGCTGAGGCAGGAGAATCGTTTGAACCCAGGAGGTGGAGGTTGCAGTAAGCCGAGATCACATCACTTCACTCCAGTCTTGGTGACAGAGCAAGACTCTGAAAAAAAAAAGAAGAAAGAAGGAGAAGAGAAGAAGAAGGAGAAGGAGAAGAAGAAAAAGAAAAAAACAACAACAACAACAGAAGGCCAAGGACCATCTCTAAGAACCGTACCAGTTTAAAAGTCTATGCATCTCTGATCTCTCCCTTATTACGCAGGACAGAAAGTGAGCTGCAGGACCCCCACCCCCACCCACCTCACCATTTGCTATCACTGCCACCTATGTGGTCAGCTGAGGTTGTGTGCACTTAAGGAGTTGGCTAGGATACAGAGGGGAGCTGGGTCTTCCCAGGGACCCAGGCAGCCCTTTTCTTTTCTTTTTTTGAGATGGGAGTTTCAATCTTGTTGCCCAGGCTGGCGTGCAATGGCGCGATCTTGGCTTACAACAACCTCTGCCTCTCAAGCAATTCTCCTGCCTCAGCCTCCCAAGTAGTTGGGGTAACAGGCATGTGCCACCATACCTGGCTAATTTTGTATTTTTAGTAGAAGCAGGGTTTCTCCATGTTGGTTAGACGGGTCTCGAACTCCCGACCTCAGGTGATCCACCCGCCTTGGCCTCCCAAAGTGTTGGGATTACAGGCGTGAGTCACTGCGCCCGGCTCAGGCAGCCCTTTTCTATCTGTCTCTGACACTGGTCCCTTCAGGACTCTTTCCATTTCCCCCTCATCATCCTTAAAGCTGCACAGCAGTGTCCAAGATCAAAACTTCTCAAGTACTCTCAGGCTCATGAATGGATAGGAAATGCCCAACATATACTAGATTCTCAAGCAGGGTGATGTCAGTCCTTCCTCCTCAGCAGTATTATAAACGATCGTTAGTGCTAAAACTAACATTCTCTCCAGATGGCTCAAATGCAAGTTCTCTCATCGAATCCTTACACTAACTCTTTGTGGTAAACATCATTACTCCCATCTTACAGATGTTCAGGGTAAGTACATATCTAATAATCAATGGAATCAGGACTGGGAATTTATGTCTGTGTGGCTTCTCTGATCACACTAGACTGTGGCCACACAAAAAATACCAAGTAAAACACTATACGGCAGAGTTTAGTTTTAAGTAACTTGATAGGATGTCCAAATCCAAATTGCTTCATAATGGAGACCTGTTGCTAAAGCAGGGCCATGTTTATAAGAAGAGGTGTTTGGGACCTTTATTTATTTATTTATTTATTTATTTATTTATTTACTTATTTATTTTTTGCCTTAAATGCTGTAAAGTGTTTTCATGTGCTCTGCAATATATTGAAAAACAACGACCAAGACTTGTGGATTGTGTTCTGAGGATGGGTTGTGGATGCTGTGGGATATGGGCCTAGGTGTGTGTCTGAGTGCTTTGGAAAAAGAGGCAAAGACATTGATATCTGGAGTTGCCAAAGCAGTGTGACAAAGCACATGCTGCATGGACCCTGAGCTGTGCAGCAGTACTTTAGGGCTGTGTCAGTCTAAAACCCCTCTACAATGTGACAGGTGTGTGGGTTTGTATTTCCCTGTGGGTCTGGGAAGCTGACTGAGCCTGGCTAGTGATATGATAATTGGAGTGGAAATGACAATAGGATGGCCTGTTAAGAAGTGTTGGGGGGTGGTGGGGCAGGCACTGTGGCTCAAGCCTGTAATCCCAGCACTTTGGGAGGCCAAGATGGGAGGATTACTTGAACTCAGGAGTCCAAAACCAGCCTGGGCTGTATAGCAAGACCTTGCCTCTACTAAAAAAATTTAAAAAAAAAATTAGCCAGATGTGGTGGCATATGCCTGTAGTCCCAGCTACTTGGGAGACTGAGGCAGAAGGATCCCTTGAGCCCAGGAGATGGAGGCTGCAGCGAGCTGATATGGCACCACTGTACTCCAGCCTAGGGGACAGAGAAAGACCCTGCCTCAAAAGTAAAACAAAACAAAAAAAGAAGTGTTTGGGCCTCTTAACTTTTTTCTCTCCCTCCTGAAGAAATTAGTCCAAGAGCCATTGGAGGGTGTGAGCAAGGCATGTGTTGGATGTGTGTGTGTGTGTGTGTGTGTGTGTGTTTTGGGGTATGGGGAGAGGAAGAGGAGCCTCCTATGCCAAAAGGAGGGTACCAAGGAGGCAATGCAGGTGGGGGGGTGCCCTCGACAGGGATGGCTCTGCTTAAGGTGTTGGCACTCCAGTGGGATAAGGAAATTGCCCAATCAAGGTGGTAAGGCAAGGAAGGCATTTGTGGGGTGGGTGTGATGACATAGACCAGGAGTTGGAACAAGGACAGAGTAAGGGGGGGTCCAAGTGTCGGGGGGATGGAGGAAGATCTGCAGTGTGGTTGATGTGGGATGTCAGAGCCTTGAGTAAGGTAAGGCGGGCATCTGCATGAGGAAGGCACCCAATGGAATACTGGCTACATACAGGGGGATTGATCAAATGAGTACATTAAGAATCATGAGAGCTAGGTCTCTCACTGTTGGAGAAGTTACCAGGGTATTGTATTAGAATTGGAGGTCTTGGTGTGAACTTACAGTTTTCAATATTTAGCTATATATCTATATGCAAATATAGAAATCATTAAATATATAAATGTGTGTAGAGCTCTGCCCACTGAGAAGGCCTGGAAATAGCAACACCCTAATAGCATGAGCATACTTAGCACATACATCTTGGTTTTTGAACACCATTTTCCAATAAAAGAAACTGAGGCTTCTTGGAGAAATGGCTGAATTTACAGCAAAGTGTAAGATGAGCCTGGAACATCTTAATGTACCTGAAAGCAAGGAGGGACTCAATGAATGATAGTGACATTATCAAATGAACACAAGAGCCAGCTCCAAGGGCTCACACTGGCAAGATCTGGGACAATTTGTGTATCAAAATAAATACCCATAGAAACAGATTATAACTCATTGAATAAGAGAAAACTGTGTGCATATGCAGACACGAATAAATGAATACACTGAATATTTGGTGAGATGTGGCATATTTACATGGTTTTAAAGCATCTCTTTGCAAAATATTTATTTCAAAAAGTACAAAGGGGAAATGAGTAACTTCATAGTAGAGAGGCTTGACAGGAGCCATCACAATTAAGGGATCAAAGCGAATATCATCAGTAATCATCAGGGATAACCTGAAGGCATGTGTTGCCTGATAGGGTGCAATGAGAAGAATACAGCATCCCTTATGTGATATTTCTCCCAAAGATGCATACAGTAAATCTAATCATAAGGAAACATCAGACAAACACAAAATGTGGGACATTTAACAATATAACTGGCCTATGATCTCTAAAGGTGTCAATGTTGTAGTAACCAACAAAAGACATCAGGAACTGTTACAGAACGAAGGATGTAGATACAACTAAATGCATCCCATGATCCTGAACTGAATCCTCATGCTGGAAAGGACATTGTTGGGATAACTGGGAAAAACTGAATAGGGTTTGAAGATAAGATTTTAGTAATATGGCAACATTAGTTTCTGATTTTGACTTTTGGTGTTTGTAATGTGATCACATAGGAGAATATCCTTATATGTAGCAAAAACATCTTAAAGTGTTGGGGAGGTGGTAATGAGGCATCATATGCACAACTTATGTGTCAAATATTTACAAAAAAAGTTCTTTGTACTATACTTGCAACTCTTCCACAGATTGTAAAATGAAAATTAGAATTAAAAAGAGAAAAAGTGTCAGGGAGAGTGGGCTTCTTGGCTGAACCAAAAAGGAAAGGGGATGCAGCCCCTGAGCTGGCAGTGCTGCAAACAGGCTGGGGGGTTGGGAACTGAAAGTCTGGGGCTGGGGGGACAAGCAGTCCTCATCTGAAGTTACAAGGCAGAAGGCTCATGGGCAGGTGGCTTCCGTTCTTCCTGGAAAGCCCTCTCTAATTTGAGAGCAGCAAGGTACTACTTGTTGCTATACCAGAGACCCCCAAGAGGAAGGGACTGTGTCTTACTGTGACGGTTAATTTTATGTATCAACAGGAGTAGGCCACGGGATACCCAGGTATTTTGTCAAACATTACACTGGGCATTTCTGTCAGGGTGTTTTAAATGAGTTTAACATTTTTTCAATTTTTTAACCATTATTTTTTTGAGATAGGGTCTCACTCTGTTGCCCAGGCTGGAGTGCAGAGGCATGATCTCAGCTCACTGCAGTCTCAACCTCCCAGGCTCAGGCAATCTCCCACCTCAGCCTCCCAAGTAGCTGGGACTACAGGTACATGCCACCACGCCCAGCTAATTTTTTTGTTTTGTTTTGTTTTTGTGGAGACAGGGTTTTGCCACATTGCCCAGGCTGGCCTTGAACTCCTGAGCACAAGCCATCCACCTGCTTCCACTTCCCAAAGTGCTAGCATTACAGGCATGAGCCACCGCGCTCACATGGCCGAGTTTAACATTTAAATCAAGAGACTAAGTAAAGCAGATTGATCTCTCTGATGCGCGCATGTTGGGGGGCCCACCGATCAGCTGAAAGTCTGAATAGAATGAAAGGCTGACCCTTTCCCAAATAAAAGGGAATTCCTCCTGCCTGACTGCCTGCAAGCTGGGATGTGAGGTTTTTTTCCTGGCCTGAGGGTAGGAATTGCACCATTGGCTCTGCTGGGTCTCTAGCGTGCCTACTGCAGATCGTATCGGCTTCCAGAATCACGTGAGTGAATTCCTTATAATAAATCTCTCAATTGGTTCTGTTCTCTGGAGAACTCTAATGGTTTATTTTCCTGCTATCTCTCTTTGCTTACATTGTCTCCTACTACGGGACTGACACAAAGTAGATGCTTAAGAGAAAGTTTTTAAATGAAAATATAAAGGCAGAGGGTGATTACGTCAGAGGCACAGAGAATAGCATGGTGGTGGGAACAAGGGTGAGAGATGAAGAAACCTTAGCTGACCTTGTGGGGTCCTTTCACTGCTCTGGGACCTGTGAACGTCTTGTATGGATGCTGCCTGCTCCCTACCGCTTTAGGACCAAATGTTGTGTATGTATGTCTGTTGTGTAGTATGTGTGTTGTGTAGTATGTCTGTTGTGTAGTAATAGAACAATTACACTGAGACAGCAGGGATGTAGTGGAGAACGAGTTTAATGATTGCAGGGTGACAAGTGAGGAGACAGGAGGAGACCCTCAAATTTATTTTTTTGTGGAGTTTTGGGCTGGAGCTTTTAAGGGGATTGTGGAGGGTGAGGGGCTGGAAAACTGAAGACATTGACTGGTTGGGCACGGGGGGGATGAAAAGCTCAGGATGTGGAAACTGCATTCTTTGGTGAGTCAGCTCTTCATGGGGTCCTTCAGACCAGTAGAGTCAGTAGTTTTATTAGTATGTAGGACCTGAAGTACTATTTCAAAGGAAAAACTTAACATTTTATAATGTTTAAGTTGTCTATAAACATTATAGTCCAGGGTCTATGTGATTCCAGGGTCTACAGTCCAGGGTCTATGTGATTCCAGAACAATAGACACCAAATAACTATGAAGAAGCAGGTCAGAGAACAAGTTGATCTCATGATTCATACTGAGTGGACTACCAATTGGTTTGTTTTTCTTTCTCATCTTTTTAAAAATTAATTTTGGCCAGGCGCAGTGGCTCATGCCTGTAATCCCAGCACTTTGGGAGACCAAGGCGGGTGGATCACCTGAGGTCGGGAATTCGAGACCAGCCTGACCAACATGGAGAAACCCTGTCTCTACTAAAAATACAAAATTAGCCTGGCATGGTGGCACTTGCCTGTAATCCCAGCTACTCGGGAGGCTGAGGCAGGAGAATTGCTTGAACTCTGGAGGCGGAGGTTGCATTGAGCCGAGATTGTGCCACTGCACTCTAGCTTGGGCAACAAGAGTGAAACTCCATCTGAAAAAAATAATAACAATAATTAATTTTATAGGCCTCACACAGTGGCTGACACCTATAATCCCAAAACTTTAGGAGGCTGAGGCGGGCAGATCGCTTGAGCTCAAGAATTTGAGAGCAGCCTGGGCAACATGGCAAAACCCTGTCTCTTCAACAAATACAAAAATTAGCTGGATGTGGTGGCACCCACATGTAGACCCAGCTACTCAGGAGGCTGAGATGGGAGGATCACTTGAACTTAGGAGCCTGGGCTGCAATGAGCCGTTATCTTGCTGCTGCACTCCGGCCTAGGCAACAGAGTGAGACTGTCTCAAAAAACATTTATTTTTTAAAAAATATAATGTATAGGGCTAGTTTTACAACCACCATCGCAGGTGGGAAAGGAGCGGGGCTAACATCAAGGACTATGCTGGGTGTTCTATCTTCAGGTTGGAGTCATTGATTGTGTTCTATCCTCAGGTACCTGCAGTGTTCCTCCACCCCCAACCCTGCTTGCTCCAGAGCAGCTCTTGTCTTCCAGCATTTAAAGCATCCACTTCTCCACAATACTGAGAACGCCCTAGGGTGGGGACCATGGTGTATAGACCATTGAAGTGCTAGAATGTTGTAGTATCTACTACCAACAGATGTTCAATAAATAAGGATATGTGGTGTGTCCAAGGTCACAGAACTTAGTGAGAGGGCAGCACCCTGAGTCCAACCCAGATCTGTTTGACCCCAAAGGCCATGCTCTTCCATCATGCCATGCTGTCTCCTTGAGAGTAAAGGAGACTTTTTACAAGAGAGTAACGAATTATTGGTTACCCGGAAGCTGAAAATTCCTGGGCACATGTTTGGTTGACTGAATCACATTTTGATTTATTTCTGAACATGGACTATTTTGCATTTAAGTTGATGGCTTAGTGCCATGTACATCACGAGCATCTAGTGTAAAATAAAGTCCTTCACCAGGGCCAATCAAGAGAAAGAGCCTCTGTACAAAAAGTGCCTATTATCACAGTTGATGGTGCTTTGTCCTGAGATAATTAGGCTGGAAAGGGCCCTGGACAGGTGTTGGAGTCTGGTCTATGTTACATAACTAGCCATATGATCTTTGGTCTTTAATGTTTCATTGTTAAAGAATGTTTCTGTTTGTCTAAGAGAGATACTCTCAAAAGAAACATTTGGTTATTTGTAATTTTCTAACACATTTTAAAATAATTTTTAATTTTGAGATAATTATAGACACATGAATTTGCAAAGATAATAGAGAGGTCTCTGTTTACCCTTCACTCAGTTTCCCCCAATGGTTACATCTTATTAAACTACAGAACAATATCAAAACCAGGAAACTGACATTGATACAATGTGTTTATATACTTCTGTTATTTTATTTGAGTGTCAATTTGTGTATAACTATGATTGCAGTCAAGATAAAGAATTATGGTCAGTGCAGTGGCTCATGCCTGTAATCCTAGTACTTTGGCAGGCCAAGGAGGGTGGATCACTTGAGGCCAGGAGTTCAAGACCAGCCTGGCCAACATGGTGAAACCCTGGCTCTACTAAAAATACAAAAAAATTAGCCAGGCGTGGTGGTGTGTGCCTGTAATCCCAGCTACTTGGGGGGGCTGAGGCATGAGAATAGCTTAAACCTGGTGGTGGAGTTTGCAGTGAGCCGAGATTGTACCACAGCACTTTAGTCTGGGTGACAGAAGGAGGCTCTGTCTCAAAAACAACAACAACGACAACAACAAAAACAAAACACAAAACCCCAGAAAAATATAGAATTATTTCATCACTACAAAGATCTCCCTCATGCTATTCCCTTGTAGTTACATCCTTACATCCTCCCACTCCCCACCACCATCCCTAACTCCTGGCAACCACTAATAATCAGTTCGCCATCTCTACATTTAAAAAAAATATATTTTGAGAACATTATAGACCTTTTCAGATTGGCTTTTTTTTTTTCTCAACATAATGTCTTGAGATCCATCCAAGTTGTATGTATCAATTCCTTTTCATTACTGAGTTTTATTCCATGGTATAGATATATCACAGTTGTTTAACCATTTACCTATCATAGGACATTTGCTTATTTCCAGTTTTTCCCTATTACAAGTAAAGTTGCTGTGAATAATTATGTACAAGTTTTTATGTGGAAAAATGTTTCATTTTTCTGGGATAAATGCCTAGGAGTGTGAATACTGGGTTATATGGTAAGTAAGTGTTTAGTTTTTGGCTGGTCTCAGTGGCTTGCACCTGTAATCCCAGCACTTTGGGAGGCTGAGGTGGGTGAATCATTTGAGGTCAGGAATTCAAGACCAGCCTGGCCAACATGGTGAAACCCTGACTCTGCTAAAAACACAAAAATTAGCTGGGCTTGGTGGCATATGCCTGTGATTCCAGCTACTCGGGAGGCTGAGGCAGGAGAATTGCTTGAACCCAGGAGACAGAGGTTGCAGTGAGCTGAGATTGTGCTGCTGCACTCCAGCCTGGGTGACAGAGTGAGACTCTGGCTCAAAAAAAAAAAAGTTTCCTTTTTAAAGAAACTGCCAAACTATTCTTCAGAGTGGCTGTACCATTTTACATCCCACTAGCAATGTATGAGACATAAAGTTTCTCTGCATACTCTTTTGTCACTATTTTTTATTTTAGTTTCTAACATATAATTTTGAAAATCAGTGATAGGCATTGAGTTTTATTGATTACATATTTTGGCATTTATTGAGATAATTTCAGTGTGTCTCTTATTGGACCTATTAATGAATTGTATTATTCTATGTATCTATATGTATATGTTTTAAATGATAAAAAGATCAAACAGTATGAAAGGGGAAACAAGGTAAAGTAAATCTCGTACCATTCCTATTAGAGTTTCCCTCCTCAGAGGCAATCACTTTACCTGATTCTTGACAGTGTAGGGACTATATCTGTATGTTAACAGTAGCATATCACATGCACAGTACTGTAGCCTGCCTTTTCACTTTATTTATTTATTTATTTAGAGATGATGTCTTGCTCTGTCACCCAGAATAGAGTGTAGTGGCCCAATCATAGCTCATTGAAGCCTCAACTTCCAGGGCTCAAGTGATCCTCCCACCTCAGCCTCCCAAGTAGCTGTAACTATAGGTATGCGCCCCATGCCTGGCTAATGTATCTTTTGTAGAGATGGAGTTTTGCCATGTTGCCCAGGCTGGTCTTGAATTCCTGGACTCAAGCCATCCTCATGTTTCAGCCTCCCAAAGTACTGGGATTATAGGTACAAGCCACTGCATCTGGCCCATTTAATATCTTACAGACCATTCTATATCAGTACGTAGGGATCTATTCTCATTCTTTTTTACAGCTTGCATAGCATTCTGTTTTTGTTGTTGTTGTTGTTGAGGAATGTGCCAGTTTAATCAACCAGGTCTTTTTTGATAGACATTAAGGTTATTTCCAGTTCTTTGTAATTACTGACAATGCTGCAGTGAATACTCTAGTACACTGGAATTTGTGCCCCATGTAAGCACTAATGTAGGATAAATTCCTGACATGAAATTGCTAGGTCAAGACATTGAGGTTGGAATAGCTGTGCCAAATTGCCTTCGAAGAGGCTCAAACATTTTAAAGTCCCATCAACAATGAACAAGAATGTCTTTCTCTACAATATCTTTTCTTTCTTTCTTTTATGAGACAGAGTTTCACTCTGTCACCCAGGCTGGAGTGCAGTGGCGTGATCTCTGCTCACTGAAACCTCCACCTCTAGGGTTCAAGTGATTCTCCTGCCTCAGCCTCCCAAGTAGCTGGGATTACAGGCATGCACCACCATGCCCAGTTAATTTTTGTGTTTTTAGTAGAGACAAGGTTTCACCATGTTGGCCAGGCTGGTCTCGAATTGCTGATCTCAAGCGATCCACCCGCCTCAGCCTCCCAAAGTGCTGGGATTACAGGCGTGAGCCACCACGCCTGGCCAATATCTTTTCTAATTTATCTTTTCCAATCTGACATCTAAAAAAATAGTATTTCACCGTAAGTTGCAGTTCTTCTATTATGAAGTGGCTCAGTATCTTTTCATTTGCTTAAAAGTTATCTGTATTACTTTTCTATTAACTGTGGGTTCATACCCTTTGCCCATTTAATGTATTATTTAAAATCAATGTTTAGCTAGCAAAACACCGCTTTCCTATTTTCATTTGCTCAACAACCTCCTCAGAGGCAGGAGGTTCCTTCAGACAGGTGTCCCCCGTCCTCTGCAACCAGTTACCTCTTCTAACTCATAAATGCCTCCTTCCCCAACACCACTGTCTGTTCCCAAGGAAGGGCCCCTTTATGGTCTCATCAACATCTCACAGCCCTCCCAAAATTATGTGCATGCTCTCCCATCCCTCCCCTCTGGAGTGCTCTTTTCCCAGTCAAACCTAACCAGTCCTTCAGGGTCCAGCCTAATTCCACCTGTTTGGGCACCTTTCTGAATAACTAGTGCTCACATTGCATACAGTCTCACTTTCAGGCGCGCCTCCTCCCATCAATCAGAGCCTATGTCCCGAGAAGGCTGGGCCTGACAACAGCTGGAGCCCAGCTGCTGCTCTGTCTTTGCTCAGTGTGTGTGTGTGTGTGTGTGTGTGTGTGTGGCCGGGAGTCTGAGTGTGGAGTATGTTTCATTCACTCATCCTGCAGTTTTTTTTTTTAGACTGAGTCTCGCTGTTGCACAGGTTGCAGGGCAGCGGCGCGATCTCGGCTCACTGCAACCTCTGCCTCCCTGGTTCAAGCGATTTTCCCGCCTCAGCCTCCTGAGTAGCTGGGATTACAGGCGCCCGCCACCACGCCCGGCTAGCTTTTGTATTTTTTTGGTAGAGACGGGGTTTCACCATGTTGGCCAGGCTGGAATAGAACTCCTGACCTCAAGTGATTCACCCGCCTCGGCCTCCAAGAGTGCTGGGATTACAGGCCTGAGCCACCGTGCCCCACCCCATCCTACAGTTATTGAATGCGTAATGCATACATGAGTCAGGTGCTGTTCCAGGCATTGGAGACCAGGCAGTGTATGAGGTAGATCAAAGCCCCTTCTCTCATCCAGCTGACATGTTGGAACTAATATACAACAAACAAGACAAACACAAATATCAATTAAATGTAAACAAGTAATGAAATAGCGAGGGAAGGAGGGGAAGGATTTTCTTTGCAGAGGGCTCAGGGAGGGCTCCCCGAGGAGATAAGATAGGAGTAAAGACCCGAATATGAGAGGGTGCCGCCACTGCAAAGAGCTTTGCAGGGCCCCCTAGAGGCCCCGCCTGGCCACCGCTCTTCCAGAGATGGACGTGCTGCCGAGCCCTCAAAACCCCTTTTTTCTGTTACTTGACAGAAACTGAAGGCAAGAGCTTGCGATCCCTGCAACCTCAGTGGTGTGTGGCGGTAACCCTGCTCCCTCCTGTTTCACATCCCAGCTGAAAACTTGGGAAAATGAAATCGCGCTCGGCCTGCCGTTGATAGAGCACCTACTACATGCCATGGTCCGGTTAAGCACTTTATGCGATTGTTACTTCATTTAATCTACACAACAATCCCGTGTGGACTCGATTAACCTTACAGGGGAAGAGAAGGAGGCTGGGAATATGGCAGGAACCTGAGTGTTAACTTGGTTCACACACAAGCGGAGTTCCCGGGTCGGGAAGTTCTGTGGTGCGGGTCGGCTGGGGTTTACTGAGCGTTCGGGCGCTCGCCGTTTTCGGAGTTGGTCGGGTCCAACCGCGCGCCCCGAAGCTGCCCAGGCGCGCCCGCCAGCGGCCCCCGCCAGCGGCCCCCCGCGCCGCCCGGGTCTCCCGGCCTCGGGGGCAAAGGGGAGCGCCGGTGCCAGCAGGCTGGGGGCGGGGAAGGCTCGGGGACAAAGGCCGCGGGCACTGCGCTGGGTTGGCCGGAGCGGCTGCGAACTCCGGGCGCCAGGACCCGGCCGGGCGGTCGCTCCCTCAGGAGCCCGCGCCTGGATGGAGCGCCTCGCGGCGCCGCCGGGCCACGCGCAGGCCGAGCCCCCGCCACCGCCCCCGCCTCCGCCCCTGCCCGCGCCCCCGCCCCCTCCCCCCCACCCCGCGGCGGCTCCGCGCTCGGCGAACATGGCGGCGGCGACGGTCGGGCGGGACACTTTACCTGAGCATTGGTCCTACGGGGTGTGCCGGGATGGCCGCGTCTTCTTCATCAAGTGCGGCGCGAGGACCCGGGGACGCGGGGACGCGGGTGGGGGCGCGGGGGCGGGGGCCGGGCGGGCACCCGGCGGGCTGTGGCGGCGCTAACAGGTGCACCTCTCTGCCCGCAGTGACCAGCTCCGCTGCACGACCTGGCTGCATCCGCGCACCGGGGAGCCCGTCAACTCGGGCCACATGATCCGCTCAGGTGGGCGCCGGGCCGGCGGGTGGGGGGCGCGCGCAGCGGCGGCCCAAGTTTGACCCGACTTTTCTGGCGTTTCCGCAGACCTGCCCCGCGGCTGGGAGGAGGGCTTCACGGAGGAGGGCGCCAGCTACTTCATCGAGTGAGTGAGTGGGGCCGCCGCGCTCGCACCTGTGCCGCGGGGGGGGGGTCCCTCCCCGTTCCCGCCGGGCGCCCCGCCCTTCCTCTGCTCCCGCCGGCCCGGGCTCGTTGGCGCGCGCTGCGCCGCGGCCACACTCAACGTTTTGTGTGCCCAAGTTGTTTGGCGGCCTCCGAGAGGAAGGCGGTGGGGGCCGCACCTACGCTGGGGACCTGGGCCGGGGGGGAAGAGGCCGCAGACTCTGCGCCCTGGACCTTGCAATCCGGCTGGATTCGGGTGCTGGTGTGCGGGCTGGGCACGCCTCCCCTCTAGGGTCTGGGGCTGCGCCCCGCCGGGAGAGGCGAGTGCCGGGACCTGGATGGGCTCGGGTGGGAGGAGTAGAACGAGAAGTTCTGTCCTGGTGTGGGCCTGCGGGGTTGGAGTGGGGAGAGGGAGAGACTAGGGGAATCTCGCTTAGGAGGACGCCCCCTCTCCCGCCGCAGGCTCTGGGATGGTCTTGGAGAGTCGGAACCTCGCCCCCGGCCTCCATCCACTGCGCGGGCCTGCGGGGAGGGAGGGGGTGGGGAAGGGAACTGGTCAACCAATGACTTTCCTCGAGCGCTCCGCGTCTCTTCGGCCGGAGCTGAACCGGGGGATTGCTGGTGCTTCCGTTAGTCCACGGGCGACTTTTCCGCAAAAGCCCCGGAGTGTTGGCGCACCAGCCAGGTTACCCTGGGTCTGTAGGATCAGTCCATGTCAGATTGGGGCGCAGTAAGTGAAGGCGCGGGTCAGGCTCCTATGCCAGTACAGGCTTTGCTTTCCCACTCCGGCGGGAGTCTGTGTTGCAGCGTGTTTCCCTCTGCCTGCTGAGCTCCGGGAGGCCAGACACTGCCTTTGACCCCTTGCCCCAGTGCCGGACAGCAAGTAGGCACTCGGTAAATGTTTGTTCACTGAATGAATCAGCTCGCCAAAGGTCTGGACGGTGGTCTGACTAGTACTGACTGGGTGTACCTCGGCGACTGTGAGTCAGAACTACTACTGTTAGGAATAAAGCAGCCTATTTCAAGAAAACCCCGGAACCTCCTTTTCTGGTTTGGGTTCTTGCATAATAGTTGAAAATACTGATGGGTGAGATTTACAGACCTAAGGACTAGGGCCTTGCTGCGGTTCTATTGCCCTGCCTCATATGTGTGTATGTGAAGTTGGGGAGTTGGCTGGGGCCATCAGAGTCTTGCTGTCAGTGGGCCTCTCTGGCTCATAACTGCATCAGTTGATGTTATTACAATTTTCCTGTGTGCCACACGTTCACACGTTGTTCTAGGCATTGGGAACAAAAAACAGAAAAGTTCTAGGTGCTCATGGAGCTTGCAATCTAATAGGAGAGGGAAGGGAGTAGAAAATAAGTAAAAAACACAAATAATAATATCAGATCGTGGTTACTACTGTGCAGAAAGTTAAAATAAGGTGATGTGACATGGAGTGACTGGGTGGCTTGGTTGTACTGGGAGATCGGGATGGTGTTTCTGAATAGGCAACATTTAAAGTAAAATTTGAATGACAAGAAGGAGACATCATGTGATGATGAGTTGGCAAAGCATTTCGGGAAGAGCGAACAGCCAGGGCAAGGGCTTAAGGCAGAAAAGAGCTTGGAGTTTAAGGAGCAGGAAGGCTGGAATGTGGTGCACAAGGGAGAAAGTGGCATGAGGAGAGGTCACAGGTAGGAGAAAGGTAAATGCCGCAAAGCTTTGTGAGCCGGGGTGAGGAATTTTCATACTTTATTCTAAGCCCAGTGAAACGTCATTGGAGGGTTTTAAGCAGGGAAATGGCATGATTTGGTGTGTGTTTTTAGAACGATCACTGTGAGGAGATTGGATTGTAGGTGGCCACTGCAGGGGGAGGCAGGAGAGCAGCTGAGGCTGTTGCCCTCTTCCAGGCAGGAGTTAGAAGTGGCTTGCCTGAGGGTGGTAGCACAGTAGACAGGGAGTAGTGGTCACATTCAGGCTGTGTTTAGGAAATAGGCTCTTCACACCTTCATGATGGACTGAATAGTCTGTGGGAGAAAGAGAAGAGGCAAAGATGACTCCTCAGGGCTTGGGCACCTGAGTGGATAGCATTCATATCGTTGAGATGGGAAGAGCCGGTTTGGGGTGGAGGAGAATCATGAGATCTTGTTTTGCCATCTTACATTTGAGATATGAGTATGTCAGATAGTGTGATCTGAAGCTTGGTGGGGAGAGAGGACAGAAGAGACCCATTGGGTATAATAGATGTTATTCAAGGCCATGGGATTAGATGAAATCCCCTAGGAAGAGAGTACAGACAGAAGAGAGATGTTCTGAGGCTTTGGATGGTCAAAGCAGTGTTTAGAGGGGTGAGAGGTGAAGCCAGCAAGGAGACTGAGAAGGACTGAGAAGGTAGGAGAAACCCCAGGAGAATGCATGGTCACAGAAGCCTTAAAGGACAAAATCTGACTGGAGTAGGTGGAAGATAAAACACGGGGTGAAGACAGGGAGTCAGTTAGGCAAATCTTCCAGGTAGTTTTGTTGCAAAGTGGAGTTGAGACATTAGCCGGTAATTGGAGAGGATGTGGGTTTGAGGGAGGGTTCTTTTTTTTGGTGGGAGATTGTACAGCATGTTTGTTTTGATGGGAATGATCCCACTGAGAGGAAGAAGTCGATGCTGCAGTAAAGAGACGGGGCAGTTGCTGGAGCAGTGTTTCTAAGAAGGTGAGAGGGATGGGATCCATGGCCTGCATCTCACTAGCGTCACCCAGGGGCAGGGCCCATCATTCATTTGGCGGGAGGAAGGGCTGCAAGTGTCCCAAAGTACCAGGTGCAGCCTTGGGCTGGGTGTGTGAGGCCGCGTGTGGGACTCTGGAGGCTGGAGCACAGCCTTCCACACCTTTGCTGACTCTTCCATGGTAACTTGTCTGTGAGGTCCCTAATGATTTTCCTACAGTGAGCTCCTGTGCCCCCAGGGCCTTGGCTGACTCCTCCCAGGCCTAGAAAAAGCAATGTGTGACAGTGTTCCCTACCCTCAAAGGCAGGGCCCTGTGGCAGGTGATTGTACTTCTGACGTCCTTCTGTGACAATTTTTTGAGAGACTTAAGGGTTTTGGGAGTAATTGTTCTCTCCCTCATCCCCCGCCCCCCACATGAAAAATGTTTTACTGTTGTCTGATTTCTTAGCTTTGCCGTGAGCATTTCTGAATGTTTGATTTTTGTGTTGAGGGCAGGAGCCTCCTCTAATCTGGCTCATAAAGTGAGAGCGACAAAGCATTGACATGGCTGATTTTATTTTTCCTAATGGCTCCTTGCACAGGAAAGTTGTGTGAGGTTTTACAGGATGTATTCAGTTGCTCCTCATATTTAGCAGATTAAAACATTTTAATTTTTGAAAAAATTTTAAGAAACAGAATCTTCCTCTGTCTCCTAGTCTGGAGTGCAGTGGTGCAATCATAGCTCACTGCAGCCTTGAACTCCTGGGGCCAAGTGATCCTCTCACTTCAGCCTCCCAAGTAGCTGGAACTACAAATGCAGGCCACCATGCCTGGCCAGCAAATGTTTTAATACTCTCCAGAGTCCATTTCTTTTCTTTCTTTTCTTTTTCTTTCTTTTTTTTTTTAAAGACAGCTTTGCTCTGTCGCCCAGGCTGGAGTGCAGTGGCACGATCTCAGCTCACTGCAACCTCTGCCTCTTGGGTTCAAGTGATTCTCATGCCTCGGCCACCCCCTAAGTAGCTGGGACTACAGGTGTGCACAACCATGACTGGCTAATTTTTGCATTTTTAGTAGAGACAGGGTTTCACCATGTTGGCCAGGCTGGTCTCAAACTCCTGACCTGAAGTGATCCGCCTGCCTCAGCCTCCCAAAGTGCTCGGATTACAGGCATGAGCCACTGTGCCTGGCCTCGGAGTCCATTTCTTGAAGCAGAAAAGCTTGAGGTTAGGCAGGTGAATTTTTGTTTTGATTTCTGCACTTTTTGTTCAATTTTGCATTAATGAGGGACAAAATGTATAAGAAATCTACTGTTGGTTCTCCCAGTTCTAGACTAAGTGATGTTGATAACCCCTTTAAAAAGATTTTTTGGCTGGGTATAGTGGCTCATGCCTGCAATTCCACACTTTGGGAGGCGGAGGCGAGGGGATCACTTGAGGCCAGGAGTTCAAGATCAGCCTGGGCAACACGGAGAGGCCTCATCTGTACAAAAAATGAAAAAATTAATGGTGGTATGCTCCTGTAATCCTAGCAACTTGAGAGGCTTAAGTGTGAGGATTGCTTGAGCCCAGGAGTCTGAGTTTACCATGAGCTATGATTGTGATACTGTACTCCAGCCTGGATGACAGAGTGAGACCCTGTCTGTAAATAAATAAATAAATAAATAAATAAAACGAAGACTTTTTGTACTCTAGCACTTCTCTACTATGAATCCCTTAGCTGGGTAGCAAGGTATAATAGTAATTGTGATAATAGTGTCATTAACAGAAGTAGCAATAATAGTAGTAATAATTATATAACAGCCTAATCTTTTTGGGTCTTTGAAAAATGCTAGGAACTGTTCTGTAACTGTCATTGATTTAATTCTCACAATAGTTTGATGAGGTAGGAACTACTACTAGTTTCGTTTTACAGACATAGAATCTTGCCGTAATCCTGGACATTCCTATAGCAGATGGTTTTTTTTCTTGTGTCTTTTCTTATTTGATCCTTATAGCAGCCCCTGGAGGCAGGAGGGGAAGAATCATCCCCATTCTTCAGATGATGAAACTCAGGTCCATGAAGGTTCAATGATTTTGCTGAAGTGTTAGAGCTGGGACTGGAACATAGGTCTTTGGTCCCTCATGTGATAGCCACAGTAGTAGTGGTAGCTCCTACCCCAGGCCATGCATCTTGAAGGAGATGAATGCCCATATGCCATTGCTCTGAGTTAGGCTTCCCCAAGGCTTATGGGGCCAGACTCCATCTTTGCTTTTTCTGGGGATTGAGGTACTTTGGAAGGGCAGTACCCCCTGGTCTCCTATGTTGATTAGGGGTGGTACATGTCTCTGATTAGTAAGAAATTGAAGACATTGATTATTAGTAAATACAATTTGGCAGACACAGCTTTTTCAAACATGGGACCTATGAGGGAGAAGTTTCTAGAAGAGGCCATGGGAGTTAGAGTATTACACTGGGCTGCTCTTCAGGGGTTTCATGGAACCTTGTGAATTCCGTTCCCCCTACAGCAGGCATTAAATAGGTCATGAGGCAATGAGGAGATGGCAGAGAAGAGGGGCTCAGCCACCTTGCCTGTGCCAAGGCTGTTCCTTGAAGGCAGGCATCTTATTCCCCACTTCTGTGACTTAGGCACCCAGCCCAGGGCTGGGAGCTGAGTAGGCACTTGGCATCTCTTGAGGAATCAGTGTTTTAAAGAGACCCAATGAGTTTTCTAGGTATTCCAGGTCTTGGAAAACTCCTTACTGGGAAGGAGATTGGGGTGGAGGAGAATAAGCAAGGTGAGAGAAGCTCAACAGCCAGGAACAGGCCTGTCAAGGCTGGTGCCTAGACCCAGGCTTCTTGGATACAGTCGCTTGCTGTTGAGAACAATGCTCAAAGCAGGAAGCTGGCTGGTGGAGGCTCAAACGGCCTCCTCTGCGTCTTCATTTCATATCCTTATTGCTCTGCATCTGGGACTGGGATACCTGTTGGCTACTGGACTAGGCTGTCTTCCTTCCCTGGCTGCTGGGCCCTTGGCATCATCTGTGACTTGGCACAAGGGTGCTGGCAGGAACCAGCTGATTGCACAAGACCCTTTCTAGCTTCAGGTTTCTCAGTTTTAGCTTTGGGGTTGTGTGGAGCCACCCTGTGTAGGTACTTTCTTCTTGTGGGTGCCTGTCCCCAAGTGAGGACAGCTAGACTCTGGGAAAGACATTTCTGAGGCTTGGAGTAAGGCTAACTTTCCCCTCCCCTAGGACCTGAAGCAGGTCCTAGGGGCAGGACTGGCTACATAATTTGCAGAGCCTCAGTGTAAAATGAAAATGCAAGGCTCCTTATTGAAAAAGAAGGAAAAAGTATTAGCTTGGTGCAAATGTAATTGCGGTTAGTGCTATTACTTTTAATGGTAAAAACTGCAATTACTTTTGCACCAACTGAATATCTTTAGGCCGGGCGTGGTGGTTCACACCCAGTAATCCCAGCACTTTGAATGGCCAAAGCAGGAGGATTGCTTGGGCTCAGGAATTTGAGACTAGCCTGGGCAACATGGTAAAACCCTATCTTTACAAAAAATACAAAACTTAGCCGGGTGTGATGGTGCATGGCCATAGTCCCAGCTATTAGGGAGGCTGAGGTGGGAGGATCACTTGAGCTTGGGAAGCGGAGGTTGCCGTGAACTGAGCTCACGCCACTGCACTCCAGCCTGGGCGACAGAATGAGACTCTGTCTCAAAAAAAAAAAAAAAAAGCATCTTTAGAGATCCTAAAATGTAAAATTTTGTTCTTCTGTAGTTTTTCCCTTGACTTGTCATTTAAAAAAAAATAAAATTGCTATTTATGGGCATGGTGGCGAGTGCCTGTAATCCCAGCTACTTGGGAGGCTGAGCCAGGAGGAACGCTTGAACCCAGGAGGTGAAGGTTGCGGTGAGCCAAGATTGCACCATTGCACTCCAGCCTAGGCAACAAGAGTAAAACTCTGTCTCAAAAAAAAAATTTTTTTTTCTATTTAATGTAATTCTACATAAAGAAAAATTAAGTTTAAATTATTAGCATAAATTTTATAGTTATTTCTATATTGTAGAATATAATGTTTTAAATGTGAATATCAGTGCATTTACCTCATATGCTAGGAGTTGCCACCACCATGCCCCACTCCAAGACACCATAGAGCACAAGCACCTGTATCCATGCCCCCCTGGGCAGCAGGGAGGAGCAGGGAGCCCAGGCAGGGCTTAGGGCTCCAGGAGGCTGGGAGTGGGCAGTTAAGAACCTGGTCCTCCGAGGCAGGGAGTGGGGACCAGGCATGAGTCCTTCAGAAGGTTACCTCTGGAGATAATGCCAAGTATCAAGGGTGTGTGTTTTGTATTCAGCAACCCATTTTTTAGTCTGAAATCAAAGGGAGTTGGAGAGTGAAGGATGAACCAAATGTGACAGATGTTCAGTTGGGGATTTTGTAGACACCAGGCCTAGAAGGCCCTTAGGAAAGCCAGTGAATACTGGACAGCCCAGGAGGCTGCCCTTAATTATGACCTCACCCAACCGACAGTCTTCTGGGCCACCCCTAGGAAGGAGTCTGTCCTGTCTTCTATATTTTCCTCCCTAGATAAATGTTGAACTTCATGGCAGTGAAATTTATCTTGTAGAATGTCAAACCTATTGATTCACTTATATATCATCTTCCTTTTTTTTTTTTTTTGAGACTGAGTCTTGCTGTGTCACCCAGGCTGGAGTGCAGTGGCGGCATCTCGGCTCACTGCACCTCTGCTTCCCGGGTTCAAGCGATTCTTCCACCTCAGCCTCCTGAGTAGCTGGGACTACAGGCATGCGCCACCATGCCTGGCTATTTTTTTGTATTTTTAGTACAGATGGGGTTTCACCATGTTAGCCAAGCTGGCCTTGAACTCCTAACCTCAGGCAATCCGCCTGCCTTGGCCTCCCAGAGTGCTAGGATTACAGGTGTGAGCCACCGTGCCTGGACGTTTTTTTTTTTTTTTTAGATGGAGTTTCATTCTTGTTGCCCAGGCTGGAGTGCAGTGGTGTGATCTCGGCTCACTGCAACCTCCGCTTCCCTTGTAGCTGGTGTTACAGGCGCCCACCACCATGCCCGGGTAATTTAGTAGAGACGGGGTTTCACATGTTGGTCAGGCTGGTCTTGAACTCCTGACCTCAGGCTGTCCACCCGCCTTGGCTTCCTAAAGTGCTGGGATTACAGGCATGAGCCACCATGCCCAGCCTTATTTGTCATCCTTCTTATTGAGATGTTGCTGGGAACAGCAGTCCCAGAAACTTTATTTCAAACCTGGGGGTAATAGTCCCACAAAGAATTTCTGGGAAACTAGCAGCTTACATATATACTAAAATAGAAATTCTGAACCCCCTCATTGAAGGTTAAGAAAGGTTTTCCCAGCTTGGCAAGTTTTGGCAGAATCCCATGCTTTATATTTCACTTCCTGGTTGCATTTTCAAGGGTAAAAACTGGTTCATGGATTTAAACGTTAGGTTCTGTGGGAAAGGAAAAACAGTGAGTGTTGTTTAGAAAGCGAAAGGAAGGATTAGGAGCCATGATTTATACCACATCTCCAAAAAGAAACTTCTTTAAGGAAACGTCTTTAAGAAAAATGGTTGCAAGTTGCTTTTTAAGGCTCTTTACCCATGAGAGGAGTGTGTTTTAGAGATAGGACAGATGCTGGGTTGGGAAGAGGTGTTTTCATGTGATGAGGGTGGGTGTAGGTTTCTTGTGCCTTGATGGCACCCTCTCCATTCTCTCTCTCTCTCTTTCTTTTTTTGTTTTGAGACAGAGTTTTGCTCTGTCACCTAGGCTAGACTGCAGTGGCATGATCTCAGCTCACTGCAACCTCTGCCTCCTGGGTTCAAGCAATTCTCTTGCCTCAGCCTCCTGGGTAGCTGGGATTACAGACACCCACCACCACGCCTGGCTAATTTTTGTATCTTTAGTAGAGACGGGGTTTCACCATGTTGGCCAGGCTGGTCTCAAACTCCTGACCTCAAGTAATCTGCCCACCTTGGCCTCCTGGAAGTGCTGGGATTACAGGCGTGGGCCACCGGGCCCAGCCTCCATTCTCTTTTGATGTCTATGGGAGTAAATTTGGTGCTTCCTAAATTGAGAACTTTGGAAAAAAATTAAGACAGCACTTTAAACAGAAACGTGTGCAGGGGCAGGGAGATGCCAGTTTACCCCCCCCGTTAAGTCTGAGGTGACAGAGGGCTGTAGGAAGACTGCTTGTTGGCTTTTCAGCCTCAATATGTGGAATATTTGGCAATTCAGTGAGGTACCTGCTCTTGTTTTCTATCTTCAGAGGACAGCACAGGTTTGAATCTCTTTGCTCAGTGTAAGACAGCATCATCTCAGCAAACTGGCAGGTATCTTAAGTAAATATTGGCAGAGGGAAAAACACGGAGGAATATGGTTGTATTTGCCTGTTGTTTTTAAATGGCTGTCAAAACATTTGCTTTTCAATTTTCTGAAATGAGAAATATTTTGAGTTAATGTTTTATCATTTACAGAGTATTTCACGAACATTCTCTGGTTTGTCCCATAATTATTGCATTTTTTTAGTGCGGGAATTTGGGCTCAGAGGGGTAAAGTGACTTCTCTAAAGTTGTATACTGGGCTGGGCATGGTGACTCATGCTTGTAATCCCAGCACTTTGGGAGGCCGAGGTGGGCAGATCACCTGAGGTCAGAAGTTTAAGACAAGCTTGGCCAATGTGGTGAAACCTCATCTCTACTAAAAATACAAAAATTAGCTGGGTATGGTGGTGCGTGCCTGTAATCCCAGCTACTCGGGAGGCTGAGGTAGGAGAATCACTTGAACCCAGGAGGCAGAGGTTACAGTGAACTGAGATTGCGCCATTGCACTCCAGCCTGGGCGACAAGAGTGAAACAGTGTCTTAAAAAAAAAAAAGAAAAAGAAAAAGGAAAAAAAAGGTGTATACTGCATTAGCTCAGCTTCTTCAAAGTTCAAGGGAGAGGCCTGGACATATTGTTCCTCATATCCAGGCTTCTCAGACATTTCAGCCATAGGTCTAATGGCAGAACAGAATGAAGGCCAACTCACCTAGGAGACTGGATGCAGGAAGTGCCATTAAATGTTGGTTCTGTCCAAAAACTCATTGACAGACTAAAATTAATTGAGACTTTACCCTCAATTTAATTTATTATGTAATCCTTTCTTATATCTTCCTTTCAAATCAATTCTTCGGCCAGATGCATCATGTTTATTGCTTTGTGTTCTAAATAGAAATGTGTACCGGCAGAGGAATGCGAGTTCCCCCTGTTCAGTCTTAGGTGACAGAGGAGTGCGGAGAGACTCCTTGTTGGCTTTTCAGCCTCTCTGGGCCCTACATCTCCAAACAGGATGTACAGGAGGACTTAAGGAAAGTATCAGCAGTTGTGGTAACCTTGGATTGTCTTTTGCTTGTACTGAGTTGTGAGTTGTGCCGGATCACTTCTCTGTCTCATCCAGCCCTCTTCAGGATACTGGCCTGGGCAGCAGGGTTGGTTTTTGTTGAAGCCCAAAGCACAGCTAGGCAACTTCATCATGCAGAAAAATGTATGAAAAGGGCTTTTGATGTGGGTGACAGCATGTGTAAAGAGACGGTATCCAAGTGTGTGGACTTTGGAGTCAGACTACCTAGACTCTAATTCACCTCCACCACATACAGCTCCCTGACCTTGGCAGGTTACCTGCTCTCTTTAAGCCTCACTTCCTCACCAGTAAAATGGGGTTAAATGTGAGGATTATGTGAGTTAATTGATGGATGGAAAGGGTTTAGCAAGTAGTAGTGCCACGTTTACTGGCACATTGTAAATGCCCAATAAATGTGAGCTCCTCTTCTGTACATCCACACAGCTATGGGGCAGGGTGAAGACATGACTTCTGAGTCCTAATTGCATTCATTGGCTGCAGAAGTCTGGTGCCCTTGAACTAGGATTGCCGGAGTCAGGGGCATGCAAACTGTAGAACTCAACTCAGAAATTGGTTTGGACCAATAAAAACTGCACAACCTTGGGCTGGGTGTGGTGGCTCACATGTGTAATCCCAGCACTTTGGGATGCCAAAGTGGGCGGATCACCTGAGGTCAGGAGTTCGAGACCAGCCTGACCAACATGGAGAAACCCCATCTCTACTAAAAATATCAAAATTAGCCGGGCACTGTGGCGCATGCCTGTAATCCCAGTTACTCAGGAGACTGAGGCAGGAGAATCGCTTGAACGGGAGGCAGAGGTTGCAGTGAGCCGAAATTGCGCCATTGCATGCCAGCCTAGGCAACAAGAGCGAAACTCCATCACAAAAAAAAAAAAAAAAAAAAGGCACAACTATTCTGGTACTTAAAGGATGTCCTTATTCTTGGAAATACACACTGAGGTTATTTGCTCTTAAGTAGTTAAGTGGTGTGGGGGAAAATTGTGTTGGGGGGAAGGAGTGGATGACAGAGCAAATGGGACAAAATATTAACAGTGGGTGAGTCTGAGTTAGGAGTGGCCCCTGGTTTACCTCTTTACTGGGCAGTTAGAAGTCTGCACAGATGTCTGCTTCTTAATCTGTGCAGCCACCTGGTTATCGGCTCTGACCACTAAAGGACAAATGCATTGTCTGGCACGTCTCACGTCACAGGTGTCAACAATAATAATCTTCGTGGTGCTTTCTAGTTGAAAAATGCATTTGTTGTAGAGGCAGATATTTTGATTGTCCTCATTTTACAGATCAGGCATTTGAGGCTGATGGGGGCAGGGAGTGGTGGTTAATAGATCTTCCCAAGGCCCCAGCATCACCGAGGGGTTTAAGACTTGAACCGAAGTCTTCTTGGCTCCAAATTCTATGCAGTTTCTACGTGGTACATGGTGCCTTGTGGCTCTCATCATCACTCTTTCTGTTCCTTTTTTTTTTTTCTTTAAGTGTTGAGGTTTTGTTCTGTTGCCCAGGCTGGGGTGCAGTGGTACCATCTCAGCTCACTGTAACTTCAAACTCCTGGGCTCAAGCAATGCCCCCGCCTCAGCCTCCTGAGTAGCTGCGACTACAGGCGTGCACTGCCATGCCCAGCTAACTCCCTCTCTACTGATTCCTCCCTCTAGGGTTATCCCTCAGAAGCAGTTCTCTGCCTGCACCTTCCCTGATGACTGTGAGGCAGAAGCCCCCTTGGGCCTCCCTCAGAAAGGCAGGGTAGAAGAGTGATGGATGGTGCATAGTCCCCACACAGAACTGTGAGCCAGTCGCTGGTGCTCTGGGAAGTGGACCTCCTCAAGCTGGAGAGGCACCCTCTCCCGCCACAGATGTCAGCTGACCTTAGCTTAGGGGCCTATGAGCTTCTTAAGCCTGCTTAGAGCCAGGCTGTCTCTTTCAGGTCCTGCCAGAAGAGCATTTCCAATATCACAGCCAATTTTCTCAGGGTTTCTCAGGGGCTTTTTTGCCAAGACAGAGCCTCGCCCTCTTGAGGTCTCACAGCTTGGAGTTAGTGTGCAGTCTCTTCCTGGGGCTGCTGGCTACCTCTTGTAGCTTGGAGTTAGTGTGCAGTCTCTTCCTGGGGCTGCTGGCTACCTCTTGTAGCTTGGAGTTAGTGTGCAGTCTCTTCCTGGGGCTGCTGGCTACCTCTTGTAGCTTGGAGTTAGTGTGCAGTCTCTTCCTGGGGCTGCTGGCTACCTCTCGTGACTTCCTACATCACACTCTATGGTGCAGGGAAGGGGAGCAGCATGCTTGGGGGATGGAGGGGCCAGAGATCCCATTCCAGCCCTGTACCAAGGCCACTGGCTGCACAGCTTCCTGTGTTCTCTCCCGCTGGGTGAGGCGGGAGATGAGCTTGTCCTCGTCTCGGAAGAGGGGAGCCAGAGCAATGGTTTAGGTTCGTTCACTCACCTTTGCAACAATCATATCTTCTCCACTTGCAAATTGAGCTGTCTGTGCCTGTCCACAGATGGAATGAGTTGGCCATCTTGAGGGGTGGTGGGCAGCTTATTAGAGGAGCAGTTTAATTGGAGGCTGGTTGGCTTTTGATCAAGGAATTATCTGTTCAGTCACCAGACTCCAATTAAGCAGCTACTCTATGCCAGACACTCGGTGCTGGGGAGAGAAATGAAGCTCACTGTTTCTGCCCTCCAGCAGTGCCCAGTCCAAGACAGGAGAGGAATGCTGGACAGTTCCAATATGGGTGCCTGGGGCTGGGGAGCTTCGGAGGGTGACCAAGGAAGGCCAGGCAGCCATGGAGCAGAGCAGTGAGCAGCCCAAGGCAGGAGAGACCAATGCAGAAAATGTGAAGGAGCTGGGGATTAGGGGTGAGGGCCATGGTACCTGTGTGCCTGTTTGGGTCTCAGAGAGGTTAGTGCTGAGTTGAGGAGTAGGGACAGACCTTAGATAAAATCCTTCACTAGTAGCTTGGCTGCAGGAGTGTGGTGTATGGGAGCTATGCCCTAGAGGGCTCCCTGAATTCCTTTGTCTATAGGGTGGTGCCACATGGTGTTTACAAAACATGGATTCTGGGATCAGAGTGCCTGGGTTGAAATCCTCACTCTGCTTTTAGCTTTGGCAGGTCACTTGAACCTCTCTGTGTCTTTAGATGTTTCTTCATCTGTAAGATGGGGACAATGACTGTACCTATCAACTTAGAATGGTATCTGGCAACTTGTACATGCTATATAGGAATTAGCCATTATCACTACTACTCCTATGAAGGAAGCCCCTTCCTAAGGTGAAATGTGGCCTGGTTGGCAGAGGAGCTGTGGTTGGTTCTCTTTGGGGAGATCTCCTAAGGTCAGGCTAGCCAGAGGGAGAAAGAATTGTGCTTCCTTGTTGAGACTTGTCTTTAAAAGGAAGCTGGGCAGTAAATGATTGGTGCCAAATGTCAAAGAAACTATTTCTCATCTCAGAAGCCCTGTGTGGCTGTGTCCAACCAGAGAGAAGATGAACAGGTTTCTTGAGGAGTGTCATGGCTCATGCCTGTAATCCGAGCACTTTGGGAGGCTGAGGCAGGTGGATCACTTGAGGTCAAGAGTTCAAGACCAGCCTGGCCAATATGGTGAAACCCCATCTCTACTAAAAATACAAAAACAAAAAAAATTAGTTGGGTATGGTGATGCATGCCTGTTAATTCCAGCCACTCGGGAGGCTGAGGCACGAGAATTGCATGAACCTGGGAGACAGAGGTTACAGTGAGCCGAGATTCCACCACTGCACTTCAGTCTGGGTGACAGAGTGAGACTCTGTCTCAAAAAAACAAAAACAAAGACAGGTTTCTTGTACTTACCATTGATTGACACATTTGATTTATACTCCCTGTCCATATCCCCCCTCCAGTGGAGAGGATTCCCACATGTGAGTATTAGGGTTTGCATCTGGTTCTTTTGTGGGGAGGCAGTAACCCTGGTGTCTGTATTAGAGGATTGGTAAGGGGCAGTGAGGGTAGACATGAATTAGAGCTTCTGTGGGGTGGGGCTGGGAGTCAGCATTTATCACAAGCTCCACAGGTGATTCTTATGGACACTGAAAGTAGAAGCATCTCTGAGCTTCAGCTTCTCTGTCTCTAGAATAATGATATATTTTTCTCCCTAGTGTTATTTAAGAATGAAATGCGATAGCCTGTCTGAAGCTCCTACCATGCTATTCAGCACATGATAGGTGCTCAGGCATTGTGAGTCTCTTTCCTTGTAGAAGAACATCTGTCTAAAGTCATTGGGTTAAGCTGTGCAAAAGGCTTTGAGAGAGTATCAGTGGGGTACAGCTGTCTGAATGTACACCCCGTTACCCAGGAGGGAGCCTGGGAAGCCAGGTTCCTGGGGAGCCTCTGGTTTTCTCAGTGTGGGTTGGGAATGTGCTGCCTTCACCTCTGCTGAGATGATGCTGTCAGTCCCAGTTAGAAATGGTGGGACTGAGCTTGTGAGTGACCACTGAATGAGGCCTATGTCTGCCTGGGGGTAGGTGTGCAGCTCCACATCTTGGAACCCCGTGACCACTTAGAGATCCTGCAGGCAGAGGAGGGCCTGGGGTGACAAGTTGTTCTGAGTGATTGACATTAATAGCCAGAGAAGGCAAGCAGAAGGCAATTAAGCTGAGAAGTGGGAAGGCTTCCTCTGTGTGGGAGAATACATGTGTCCCGGCAGACAGTGGCAGTGATGAGCAAGTCATAGAGATGTCTGACATTGCAGTTGTCCCTGAGCTGGTCCTGGGGGAATGGGGCAGGGCCAGGATTGTGACTCAGTTGCCATGAAGAGCTCCCCAACTCCCTGGGGACAGTGTCAGGCACAGAGACAGTGCTCAGCCAAATAGGTGTGTGTTGGTTGATTTGACATTTGCCATTACCCTCCTGAAATTGCAGATATACGAGGATAGAGGGCTGGTTGGAGTTGGGAGTGAGTGGGGGATTGTATGGTGAGGCTGGGAGGAGGGGGATAAGTCAGTGGTCAGAGTCCCAGGGAAGAGAAATGATTTCCTACCCACCAAAGAAAGTGTTTGGCAAGATTTTTTTTTTTCAACACATTTTGACCTGGGGATTTAAAAAAATATGGTTGAATGCTATGAAGCTAAATATCTATAATAACTGTACCCCTTAATGCATTTCTAGATGTAATTGGTGGTACTTGAAATTATATCCACTTATGGAGGTTTTGAATATTTTTTTTAGCTTTGGTGTGTAGATGGGAGCTGAAGAGAGCTCAGTCGGTTTTTGCTTCAACTTTTCCAGCCCTTCTCACCTGAAAATGTGTAGACGTGTTTGTGTGTTTGGCACTGGATGGTTTTGAAAATTCAGAGGGGATATTAATTCTTTTGGGGAAAGGAAAGTAATTGGCTTCCTGTTCTGTGAATACATAGATATTTAAATTAGAACCCCAAGTACACTCTTTACTCCAAAAGCCGCATGTGTCTGAGGAGCCTAGTGACATACGATGTAAGAATTGTGGGGTAATCTTGCCAGGCCTTTCCAGGTTGCTCCTTGGGGAGGGAGGTCTTGGTTGGTGCTGATTGCCTCCTTGAGTCAGTGGAAAGGTTTGAGAGTTTGTTTGTTTGTTTTTTTCCTGAAGGTTCGTGTTGGGTTTTGCTCAGTTCAAGGGTGCTAGTGAGCTGAGGGGTGGGGCTGTGAGGCTCTCACACTGAGAAGCCAATGGCTTCTACTTATTTGTTTATTTTACAAATGTTTATCTGGTACTGACACTGTTCACACGTACACTGTTCTAAGGGCTTCACAGACACAGCCTCCTTTAATCCTCATGCCAACCTTATAAGGTAGGTACGGTTATCATCCTCATTTTACAGATGGGGAAACTGAGGCTCAGGGAGGTTGAGTCCAGTAATTGGATGCACAGGTGTAAGGCGGCAGAGCTGGGGTCACCCAGCGTTCCCTATCTGGGGTTCTCATAGTCTCTCTCTGTCCAGCTTGGCCTGTCTCCACCATGTTCTGTGACAGGCTGTGCCGTGGAGACTGCTCCAGTTTATTTCAGGAAGACACTCGAGCTTCGCACAGGTCAGAGTCCATGGGCATGGTGAGGGAAGAGAGGGTGTAGCCAGGGCTGTTAGTCTGGGACTCACTGGAAGCAAACTGCATGCGGCCTTCTGTCGAGTCAGCAACCCCTTTTGGGTTTAGTAGGAATTGTCACCTCTCCCCCCAGCACATGCACCTGTAGAGAAGCCCCCAGGTGTTGCAGAGAGCCCCTGAGGGAGGGTATAGGCTGTGCTGGGGCTCAGAGACCTGGAGCTCAGAGGCTAGCTGAGGCAGGCTTTGGGGTCTTGCTATCTTGCCTCCTGCCCATCGAGTGCCAGGTGAGTGAAGGAAGTCACTGTCTGGTTAGCTGCATTCTCCCTCCTGTTTCTGGGGTCTGAGAGAGGAGACAGATTGCCGGTCTTTGTTTTGGACTTGACTCCCTCTAGAGATGGAACCCCCACCCTAGCCCCACTCAGACAAAGTTAAGAGAATATTGGGAAAATGGGCTCTTCTTCACAGTGGAAGGGTTTGGCATTTTGAGACTCAGCATGAAAACCTCACTCTAATGCTTTCCTGAAGACTCTGGGGTCATTGCTCACCTCCTTGTCCATGGACATTTCTGATGGGAGGAGGAGGAGGTAGACTATGGGGTGGAGCAGAGAGAAGATTGGAGGCTTTTCTCTCTGAAGTCCCTATAGGCACCTCAGGGGTATTGTTAGAGGGGTGGTGATGGGAGCAGTGGTGACCTGGGGTGAATACAGAAATGACCTTGGCCCAGAAGCACAGCCTTGGGGCAGGGGACTCCACTCAGTCCTGATGTGTCCACAAATCAGTCCATGCTGTGTGAGGCAGAAAAAGGGCTTGCTTGGGCCTGGTAGCTCCAGGCTGGGACCTGGCTGAACTTGAAGCTGATACCCACAGGGTAGAGAACCACTCTGAGATTCAACTTTTTTTTTTTTTGAGACGGAGTCTTGCTGTGTCACCCAGGCTGGAGTGCAGTGGCACGATCTTGGCTCACTGCAAGCTCTGCCTCCCAGGTTCACGCCATTCTCCTGCCTCAGCCTCCTGAGTAGCTGGGACCACAGGCGACCACCACCATGCCCAGCTAATTTTTTGTATTTTTAGTAGAGACGGGGTTTCACCGTGTTAGCCAGGATGGTCTCGATCTCGTGACCTCGTGATCCGCCCGCCTCGGCCTCCCAAAGTGCTGGGATTACAGGCATGAGCCACTGCGCCCGGCCTCTGAGATTCAGCTTTTAAGTTATGTGAAGCATTCTGCAGCACAGGAAACTCAGTCCTGGCTGAGGACCGTAAGCTGTTGACTTCCTTCCTGCAGGTTATAAGCATTTCCCGGCTCTCCCATCCCTGTGTACCTGAAACCTTTCTGGAACTGGGTGTGACCTCAGGCCTGTATTCCCAAGGCTGTCAGGGGCTACGTTATAGGTCTTTTCCACTGAGAAGTCCTGCCTGCCTGCTGTGTGGTTCTCAGATGGGATAGGTGGAGGGACCACCCCCCTGAGAGTCTACTGTCTCCATGTTGAGGGCCTTTGACCAGACTTGGCCTCCCTCACAGTTCAGCTGTTCTCACTCCTGACTTGAAATAGGGCAGCTATGGGGTCATGGGTGAGCACACAGGCTTGGAGCCAGACTTCATGGCTATGGAACTCTGCCAGGTTATGTAACCTCTGTAAAATGAGGTAAATGCCGGTATCTGCCCCTTAGGTCTTTTGCAGAGATTAAATGAGAATAATACACGTAAACTACTTAGTCTCCAGAACATAGTATGGTTCAACAGATTTTATAATTTATTTCCATGAACAGCAGATATTTTGTCTTTTCTCTATAATGGCTATGGTGGGCCAAATGTATTTAGGTAATTTCTTGACTTCTGCAGGGACTCTGATATACACAGAGCGTACCTGTGTATACTGTCCAGTTAGCTCAGATTCTCAGTTTTGGGCATTTTCTAAGGGAGGGCAATGAACATCCTGATAGGTTTAACTAAGGTTTTAAAATGTCCAATTTTACGTGTGGTTTTTAACCACACCTGCATCCTAATTACGACCTTGGCTGTTATAGCTTATAGGTTTAGGCAATCTGGATATAGTTGTAGCAAAGGTTATTTTTGATTCGAGACATGCCTTGCTTCCTCTGGGCAGAGGAAGAAAAAGCTCCAGTGATGATGGAGGACTGGAGAGGGGAGGTCAGATTCAGTTTTGAATTTTAAGTCCATTTACCTGACATCATATTTGTTATACTCTGGGGGATATCAGGGAGCCGGCAAAGCAAATGTCCACATGCTTCAGGCGATAGGATGGTCAGGTGGCATGTGACTAACTGTCAGGATAATAGTGCAGGTGCTACATGGAGAGTAACACTCAGGAGGGAGCAGTTCAGGGGCTGGATGAGTCTCAGAAGACTTGGTGTGTGTGCAGGGGTCTTGTGAACTGGGATTGGGCGGGGACGAGAGACAGTGTGGGTGTTGTAGGCAGGGGACCGGCACTCATTGTTCAGGGGTCCCTTCATTTAGCAGACATTCACTGAGCACTGGATGTGTGCCAAGCACTGGCCTGGGCACAGTAGATACCAACAAGAGTGAAGCAGAGTAGAGAAAAGAGCATTGAAAGCCAGAGTGGCCCAGTGCTCAGGAGCATGGTCTGCTATGTGGTTGCCTCGGCTTGAATCCCAGCCCTGCCACTGACTAGCTTGTGGTGTGATCCTGAGCAGGTTGTGTACTCTGGAGCCTGTTTCCTCATCTGAAAAATGGGGATGGTAATAATTGTGGCAGGGATTAAATGAGTTAATAGGAAGTACTCAGAATAGTCTTGAATATAGAAAGTACTACTGTGTGTAGGATATTTATTGTCACTGGAATATTAGCTCCATGACAGGCATTTTGTCTGTTGTGTTCACTGCTGTAGAATACATCTTGTACATAGTAGGCACTCAGTTAATGAATCAAAGCAACACTGGTGTCCTCAAGGAGCCCAGGAGCCTGTGCTCTGGTGGGGACACAGCCATGTCAATGACCAGAGGATACTGTGCAAATGCTTTGAGAAGGGAAGCATGGGGCCTGGTGGGGCACAGAGGAGGGCTGGCCAGGGGAGGCTTGGGGTTGGAGAGCCCGAGCTGGATCTTGAGAAACAAGCAGGGATTTGTTGGTTGACAGAAGGGAGTCTGGATGTTTTTGGGAGAGGGATAGCACAGGCAGAACCAGGAGAGCCTGTCGTGTTCTAGGACACTGGAAGAGAGGATCCTGCAGAATGGGCCTCTCAGAGGATCCAGGGAGGGGTCCCAGCAGGGCTGTGACCGGGCCCTCTGAGGCTGTACGGGAGGAAGGTGGAATATGCTGGTTGGTGTTCACTCAGACTCCAGCCCCCACCTATGTCCGCAGGGGTGGGGCTGGACATAGGTTGGCACCAGTGAGAGCTCCCCTGCAGCAGGTGAGGGTTGGCCTCCAAACAAGGAGAAAGCAGGTGGCCCCCACTACTGCCTGGCAGCACTCCTGCTGTAAAATAGAAGGGATGAAGAGAGTGGGTGATTAGTGTCCCTGGGGGACCTAGTTAAAAACTGACCCCTGGAACTGCAACTCCAGGTAGCCCTCACTTCCACTCAGACACCAGGGCCTCCTAAGGGGCATCTGCTGAGGGCCACCTTGCTTGCCACACCTTGGCCCTCCTCGCAGCTTTGCACAGTGCACAGAAGTCCTGTCACCTGGTGGCCTTGACCCTACTGACAGAGAAAGACTGACTTCCAGGCCTGTGTGCTTGGTGCTTCTAGGGGCAGGTGTAGGGGCCATAGGGAAAGACCGTGAATTCAAGCTGATAAAACTGATGTGTGTATCGTCCCCAGTTGAAGAGGACTTTGAGGAAACATCTACTTTATACTTAAGCTTGTGTTCCCCACAGTTTACCATAATTACTCATGGACTTAATTATCTGCCATAGATAATTATCTGATACTAACACCTTGCACCTCCTTGTTTCCTCCCCCTTCCTTAAATCTACCCAGACACAGTAGGCAAGAGGGAAAATGGAGATGGCTTTCACTTTTCTCTTTGGCCTATTGCCTTATTTTCCTTTGGTCTCTCCTGATTTCTCTGAGGGCTTTGGGATTTATTTCTGTGGCTGATCATTTATATACAGGGCTTGCCAAAGGTCCTTGTGCAGGGCTTTTAAACTTTAACTGAGGTTGTGGGTATGACAGAGTGTTGATGTTTGCAAGCATGTCAAGTGGAACCATTTGAGACCATTGCAGCTGGGGCAGTTTTTATGGTCTGCAATCTAGTGTCAGGAGGTTGCCCAGAGACAAGAAAGGAAACAGTGTCCCTGGCTCATTTCTATACTCACGTAACCACCATTTATCTAGTGCCTACTGTATGCTCAGTGGCTCTTCACAATGACTCTGCCAGCAAGGAGAGCCACAGGAACTGAGAGAGCTGGGATCTCTGTGAATGACCCATGGGTGCTGGTTGTTTCTGGTTGAGTAGAGCCAGAGGACATGTTTAAAACTGCCAGGGACTTTTGCTGAACCTGCAGGAATTGTTTCCTGCCTGCCCCCCACTCTGCCCGCCCCGACCCAGCCCCTTCCTTAAGTCCATCCAGAGATAGTAGGAAAGAGGAAAAGTGAAGAAGGTATTCACTTTTCTTTTTGGCCTACTGCCTTATTTTCCTTTGGTATCTCCTGATTTCTCTGAGGCCTTTGGAACTGATTTCTATGGCTGATCATTTACCTGCAGGGGCTTGCATAGAAAGGGTTTCTTGGTACTGAGCCTGATAGGAATGTGGCAGAGGGAGGAGAGAGAGCTGAGGGTCTCCCTGACGCCTTGGCTATCTCCCAGGCTGGGCAGAGGGAAAGGTGGCAGAGTTGGCAGGGTGAGGTGCTGGTATGGAAGAGGATTCAATCAGAGCACGTCAAATATCACTTAAGGGCCTGGAGGGAATTTCACAACCAGTGAGGCACTTTTCTGTGACCAAAACTTTTTACACATTATTTGCTTTAATCCTCATGGTAGCCCTAAAAGGTGTTATTCTTCGCATTTTGTAGATGAGGACACAGAGGCCCAGGGAGGCTGTAACTAGGAATGGTTGGTGTATTCTGATTCTGTTGGCCAGGTTAATTCTTTTTTTTTTTTTTTTTTGAGATAGAGTCTTGCTCTGTTGCCCAGGCTGGAGTGCAGTGGCGAGATCTCAACTCACCACAACCTCCGCCTCCTGGGTTCAAGTGATTCTCCTGCCTCTGCCTCCCATGTAGCTGGGACTACAGGTATGTGCCACCACACCTGGCTAATTTTTGTATTTTTAGTAGAGACAAGGTTTCACCACATTGGCCAGGCTGGTCTCGAACTGCTGACCTCAAGTGATCCTCCTGCCTCGGCCTCCCAAGGTGCCGGGAATAACAGGCGTGAGCCACTGCACCCAGCCCATATTGATTCATTTAAAACCTCATAAGAATCCTGCAGGTGGCATATTATGATTCTTGTTTACCCATGTAGGACTGAGACCCAGACCCAGAGACCACAGACAGGAGGTAGTAGAGCCAGGGCTTGAACCCATATCACCAAGCTGCCTCACCGGGCTTCCTTATGAAGGAGTTCCTCCTTCCACCCTTGAAAGCCGGGAGCAATTTGCCCATGAGCCACCCAGCCCTTCAGTGGCGAGGGGAGTGGGGCACAGGGTGGTGAGTCTTGCTGAGAGAATCCCCTTTCCAGTCAGATCTGAGAGCTTCCCCCACTCCCTTCCCACACAGAGTCACGTAGCTTTCAGCCTGGAGCTCTGCAGAGACGCAGCTCCCAGACCTGCATGCCCAGGCTGGGGGGGGTCCCTGGACCAAATTCAGTTTGTCCTTTGGCCTACCCAGTACCAGCATCTGGTAAGGCCCAGGACTACCTGGCATCAGGCACATTCCCGGGGAGCTTTTAAAATCCTGTCAGCCCTGCCCTGCTTTGAAATTTATCCAGAATCAGACCATTCTCATGCCCTCCGCTGCTACCACCCTAGTCCACGCCACTGTCATCTGCCGCCTGGACAACTGCAGTTCCCTCCTAATTGGTCTTTGTGCTTCTCTCCCCGTCTGCTAGTATAGCAGCTGGAGGGACTGTTTAATGGTGGAAGTTGGGTCATGGCACCTCTCCGCTCGAACCATCTGTGGGCTCCTATCTCACATACAAAGTGGACTCCAGAATCCTTCGTGGCCCATGAGGCCCACGTCATCTTGTCCCCTCTCCAACCCCATTACCTCTCTGGCCTCATTTCCTCCCATCCCTGCTGCTGTTTTTCAAACATGTGAAGTGCAGCCAGCCTAGGGCCTTTGCACTGCTGTCCCCTCTGTCTGGACTGTTTTCCTCCAGATCTTCCCTCACTTTCTCCAGGTCTCTGCTGAGATGTCATCTTCTCAGGGTGACATTTCTTGACTCTTCTTCTCCAGCACACTCTATTATCTCGGTGCTGCTTTCTTTTTCTTTGGAGTTCTCAGCCTGACTCAGACATGTTATATTTCAATTTGTTTTCCTCTCCCTGCTAGAATGCATCTCCATGAAGACAAGGAACCGAGCCTGTCTTGTTCAAGGCTGTACTTCTAGTGCCTAGAATAGTGGTTGGAATAAGTAGGTCCTAAAAAATAATTATTGAATTAATTTATTAAATGGTTAGTTGAGCTCTATGATTTTCCCTCTTTGGGACTCTGCCTGAGAAGCCAATCAGCTGCTGAGAGGTCCCTCCCTGCATCTGAGGGAGCCTGGGAGTCTCGGGGGCAGAGGGCTGGGCCTTGGGTACTCCGGCTGAGGGCTCCCCAAAGATTCCTCTCCAGTTTGGGAACCACCGGCATCCTTGTTTGTCTCTGCACTAGCTTCCAGTCACCCCTTCTGGGGAATTATCTGAAAACAGACATTTTCTATCTCATCTGCCCACAATGACAACAGTGAATTAAAATGGGTTGGCTTACCAGCTAAACATTGGGGATATTCAAATGCCCATTGAGTTCTCAGAGCCATACAGATACTGGCAGTAGCCAGAGGAGATGTCATCCATGCTCCTGAGGGTCTCCCTGTAGAGTTGCAGCTAAGCTGTGCCCAGAACAATAGGATTCACTCAATGCTCTGGGATGTGATAGACCAGAAGGAGAGAAACTGATGTTGAGTGAATCCTTCCTGTGTGTGGTACACAGCCACAGTGCTTAGGTAGTACGAGTATTTGGTAATGCCCAGGACTACCTGGCATCAGGCACATTTCCAGGGAACTTTTAAAATCCCCTCAGCTCTGCTTTGAAATTTAAAGTGTTACAACCTTGAGGTTGATAATGGTGTGCCCATTTGATGGGATGGGGAAATTAAGGCTCTGAATCGATGGGAACAAGGCTTTTATGGACCCCACAGCCTTAGGAGTAACTGAGAAAGGCTCCAAGGAAGGACTCATAAGCAGGCCATGAAGGACCGGTGGTATTCCTGTCACTGAAACAGTGCAGCCTCAAGTGTAGCACAGATGGTGAGGTACGAGTGCTGTATAAGGTGGAGCCCGGATGGTTTTGAGATGGCCCATTGAGTATGAACAGGTGTGTCTTCCTTTTTCCTATTACTGATTACCTGGGAACAGGGAGAAGTTTTTTTTTTTTTTTTTTTTTTTTTTGAGACAGGGTCTTGCTCTGTTGCCCAGGCTGGAATGCAGTGGCGTGATCTCAGCTCACTGCAAGAGAGGGTGTTTTATTTATTTATTTATTTTTATTTTTATTTTTTTGAGAGAATGTTTTAAATGAAGCCCCAGAGAGCTGAGGAACTCTGGAGAAACCCTGGCATCAACTCTCCTCCACACAGGACCTGTGCCTTCTTGGTGTCACCAGGGACCAACCCAGCCAATGCTTATCTGAGTACATACAGCTCAGCCTCTAGTCTCCAGGAGCAATGGAGAGTAAACCTCTCTAGTGTTGGAGGTTTTGTGGATGGGGAAGACAGAACATTGCTATGTCCAGGTTTGGGGGATGGTGCTGGCATGCTTCGGCCCTTCAAGCCCTTATGAAATAAATGCTTCTTGCTACTCAGCCCATGTAGTGGGATTAGAGCTGTGTGTAGTACACAGCCACAAAGCTTATGTGGGCATTGGGGGCGGGGGGGCCAAAAGAGGCACCTGTCTTCTTGTAGCCAGTGTAATTGACTTGTTCATATAATCACTTGTTCATCAGCCTTTATTAGCTCCTACTCTGTGCCAGGTGGCACCATGCCAGATCCTGGGGCCACAAAAACAAGGACATCTTCAGGGAATTCACAGTCCAGTGTGGGGAGATGGATAAACCAAAGATGACATGCAGTGTAGTGGGGACTGTGTGACATGAAAGCAGTAGAGCTGTGGTGTGGAACTTACGGTCACAAAGCTTTAGGGTGGCAGGCTTGAGTTTGAATGTCATCCTAACCCAGCCACTTACCAGCTTTGACTTTGGGGAAGTTCTTGGTCTGTGTTAAGTAGTTATATACCTTAGCTCATTTATTCTTCAAATCTATCTAGTGAGGTAAAAATTTTCTCCATTTTGTAGCTCATTTCGTAGCTGAGGAAATTGAAACTTGGAAAGAGTGAGTAATTTGTCTATGGTCTCTCAGTAAATAAGTGACAGGACCAGGATTCTAGTCCAGGTCTGATTCCAGAGTTCCTGCTCTTCCCACTCTAACAAGGTAAAGAGAATGAGTTTTGTCCTTGCTCCCACATGGCCAGGGCCCTCTGAGAAATTAGCTCTGGGACAAAGGGGTTTTGGTTTTGATTTTAAGCTGCATTAATGGAAGTTTCATCCCCAGAACACAGGAGGTGATGGTGCTGCTCTGCTCTGGGGAGATCACAGATGGAGCACTGGGGCGCATTCATGGGTCACCCCTTTGAGGAAGATGTGGCTATTTGGGGTCCTTCTGAAGGGTTGACTGTGATGGGCACTGGAAACCTTGTCTCCCAAGCAACAGCTGAATGAACTGGGGGTATTTTACATGGAAAAGAGGAGACCCACAGGGACATGAGGGCTGGCTGCAGATATCTGAAGGGCTGCCACATAGAAGAGTCTCATCCTCTGTGAAAGCTACAGGGAGAAAGGTTTTGGCCCCAGGTTTACAACGATACCTTCTGAAATATTTGGGATGTAGTGAGTTCACTATCATCAGAGGTAATCAAGCATGGGATGGGCTGGATGCGGTGGCTCATGCCCATAATCCCAGCACCTTGGGAGGCTGAGGTGGGTGGATGACCTGAGGTCAGGAGTTCGACCAGCCTGGCCAACATGGTGAAACCTTGTCTCTACTAAAAATACAAAAAATTAGCTGGGCATGGTGGTGGGTGCCTGTAATTCCAGCTACTTGAGAGGCTGAGGCAGGAGAATCGCTTGAACCCAGGAGGCAGAGGTTGCAGTGAGCTGAGATCACACCATTGCACTCCAGCCTGGGCAACAAGAGTGAAACTCTGTCTCAAAGAAAGGAAGAAAGGAAGAAAGAAGGAAGGAAAGAAGGAAAGAAGGAAGGAAGGCAGGAAGGCAGTGGAGAGTATGGAGTAAATGCCTTCTGCCATTCCTCTGCCCAGAGTTCCTGACTGTCCCTTGGCTGCTCTGGATGTGGCTCCCAGGGCAGCCCTAAGGAGAGGTTTAGATTGCATCTCTCTCCAAGCCCAGATCTTCTCAATAGGCTCAGCTTTGCATGTTCCCTCAGGTACGGTGGGAGGAACACAAAGTTAGAACCAGAATTAGGAGACCTGGGTTTGGATCCTGGCTTAGCCCCTTACAGCTGCCTGACCTGGGGCAAGACATTTGCCTTCTCTGTGAAAGGGGATCACATCAGTCCTTCCCCTGTAGGTGAGGTAGTGAGTAGGAAAGCACTTTGTTAAGGAGAGAGGGTACAGACACTGGTTATTAACAGGTGCAGTCAACTTCAGGGAGCCTGGCCTTCCACACACTGTCTGAGAAAACTTCACCCAGTGGTGGTGACCCAGGATCTGTGCCATGCCAGGTATTTTAGAGAATGAAATAGGTTTTGGCCCTAGGTTTGTCCAGAGCTCTCTGAAATATGTTATCAAATGAGTTTCCTGACAGTAGCAATGAGTAAAAGAATCCTCTGCCCTCAAGGCTAGTTGAGTGTAGGAGGCAGAAAGAGTTTGGGACAGGTGTTGAGAAGGGAGGGATCCAGGAAGCCTTCGTGGGGAAAGTGACATTTGAGTTGGGCCTAGACAGAGGCTTCATTATGCAGGAAAAGGAGCAGGCAAAGGTTACAGCAGAAGCAAAGAAGCAACTTGTTTAAAGGGGTGGGGTAAGGAGTTCCTGGGAGGCTGTTTTACATTCCCTTCATTTCTCAAATGAAGATGAGGTCCAGAGATGGGAAGTGGGTTTCCTAGCAGGGATAGGGTAAGCAAAGGTTAGAACCAATGCCCAGCACCTCACCTGGGGCTGTTTTCACCACGCCTCAAGGGTGCGTCTCTACTCGGAAGCCATTTCTCCTGGTTCTGCCTCCTGCCAGGCTGTTCTGTCTTAAGGAGGAAAAGGAGGGAGCAAAAGTTGTATTTACCAAAGGAGCTGGTTGGGCAGGTCTCCTTTCCGAGGTCAAAGTCAAGGCCAAGGTTGGCCTAGCTGGCTTCTGGGGGGCGGAGCCAGGCCTTGGCTGGCCACCAGGTCAGTGGGGGGTGTGGGGGATGGGAGGTCGGGGAGGCTTTTGGTTGGGAGGGAGTGATCACTGGTGGGGACTGAGGTTTTTCCAAGGCATTGCCCCTGTGAACAGTGGGCTGAAAAGATTACAGCCCACACATTCTTTCTCAGCAGATTAGGGCCATGGGAGATTATGGAATACACAGGAGGCTGTAGGAGGCCTGCAAATTTCCCATTTGGGGCAATTAATTTGATGGATTGTAAAACAGCTCACTGCTTCCTCTCCGCCTTCCCTGGGCTGGGTTGGGCTGGGCAGTAAGACTGGCTGGAGAATGTGGCTGGAAATGCCCTTGCCGGTGTTCTGCAGTACCTGCTTGGACCACCTTGTTAAAACCTTCTCTGGGCAGGGGCTCGGCCTGCCCCTTTCCTGCCTCCCTTCCTGGTACAAGGAAGATCATATAGTAGGTGCTACATAAAGCTATGCAGAGCTGATACTTATCTGATTGGGGCCTTTCCAGGATGTTGGTAGAGGTGGGGCTCATGGTGGAAGCTCTGGTTTATAGATGGGGAAGCTGAGCCCCAGCGGTGAAGTCACCTGCCCAAGGTTACTCAGGTTGTTGGTGACAGCTGGGACTCCAGCCAGGTTTCTCTACTCCTGGGCCAGGGCGTCTTCTCCCCACTTGTGTGCTCAAAGTGAAAGTGAAATAAATAGTGAGCAATTTTTATGGTTTCTCTCCCCTGACTTCCTCCTTGCCTCCAGCCAGTCAGTAGGGTCCCCACTTTGGTGACTGTGGGCAAGGTGTGACATGGTTCTGCTGGCATCTCCCCAGCAGCTTTGCAGCATTCCCAGGAGGGCTCTGGTGGGGCTGCACTTTTCTTATGTACTCAAAATGTGTCTGGGCTCATTCGATGCCTCCCTTCTCCATGGGGTCTTGCACCTGTGATTTGTAACAGATTCTTGTGATTAGTCCTTTCTCTGGTGCCTCCTAAAGACCCCACTGTCACCAACTCATATCTGCAGCGGTGCAGATGGTTCCGACTGGTTTTCTTGCCTCCATCCTGTTCTCCCTACAGGGGCCCAAATACCTCATCCTGATATGCTTCCTGATGAGGGCCTTCAGAGGTGTCCTGACTTGGGCTTCTCTTCCTGTGTCTGTGTCCTGTTAAAGCACACCATTCCCCTCTGGCCTGAACACACTCCACAACATCATAAGCTGTAGCACTCTCTTGCTTCTTTGTCTTTGCTTTTGTAGGAATGCCCCCTTCCATCCAGGTAATTCCTATGCATCCTTTAAGACTCAGGCATTACCTGGGAAGCCATCTGTGGCCACCCGCCATCAAGGGTTTGTGATATCCCTCCATTTGTGCTTTCATTCATTTAGTTAGCAGTGCTTTCATTCATTTGTTATGTACTGAGAAGCTTTTCTGAGCCTGACAGTGTTGTACTGAGGAGTACAGTAGTGAACAAAAGGAGGGTGCCTGTGGGCATGGAGCTTGCATGCTAGCATCCTCTCTTGCCACATATCACCTTAGTCTGTGTAATGTCTCTCTGTCTCTCCCTCATTAGCCTGTGAATTATCTTTATGTTTGATTGATTCACATATCTGTCCCCAGCACTCAGCACAGTATTAAGTAACAAGCACAGTGTTTCTTCAAGCAAGAAAACTTAAAATGTTAATGCGGAATGAACGGATGGATAAGTGGTTCCGCCTTCCCTGCCCCTCTTAGGCTGTCTAGCTGTTGTGTGTGGCTGTCCCCACCCCCACCCCAAGAGCTCTCTTGCCCCTTGCACTCTTGGCACTGCATTTGCTGCTCACGTGACTGTCCTGCTTCATGTTACACCTTTTTGTGTCTACATCTCTCTCACATTGTTGTAAATTTCTTCAAGGCAGGGTCCATTCTAGTTCAGTTTTGTGTATCTGGAATTTCTATACTTGATATTAGCCAAAAGGTTGAGAAGCAAGTGTACTTGGAATTTCTGCCTGTCCTCACATTCAGTAAAATGAACAGCAATTCACAAAGCAATGTGTAAAGAAATCAAAATGTAAGGACACAACTAGGTGCCTAGGAGTGGGTTGGTTTATTCATAAACGTGTAGTGGGCACCTGCATGCCAACCCTGGGCCAGGTGCTGGGCATTCTTAGATGAATGAGGCAGAGGCATCTGCCTCAAGGGCTTCTGAAGGCTTCCTTCCTTGAGGAAGAAGAACATGCAGACAGGGTGAGGAGGTGCCCAGCCCGCTGGCACCCAAGACACTTATGGTATAGGATATCCGGATCCTTCCTTTTGATGAAAGAAGATGCCATCACAGAGTTAAGGGGGCTGTCAGGCCTCAATTTTAATCCCACTTCTGTTGCTTGCCAGCTGTGTGACCTTGGACAAGTGAGTCAACTTTTCTGAGCTTCAGTTTCCACATCTATAGTCAGTAGCTAGTAAGAACATCTACCTTGTAGGGTCATTCATTCCTTTATTAAATGAATATTTATTGAGTGCCTACTTGGAGCCAGGCATTGTTCTAAATGCTGGGATGGGATAGTGAACAAAATCAATAAAGGTCTCTGCCCTCATGGAGCTTACGTATTAGCAGGAGAGAAAGAGAGCAAACGAAATGGTTAAAATATATAGTATCAGAGGATGGTAAGTGCTATGGAGAAAAATGAGCAGGAAAAGGAGACAGGAGGCCTGGGTGTGAGAGTGGAATGGTCAGAAGAGGCCTCTTTGTGGAGATGACATTTGGGTAGAGATCTGATCAAGCCATGTAGGGGCAGGACATGCCATGACGAGGAAACAGCAAGGAGGCCAGAGTGGATGGAGCTCAGGGAGTAGGAGTTGAGACTGGAGAGGTGCAGGCCCTTGACTTGAGCTTTCACCCTGAGTCAGCAGAGAATTCACTGGACGGCTTTGAACAATGGAAGGCTTTGAACAGAGGAGTGGCATGATCTGACTTTTGCTTTAGAATAAGGATAATTATTCTAAATATTTATTCTAAATATTCTAATTATTCTAAGTACTTATTCTAAATATTTTAATTATTTAGGATAATATTCTAAAATATACTTATTCTAAAGAAAAGTCAGATCATGCCATTCCTCTGTTAAATTATGGTTGTTGTACGTAGAATAGACTGATTAAAGATAATGTAGGTAGCATGTTTAACACAGTACCTGGTATGAAATAAGCCCTCATTAAATGGTAGTTTTGTTCTTCATGATAATATTATTTTAAAATTCTTTTTATTTTTTATTATTTTTTGAGATAGGGTCTCACTCTGTTGCCCAGGCTGCAGCCTCGACCTCCTGGGCTCAAGTGACCCTCTCACCTAAGCCTCCTGAGTAGCTGGGGCCACAGGTGTATGCCACCATGCCTGGCTAATTGTTAATTTTTTTTTGTAGAGACCGGGTCTTGCCATGTTGCCCAAGCTGGGGTAATATTATTAAAGATGGACCTGGGTGCCTTCTAGTCTTGGCCTGGGCCCTCATTCCACCTATCTTCTGCCCTTTTGGGAGCTACGGCATCCAGGGAGCCTTCTCCCTGAGGAGGACAGTGATGAGTATTGGACTTGGGAATGAGCAGGGAGAAGGTGACTGATTCTTTGGCTGTTCCTGCCTGGATCTTCTGTTTAGTAGTCATGGTGAGGCGTGGTGGTGCGGCAGTGGAGACAGGAGAAGAATCTTGGCCTCCACAAATCTAGACTGGGGAGCTCAACCTGCAGGCCAGAAGCTGCCAGTAAACGAGAAATGCCACATCAGCAGCCCTATGAATTCTGCTTTTCCTATCTGGTTGTTAGGGTTCCCAGGAGGGGCTACAGCTGTACCCCAGAGCTGCCCTCCTCCTCCCAGACTTCATGGTGGGCATCCCTCCTCACTACCTCCATCCCTGGAATCTCAGGCCTTTATGGAAAGGTCTCAAGCCTCTCACATGGTCTGATGTGGTTTGCCTATTCACCTGATATAGAGACTCCTTCGGCAGCAGTGCTGACCAAACTGCTTCTGCTCAATGACTTTGTATAACAGGGAGAGTTCACTACCTCACAAGGAAGCCCCTCCTGTAATTGTCACATTCTCATTGATAGGAAGTTCCATTTCAGGTTGAGCTGAAATCTTCTCTGCTCTGACTTCCCCCATTGCTTTTGGTTCTGAAATAAGAGTGAGTCAGTTATAGTCCTCTCCAACCTTCCCATCCCCTGTGCTACCTCCATGAAGCAAAGGTTTACTGGTGTCCCAAGAGGCTCTGTTCAGTTCTTGCTCTGTTACTCAGCCTGATCATCTGGTAGGAGGCCCAGGAAAGCTTAATAGAGCACATGATGCTTGAGTGGGCTCCTGAAGGGTGAGGGGTGAGCCAGGTCAGGAAGGGAAGAAAGGCCTTTGAGTCAGAAGGTAAGGCAGTGTCTCGAAATAGTGTGTGGAGTCCAGGAATCCTAGATAGTTCAGTATCTCTGGAGTAGTTGGGAGTTTCTCTCTCTCTCTCTCCCTCTCTCTCTCTGTCTCTCTTTCTCCGTGTGTGTGTGTGTGTGTGTGTGTGTAGGGGATAGTGAGGGAGGTGAAGTCTGAGAGGTAAGAGAGGTAGACCCAAGCTAAAGCATGGAGGGCCACCTGTGCCTGGGTCAGGTCGTGGACACAGGTGGCAGAGGTCAGAGAGCTGCACAGGAGGACGGGTTTTAGAACTGGTTTGTTTGGGGCTCCGGTACCACGGGTTTCACATTGGCCTAGAGCTGATGAATGGCTTTCTGAGCACCACTGACTCTGCTTCCTGCTTTCGTCTAGGGTTCCTGATTAAACCTGTCCTTGAGATCTCTGTAGAGTGGGACAGGGACAGTAAGCACTTTGAATGTGCTAGTCACCCTGGACATTCTGTTTCTGGGCTCAGCACTGGATGAGCCAGGCTTTCAGCCCCTGCACCCCTTTCCTGGGTTGGGGTGGGGGCCAGGTGCTGTAGCCAGGGGCAACTGGCTCGCCTCAAGCTTGCCTGTGTCCCAGAGGTGGCTGGACACACAGGTCTGTCTCTGCCCTGCAAGGTTTCTGATTTATGCAGGGAGCCTGCATTTGCCCTTGGCCAAATTCTTTGGGCATAAAGCTTTTGTAAAGGGGCTTGGGGCCCTTCCAGGGCATTAACAGTTTCTTTATGCCCCATTCAGATATCTATTTGTATCTGATTTTTATATATTTCCAAAGTACTTTCCCAGCTTCCTGGGGGAGACTTGTTCCCCCCAGCCTGGCCAGATCATTGGGAACCTTCTGGCAGACCTGCCTCACGCTGCTGGCATATGGAGTGTCCTCTCACCACCGTCTGTCCTTCCTGGTGTCTTGCATGCCGAAGGGCCGAGGGTGGAGTGGGGTTTTTTGTTTTGTTTTTAAATAAGGGCAACGTGGGTAAACAGAGCAGTGTTTCTGGTGCCTTCGGGGAGGGCCAGGACCCTGCATTCCGGCTCCATGACGACAGCCTGTTTGGTTGCCACTTGCTGGGCTGTGGGCAGCAGCAGTTCAGACGGAGACAATGGTGGCTCTGTTGAAATGCTGCTGCTGGGCTCTGGCAGAATGCATTTTAATTGGACATTCTCCACCCTGGAATCTGTGGGGATCTGGTGGCCCACTCCTCCTCATTCCTTCATTTTTCTCTTTGCAACTCAAGAGCCAAGTTATTGCAGCTCCTTCCCCGCCCCGCCCCCCAACCCCGTCTACTATTAGCAGCCTCTTGGGGGAAAATGGTGTTTCTAGCCAGGGCATGGTTTGCACTGGGCTGACTGGAAATAGTGAGAGAAAGGGAGAGGGTAGGGGGCTGGAGGGGCTGGGAGATATCCTGTGGCCTGTTCTGGAGCATCACTGAGGGGTGAAGAGCAGCAGGTGTTCCAGGAAGCTCTTCTCTTCCGTGGACCAGGGTGGTCAGGAACACTGGCTCTGAAGTCAGGCCAACTGGGTTGGAATCCTGGTGGTAGCACTGCCAGCTGAACCTCTCTGTGCCTCAGTTTTCTTATGTGTAAATTGGGGATAATACTAGTGTCTACTCGTAGAATCATTGTGAGAATTAAATTAACATATATGAAGTACTCAGGATAATCATACCTGCATGTAGTAAACACCTGATAAGAGCCTCCATCACTATATTTTGTCATTTTAATCTTATGTCCTGGTCATCGATATTCCATTCCTTGTAAGGGCCTCATCTGAGACTGCAGGAGGAACAGAGCAACACTCTTTCTAAAATGCACATTTGCTTTTGTCACTCCCTGTCCTAGACAGCCTCAGTGAGTCCCCATTGATCTCTCTGCATAAAGAGGAGGGACTTGTGTTTATTGAAGGTATCAAAGGCCTACTATGTGCTGAGTACTTGGTGTTCTTTTAGATTAGCTCCAAAGTAGACACTGATATGTGAGACCCTTCATCATTGGGCCGTATCTTGCTGGTTTGTTGTTGTTTTTGAGATGGAATTTTGCTCTTGTTGCCCAGGCTGGAGTGCAGTGGTGCCATCTTGGCTCACTGCAACCTCCGCCTCCCGGGTTCAAGCGATTCTCCTGCCTCAGCCTCCTGCTAATTTTTTTGTATTTTTAGTAGAGACGGGGTTTCTTCATGTTGGCCAGGCTGGTCTCAACTCTTGACCTCAGGTGATCCATCCACTTTGGCCTCCCAAAGTGCAGGGATTATAGGTGTGAGCCACTGTACCTGGCCATCTTGCTGGTTTTTTATTCCCCTATCCCCCCCAAACCAAACCAAACAAAAACATAACTACCTCAAAGAACAGCATGTTCTTCTCTGATGTCTCATCTGCTTTCATCCGCCATGCCTTACTGAGCATTCTGCCTTCTGCCAGGATTGCCCTGTGGGAGGCGGCTGTGGATCCAGGAAAACAGACTGGACTGGGGAGTGTCTGGGGATTTCCTTACCATTCTCCCCCATGGGGCAGCCTGTGGAGAGCCCACTTGCCAGGCTCTCTCTGTGGGACCAGCTCTGGTTTGAATCCTGGCTCCACCACTAACTGTGTGGCCCTAGACATGACCTCAGACTAGTGCCCGTCTCATACGCTTGTTGATGAGATAATCCACACAAAGCCTTGAGTACAGTGTCTGACATGCTGCGAGGGCTCAGCAGATGCTAGCTGTTCTTGCTATTGTGATTCTTCCCGTTTTCTGTTTGGAATGTCTGTCTTTCTAGGCTCAATGCTGGACTGAGTTTCTTTGAAGGAAACAAGCATTGAAGAGGTTCCATGGATCAGGGAGGTCTAAGTAGGGGTTCCTTTGTTCTGCCTTGCACTTCCTGTGGCTGTTGGTCATTACTGTGGGTCGTACCCATTTTTGCCTCCCTCTAGTCTGCCTGTGGCAGGACCCCTTGCTTCTCAGCCACTGAGTGTACCTGCCAGTGTGGCCACTCCTTGTGGGATAGCTGGGGGTAGACACAGGTTAGCCTTACAAGATGTGGAGACCCTGCCTGTGTACACAGACCTGCTTGCTTATGATGGACTTGCCTGTGAGTTAATCAGTCACTAGATAGCCAAATGAGGAGAAATATTGGTAGACCAAAGAGAATTGCTGCGACTCAAGATTAGCCAGAGAAACCAATCTCTGTGAAAGAAGGAGGAAATATGTCTTTTTTTTTTTTAATCTTGCTGACTTTGTAGGGCCAGGTTCTCAAAGTTTGAGTATTTTGCAAGTATATCTCCATTGAAAACAACAAAAATGGTAAAAGGCTTTAGAAAGGGTTGGAGGAAAAAAGAATGGAAAATTTTAGTTTCAGGGAGCTATGGTGATGTATGGTTTATGCCACCTCAGTTCCCCTATTATTGGGTTTAATATTCAGGAGAGCTAGGGCATCATCCTGGTTCTGTCACTAACTGACTGTGTGACCTTGAGCAAGGTGGGCCTCAGATCCCATGTCTGTAAAATGGGAATGTCTTACCCTGAAGGTGGGGCTGGAGCTTTGCTCTGAAGGTGGTGGGGGTGGAGGTGGAATGACTTGAGGCACTCGAGTAAAGAATCAGGTTGGGAGGCTGGATGCGGTGGCTCATGCCTGTAATCCCAGCACTCTGGGAGGCCGAGGCAGGTGGGTCGTGAGGTTAGGAGTTCGAGACCAGCCTGGCCAACATGGTGAAATCCCGTCTCTACTAAAAATACAAAAATTAGCCAGGCGTGGTAGCGCGCCTGTAATCCCAGCTACTCGTGAGGCAGGAGAATTGCTTGAACCCGGGAGGCGGAGGTTGCAATGAGCCAAGATCGTGCCACTGCGCTCCAGCCTGGGCAGCACAACAAGACTGCGTCTCAAAAACAAAACAACAACAACAACAACAAAAGAATCAGGTTGGAACTTTACAAATCTTGTTCTGGTGGCTGGGGAGGGAGGCCTGTTTTAGAGGACCCCTGTGACCATAAAATGAGAGATGATACAGGCCTGAACTGCAGCAGGGTGTGGGCGTGGGAGACAAGGGGAGGCATATTTGTATGAGTACTTGTGTGTGTTTATATGTATATGCTTTGGGAAAGGGTAAACTCTGTATATGCACATTGGATAATTTCATTGCTTATTGAGGTAGTCAAAAGTACAGACACCCAGCAGTTCCATCACTATGGTGACTCCGTCCTTCCAGGGTAGTAAGTAGACAAGTTGCAAAGGTATGCATACAGGGATGTTCATTGCAACTTGCTTATAATGCTAAGAAATTGCAAACAACCTAACTGGCCATCCATTAGGAACTGGTTAATGAAATTTCGGTACCATCCAACTATTAAATGATGCTGCAGATCTGTTTTTCTAAATACAGCAAGATACACATGTACATCAAATGAAAGAATGGAAAACCACACGTGCAGCATCTAGCCTGCTACCACTTTGCCATTATTCTCTGTGATTCTAAAGCCCATCATGGTTGGGTTTGCTCAGGCCTGCTACACCTCTTTCCCTGTGATTGACTTTCTCTCTCTTGTTACTCATGTAACTGTTTTGCATCAGGTCTCTGTGAACAAGGACCATGCCTTGCTTTTGTTTCCCGTGTTTCCTTCAAGCAATAGGAGTAGGTGGCCACTAATTACTGCAGAATTTAATTGAGGGACGTGAACAAAAGGCCTTGTTATCAGCATTAAGTGATATTAAGCTGTAGGCTGATTCTCCCTCTCTTACAAAATAGAAACTGTGTCTGGCCCATAAAGAGGCTTTTAAACTAAAGTTGTGTTAACAAAGACCTCTTTCCAGAGACCTCCCTGCTTGAGGGGAGCTGGAGTAAATTCAGGCTTTGTTTCCTCTGTCTTAGGGAGCCAGCTGGAGGTGAGGGGACAGGAGGTGTGCCTGCTGTCCAACCGATTTTAATGCACAAGATCTCAGTCAGTGGGTTTTTGTTGGAGTGGCAAAGGGGGAGGGAAAGCCTTGCCTCAAGTCTGCTGGGTGCTGGGCCCCTGATGTTGTCTTGTTTCATCCTCACAGCAGACCGAGGATGAGGGAAATACTCTACCTCATCTTACAGACAAGGATACCAAGGCTCAGAGAGGTTGAATAACTTACTTAAGTTGCCCAGCTAGGAACTGACAAAGCGAGGATTTGACCATACTGTGTGCCTTGATCTAGTTACCAAAGATCCTAGAGCAGCTACTGGGCCACAGTCTGGGCACTTAGGCATAGTTGCTGAGCAGGTTTGGCACTGGGATGATGGGAAAGGGGTGGGAGGCTCTGAGTTGGGGCAGGATGGGCGTTAACCAGCTAGGTATTTATTTCATATCTGCTGTGTAAACAGCATGGTGCTGGGCACTGAGGGGATATGGAGAAGAGGGTGACACCGTCCTTGTCTATTTAACCATTTGGTTGAAGTCATTCATTCTTACCTAAAGAAATACACCAGGGGATCGGGAGGGATAAATAGGGGCATAGAAAACAAGAGGTAGAGGAAGTCTGAAAAGGCACAGTTAGCAGGACTGACATGGGTGGGGAAGGTTTCATTGAGGAGGGAGACGTGTGAGCAATGTGTAACAGTGGAAGGTCTGGGCTGAAGTGGGGGCTCTTGAAGTTGAGAAGTGGGAGCCTGTTTGGAAAGGGAAGGAGGGAGGTGGTCAGGAGGCCTTGGGCACTGGATCCAGGAGTTCTCTCTGATTCTCTGAGTAATTAGGAGCTGTCGTAAGCTTTTGAACAAGGAGTTGACATGGTGGGAAACAGTTTGAAGGTGATTCTTCTGGCCATGGTTTGTTTAAAGTGCAGAGTGGTGGAGGGAGAGAGGAGGAGGTTACCTCATTTTTCTAGAAAGTTTACCCATCTGCAAGATTAGTAGTGAGAGGGATGGGGATGCTCTGGCTGAGGTGCACTGGGGGATCTCAGGTCTTGACTTGGACAGTGTGGTGGTAGGAAGAAACAGATAGCTGTGTGTTCTGTGTCCTGGAGTGTAACTGCACACTGCCAGGTGCTCAGCTTGAATGGCTGGCATGCAAGCATACGTGTATGCATCCATTCAGCAATTATTTATTGAGTGCCTAGCATGGCACATGAGCTAGGCTTATGGTAGTGAGCTAAGCAGGCATGATCCCCTGCCTTGGGTCTGGCTTTAAAAGTAAATGTCCTATGAGACCAAAAAAATGACAGGAAGACATCCGAACCGCTCTAAGAAAACAGTTTGTTCCATAGCTTGGTTGTGCCAATAGAGGGAAAGCATTACTTCTCTTTGCAGAAGTGTGGCTTACAGAGGAGGGTCTGGGACAGATCTTGCCTAGAGGGCTGGGGATTTTAGATAGCAGCTAGTCCAACCACCTTCATAAGAGGGAAGTTAAATAGGGCCTCACAGAAGTTGGGGAAATTCCTTCAAGTTGTACAGCACATTGCTACGTCTCTGTGCTTGTCAGCATTCTGGCCCCGTACCACACCGTCTCTGCTCTATGGCTGAGCCAGCCTTTCTAGCCTGTTTTCTCCCCTTGAGTGAGGGAAGAGGGGTGCTGGAGGAAACAAGGGGAATAGGGTAGACTATTAGAAATTGAATAAGAAAACCATTTTAAATAGGGCAAACCACAGAGGAGCACTCTCCCTTCTTCTGTGGGCTAGGGAGCCCCCATCAGAATTTCAAAGAGACATTGCATGGCCTCTGATCTTTGCCAATTTCCCAAAGTTCATAGCTTACTCCCAGGCCTTATTTCTTAAGGCCTAGGTGGTGGGGACCAAGATGTCACTCACTCTAGAATGCCAAATACCCTGAGAAATTCCAGGGGCTTTCTTTTTGAGCCTTGGGGCTCTGGCCAAATAGCTCCTGGTATGGTTGCAGCCTCAGATCCATTGATGAGTACCTATGCCTGGCAAGGGCTGAGCCAAAAGGGGCCAGAGGGATGCAGACCATTCATGAGTACAGCCCCTTCCTGAGGTGGGGGCCGGCTAGCCCACAAGCAGCTATGCTGAGCCTCTGAATGATGTGAGTCCTAGAATGGGGACCCACACACAATACTTTGCTAGCTGAGAGAATAACGTGATTGTGGCTGGAAGAGTTACAGATGGCAAAATTGGAGCTTTACTTCAAGCATTTAAAAAAGTCATAAAGTTACTTATATTCACTGTTGTAAATTTAGACAATGCAGACAAGCAACAAGAAAATAAAAATCCCTTGTAATCCTATCACCCAGAGATAATCCCTGTTAACATCTTGTTGTCTATCTCTGTGTATCTATGTATTTATATGTGTGTTTTAACAAAAATGGGATAATATATAGTTTTGTATTTTCTCACTTAACTATATAGTTTTCTCTCTCGGCATCCATTGGGGATTGGTTCCAGGAGCCCCCACAGATAGCAAAATCAGTGGATGCTCAAGTTTCTTACAGTTGGCCTCCATATCCATGGGTTCTCTGACATGGAACCCATGGATATGGAGAGCTGACTGTGTATTTGAAAAAATATACATGTCCTTAATTTATGTTTATCTCATCAGTTTTAATGGCTGCATACGATTTCATTATACAGTTGAATTACGATTTACTTAGCCAGTAATCGATAAAATTTTTTGGAGTTGTCTTCCAAAAGGGAGTATCTTTATTGTGGTAGCTGATCACAAAATAAATACATGCTTATGTTGAATTTTTAAAAAAGCTAGTCTCAAAAGGTTGTATAGTATATTATTTCATTGATAAAAAATTCTTGAAATGACAAAATTATAGTAATGGAGAACAGATCAGCGGAAGACTTAGAAGAGGGTACATTTCTTTGAAGTGGTGGAACTGTCCTGTGTCCTGATTGTGGTGGGGCACACATGAATGTATGCATGTGATGAAATCTCATAGAACTGTACATATATACATAGTATATATAAAAACCTGGCTTCTTTCCGCGCCGATAGCGCTCACGCAAGCATGGTTAACGTCCCTAAAACCCGCCGGACTTTCTGTAAGAAGTGTGGCAAGCACCAACCCCATAAAGTGACACAGTACAAGAAGGGCAAGGATTCTCTGTACGCCCAGGGAAAGCGGCGTTATGACAGGAAGCAGAGTGGCTATGGTGGGCAAACTAAGCCGATTTTCCGGAAAAAGGCTAAAACTACAAAGAAGATTGTGCTAAGGCTTGAGTGCGTTGAGCCCAACTGCAGATCTAAGAGAATGCTGGCTATTAAAAGATGCAAGCATTTTGAACTGGGAGGAGATAAGAAGAGAAAGGGCCAAGTGATCCAGTTCTAAGTGTCATCTTTTATTATGAAGACAATAAAATCTTGAGTTTATGTTCAAAAAAAAAAAAAAAAAAAACCTGTGAAATCTCTGTGAGGTCTGTAGTTTAGTTAATAGTATTACCATGTCAGTTTTTCTGTTTTTGACAATTGCACTATTGTAATATAACATGTTATCACTGAGGGAAGCTGGCTGATCGGTACACAAGAATTCTCTGAACAAGAAGATTAGCATGGCCCCTGCGCAAGGATGACACGCAAATTTGTGAAGCGTTCCATATTTTGCGCAGTCTGTCAAGATCATTTCAGTATCTGCTAATTAGCACTAAGGAACTAGTGTGAATCTAAGCAAAAACGGGTGGCACCCAATGACGAAATTGTGGTTTTCATTACCAAAAAAAAAAAAAAAGAATTCTCTGAACAATTTTTTTTTTTTTTGGAGACAGGGTCTCCCTTTGTCACCCAGGCTGGAGTGTGGTGGCACAATCCTGGCTCGCTGCAGCCTCGACCTCCCTGGGCTCAGGTAATCCTCCCACCTGAGAATCTTACCCACGTAGCTGGGATGATAGGCGTGCACCACCACATCTGGTTTGAACTATTTTAAAATTTTTAAGTGAGTCTTAAATTTTCTTTCAGAGTGAAAAGTTTAAAACAAATAAAAATGAAAAATGTGCTTGTTGAATAACATTGACACTGTAAAAGGTATGTGATGATAAAGAAGAACCCTTTGGTAGAAGGTGGGAGAGGGGTCATGCAGGCTCAAGACAATGGCAGGAATGTCCTGGGGGTGTCCAAGACTGTCCAGGACTGGGCTGGTCCACAGGGAGGAAGTGGGTGATGTGGCAGGAGTGGATAGTCACCCGACTGAACAGGGCCTTTCATGTTTGATACTCACAGTGGATGGGGAGGAACACTCCAGAGGGAGACTCAGGTTGGAGGGCAGAGTGGTGACAGGGGAGGGCATGGACTTTGGAGGCAGACAGGGTGGGCTCAAGGCATAGGGCCCATCATAGGAAGCAGCTGCTCAGTCTAAGTTCCTGTCCCTCACTGATCCCCAGGCCTCACCTGCAATTGAATGAGAATCTCTGAGGTTGGGTCCCTGGCAGTATTTTCCTTTAAGCCCCCAAGTGATTTTAATGTGCAGCGAGGGTTGAGAACCATGTGGTTAGACTCTTTCACATCATGATTCAGCACAGTGCATGGCTTTTAAAAGGGGCACCAAGAGAAACTTCTCTTTTCACCTCTGCTGCCATCAGGGGAGAGTTTGAGGCAGTTGCATGGTGGTGTGAAGGGGGTCGATCTGGGAGCCCTGTGTGGTGGTCCCTGCCAAGTCTGATGTCTTTGTGTTGGTGGCCCTTTACTTGGGATTCTGGCCCCCACATCACCTCTTTACCTTGTGTGGGGCATGATTTGAACACTGCAGGTGATGGCTTTCTAGTGGCCTGTGTTCTTGCCCATCTGGAGGGAAGAAGGGGCTGGAAGGCCCTGTGAGAGAGCTGATCTGGGGCTTGGCAAGTGCCTGGTGGGATCAGAGGGAGACCATAAAGTACATAAAAGTACACATCCAGGCACTTTTTGGGTCATATGGTGCTTTCCAACATGGGCCCACCCAGTCTTCACAATAAGCCTGTAAGGCAGATGGGCCAGAAATGGAGAAAAAGGGAAACAGAGGGTCTTTGATTCAAGGAAGGAGCAAGCGAGAGTCAAGCCTCTCTCTTTTGGCTATTAATCCACTTTCTTTCTATAAAACCATCTAGGCCAATGGATTTTCTGGAGGCCTTGGGGCTTATGCCTCTTTAGGAAACACTTTGTTTTATTATGTCAAGGTGTATGGTTACTGGCCGAGGTTTCTAGTTTTTTAGGCATTTATGAAAATCCAGCTGCTGAGTCACAGCACGTGTGTAATTGTATTGGTAAGTTAATGGCTATTTATGTTTGGAGGTGTTTGGAAAACAAGAAGGAGGCAAGATTTTAAAATATGTTTTGACCAGGTGTAGTGGCTCACACCTGTAATCCCAGCACTTTGGGAGGCCAAGGCAGGAGGATTGTTTGAGCTCAGGAGTTTGAGACCAACCTAGGTGACACAGGAAGACCTTATCTCTACTAAAAACTGAAAAAAAAGAAAAAAATAGCCAGGCATGGTGGTGCGCACCAGCAGTCCCAGCTACTTGAGAAGCCGAGGCAGGAAGATCACTTGAGCCTGGAGATGGAGGCTGCAGTGAGCTGTGATTACACCACTGCACTCCAGCCTGGGCAACAGAGAGACTGGTTCAAAAATAAAAATAGCTGGGCGGAGTGACTCACGCCTGTAATCCCAGCACTTTGGGAGGCTGAGGCAGGAGAATTGCTTCAGCCCAGGAGTTTAAGACCAGCCTGGGCAACATGACAAAACCCCGTCTGTACAAAAAATACAAAAATTAGCTGAGTGTGGTGGTGTGCGCTTGTAGTCCCAGCTACTCAGGAGGCTGAGGTGGAGGATCAGTTGAGCCTGGGAGGTTGAAGCTGCAGTGAGTTAGGATCATGCCACTGCACTCCAGCGAGGGAGACAGAGTGAGACCCCATCTCAAAAACTTAAAATAAATTTGCTGGGCATGGTGGCTCATGCCTATAATCCTGACACTTTGGGAGGCCAAAGTGGGTGGATCACTTGAGGCCTGGAGTCCAAGACCAGCCTGCCAACATGACAAAACCCCATCTCTACTAAAAATATAAAAATTAGCCAGATGTGGTGGCACATGCCTGTAATCATAGCTACTTGGGAGGCTGAGGCATGAGAATCACCTGAACCCAGGAGGCAGAGGTTGCAGTAAGCTGAGATGGTGCCACTGCACTCCAGCCTAGAGGACAGAGCGAGGCCCTGTCTCAATAAAAAAGAAAAAAAAACCAGGAAAATGATAAGAGTCCTTAATGACATCTGCGAAAATATCCCTTCACTTAAAAATAAAAAAAGATATTTAAAAAAACTATAAAAGAAAAAAATAGAATAAAAATGTTTTTCTCTGTATTTGTATCCAGATAATAATTCAAATATGTATCTCCTGCCCTGACCTTTCTTGGGTTCCAGAGAAACATTTAACAAAGCCCCAAATACTCAACTGAACTTGGATATGTCCCTGGCACCTGTGTGGTAATAGTAATAGTGGTTATGGTAGTAATAACAGCTTCCATTATTGAGCGTATCCTATACAGTTCAGCACTTGGAACTCACCTAACCTGGAAAGGTTGCTGAAGAGATTAAATATCTGTATTTCAGAAATCAAACCAAACAAAAAACTTTTGCCACTTGTTGGCTAAATTAGTCATGACACCTCTGTACAGTGGATTATTATGCATCTATTAAAAATGGTGCTGTGAAATATTAACTAAGGAAATGGAAACTGTTCCCTGTACATTAGTAGATAAAAGAAAATTACAGAACAGGCTGGCATTTGGAGGTTCTCAGTGAGTGTTTAAATCCACTTACATACAAAGCTATATTGTCACTCTCCTCCTTTTATTGGTGAAGAAATTGACTTGTGTAAAGGTCATGCAGAATTTTAGATCTGGGTCTTTTGAATTAAGACTGAAGTGCTTTCTTTGTGATACTCGTCTGTTTCTGTCTATTAAAAACACAGTAAGATATTCTCTAATCAAGGACTCATTGCTATGCTCAGATCAGAAAAGTCCGGGAGACCTGTTTGACACCCACATTATTTTGTTTGCATAGCTCTTTACAGTTGATAAAGCACTTTAAAGGATATATAACTTTTTCTGATTTTAAAAGATGACCTATTTATTGTATAATTAGGAAGGCAGAGAAAAGCCCCAAGAAGGAAAAAATATTTATAATCCTGTAGGTTTAACTACTATTAACATTTTTTTCTTCCTGTCTTTTCTCATTGCAAATACAAATTTTATAAAATTGGGATCATGTTGTACATATAGTTTTGATTCTTGCTTCCTTAACTAATCTGTTATAGACAATTCCTCGTTAATTGTTCTTCTACAATGTGATTTCATGCACAGTATCTAGTTTTTGTTTTTGTTTTTGTTTTTTTTTGAGATGGAGTCTCGATTTGTTGCCCAGGCTAGAGTGCAGTGGTGCGATTACGGCTCACTGCAGCCTCGACCTCCTGGGCTCAAGCGATCTTCCTGCCTCAACCTCCGTAGTATCTGGGACTACAGGCACACACCACCACATCTGGCTATTTTTTTTATTTTTTATTTTTTACAGAGACAAGGTCTCACTTTGTTGCACAGGCTGGTCTTAAACTCCTGGACTGAAGCAATTCTCCCTGCCTCAGCCTTCCAAAGTGCTGGGATTACAGGAGTGAGCCACTGTGCCCAGCCTACATTTTCTCTTTTGATCCTTAAAATAACACCTTGAAGCTGGTAGGGGAGGATTATTATCCCCATTATAAAGGTTGGAAGCTGAGGCTTCTAGAAGTTGCCATTTGTTCAAGATAAGAAACAACTTTGGAGTGAGAAAGGGAATTGCTTTAATCCAGTGAGTCTGAGGGAGTGGAGTAGGAGGTAGGTTCAGATTCATCTGTTTTGTTGTATTATTCAAAGTTCTGAGAAAACCCCCTTTCTGTAACCTCTACCAATGTCCTGGTCTGTCCTCTGTCCCCACATAGAAAAAGTTTTCACCTTTTAAGTGTTTGAAGAGGCTCCCATGTGGCCCTATGTGTTTTCCTTTCCAGGTTAAATCATCCTTGTTCCCTCATGAAACTTGGCTTTTAGTTTACTCGTTGTCTTTGACATCACTCTGGGCATATTCCCCTTTAGCTGTAATCCTCTTAATAGTGTATGTACTAGTAAGCTCTTCAGGTTGAAAGTGACAGAAACCCAACTCAAACTAGCTTCAAGAGAAAAGGAAGGATATTGGCACCAGTATCTGGGAACTCCCAGTGTAATCCTGACCTGGCCTTGGCACTGTTGGACTCTGGTGCTCAAAGGGCATTTTGGGGGCCCTGCCTTCTCCATCTTTCAAGTCTGCTAACTCTTTTGTCAAGGAAGAGAAATGCTCACTCTCCCAGGAGCTATACATCTCTTCTTAGGGGAGATTATGATCCCCTGCTTGGAACATGGGCCTGTCCTAGGGGTAGAGCGTGGTGGCTGAACAGTTGCAGCATGACGATATGGGAGGTGTGACTTCTGCCAGTGAAGGGATGCATATGAGCAATGCATGTCCATCATATTGCAATATGTAGAATTGGTGACTGGCCAGCTCAGAATAGCATGGGATCATCATCTGTCTTTTCCTCAATATCATACTTGAATCAATTCAACCTAAAATCAAAATAGGTTCCCTATTAAGATGTAATCATATTACATCAAGCACTGCTGCTCAGCTTCTCTCTCTCCTCTTAAACTGCTGGTCTCAAATTTAGGTCTTTAAGCTTATCTCTGTTAGATTCCATATGGCTGTATTAGGTCCAGAGAATCAGCTTGTTAAGATCTTTTAGCTCTAATTCTGTCATCTGGCTTCCTGCTTCTCCCTCACAGCTCAAGCACTCTGCAGTCAGGTGATATGATGCAACTGACATTTGGGAGTGGCGGGGATGGGAGATGGGAAAGTGAGACAGCACCAGGCAGTCAGTTGCATCAAAAGAGCCAGAATCTTCTCTCACCTCCTCCCACACACCCTAAAACCCCTTCAGTTTCCTTTGCATGGCCCATAAGCTCGGCCTTCTGGGTTCATGATATATTAAAGGTCACCAGGAAGGACATCACACATTCTGCTTTTTTACTGAGGCCCTAAATGGACTTAAGTAGGAAGGACCTAGGTTAGACATTAAGAACTTCTTGGCATAGGTGGGTATGGGGGGCATATTAGAGAAAGCAGTAGTAGATCCGTTTCTGGAGGCTGTCAGGTACTAGCGTGTTCCTGAGAAGTCTGCAGTGTATAGAGTGTTAAGTGGGGGATGTGAAATCCCTATGAGGCTTGTTGAGTTTGCAGGCCTATCATGCCAGCCATTGCATGCAAGCGCTGTTGGTGGTGGGGGAGTCATGGGTGTACTGGATGGCTTTGGCCTCCATTGCTCTATTGAAGACTCCAAACTGTGTTGTTCCGCTGCAAAAATTGTTTTTTTCCATTGTAAGCAAGAAACACAAAGCAGCCCTTCAAGGAGGGTGTGCAGGCATGCAATTCTGGCAGTATGTTGCATTAATCTGATGTGGCATGGGGTGAACCACCCCAGATGGCCTGGCAGAAACAGTTGGACAACAGCATCCAGAGGACCCCTGGAGGACAGAGGGCAGTGCAGAGAGCCTTGCCCTGGAAGGACCTGAGCCCACAGACATGGCCAGGAGGAGGCCTGATCTCAGCGCTGGCTTGCCCATGAGTTGAGCAGGAGTAGAGCTGGAGAGCAGCCTTTTCCATGTGGCCCACTGTGGAGCCTCGTGTGTGCTGTGCATGAGTCTCTGTGCCCAGAGCTGAGTCTGGAACAGTTTCCCTTGTGGTTGTTTGGGAGGAGAGGGAGGCAGATCTCTACTGATGAGTGTCAGCAGGTGTGTGAGGCCTCCTCACTTCAAGGTACGTTTGCCAAACCCCTCAGGATCTTGGCAACTGTCCTTTGACACCTAGATGACTTCCTGTGGGTAAAGCCCATTAGCAGTCTATTCCCTCTGCCTGCTCTAGATCTCAGTTGGGGTTTTGACTTGGGCTAAGTGGGGTTCTATCTATTCTTCTCCCTTCTTCTTTCCCTCCGTCTCTCCAGGCCTCCTCCTCACTTTCCTATATGCCCTGAGCCCCTCTTTCCATGCCAAGGGAGAATGGGAGGTAGTCAGACAGGAAATGACTTCCTTATCTTTAGATGGGTACCTCTTTCTGGGCAATTAGTCTAAAGAAAGGTCTGAAGTTGGCTGGTGAGGGGTGGGGTGAGGCAGCAAGCTGGCAAGTGTGTGTGTGTCAAATGGGGGTGCCTGAATCACTCTGGTGCCTGGAGAGCATAAAACAGGTGCTTGTGTGGTGCTCATTCTGGGCTCCTGGCCTGTCCGTCAGAGAAAGCTGGTTTGGAGTGCACCTGAGTGTTGCAGAAGGGGAGCTGATTGGAGGGAGGCAAAGCAGGGGTGATGGAGTAGGGGCTGTTCTCTCCTGGACTTAGGGTGCTGTGAGGCCCAGGACTCTCTGACAGGAGGTGACTTGTGCCTACACTGTGCCTTGTGAGGGGTGGGCCCCAAGAATGGAGGGCCTCATGGCATTAAGCAGAGCTGTTTCCTCCCCTCACCTTCCCCTGTGTGGCAGAGACACAGCATGACCAGCATCGCCTAGAGCTCCCCAGCCAAAGGTCAATTTGAATCACCTAGATTTTTGCTTATTTTGCTATAAGAGAACAGAAGCCAACTTGGGGAAATCCTGTGTTGACTGAGTGGTAGGGAGTGTGGATTAGCTGGGGTCTGCCCTAATGGAATGGTTTCTGCGCTATCCTAGAGGTTGCTGGAGAAATTATATTTTAATGGGAATGTTCTTTTCTAAACTTTAACTAGCAAAGCCACAGAAGCGTTTGCCAGTTAATAATGTACTTGATGAGTTGTTGAGCTGAAATTTAACAGCCAGTTTAAAAAATAAGGTAGAGAATTTAAAAACAAAGGACATTGAGAGCATGTGTGTCTTAGAATGCTTTCTGCATTTCTGTTGGAATCAGTGATTTTGTGCTGACTGGGAGAGTTTCAAGGGCCCCGTATCTTCGGTGGCCTTTCCAGGAGGCCCTAAGGCTTGGCTCCTTGTTCCTGAAAAGTAATTTAATGTGTAGCCCATTTGTAGATGAACCATTTCGCCACTTCATGAAGCCACAAGGCTGGGGCAGCTCTTCTTGCTGTGAGATAGCCCAGTGAAGGTGGTGGCAGTAGAAACGGTGGCCTGAATTCAGGCAGGCTCCAGGTGGACGACAGCAATAAAACCTTCATGGCCAGAGCAGGGGTGGGGCTGACTGAAGGAATAAAGCAGGGAGTGGAGTTTCTGCTCTGATATCTGAGATGACAAAGTCCTGCAGAGTTTGCTCTGGAAAAGAGAAAAGGTTAAAAAAAAAAAAATCCGAATGGAAAATTTAAGGAAACGGAACCCAAGGCTCCACTTGGATTCTGAGTGGTGTGTGTTACTGCAGATTGGTACCTTTTGTTAGAGGCCCTGGATCTCAGTTACGCCCCTTCTGCTTAAGCTCCCAGTTTTACTTGTGCACCCTGGCTAGTGACTCCAGATGCCCCTGAGCCTTGCTTGCTCTTCCCAGTACCCTAGTGGGCTTCTGGTTCACAGTGTGGCCCTTGGAAATGGGCTCCACAGGGTGGACTTTCTGCCTGACTCATATCTTCATCCCTCAAGGTGTGTCACACTAGTGGTTGCCTGGTAGATGTTTGTGAGATACCTGGGGTGTTTCTTATAACTGTGAGCAGCCTAGACACACACACACACACACACACACACACACACACACATACATGCACAACCATGCCTCCAGTCCCATTTCTGCATCTGTCCTCACTCTCTCCACCTCTATCCAGAGTTTTCCTTCTCCTGTGTCTTGTGCATGTGTTTGTTTGTTTTAGATGGAGTCTTGCTCTGTCGCCCAGGCTGGAGTGCAATGGTGCGATCTCAGCTCACTGCAACCCCCACCTCCTGAGTTCAAGTGATTCTCCTGCCTCAGCCTCCCGAGTAACTGGGACTATAGGCACGCGCCACCACTCCTGGGTAATTTTTGTATTTTTGGTAGAGATGGGATTTTACCATGTTGGCCAGGCTGGTCTCGAACTCCTGACCTCAGGTGATCCACCTGCCTTGGCCTCCCAAAGTGCTGGGATTACAGGTGTGAGCCACCACCCCTGGCCCTTTCTACCTGTTTTATTAAAAGAGCTGGAATGTGCTGGGCAGGCAGTGCACTGAGTGCTTTTATCTGGACTCTCTCATTTACTCCTTACAGCCACTCACTGACATAGATACTTAGTATTTTGTTGCCATTTCATAGATGGGAAGATCGAGGCCAAAAGAAATGACCTAATTTGCCTCAGAAGTTAATGGGGTTGCCACTACTCACCCACAGGTATCTCTGATTCCAAAGCTGAGCTCTTCACTTCTCGGATACAGACCTCCCTTTTCTGGGCTTTGAGCTGGAGTAGGGTATGTGTCTCAGGGAGAAGAAAATACACTGCCCATTCTCCCCTCCCCTTGCATCTCTGTCTACAGATGCCTGTCTCTCACTTCCCCCAGGAGTAGGAGAACCCAAAGGTGAGTTGGCAATAGAGAAGTGTCAGGCACTAAGGGGATGAGGGTGGTGGGTTTTGTGAGTTATTTCCCCCAGATATCTTTCTCATTGCCATTGACACAATACATTAAAATTCAGAGGAAAAAACTACAACAAAGGAAGAATTGGTCTAAGATAGGGGTCTTCAAACCTTTTTTTTTCTTTTTGAGACAGTCTCGTGCTGTCATCCAGGCTAGAGCGCAGTGGTGTGATCTTGGCTCACTGTAACCTCTGCCTCCCAGGTTCAAGTGATTCTTGTGTCTCAGCTTCCCAAGTAGCTGGGACTATAGGCACGCGCTACCACACCTGACTTATGTTTTTGGGTTTTTTTTTGTATATTTTGTAGAGACGGGGTTTCGCCATGTTGGCCAGGCTGGTCTCAAACTCCTGACCTCAAGTGATTTGCCTGCCTCGGCCACCCAAAGTGCTGGGATTACAGGCATGAGCCACTGTATCTGGCCCAAACCTTTTTTTTTTTTTTTTAAATCATGTATATCCCATTAATAAATGAGCATTTGCCCCAACACATGTATGCTCATTTATAAATTATATACATACCTGCTGTGCTAATGAAAACACACACAATTGTAAAAGGATGGCATAAAAATAAACCTGAATAGGTGTTCTACTGTTTTCTTCTAGAACTCCGTGGGTCATCTTGAGCACCTCAGGATTGAGTGCTGTGCACTTTGGAGACCCCTGGTGTCCCCCAGTATCTAAGGAATGCTCTATTACTGCAGCGCAGTGCCCTGTAAGAGAGCGCACAGCTGGCTGGACCTCCAATTTCAGGTGCTCTGATTTTCAGAAGCAGGAAAGGCCCTGCCCAGCCAGCCCTCATGCTTTTTGTCTGGAGTTTTACCAAACTGAAGGAATCCCAGAGTGAAACACTCCTAGTTGCTTCTCTGGTTGCAGTCCTTTGCTGTTACCCCAAGGCCCCTCAGGAAGTTCCAAGAGTGTGCAGACATCCTGGGGTATGAGGGAAAGGCTGTTTCCTAGGCTTGGGTACAGCTCAAGGATTGGTGAGGATGTGGAGAAATTGGAACTCTTGTGTGTTGTGCATTGCTGGTGGGAAAGTAAAATAGTGCAGCTGCCCTGCTTTGGTGGTTCCTCAAAAATCTAAATAGCATTACCCTGTGATCCAGCCATTTCATGTCTAGGTATATACCCAAAGGAATTGAAAGCAGGAGCTCAAACAGATATTTGTACACTTAGGTGCATTGCAGCATTATTCATGGTAGCCAACAGGTGAAAAGAACTCAAGTTTCCATCAACAGATGAATGGATCAACAAAATGTGATATATACATATAATTGAATATTACTGAGCCCTGAAGAGGAAGGAAATTTTGACACATGCCACAACACAGAGGAACTTCAAAGACATCATGCTGAGTAAAATAAGCCAATTACCAAAGGACAAATTCTATGATTCCACTTTTATGAGATACCTAGAATAGCCAAATACATAGAAACAGAAAGTAGATTAGAGGTTTCTAGGGCCTGAGGGAAGGGAGAAATCGGGGGTTGTTGATAACTAAGAGTGCTTCTGTTTGAGGTAGTAACAAAGTTTTAGGAACATAGTGGCGTTGGTTGCACAACATTGCGAATATAATAAAGTAAGAATAAGACCTTAAACATAAAAGCAATGAGAGGTGGCTGGGGGCAGGGTTGGAGAAACAGGTAGTTAATTCTTTTGTCCAAATGCAGTGCACCTACTGATCAGATGCCAGGGTGTCCCTGTCCTTTTGGATACCTGCTGCCAGATTAGGGCTACTCGAATGGGACACTTGTGGCCACACCCTGGTCATTCTGACTGGCTGTACAAATAGCTCTCCTGGCTCCCCAGGGGACATGTTCATCAAGATTTAGGCCACAAAGTAGGGCCGTTTGTTCCCCCTCTTGCCCCTCTCCCCAGTCAGCTGACGACAGCTCCAGTGTTGCAGCCCAGCACCCCAGGATGGATGACACACCTCCCTGGTGCTCCATTGTCAGGGCTCTCTGATTTGCAGAAACAGGTAATAGTTTCTGTCTATGGTTTGGAATCATGAAGTAGGGCAAGACAAGTTTCTTTGGAGTTAAATTTAGGGCTTAGAATCCAGGGGGTGGCTGAGTAAAGCTGTATTTAACTCCTACTCCACCCTCAAAAAAGAAAAAAAAAAGTCCTAAATTAAGCAAGGTACAAGGAGCCTGCAGCTACCTCAACCAAATTGGAACACATACCTCTAAAAATAAAAGATGCTGAAGTCTAGAAAATACCAAATATGGTTATAGGTCAGGCACTTGCTTCTCTGCTTTTCTAATGTCACCATCCCTGTCCCAGTCCTGGAGCTGCACAGAAGTGGCATGGCCCTCCTCTAGGAGGACTGCACTGTGTACAAGGCCTTGTCTTTCCGTGATACATCCTGGGTCAAGGAGTGGAAGGCCACCTCATCTACAGAAAAGGAGGCTGAATCCAGAGGGTTGCAGTGGCTGCCTTGCTCCTCGTCACTCTGATTGTCTTGCAGTGGGAGGAACAAGTATGCATTTGCTTCTCTTGTATCTTTAACTCAGAGCTCCACTCAGTGCCATCTAGTTCCCAAGGCACCAGTAGCCAGGCCCCATATCTTGAGCACTGTGATTTTCTTTTTGTTGTTGTTGTTGTTGCTTCTGGGAGATGTGGGTACATGAGACATTCTTAGAAACACAAGTTCAGGGGAGGCTGCCAAAGGACCACATCAAGGTGCTTGTGGGCCAGGTGCAGTGGCTCATGCCTGTAATCCCAGCACTTTCAGAGGCTGAGGTGGGTGGATCACTTGAGGTCAGGAGTTCAAGACCAGCCTGGCCAACATGGTGAAACCACATCTCTACTAAAAATATAAAAATTAGCTGGGCATGGTGGTATGCACCTGTAGTCCCAGCCACTCAGGAGGCTGAGGCAGGAGAATCGCTTGAACCCAGGAGATACAGGTTGCAGTGAGCTGAGATCATACTGCTACACTCCAGCCTGGGCAATGGTATGAGACTGTATCCAAAAATAAGGTGCTTGTGGCTACAGGCAGAACTTGAGTTCTCAGGGAGCGAAGACTTAAGGTGGTTTTGGGTCGTGAGTGTTGCACAGTGGAGATAATAACCACGGTGGAAAGATATTGGGCACTTACTGCTCATTGACTGGTCGCCAAGAGTCTTTTTACACAAGTGATCTCACAACCACCCCATCAGGTGGACACTGTGATAATGCCCATTCAGAGTGAGAAAACATAGGCTAATTAGCCCCCTCATGGCCACACAGCCAGCGAGAGGCAAAGATGGGATTGGAATCCAGGCAGTCTGTCTCTAGCACTTTGCCACCATGTACATCAGTCATTTCTGCCAAAGCCACAGGGCTGCCTCCTCATCTGAAGCACAGGGCACTGTTTTAGGAAAAAGAATCGATTAAAGGTTGACTTGCTTCCCCCCATTTCCTCCCTTCTGAAGTGGGAGTGGGATCAGCTTGATTTTGCAACGTAGGCTCCTGCTTTATACCTGGTGTGTTGTGGTCAGGCCCCACAGGACATATTCGTCATGCACTTACTATGTGCCAGACCCTTCCATAGGTGTTTTACTCATGTTATCTCACAGCAGCCAATGAGGCAGGTGGTACTGATCCTAATTTACAGGTGAGAAAACTGAAGCACGGAGAAGTGAAAGACTTGCCTAAGTTAAATCACGAATTAATGGCATAACCTGAATTTCATCTCAGGACCATCTGACTCAAAAGTCCATGGCCTTCTCACCCCCTCTCTGGAAGATGCCATGGGTCTGCTGTGACCTTCCACACACCGGGCCCTGCCAGAATCCTGTCTCTCACTTTGATGATGCCAGGGTGTGTCTGAGGACCAAGGTTGAAACAACTCTGTCCCCTTCTGGGGATGATGCTGCCCAGGGGAGAATAACAGCTCAGGATGTCACCCTCCAGGCACAGCCAGGGGTGGGTGCAGGGTTGGAGGGCCTCTTTTCTGGGCCACTTCTCCGGTTGCCTGTAGCCCGTAATTGTAAACTCTCTGGAGCTCTTGGCTGCCTGGCTGGAAGCTGAGGAAGGCTCATAGCCTTTGAGAGGCCAGGGCTGGTGTGAGAAGCAGGTACTTTTCCCATCTTTGAGTCTTACTCTCCGATGAGCTGAGCATAGCCTGGCGTTAGGACCACCTCAAGGCGCTTGGGCGGCCTTTCCACAGCCCTGCCTGGCTGAGTCGCCAAGATTCTGTCCTTTCTTCTGGAGCCTTGGTCATCCTAGTGAGTGGCAGAGAAACCAGCTGGGACTGGGGATGGGGACAGGGTGGTTTGGGGACCTCACTGAGGAAACTTCGCTGAATGACCCGATTTTTCTAAAACTTGAGGGTTTTGTGTTTTGGATTTGGAAAAAAGCTGATAATGAGGAGGAATGTTTCAGAGAATCAAGCTTTTTAGACAGAGACCCCCTCTTGGGCACGGGGCAGTGGCCTTCCTTGAGTGGGGTGGAGGGGGACTTGCTGGCTGGGTCTCTTGTTGTGGAGGAAAGACAGGCAGGGGCTGACGTGGTGAAACGAAGCTGGAAGTTTCAGGATGAGCTTGGGTTCAAGGAGTTGTGGGTAACTGGAGTGAGAGCTGCTTTCCCAGCCTAGGCCAGCCCCCTGTGTGCCTCGGTGTCCCCATCTGTCTGTTAGGGGTGAAGGTAGGGTCCCTCATGGCAGTGTTCCCACCCTAAGGCATTGGGAGGCCTCAGCCATGGGGTGTAGCTGTTACACAGTCGTTGTTGTTTGTTATTTATTATTTAAGCACCTCTCCTGTGGCTGAGCAGGGACCCAGGGGTTGAGTATCACCTTGGGCTGTGGCTCCCCTTTCTCCTCTTTGCCCTGCAGTCACCTGTTTATAGTTAGCACCTACTGTTGCAGGGGACTCTGTGCTGGATACTTCACATGGGAAGGTCACAGATGAGGGAAGGGCCTTCCTAGAACCCCTAGGGCGACGCTTGCCTCATCTGTGACCTTCTGCAGTGCTTGTTTCTGCCCATGGCGGTGGAGGTGGGTGGGGTGTGTATGTCTCCTTCTTCCCCTGCCCCCCAACTCAGAGCTCAGGCAACGTTTGAGTAAATACAGGGAGAATTTGGAATCTAGATGGCTTATCTCATTCCCACTTCCTGGCCCAGCTCAGGCTTCTGGGGCCCATGCCTCCTGCTCTGGGTGCCAGGCACTTGGGAACAGTAGCATGTTTCTCCAGGGCGGGTGGGACTTGAGTCCTGGACTTGGGTCCTGGCTGTGGAAGCAGGGGAGCTGGTGGGGGTGCTATGCATTCTGGACAAAAGGGAACAGGGTCAGCGTCCGGGAGTGAAGGGGGCCCCTGAAAGGAACGTGGCCTAAAGTGGAGAGTGAAGCCGGAGCAGAGCAGGGCGTGAGAACCTGTGTGGATGTGGAGGCGTGTGTGCACACACACAGCCTGGGCCAGCGAAAGGAGGGCACAGGAGTGAGGTTGGGGGGCAGGACCTGCCACTGCACATCTTCTGGTCTGTCAGTAGATCCCTTGGGGGGCAGTAGGTTTTAGCTCTGACAATCCTGCAGCCTTACCTGGGCTCCTTCAGTTGGGCTTGGCCCGGGGAGGCAGGCCCTGCCTCCTGGTACCTGGGGGGAAGTAGGTACAGTCCTCCAGGGCTGCTGAGGGGAGCCCGCAACCCCCTCCAGAAGCAGGTTTTATGGGAGAGCTTTAGCCAGGAACCACACACTGATAAAGAAGTGTTTTCATTCTCAGGGGCGTTAATTAACACAGATTAGATTTCAACTGAGTAGGCCTTTTGTTGCTCCAGCCTTTCTATCAAGGTGGTTTCAATACCACTGTGGTTTCACGGAGCCAATTCAGGTTCATTATTCTCATCTGTTACTATCCTGGGTGTTCAGACCTGATGTTACTTCTTATGGCTCTCCTTAGTCCACTTTTTCAAACTTGATTCACTATGGGCCTGGCCTCTCACACATCACCCTCATTGGGTGCTGAACCTGAAAAAAGATAATCCAAGCATGTAGGCACATTTCTTGGCTCTGTGAATTTTATTAAACGTTTACAAACATGTTTTCTGCAGTTTCCTGAGGTAATCTGGCACACACAAGACAGGATTTGAATTTTCTTTCCAGTTGTCATGTTTTTTTAACAGTTCCATCCATTCCCACTGACTGGATGGAGAGAGATTGAAAGTGGATAGACATGGGAGCTCAATGATGGGAACTCATGAGAGCAAAGAAGGAAACAACAGACACTGGGGTCTACCTGAGGGGGAGAGAGGGGAGCAGAAAGATAACTGTTGGGTCCTGGGCCTAATACCTGGGTGATGAAATAATCTGTACGACAAACCCATGTGACATGTGTTTACGTATGTAACACACCTTCACATGTACCCACAAACCTAAAATAAAAGTTAAAACAAAAAACAAAAAACGAAACAACAGTGGTGTCAGGGAAGCTGGGCTAACGTCTGAAAGGGTGCAATGGCAGGTGGCCAGCCAGCAAGTGTAAACAAAAGGAGCTTCCTGGCTTAGGTAGGGCTCTAGGCCTCTTTCCCCCCACCCGCCTGTACCCACCCCAGCATTGACACTTCTGTTTTTCCAATGGGTACTGCCCATTCTGCTTCTGGGTTACAGTGTTCATCTTTCTTCTTCTTTTCAGTATGTTTTGCTCTGGTTACATCGGCTGTGCAATTGAGCAATTAGCAAAGTAGAAAATAAGTCACCTATAATCCTACCATCCTAGGATTATGATAGCTACGATTTTAGCATATTTCCTTCTAGATTTTGGGGACATTTTAAATATTATTGAGGTCTTACATTCTCCATGTATACATCTGTATATCTTGCACTTGCAGAATAGTTCTTTTTCTTATTGCAGAAATAATGCATATTAGACCGTAGAAAATTTGGGAAATACAGAGGAAAAGCACAGAGATGGAAAGTAAAAACTATACTAATTATTCCTCCATCCAGAGTTAATCACTCTTTGTGGCTGTTTGCATGTCTACGCTGCCAGTCTTTCCTTTCTCATGCATATACGCACATTATTCCTCACCACAACTTGGAATCATGCATACACAGATATTCTTTTTTCTGTTTTTACTTAAAAAATCCCATAAATATTGCATTATGATACAAAGTTTTCCTCTGAAGCGTGACCTTTTTTATTTTAATTTTTATTTTTTTGAGACAGAGTCTTGCTCTGTTGCCCAGGCTGGAATGCAGTGGTGTGATTATGGCTCACTGCAGCTTTAGCATTCCGGGCTCAATTGATCCTCCCACCTTAGCCTCCTGAGTACGTAGGACTACAGGTGTGTGCCACCATGCTCAGCTAATTTTTTAAATTTTTTGTAGAGGTGAGGTTTTGTCATGTTGCCCAGGCTAGTCTTGAACTCCTGGGCTCAAGCAGTCCTCCCACCTTGGCCTCCGAAAGTGCTGAGATTACAGGCGTGAGCCACTATGCCTGGCTGAGATATGATCTTAAAAAATTATTGAGGTAAGGCCAGGCACAGTGGCTCACACCTGTAATCCCAGCACTTTGGGAAGCCGAGGTGGGCCGATCACGAGGTCAGGAGTTTGAGACCAAGTTGGCCAGCATGGTGAATCTCCGTGTCTACTAAAGATACAAAAAATTAGCCGGGCGTGGTGGTGCATGCCTGTAATCCCAGCTACTCAGGAGGCCAAGGCAGGAGAATTGCTTGAACCCAGGAGGTGGAGGTTACAGTGATCTGAGATTGTGCCATTGCACTCCAGCCTGGGCAACAGGGCGAGACTCTGTCTCAAAAAAAAAAAAAAAAAAAAAAAAGAAAAAAATTATTGAGGTAAAATTCATGTAATATAAAATTAACTATTTTAAAGTCAACAAATCAGTGGTGTTCACCACATTCATGGTGTTTTACAACCATCATCTCTGTCTAGTTCCAGAATAGTCCCATCACTCCAAGGTAAAAACCCTTATCTGCTAAGCCAGTTTTTCCCATTTCTCTCAGCTTCTGGAAACCAACCAATCTACCTTCTGTCTCTGTAGACTTATCTGCTCTGGATATTTCATATAAATGGAATCATACATGAGATAATTTTTAATGGCTGCTGGATATGCTTTTATTGATCGATTTAAATAAGCCTCGGGTCTTCAGCATGAGGTCTTCTCATCATAAAGCTAGATTCTGTCATATGGATATACCAGAATTTTCTAACCAATTCCTTGTTTTTGGATACTGAGATTGTTTCCAGTTTTTTAATGCCATAAGTAATAATGTGTTGAACATCTGTATGCCTAGACCTCTTTTTGTATCTCAGATTAACAAGAACATGTATTCTTGAATATCCCCATGGAATTTAGTTTGAAAGTGGTTGTGAAGTAAACCCCTTTTTTGTTAGTTTTTTCTTCCCTTGAATGAAAGGCTCTTGCCACTAACCTTTGGGCTCCCTGTTGCTTACCTGAGTCTTATCTCATCCATCAGAACAATTCCTTAGCAGGTGACTAATGCTGCGCCTAAAGCCACGGGGGGAGGTGATAATGCCTCACATTACACAAAACTTAAACCTACCACTTTCCTTGGGATCATCTGGGCTGTCTTTATCTTTCTGTTCTTCAAGGCAGTGTAACTTTTGCATTGACTGGTTAAACTGCTTTAGATTGAGTTGACAGGGCTGGCCAGTCCTTGCAGAACATTATAACCGCCAGAGACCTCAGGTAAGTGTGATATGCTGCTTCCTGTCTCTCATCCAGGTGCAGGAAGCACCAGAATAAAGCTGGCTGAGATGTCTTTTATAGACAGATTGTGGATTAGGGCCCAGGCGGGAGTAGACTTCATACCTCCTTTGGAATCCAGGACTATGAGGATTTCCCTTTATCCCTGTCACAGACCTGGATTAGGTATAACTAAAATACAAGCTATCTTTAAATCTTACTGTGGCATTGTGAGCGTGGGATTATTGAAGGACCATTAGCTGGTTCTGTTAATCAGTAGAGAGAGCCATGGAACTAGCTGGTGGGAGGAACACTAAACTGAGAGTCTATCTTTGCTGTGTTATGTGACTTTGGGAAAGGTACTTCTCCCCTCTGGGAACCAAGTGGTTCATACTCTAAGTGGGTGTTAACTTGTCCTGGGGGATTACTTCCCCCTTCAGAATTGCACTTGCTAGTGCCTGGTACAGAATGAGTATTCAACACGTGCATGTGGCTGGGCATGGTGGCACAAGCCTAGAGTCTCAGCTAATCCAGAGGCCAAGGTGGAAGGATCACTTGAGCCCAGGAGTTCAAATCCAGCCTGGGCAACATAGCACAGCCCTGTTTCTAAAAAATAAAACAAAATAGGTACGTATGTGTACACACACATACGTACATACTCCTCTGAGCTGCTCTGTTATGAGAAGAGAATATGATTGTTTTGCCTGGTCCCTGTGGAAAGTACAAAAAGAACATATTTCCACAAACTAGGCTACTGCGTGTGGTCACTTACCATACTCATCCCTAACTTTTTTGTTTTTTTGTTTTTGGTGACTGGGTCTTGCTGTGTTGCCCAGGCCTACCTTAAACTCCTGGGCTGAAGCGATCCTCTCCTGAGTAGCTGGGACTACTGGCACACCCCTGCTTTTTAAGTGACTATGTATGGTCTCTAGAATCCCCCTCTTTCTAGATAACCAGGTCTCTAACCATTCTCCAGTCATTTTAGATCCCTTCGGTGGTTTTACTAAGCCTGCCTTAATTTTAGATAACTGAGAACTGAACTTAAAATCCCATTTTCCCCCAAGCCCCCATTCTAGAGCTTTCTGGAGGTAGTCTTCACTGTCCTTCCATTGTGGACTGCTGGCTCATGTTTGGCATGGCCTGGAGGGGAAAAAACAATAAAAACTTAGAGCTCCATCTAAGCAGTTATTTTCTTTAAGCTTCATCGATTCTGAGCTTAACTATATACATCATCTCCTCTATTATTCTGAAAGCAGTGGACTTATTTGATTAACGCAAACACCTAACTGAACCTCTACTGGGTGCCAGGCACTATACTAAATGCTGGGGAATAAAAAATGAGTAGGTCATGGTCCTTTAAGCCCAGTTCAGTGGGACAAACAGGTAAGTAAACAACCATAAGGCAACAAGTATCTTCATGAGTATTTGTATAGAACACTTTAGGGACACAGGGGCAGTTTATTCCATGGGATACAGAAAAGGGAATGCTCAATAGGAAGCAATATTTGAACTGGGCCTTGAAGGATAAGTAGGAAGTTGCCATGTTGATGGGTAGCAGAGGAATACTCCAGGAAAAACCATTCATTCATTCAGCAAGTCTCTCCTGTTAGCCTGCTGCAGCCTAAGCATCAGGGTTCATTGGGGGTTTCAGTTTTCTTCTTTGTATTCTCTAGGGCGCCTAGCATAGTGCTTTGCGTTCAACAGTTGTTTGGGAATTATTTGAGTAAATAAAAAATCCATCTGATAAGGGAATTAAAAATTACTCTGACATTTGCAAAAACTGTTTCAAATGAAACAGTATATGTGAAAATAAAGCATGAGGCCAGGCATGGTGGCTCATGCCTGTAATCCCAGCACTTTGGGAGGCTGAGGCGGGCGGATCACGAGGTCAGGAGTTTGAGACCAGCCTGGCCAACATAGTGAAACCCCGTCTCTAATAAAAATACAAAAAATTAGCCGGGTGTGGTGGCGGGTGCCTGCAATCCCAGCTACTCCGGAGGCTGAAGCAGGAGAATTGCTTGAACCTGGGAGGCGGAGGTTGCAGTGAGCCGAGATTGCGCCATTGCACTCCAGCCTGGGTGACAGAGCGAGACTCTGTCTCAAAAAAAAAAAAAGAAAACATGAGACAACTGTAAAGTATGTCGTTAATATTTAACTTTCTTGTTGTTTTATTTTGCTATCTTCCAAAGAAATTTATTTGAATAATTTCTGTGACCTTTCAAATAACTAACAGCATCCAGCATCCTATCTTATTAGTTTTTGTTTTTTTTTTTTTAAAGACAGAGTCTTGCTCTGTTGCCCGGGCTGGAGTGTGTTGGTGTGATCATAGATCACTATAACCTTGAACTCCTGGGCTCAAGCAGTCCTCCTGTCTCAACCTCCTGAGTAACTGAGACTATAGGTGTGCACTACCACACATGGCTAATTTAAATTTTTGTTGTTGTTGTTGTTGTTTTTGTAGAGATGGAGTCTCACAGTGTTGCCAGGGCTGGTCTTGAACTCTTGGCCTCAAGTAGTCCTCCTGCCTCAGCCTCCCAAAGTGCTGAGATTACAGGTGTGAGCCACTGTGCCTGGCCATTATTGGTTCTTTATTGTTTGCTCCAATAGTGCTGGATAAGAAAACATTTATAGTGATATTTTTATTTTATCTTATTTTTTGGCTATTGTTTAACAAAATATGTAAGGCCAGAAACCCTACAAATCCCTCTTGCCTTGTGGAGTGTCCTCTATCTTTGCATTGTTTGCTTCTCAACCAGTGAAGCCCTGAAATTTCCATATGACTCCCCAACTAATTGTAGCTTCCTGTGTGTGTGAGGGGTCTGTTTCTGAACTTTATATAAGTTTCTGTTCAGTCAGCCAACTTTCTAATCATGATAAAGGGCAAATTATTGTTTTATAAACCTTGTGCCATTTGTCACATTCCTGTCTTACCAGTTTCTTAAGGGAGAGGTGAAAGAAACCCATAAGCACCCTCTAAATCTGCTTTGCATTTTCCTGCACAGTGAAGAATAGACTTTTCATATGTTTGAACAGAAAAATAAACACAAACTAGAAAAACACTGCCCTTTCCAGTCAACCAAGTATACTTACCTTTAGGAGGCAGTGAAAGTGGTGCCCTTAAATACAGAATTATTTATTCAAATATTAAGAATTAATAAATAAAGGGCTCTAATATAAACTTTGTGTAAGTTTTTCTGTGTATTTCAGTGCAAAAAAATATGTAGAGCATAAAATGAAATCTACCTGTCAAGCATGTGATCCAGAATCTTGGTTTTATTACTATTCTGGAAAGCCCCGGTCCTTATCATTTGGTTTAGCTTATTTAATCTTTTAAATTGGAAATAGTGTACAAAATTGTTCTTATTGTGTTCATTTTCTTTTGGCACAAGATCTTAGGACTTTAAGTCTTACAGATTATAGTCACTGTAGGATTCACAAAAGAACTTTCTTATAACTTTCTTTGGATTCTTCATACTCATTTAAAATTTCTTATGTTCGTTTGGTTAATCAGTACAAGGCATTTTGCTGATTACTGTGAAAAAGACCAAGGTTTAAGACTGGTCTCTGAGATTGTAATCCAATAGGAACTAATAGTATCCTCACCATGCCTTTACCTTTGCTGTTTCCTGTGTCTACAGTGTCCTTTCATTGTCCCTTCCTGTGCATCTGGCAACTTAATCCTTAGCCTTTAAGGCATAGCTCAAACTTCACTGCCTCCATGAAACTTTTCTTTGACCTCCCTGTGTCATTTAGGGCAAGGGTTCCCCAAATCTTGGGCTGACCCCTTGGTGGGGAACCTCAGAATTATTGTAGTGTCAGTTGTCAAAAAAATACTATTTTCAAATATATGTAGATGCCATTGTGAAAAAGCAAATTAAAAATTTTTTAAATTTAGTTAATTCATGAAAAAGCTTTGTTGGATACATAGAGGCTTTGTTCTCTTGTGTTTTTAAAGTCAAGAAATACTCAAAGTATAATTACAGGTTGAACATTCCTAATGTTGATAAATCTGTAACCTGGAACTTTGTGAACACTGACATGGTGCTCAAAGGAAATGTCCATTGAAACATTTTAGATTTCAGATTTTGGGGTTAGGGATGCTTAACCAATATGTATTCTGCAGATATTCTAAAATATGCAAAAACCCCAAATCTGAAACACTTCTGGTTCCAAGCATTTCAGGTAAAAGACACTCCACCTGTATTATGACGAAAGTCTGGGAATTTTTTTTTTTTTAAGTTAAAAGTAACTATTCCTATTTGTATTAGTTGGGGTTATGTTTAGCTGCAAATGATAGAAACTCTGACAGAACAGTGACTGAAATTGATTTCTCTTTCACATGAAAGTCTGGAGGTTGTCATCCCAGAACTACTGGGCTGGTCTCACAAAGTCTTCTGGGCCCCAAGCACTCTATGTTTTGCTTTTCTGCCCTCCTTAGCAGAAAGGAGCTTAATATGGCTGCTTGAGTTTTGCCGTCATTTTTATTCCAGGCAACAGTGGATAGGATCACCTCCCTTTCCCCTCTCACTTCCTTAACACACACAGTTACCCCTTTAGGAATACCCAAAGTCCTGCATGGTCCTTCTACCTACATCCATTCATCGGGACTTATTCACACAGCTACTCAGAGTTGCATGGAAATGTCTTTATTCTGGGTTATAAGGTGCCCAGCTAAAATTCACTAAAAATCCTTGCTGAGGAGGAAGAGGGGAACTGATCTTGGGGGACCTGTGTGTATCCATTTTGGGTCAGGCTGGGCCCCACAGATATAGTGCATTAGCACTCAGCAGTGTGGAAGGCTATTTCAGATCACAGTCCAGGTGCTGTGTGATACCTCACAGGTTCCATTCCTCAGTTAGACCTTAGTTTCCTCTGAAATCATACTTGTTTTGTCTCATAGGGATGGGAACTAAAGATAAACAGAAGCACAGAGATGCTAGTAATTAGATATGGTTGAGTATTTATGGATAAACCTTCACCAGCACTTTATCATCCAGTCTCATCCCTTTGGAGCTCCCTAATTTATTCTTCCTTTCTTTAAAATATGCAGCTCTGGACCAGCTCTTCCAAGAGGCATTCCCTGATTAAAACTGACAAGTTACTAACCCAGAAATGTCTCTAACCATCTCCTTTCCCATATGGTTTTGCATTGCCTCTAAACTTTTACGTTTTCATTTACATAGCTTACCTAGATGATGGCATGACCCTGTGGATAAGAGTCTGGGTCTCAGAGTGAGATTGCCTGGGTTTGTATCTGAGTTCTTTTACTTATCATCTCTGGGCCTCCGTATTTGCATTATACATGGGAACTAATAAAAATATCTATCTCATAAGATAAGGATTCAGTGAGACAATCCAGGTAAATCACTTAACCTAGAGCCCAGTTCGTGGTAAGTGCTTGGTAGAATGCACCGTTATTGTTGTTGTCTTCTTCGTCATCATCATCATCATCATCGTCATGATGTCTCCCCTCTTAGACTGATGGAGAGTATTCTCAGCCATCCCTATTCACTCAACTAATGTCAACTGAACACCTTCCCCATGCTGCATGGAGGAGGCTGAAGGGCAAGGTGAAACTGCCTGGGTTCCTATACCAGTATTCCACTTTCCAGCTGTGTAACACTGGGTAAGATACGTAATGCTACCAGGCTTTGTTTTTGTCTTTGCAATATGGATGATAAACTTCATAAAATTATGAAGGATTAAATGAGATAATACAGATAAATTCTGTCTGACACGTAGCAAGCACTCAGTAAATGTTATGATTAAAAGAATAGAAGGATGTTGGGGACTGGTTCCTGGCCCTTGGGGAGCTAACAGTTTTGAAGGTGAGGCAGGCCTGCGATGGATGCTTTCTACACAGTGCAATGAATGCCAAGGTAGAAGGATTCCTGAGTGTCGTGAAAATGCAGTGCAGAGAAAGATGTAGCTGGGGAAACATGAACGAGGAAGTGAGGTGGGGAGGAAACACTTTATCTATAGCATAAAGGCCTGGGAGTTAGGCAAGGGTATCTGAATGAGGGGAAAATGTTTGGGAAAATGTTTGGAAAAAGCTGTTCCATGCAGGGCAGCCCTATGTGCATTGGCTTGGAGATGTGAATGGCTCAGGCTGAGGGAATGGGCAGGTGGAGGGAATGTGGCTAAGGGTAGGCATGTGAGGCTAAGATATCTGTGGGGCCACAATGGCGAGCAGATCAGGCTGGATAGTACTTGAGCATTAGATTGTGGAAGGCCTGCGGACCATGCTTAGGAGTCAGGACTCTATTCTGTATCCAGCAGAGATTTCCTTTTATGAAAAAAAAAAAAAAAGTCTTATCTCTTCCCAAAGGAGAGGAAGTAGGGACATACATACCCTCTTCTTTGTGGGTATGCACAGCCTTCTTATCCCTTTGTTTCCAGCTCCCTGGAACATCAGGGGACAGCTTTGCACCAGGAAGAACTGGGATCCCTGAAACTTCCTGATTGGGATCTCTTTCCATCATTGCTCTGGGTGTTCTTCTTTCATTTCTTTGAAGGCTAGTATGCCTTAATTTGAGACTTCACCCGTAATGATATTCATGTCCATGCCCATTGGTTCTATTTTCTTGCCTCACAGATTCTAGGGCGTGGTATATAGCAAAGGATAAAATCCTTCTCAGCTCTTGGAAAATGGTTCTCAGCGCTCTGTTCTCCCACTGACTCCTCTCCCTGCTCCCTCCCTTCTCTGTGCTCCGCCCCCGCCCCCCGCCCCACACACACTTTACTCTGCCTTCACTCCCCCCTTAACCATTTGCTGTCTGGTTTTCATCCTCCACTCTCTGAGATCTGCTTGGCCTCCTACTCACCAAGTCCAAAGGTTGTTGACAGGCCTAATTCCCATGCCCCTTGTAGAGTTTGACTTTCTTGACCAGTTTCCCATTCTCAGAACCTCATCTTGGCTTGATGTTCTGGTCTCTCCCCTCCCCTCCATCTGTTTGTCTCCAGTTTGGTTTCTCTCCCTCCTCTGAATTTCTGTAGCTCATGATCTCCATGCTCTGACAGCATTTGTTACTTTCTGTATCGTGCCTTGGTTTACATTGGTGATTTATATCCATGTCTTAACTCCTGTGCTAGATAGACTCTCAGGGTAAGATCCAATTCTTGATTCTCTTCTTTATTCCTCCAAGTACCTAGGATAGGCATATAGTGGGCAGACAGACATTGGAATGAATGAATGAATGAGCAAACAATTTTGGGGCATTTGTTATAAGTTAATTGCTTAGCAGTGTTCTCTAAGTGTGATCCACAGGCCATCTGCATCAGATTCATGTGTGTATAATAGAGTGTTTTGTTACAAATGCAGATTTCAGGGCCATACCCAGATTTATTGAACCAGAATCTCTGAGAGTTTACAATTTTCAGTCACACCGCTCCCTCCCCATGTTGTTCACTTTAAAATCTGAGAACTCCTGGTTTCATGGACAATAAACCAACATTATAAATGCATTTCAACTGCTGAGCATCTAGAGTCTTCTAAATGAGGCCTAGAAGGTGAGCAGGACCCTGTGCCACCCCTTCCCACCTGCAGGGGAGATGGGGCTTAGGTGGAAGGCATGGCTTCTGTGTAGTGGTGAATGGTGGGGAGGAGCACAAAGGAGGCAGATGGGGGGGTTACACTGAAACAGATAGACAGATAAAGCTTGCTAAATAGAGATGGGGAGGGGGTAAAGAGAGTGGGAGTTGGGCAGCTTTCTGGGGGATGGAGTCAACATGAGCAAGGCTTAGAGGTAAGAAATCCAGTGTATGGAGTGACAAGGGGTCTGGGTTGTCTGAGTGGACAGGCACAAGGGGAAGCAGAAGAAAGATTCACATCTTAAATGGCTTGAATGCCATGCTGAGAAGCAATGACGTCCTGCTCCAGGGATGATGCTGAGGAGGCCAGAGAGGTGTCTCTATAGACCTGAAACCCACAGGACCTGTGTTGAGGATGCCCTGGAAGCGGGAAAGTGGGCAAGGGCTTCACGGAGGTGGCTGTGGGAATCCTGGAGCTCATGATCAAGTTCTGCTAAAGTACTTCCATCCATGTGGGATGTGAGAAAAGAGCTTCTTGCTTCAAGCTTCTGTGCTTTTCATCTTCTCCAGCTCCTGTGAACTTGCAAGAGAAGCTGAGGGGTGTCTGTGTGTGTGTGTGTGTGTGTGTGTTCCTCCTTCACTCTGTGTGTGTGCACATGTGTGTGCATGTGGGGTGCGAGTATATATGTGTGCATGTATGTGTGAACACATGTATTTGTGCAGATACCATCTTACCTATCTATTCTTTCTTCCTCATCATTACTATGGCCTTACCTTCCTGATGTGAGGGAAATGGAGGGTGAGGCAATGGAGGACATTCTGATACAGTCAGGGGTGTGTGTGTGCTTCACTGACAAAAATTGTATTTATTGTGTATAGCATGATGTTTTGATAGCTGTGGAATGGCTATATTATTTAATGTATATAATATCTCGCATACTTATTCTGTGGTACAAACACTTAAAATCTATCAGCAATTTTTGAGTATACGATATATTGTTATTTACTGTACTCACCATGAGGTACAATAGATCTCTTGAACTTATTTCTTCTGCCTAACTAAAATTATGTAACCTTCAAGCAACATCTCCCAACCCCTCCACCCACCCCAGCCTCTGGTAACCACCGTTTTACTCTTTGATTCTATGAGCTCACCTTTTTTACACTCTACATGTAATTGAGATCATGCAGTATTTGTCTTTTTGTGCTTTGCTTGCTTTACAACATAAATTCCTCCAGGTTTAACCATGTTGTTTCAAATGATAGGACTTTCTTCTTTTTAAAGGCAGACTAGTGTTCCATTATGTATATATATGCATGTTTTCTTTTCTTTTTTTCTTTTTTTTCTTTTTTTTTTTTTTTTTGAGACGGAGTCTTACTCTATAGCCCAAGCTGGAGTGTAGTGGCATGATCTCGGCTCACTGCAGCCTCTGCCTCCAAGGCTCAAGTAATTCTCGTGCCTCAGCCTCCCAAGTAGCTGGGAATACAGGCATGCGCCACCAAGCCCGGCTAATTTTTTGTGTATTAGTAGAGACGGGGTTTCACCATGTTGCCCAGGGTGGTCTTGAACTCCTGAGCTCAGGCAATCCACCCGCCTCAGCCTCCCAAAGTGCTGGGATTACAAGTGTGAGCCACCGCGCCCAGCCATATTTGCTTTTCCTTTCTTTCTTTCTTTCTTTTTTTTTTTTTTAGGTGGAGTCTCGCTCTCTCGCTCAGGCTGGAGTGCAGTGGTGCGATCTCAGCTCACTGCAACCTCCACCTCCCTGGTTCAAGTGATTCTCCTGCCTCAGCCTCCTGAGTAGCTGGGATTACAGGTGCCTCTCACCATGCCTGGCTAATTTTCGTATTTTTAGTAGAGACGGAGTTTTGTCATGTTGGCCAGGCTGGTCTCGAACTCCTGACCTCAGGTGATCTGCCCGCCTTGCCCTCCCAAAGTATGAGGATTGCAGGTGTGAGCCACCACACCCAGCCTCTATTTTTAATTTTTTGAGGAGCCTCTATACCATTTTCAATAATGGCTGTACGAATTTACATTCCCACCAACAGTGTACAAGGTTCCCTTTTCTCCACATCCTCACCAATACTTATCTTTCATCTTTTTGATAATGGCCTCCTAACATGTGTGAGGTGATACTTTCAGGTGTGATTGTACAACCCAGTAGCTGAGAAAACAGTAGCCTAGTCAGTGGTCATGAAAGGTGTTTAAAAATGCCAGGTCCTGTGGGGCCCAGGCCTCTGTATTCTTTATAGGTTCCCAGGGGGTGCTGGCGCAGCTGCGTTTTGGAACCAGCAGCCCAGATGACCCAATCACTTTACCCTTTCACCTGGGGATTAGGGGCCTGCAAACTCCAAAGTTGGAATGAGAGTTTTTAAACTTGAAAATTTCTCCTTCTTCTTCCACTTTGATCAGTGGAGAGGAAAATACCTTACCGAGCAGAATGGTGGCCGAGGGAGTGTTTCCCCTAGGTTGTCTCTGTGGGGGAGGGGGTGTTGCTGGAGCCCGAGTCTAACAGAGTCTAACAGAAAGCTCATTAAGACCCACAGCAAGTTGAGGCCTGTCAGTAATGAGTACTTTTATGCTGTTTTCTACAGAAATTTCACTTCAAAACCTAGAGCCTTCAGATATCCTGATTTGCCATTCTAATTAGGTACTGAAGGAGGGCTTTGTGGGCAGGTTTGTGGCATCCTCTGTGCATACTGATTTTGCAAACCTCTTGGGAAACACTTAAAGTGAAATTCTTTGAACACATCAAAAAAGTCAGCATAAACAAACTAAAATCCCTGTGATTCCCAAACCCTAAAAATATTCTGTGACCAATTTCAAAGTCCCCCCCTCCCCTCCACTTTAAGGTTGGTATAATCCTGCCTGGTCATAGGGAGTGAGAAAGGAGGGTTTCACACGTTCGTTCGGGGAGAGGTCCCAGGGTTGAGGGTTCTGGTGGGTGGGGTGTCCAGTCCTCTTTAGGGCAGGTTATCCAGTGTCTAGATTGTTTGGGAGAAGGTGCTGGGAGAAAGGCCAGAAGCCTCAGCCTGGCTGGACATGGGCTGGCATGGACGCCATCTCTCCTGGCCAGCATTGCCCACCTTTAGGTCTCTAGCAGGAAGAGCCCAGGAGCTAGAAGCAGAAGCACCCAGACGGGGAAAGATCATGGGTGGCGCCACAGCAGGCTCCTGCTGCCCCCATGAGGAGAGGTTGGGAAAGTGAGTGGCTTCCCACTAAGTGAGGAGGAAACGACAGTGGAGGGCATCTTGCCTGTTTGTGTCTGTGGCTCCCTCATGAGCAGGCTGGGATTTTGAGGCTGGGAATGTGTTATACCTTAAAAGCAAAGCAAAGAGCACCGGTTACCTAGATGGGAAGGCAGAGCAGCAGTGTCCTTTGAGGCCAGAGAGTGAAAGTATGAGACTTTGTAGGACTTTTGTTCTTAATCAGGTCCCTAGCGGGCCCACTTCTTGGGCCCAGATCCCTGATGCCTTTGAAACTGCCATTTAATATGGCATTACTGCCTCCCAGCATTGGGACTCCTTCCCTTCAGATCTGCTAAGGACCTCCTAACTACTCCCTTCCCCTCATGTCCCCTCACCACCCCTCACCTCCACAGAGTGCCAGATATTCCTGGATCAAAGTTTTTATCCTGCCCCTGCTTAGAAACTTTATGGAGCTTCTATTTGCCTGGCTGATAAAATCCAGTGATCTAGCCCTCCTTCTCTGCCCTTCAGGCTTTCATCCATCTGTCCATCTGTCCATCTATCCATCATCCCTTACCAAGCACTACAGGACTTTGTGAAGAGGTATTGTCCTTAAGGAACTCTCAGTCTTTTGGGGAAGGCAGACAACAGTCAATTACAGGGGTTGTGAAATCACAGAGGAGAGACACCTGTGTGAAGGGTAGGCCAACACAGTAAACACACTATTACTGGCTAGTAGAATACACTAGATGCCAGAAAGAAACCAGTATTAGTATTAGGAGGAATAATGATAATGAAGCTTTTGCATTATATAGACCTACTTCAAATTAACCTTGATTAAAATATTAACTCTTTTGGGGCCGGGCATGGTGGCTCACACTTGTTATTCCAGCACTTTGGGAAGCTGAGGTTGGTGAATCACTTAAGGTCAGGAGTTTGAGGCCAGCCTGGCCAACATGGTGAAACCCCAACTCTACTAAAAATACAAAAATTAGCTGGGCATGGTGGCACATGCTTGTAACGCAGCTACTCGGGAGGCTGAGGCAGGAGAATTGCTTGAACCCGGGAGGCAGAAGTTGCAGTGAGTAGAGATGGTGCCACTGCACTTGAGCCTGGGTGAAGGGGGAAAAAAAAGTGAACTCCTCTGATCCTTAAAGTTCTTATCTGTGAGTTGGTTAAGGCTTAACAATAACATGAACTTCATAAGATTGTTGTTAAGGATTAACAATCATTAATGAGATAATGTATATTTGTGAAACATAGTAAATGCTTAATAAATATTGGTTATTAACGTTATTATCAGACAGAGAAGAAATTTTCTCCAGGATTCTTGGAGCAAAGTCACTGAAATTACAGAGAAAAACATCTCCAACAATTTGCTCAGCATGAATTCAACAAGTCTTACTAACCTGTCTGTTATGATGTACCTCACATACATAGAAAGAATGATACCAGCAGTCCAATTCAGTGAATGAGGTCTCCTGGGTGAGAATAGTGCCCTGTTTTGTCAAATATGGGTTTTTGCACATTGAATTTTTTTTTTTTTTTTTAAGGAGAAGAACTTTAATTTTTTTTTTTTTTTGAGACAGGGTTTCACACTGTTACCCAGGCTGGAGTGCAGTGGTGCAATCTCAGCTCACTGCAACCTCCGCCTCCTGGGTTCAAGTGATTCTCCTGTCTCAGCCTCCTGAGTAGCTGGGATTACAGGTCTGTGCCACCGCGCCCGGCTTATTTTTTGGGAGACGGAGTTTTGCTCTTGTTGCCTAGGTTGGAGTGCAATGGCATGGTTTCAGCTCACTGCAACCTCCGCCTCCTGGGTTCAAGCAATTCTCCTGCCTCAGCCTACTAAGTAGCTGGGATTACAGGCGCCCGCCACCACACCTGGCTAACTTTTGTATTTTTAGTAGAGACAGGGTATCACCATGTTGGCCAGGCTAGTCTCGAACTCCTGACCTCAGGTGATCCACCCACCTTGGCCTCCGAAAGTGCTGGGATTTCAGGTGTGAGCCACCGCACCCGGCCCACTTTAATTCTTTCAAGGTGGTTTGGTACAGTCATTCCCAAAGAGACAACATCAAAAACACCTGGGAAATGTCTTAAACATGCAGACCCTGAGGTTCTACCTTTCTTCCCATCCCCTAAACTTCTTCATTATTATATCTGGGCAGGGCCTGGAAATCTGTATTTTAAATAAGTGCCTCCAGTGAGTTTTGCTTTTATGCACTTTGGGAACCCAAGGACAGATCCTGGGACTCTGAGGCCAAGCCCTGGGCTTAGTTTCTCCTGGCACTGTCTCTGTCTGCCTGGATGATCTCCTGGTCACGAAGGTTCTTCGTGTCTCAGGGTTATCAGGTGTGAGTGTCTGATGAAATGATGAATGCGAGTACCCATCTCTGTGTGGACTCTGTAAATGTAAGGGATTATCAATACTCTTATTTATTGTAATAATCCCTCCTTCCCATTCCCATTTTCTTGCCCAATGACTTAATCAGAGTCACTCCAGTATAGCATTTATCTTTGAAGCCTGTGGTTGATTTGACAGGATTTGATATAAAATAAGGAGTAAGAGGCTGTGCTTTGGCTCAACAGCAAGTTCTCACTGCTAAAAAGCCTCTGATTCTGCCCTGTCTGTGTACTTTCCTGTATCGGGGGAGGGAGAGACTGTGCAGGTGTTTAAATTGGGACTTGAAAGCTTTAGATTTGTGTTGTCCAGAAAGGTAGCCACTGACCACATGTGGCTATGGAGCACTTGAAATTCAGCTAGTCTGGGTTAAGATGTGCTGTCAATGTGAAATACACCCAGAGTTCAGAGATTTAATACTAGAAAAAAAAAAAGTAAAGTATTGCAATAATAACTTTTATACTGATTACATATTGAAATAATATTTTGGGTTAAGTAAAATATATTATGAAAATTGATTTCACTGATTTTCTCTTTTTAAAAACCTAGAAGTTTCGAAATTGCGTATGTGGCTTGCATTATATTTCATCAGATACTGGTGCTTTAAGTGTTAGGTTAGCTTTGGGAGTCAGCTTAAAAAGTTTACAGGGTTTGCTCTGTTTTCAAATTCAAAAGGTAAATTTTACATTTGAAGTGGACATCTAGAACAGTTATTCTGAATCATTTAACTCAACTTTGAGCGTTAGCATTGTTGTTTATTGTCACTGGTGGTTTTATTGAAGTAGAAATTTATGAAATAGAATCTAAAGGGCATTCAGCAGTTTATCTACTATTTTAAAAGACAGTCTCCTAACCTCTCTGGGAGGGGCAAGAAGAAAGTTGCCTAAGTGGAGAAATTGCTTTGCTTAGATTGAATTTTTATTGCAGAGCTGCAAAGCCCAGAAGACAGCAGTTTACAGCGGCCGCAGCAATTCATTTTTAAACTGTGGGCTTGGAATCAAACTGCTATGAAATACTGATGAAAGCACCATTCACAATCTTCCTTATCATCTTTGGCCTTCTCTCTGCCACTCTGCTTCTTCACTCTCTTCCCCGATGGTGTTTGGGATACTAGTGTGTGAGACACAGCTGGGAACTCACACAGCAGGGCTGAGAAGAGCAGAGTCAGCTCGTCAGCAACAGCTGAGTTGAAGTAGGTGCTAGTCATTGAGTTTCTCTATAAATGGTGGCATTCCTGGGAGTTCAGAGCAGTGAACTTGAAAATGGTGATGCTAAAGGCCCCAATGTCTACTTCACAGTAGGATTATGAGGAGAATAGGAAAAACCAGAGGCAGGATGTCAGGGATGCAGAAGTGGTTGATAGTAGAAGCCCAGCCATTAGCTGTTGACATGGCCTTCAGGGCGTCTCCTGCAGGCCTCAAGTCTTTCTCCTTAGACCTGTTCTAAGGGAATGGATTGGTTCTGTATAGTCAATGAGGCACAAAATCTGACCCCCCAAGTTTGAATTTGAATTCCGCTATCACTAGCTGTGTGACCTTGGGAACACCACTTGAGTGCTCTGTGCCTCAGTTTTCTCGTCTGTAAAATGGGCTTCATAGAACCTGTGGTGAGGGTTAATTGAGCAAATACATGTAAGATCCTTAGAACTTACGCGTGAGTAAACACTCTGTAAACACTGGATTCATTCAGTTAGCAATATTTATGCTTCCATGTACCAGGAGCAACACTGGGGTACAGCAGTGAACAAGGCAGTGGAAATCCCTTCGAGAGAGGTGCTTTCAGCAGAGGAGTTCAAGATGTGTTTGTTGCTTATAATTACCCATGCTTGTGCACTGGCTGAGGGGCCTTCACACATAATGCTGCTTTACTTTATGTATTAGGTTTTGACATAGTAGTCTGTTTTTTTAAGGTTTTAAGTACAAAACTTTGGATTTTATTCCTAGCTCACCCACTTCTTCATGGTATAATCTTGGGCAAGCTACATAAACTCACTGAGGCTTCATTTCCTCATGTATAAAAAAGCTAATAAATAATACCTTGCTCAAAGGAGAGTGTGAGAATTAAATGTTGTATTAAATAGGATAATGCCTATAAAGCTCTTAGCATATACTTGGCTCATAGTAAGTGTTCTGTAAATGTTAGCTATTATTGCCATTGCTTCTAGTTCTAGAAATTCTATGAGTCAGTGATTCTAAATTAAGAGGTCACTAGGCTGGCAGAAGGGGAAATTGAACCAGATTCTCCTGTGGTGCCCCTTTCTATGAGCTAAGTTGTTCATGAGTGCCTTGGAAACCATCTTCCTTTTCAGAGAAAAACAATAGAGATCCAGGTGTTCAATAGAGCAGCCCAAAGATAGATAATGAGTCTCTCATCATTAGGGGCATCCAAGCTGGACGACCAGTCAGCAGGGATATTATAAAGGGATGGGCCCTGAGCTTGTGGATTGCTTCCAGCTCTGAGATTATGGAGCCTTTGTTCATTAACATTTGACCCATCTGGGTAAGGACACCCTAGGGAGGGGTACCCATTTTTGAAGAGCAAAGAGTGACCTCAGGGATTTGCCACCTCCTTCACCCAGCCAGTAAGGGAAGCTCACTTGGACATCGCTTCTACTACTTTTCTTCTCCTGAGTGTAGTTATTTCTTGGAGGTAAGTGCTAGGGTTGAGTTGGAGAAAGACATGCCACATCTTCACTGAATCGTTTATCCAGAGAGTGGAGGGCACCTGGTTCTTGGTGTCACACTCAGCCCTAAAATTCCTTCCCTAGGGGATGGAATAGATAGAAATGACTTCAGAGCCACCTGGCTAGGGAGGACTGGGCCTGTTGTCTACAGCCCTGGGGAAGCCACAGGCAGCTTTAATTCAGGGCTCCATCACTCCTCCCCTTTTGTTTGCCACTCTGTACTTGCCTATGGAAAGTGAAAAAACAAAGGCACTATGTTGGATTCATTTGTCCTTTAAAAAAACAAACAAAAAAAGGTAATTATCTTCATTTTTGAACACTTACTGGTTATGTCAGGCAGTTTATTCACTTTTAAAGGAACCATTTCTTGAGCATCTACTAGTACAAAGCATCTGTTAGCCACCAGAGAGAAAAACAAAAGAGGCCAGGTGCAGTGGCTCACGCCTGTAATCCCAGCACTTTAGGAGGCTGAGGCGGGCGGATCACCTGAGGTCAGGAGTTCAAGACCAGCAGCCAATCTGGTGGAACCCCGTCTGTACTAAAAATACAAAAAAATTAGCCAGGCATGGTGGCACCTGCCTGTAGTCCCTGCTACTCAGGAGGCTGAGGCAGGAGAATTGCTTGAACCTGGGAGGCAGAGGTTTCAGTGAGCCCAGATCACGCCATTGCACTCTAGCCTTGGGTGACAGAGCAAGACTCTGTCTCAAAAAAAAAAAAAAAAAAAAAAACAGCAGAAGAAAAGATCTGAGATACTTCTCTTCCCTTACCCCAAAATAGTTCTTCCATTTTTTCAGAGTACCTACTATGTGCCAGCCACTGTGCTAGGGGCCAGAGACACAGGGCTGAGAAGACACAAGTGGTACTTCTTCCCCTGGAAGTTACAGCCCAGTAGGGGAGATAGGAATGTTAAAGTTTTGATTGTTTATGAAGAGGGAGACAGATCCACACAGCTAACCCTTCTTGCCCCCAGCACCAGTGGCCCTGGCTTTGGCTTGGCAAATGTGGTACCATTCTCTGAACCATTGGGTTTCTTACTCACTTCCTATGGTGATGTCTGGGTCTCATCAGATCTAGGGGTCAGTGAAATGCAGCTGGTCTGTTACCTCTGCCCAGAGAGCTCAGGGTGAGTCCCCAGTCCCTTCACCCCACACACATTTTCTATCCCAAGGCACCCTTTCACTCTTCATAAACTTTGCAGCAAACCAGAAATTCTCTGGCTCATTAATAGAAGGAAGGCCTTGTTGGGGTGGAGTAGGGTATGTTGCCAAGCTAATTGGTTTGGGGAACATGAGGAGAGAAAACACGAAAAAAATCAGTGGCCCTGAATGATTTACTTTGTGAGTGACAGCATCTGCATAGTTTTAAAACTAGAATCTGTGCATTGCCTGTGCAGTATTTCTTTAACTTTAAGCATTCCTGTCTCACCTCTGCATTTTTGCAATACCCGTGTAGTATTTTTCTTTAAATTGACTCAATAAAAACTAAATACGTAAATTTTTAAAATTTCCTATTATTTTAATTAATCTTCATAGCTTTTATCTATGTTGTATAGCTAATATTCATAGTATATTTTTTCTTTTTATTTTTTTTCTTTAGATAACAGAGCCTTGCTGTGTCACCCAGGCTGGAGTGCAGTGGCACGATCTCGGGTCATTGCAACCTCTGCCTGCCAGACTCAAGCAATTCTCCTGCCTCAGCCTCCCAAGTAGCTGGGGTTATAGGCGTGCACCACCACACCTGGCTAATTTTTTGTATTTTTAGTGGAGACAGGGTTTCACCATGTCGGCCAGCCTAGTCCTGAACTCTTGGCATCAAGATGATCTACCTGCTTCAGCCTCCCAAAGCGCTGGGACTATAGGAGGGAGTCACTGTGTCCAGCTTATAGTATATTTTTTCAAATGTTCTTGCCACATTGTCAAAGATCTTGGGCATCCTTAGGTATTTGCTCCATTTAGGAAGATTCTGCCTAAGAAATTCATGAATATTCCTCTAGGAGATCTTTGAATCTTCTAAAATTCAAAATTGTGTTTATTATTGTAAAAAATTGTGTTTGTGTATTTCTTTCCTGGGAAAGACAGTCCAAAGCTTTATTCAAGCAAGGACCAGAGAAGGGTAAGAGCCACAGTTTGTGGTTTCTTGAATTGTGTCTGATTATTATTTACAAAAATTTCATTTTCCCAGGAAGAGGAACATTGTTGTTGTTGTTTTTTACAAGAAATGGATGTTTTATTCCTAAAGCATTCTATTTTTTAATGAGGTGCAGATAAACTGCACATTGAAAAATGGTCTCTCCCACATCTCTTTCTCATCTCTATTCTGTTTTCGGCCTTCCAACATGTGAATGTTAATCACTATAGGAGGAAGGTGACTATTTTCTGATCCAAAAATCATGATGTATGGTCTGATTAAGGATTTTTATGTATATATCATGCCTTTCAAAGGTATAAAGGGAGAACTTCAGTTACACATTTAATGAATTTTCTTTATTAAAAGAGAAAAATTGAAAAAAAAAGTGAGGGGGGCACCTATCTTAGAATATTGAGAATGTAAGTTCACTAAATGTATTAATAGACCAGTAAATGTTTCAGAGAAAAAAATGAGCACAAGGAAAGCTACTCGTTGGGGCATAAATACATGATAAAGGGGCTATGGGAAAAAGCACCATCATTCTAGATCACACAAATCAAACAGAATGCACCATTTGTATAAATGCAGACGAAGCCACGTGTCTTTCCCTGCTTCTAGGGTAACACACCAGCAAGGGGACACAAAGGGCACCCTGTTCATTCTTTCCATCTCAACCCCTTAACCTTAGGAAGAATATTAGAACATTTGTGTTTGCATCCTGCCTCCTTCCTCTGAAGGTCCATGAACACTAGATACAATGATAAAATAGAAATAGGAATTTGAAATCAGGACTAGGGAAAATATAAGTAAGAGGAAAAGGACAAACCCAGGAGGTTGGGAAGAATACGAAGGCACTCACATTAAGGGTCTGTGTTTCTGCTGAGCTGCACATTTGACTTGGAGCTTCCTGGCAGCCAAAACAAGAAGGAAACAGGGTAAGCTTTCTGGATTTTACTGTTAGAAAAGAAAAACATCGTCTGAGTGCTGTGGCTCACACCTGTAATCCCAACACTTTGGGAGGCCGAGGCGGGTGGATCACCTGAGGTCGGGAGTTCAAGACCAGCCTGACCAACATGGAGAAACACCATCTCTACTAAAAATACAAAATTAGCCAGGCATGGTGGTGCATGCCTGTAATCCCAGCTACTCAGGAGGCTGAGGCAGGAGACTCGCTTGAACCTGGGAGGTGGAGGCTGCAGTGAGCTGAGATGGCGCCATTGCACCCCAGCTTGGGCAACAAAAGTGAAACTCCATCTAAAAAAAAAAAGAAAAGAAAAACATCCTAGTTAAGGGATAGCTAAGTGCTTCCTAGTTTGTTTCTTTAAGTTAAATTTCTTATAAACAAGGTCCTCTTCAACTTTCTTCTTTGTCTTATTCACTCCTCATTATATGGCTCCTCAGACTGGGCCAATTTCTCAATTTAGGTGGCTATGATACAGATGGTCGTATACCTCTCTTCTGTAGTGTTTATCATAGATGTACATTCTCATGTGCTTAGATGATTATTTTGAAAGCTTGTGTTCTCTACTAGACTATATACCTCATGAGACTTGGGCCATATTGTCCTCAGTGCCCAGCACAATCTTGGCACATGGTATACCCTCAATAAATATTTGTTAGAACAAATGAATAAGGCCAAAGCATTCAGGGATTTTATGTGACTGATTCTTGTAGTGTCTTCCCAGGAAATCAAGGCCCTTTCAAGCGTGCAAACTGTCTCTTGTCCAGAGAGCTTGGTGGCCATCTCCAAGCTCATTTTACTCCACGGTTATTAACAATTTGGAGATTGTTAATAACAACGACTCCAGGTTATTAACCTGCTATAAATCCAATCCTGTAATTGGTACTTGATACATGTTGCTGGTAGTCCTCAAAGATGAGGGAGACTGAGGCTCAGGGGGAGGGAAACAGCTTGCCCAAGGTCACATTGCTGGAAGGCATGCTCTTTCCTTTCTGCCTGCTGTTTCTGAGCCAGAGCTACAAGTGTCTGTGTGAGTTATGGGTTCTTATCTCTTGGCAATTAGAGCAGCTCAGCAAAGGTATTTCTGGCACAGGCCATTGCTGCTTTCTGACAGCTGCTACATTCCAATATCGCCTGAGTTTAGGGAAAAGAAAGCCCACACCTGGGGTTGGCAAAGATAGTCTCAGAACTCATTTTCCCTGGTTTCTGCACATGGTGAATGTGTTTATTGTTCTTGTCACACTGTCTCCTGAAGTGCAGATGCATTAAAGTTGAATATTATTTTCATAAAAGCCACTGGAGAGAAAGGGAGAGAAGAGGCATGATTCGGGTGTCTCCAGGAATATAATTGGATTTGCCCAATGATTGGGAGAGTGGAGGTGGGAAATGACAACATGCCAGGAAGTACATTTGATGGTGCTTTTGATTCCAAATTTGTTAGGCATGTGTTTTTAATTGCTTTGTCCCTGTTGTCATTATTCTAATAGAGACCTGATTTTTTTTTTTTTTTTTTTTTTTTTGAGACAGAGTCTCACGCTATTTCCCAGGCTGGAGTACAATAGCATAAGCTCGGCTCCCTGCAACCTCCGCCTCCCGGGTTCAAGCAATTCTCCTGCCTCAGCCTCCCGAGTAGCTGGGATTACAGGCACCTGCCACCACGCCTGGCTCATTTTTTGTATTTTTTAGTAGAGACAGGGTTTCACTATGTTGGCCAGGCTGGTCTTGAACTCCTGACCCTGTGATCCGCCCACCTCGGCCTCCCAAGGTGCTGGGATTACAGGCATGAGCCACTGTGCCCTGCAGAGACCTGATTTTTCAAAAGGGGTTCATTATCATATTAAACTTTCTCTATTCAGCAAGGTTGGCAAATGGGATGTTCTCCTGGCTCAGTGTTGCCACCTACCGTGTGCTGCATAGATTGTCAGTCTTCAAAATATTAGAAGGCAGTAAAACACATTTCAAACTGCAACAAGGCATAATTTGATCCGTCTGTTCTTCCACAAGGTTGCAAGTCTTCAGGGTGAACATTATAAGCATCTGTCATCACTGTGTGCTCTTGGAGTGCCAAGATACTGGTTATAGTGAATTCTGGTGATAAAAAAAATGCTAGACAAAAATACCACTTTTTCTTTGGTCCCTTGAGAATGAGCCTCAAAAACATGTGCTGCTTGCACATGGGGATCTGAATAATTGCAACATTCAGGATTATGTAGAGAGAGTATCCCTGAAGAAGGCACTTAGGGTGGTGTTTGCAAATGTCACAAGGCTTTCAGTTCTATCTTTGGCCCCCTAGTCTCAGTAAGGATTTTGGCTCATATCAGTGATTTGGAAAACCTAATAACTTTTATGTCTCCAAAGTTGTGTTTCCAGACTGCTGGCTATTTCATATTTTAAAGCATGTTTCTACCTTTAAAAGGACACCAGAGAATAGCAGTGGGCACTGACATGCCTTTACCCCTCCCCACACTAGAAAAGGACCGACACATTTAATCTTTTTTTTGAGACGGAGTCTCACTCTGTCACCCAGGCTGGAGTGCAATGGCACGATCTTGGCTCACTGCAACGGGTTCAAGCGATTCTTCTGCCTCAACCTCCCGAGTAGCTGGGATTACAGGCATATGCCACCATGCCCAGCTAATGTTGTATTTTTGTGGAGACGGGGTGTCACCATATTGGCTAGGCTGGGCTTGAACTTCTGACCTCAGTTGATCTGCCTGCCTTGTCCTCCCAAAGTGCTGGGATTACAGGCGTGAGCCACCATGCCCAGCCTCACATTCGATATTTATTTGTGGATAGATTTAGGTTCTTTTTCCCAATTTCCCCACAGTAGCTTTGACAAGTCTTATTTGGAAGAAGTAACACAGTTACTGAACTGGCGTCTTGTTCCTAGTTTGAATGGTAAGAGCCAGAAAATCGCCCAT